>NC_000023.11:4012488-4637488 GCF_000001405.40 Homo sapiens
GAATCAGATAACATCTATAGTCAACAGACATTTCCTGATGTCATCTTTGTTTGCCAGTGGCACTATTTTATGTTTATATTATTATTTCTCTGCACCAATAAGACAAAGACTCTTGGGATGTGGGTAAAAAGGTCCTTAGACCCTTAAACTCCAGGTTCATCTTGAAAATTTAGTCTGTAGTCAACTTCAGAGAGTGAACTCGTTGACCTCCAGGGGCTTCCCTATGTGGGCAGCTCATTGGCATCTGCATTGGCTACAGTTGAAGATTTTTTTCCTCTTTTAAAAATGTTATCAAGGTACATTATATTGTTAGACTTAATGATACTGAACGAGCTGTTTACATTTTTAAGGAAGAATGTTTAATTATTTTAATTTCTTTATTTGATATTTGTCTGGTCAAAGTTTTATTTCATATATCTTAATTTATAAAGTTAAAAACATCATAATGAATGATATTTTAATGAATATTAAATTATCTTAATGTTTTATTTTATATGTTTCTGGAAGTAATGTAATTTGTCCAAACTTTTAAATACTTTGGAACAGAGTTCACAATGTTCTTGTCTAATCTTTACAATCTCCACTGAATCTTTGATTATTTACTTTTCTGGGCTTAATATTATTTATATCTCTCTCTCTTCTCTCTCTTTTGCTCTCTTTCTATTCACATCATGTTTCTTTTCCTCTCTCCTACTCTCCTTTAAAGTGGTTTGTCTAGTTCATGATATTTTCCCCAAAGAATCAAAATCAAATATTGGTATGCTTTGCTTATTCCAATTTCTTATGGATTTTTAATTCTGAAAACACACACACTAGATCATTACTTTTGATGTACAACTTCATACAGAAAAGTGAACAGTATTAAGTTTACAATGGAATAAAGGTTTATATTTTTATACATTTTTACATACACATACACCTGTGTCTTCACCACCTGTATCAAGATATAAAATATTCCCAGAAGTCCAGAAAACTCCTCCCTGTTTTCAGTCAGTACTCTCACAATGTTTAGCCCTGTTCTGACATCTATCACCACCATAGATATTGTTTTGGAACTTTGTGTAAATAGAATTTCATACTATAAACTCTAATATATCTGATTCTCTTCAGTTGATGGTATGGCTGTGAGATTCATACATGCCGTGCTATAAGCAGCAGCTCATTGCTTTGATCGATGTGTATAGAATTACATTTACTATTCATTTTCTTTCGCATTTTGACAAGTGGCTCTCTCCAATTTTACCTCTTGATTTGAGTACTTATTATATTTGTTTTCATTTTTGAGATATTCATTTTGGCCTAGATATTTATTTCTAGGAATTTCAATAGCTGTATGTGCCATGTTTTGGGGTGTAGATTCTTTGAGTCTCACAGCAACTGCCAGGAACATGAGGTAGCGTCTTAGTTCATTTGTGTTGCTATAAAGGAATACTTGAGGCTGAGTAACTTATTTAAAAAAAAAGAGGTTGATTTGGCTCACATTTCTGCAGGCTGCACAGGAAGCATGGCACCAGCATCTGCATTGGATGAGGGCTTCAGGCTGTATCCACTCATGGTAAAAGAAGAAGAGGAGATACTATTACTGAATTTGGTACAGAGCCCATTGAGAGGATTTGGTTAACAGATGCATACCTGCCTGCTATAGCTTAGATATTTGGCCCTCCAAACCTCACGTTGAAATTGTTCCCCAGTGTTAGAGGTGGGGCCTGGTGGGAGACGTTTGGGTCATGGGAGCGAATTCTTCAAAAATGGCTTGGTGCTATCCTCATAATAATGAGCTCTCATTCTGTTAGTTCCTGCAAGAGCTGGTTGTTAAAAGAGCCTGGCATCTACCTCCTCTCTCTCTTGCTTCCTCTCTCACTATGTGCTCTGCACTTGCTTGCTCCCCTCCCCTTCTGCCATGTGTGGACACTTCCTAAGACCCTCACCAGAAGCAGACACTGGCGCTATGCTTCTTGTGCAGCCTGTAGAAGTGAGAGCCGAATAAACTTCTTTTCTTTGTAAATTATGCAGTCTCTTGTATTTCTCTACAGCACGAATGGACTAAGACACTGCCTTAAGTTCCTGGAGATTGTTTTGAGGCTCACAGAAGAATTTGGAAAAACATTTTGCTAACTGTAAAGTATTCCATGCATGTGAATAACACTGTTTATTACCACAGACAAATGGAGGGTTTATAAAATTTTGGGTAACAGATATGAAAATAAAAATAAATTAGGATCAATACTAATTTTCTTCAAAATTTCTGACATGACAAATTTATGTATAAATATTGCATTTGTGTGTGTGTGTGTATATATATATATGCATATATATGTGTATGTATGTTTTTTTTTTTTTTGCTAAACTATGCAATTGTACCCGCCAACATTTCTAGATTCAGAAATGGTGAGACCTCATCTGTAGATTCAGTGTGACCCTTTTCTGGGCAGTGGTTTACTGAGCAAGGTGAACACCCAGAATTGCACAGTTAGCTGAGGGACAAGGAGTAGTGGTTATTAAAATGTCAATTTCTATGCATCTTTTAATCTAAATTGTTAAAGAAATTATGGTTATTAACACCTAACATGGACATATAAATTAATGCACACACTATGTCCTGAGCAATTTTAAAACATTGTTCATTCATCCACATTTTATTCTTTTGGACATTCTGGTTTGGGTGTAAGCTTGCTAGCATGCACAATCTATTTGACCCAAAGCACAGGGATCTTTCTATAAGTAAAATAACATTCAACTATTGGGCTGATGCTCCAATTTTGATAGAGTTTGTGAAGAAAAGACTTCAAGGCCATGGATCTAGTTTAGCATGGAGCATAGAAGGGTGAATTCCCAGGATCCATCCCTCCTCTTCCATATGGACTGTTAGCTCCTGACTCCTCCGAATCTAACTTTAAATAAAGACAGCAGAGTTTAAATACAGGACTGCCTATCACAGGACTGCCCTGCCAATATTTTTATAGTTTTGAAATGCACCACTCAAGCTATGCACTACTCAATGCACCTTCCTGAAAGGTGAAAAATGTAAATGACCATGAGTTTGAAATGACAACTCCCAGAAAGGTCAAACCAAACAGTTTTCTGTGAAAAACAATTTACATAGCAAATGATGCATTAAATGATGATTCGACTTTTCATTGATGATAATCATAGCATAATAAGAATAATCTCTCCAAAAGTAGACTTGTTCTGAGCATGAACATAGCCTGTACATGCAAATTTGCATTAAAAAATATAAATGTATATAAGTGTACACTTGGTTAGGATAGGTGCAAATATTCCTGCGAGATTCATTTTGGGGTTTATTTAACTAACAAAATCTAACAGATGGTTTTGCCGCAGTCTGTGTTTCATCTACATCACGGAAATTTATTGCGTTGTCATTTGATTTTTCATCGCATGATTTGGTAACCATGATGGCTTTCTGGCACTTTCATCAGTGAAGTGAGTGGTGGTTAAGAGCCAGTAAGACCTTAAGAGTCAGTAAAACCCAATAAGATCTGGCTTCGACTAACTGTGCAAACTTAGAAATTTTACTAAACCTTTCTGAGCTCTAGTCTATTACCTGGAAATGGGAAAACAAAGTTCCCAATTTATTGTTGTGCAAATAAACTAAAAGTGCATGGCCTAGCATAAGGTAAATGCATATAGAACTTTGAGTTGTATATTCTACTTAGCATTTAAATTTATGATGCTGACTTATATGATCAGAAATAAATGTCCTCTCTGCCAGTATATCTTAAGTTTCCTTACCCATGATTTTGATCCTAGCAGTGTAGACAAATATAATTAAACATTACATTAAAATTTGTTAGGAATTATAGGACTGCTCTATCCCAAAAAGGATGCTGTTTAGGGCATATTGTCAAGGATAGGAACTAAAACTTGAGAGCTGACCTTCATTCTTTCAGGTTATCAGAATCCTAACAGCAAGTGTGCAAACTGCAAGTGTGCAAATACAGAGACTCATAAAGCATAGTTAAAGAAATGGTAGGAAGTGAACCTTTATAATTTAATCAATATTCAATACACATCTTGATGTTTGATGTGATCAGGCATGGGGTGTTTAGATTATCAATCAAGATGAGTGCCAAAGATCATTCAACTATTGATCCAGAACAGAGATGGGGAGGTTTGGAGCTGGGGTGGTTACTAATGGTGAGGAAGGTCTGTGTCTAGGAGAGAAACAGATTTGCCAGTGTGTTTACCATCAATGCAAAACACTAGAGGGAATGAGGCCAGAAACGTGATTCTTCCTGGGCTTGGAGAAAGTAAAATGCATTAGCCTCCTTTTCCTTCTTCAATTATTTAAGTTTTTATTAGAATAAGAAAGCATGCTACATATGCCTTGTATTTATTTATTTTTATTTTTATAAATGTATGGGGGTACAAGTGCAATTTTATTACATGCATGGATTGCATGGGGGTGAAGTGAGGGCTTTTAGGGTATCAATCATCCGAATGATGTACATTGCACCCATTAAATAATTTCTCATCACCCACCCTCTCCAACCCTCCCACCCTTCTGAGTCTCCAGTGCCTATTAATCCGCTCTCTATGTCCATGTGCACACATTACCTAGCTCCCACTTATAAGTGAGAACATGCAGTATTTGTCTTTCTGTGTCTGAGTTGTTTCACTTAAGATAATGCCTTCCTGTTCCATCCATGTAGCTGCAAAAGACGTGTTTGCATTCTTTTTTACGGCTGTGTAGTATTCCATGGTGTATATGTACCACATTTTCTTTATCCAATCCTCCACTCATGGACACTTGGGTTGATTCCATATCTTTGCTATTGTGAATAGCGCTATGACAAGCATATGAGTGCAGGTATCTTTTTGATAGAATAACTTATTTTCCTTTGGGTAGATACCCAGTAGTGGGATTGCTGGATCAAATAGTAGTGCTATTTTTAGTTCTCTGAGAAATTTCCATACTGTTTTCCATAGACATTGTATTAATTTACATTCTTGCCAGCAGTGCATAAGCATTCCTTTTTCTGTGAATATTCACCAAAATGTGTTATTTTTGACTTTTTAATAGTAGCCATTAGGACTGGGGCAAGATGATATCTCATTGTGGTTTTGATTTGCATTTCTCTGATGATTAGTGGTGTTGAACGTATTTTCATATGCCTGTTGGCCATTTGCATGTCTTCTTTTGGAAAATGTCTTTTGCCCACTTTTTAATAAAATTGTTTTTGTTGCTGTTGTTGTTGTTGTTGTTGTTGTTTGTATATTGTATTAGTCTGTTTTCATGCTGCTGATAAAGGCATACCCGAGACTGGGCAATTTACAAAAGAAACAGGTTTAATTGGACTTATAGTTCTACGTGGCTGGGGAAGCCTCACAATCATGGCAGAAGGCAAGGAAGAGCAAGTCACATCTTACATGGATGGCAGCAGGCAAAGAGAGACAGCTTATGCAGGGGAATTTCTTTTTTTAAAAGAAATTTAAAAGCATCAGATCTTGTGAGACTTATTCACTGTCACGAGAACAGCACGGGAAACACTTATCCCCATGATTCAATTACCTCCCTCCAGGTCCTTCCCACAATACGTGGAAATTCAAGATGAGATTTGGGTGGTGACACAGCCAAATCATATCATATATTTTGAATATTAGCTCCTTGTCTAAGTTTTTAGGTCCTTAATTCTCCACCTGAAGTTGTGGACGATGAGCTCATGGAAATAAAATACTTGACTTGCTGCCTTCTTCTTTATCCTGGATGAAAGGGAAAATTCTACCACCATTCACATTACTCAGAAAAGCTGGGTTCTGGTGGAGAAAGGCAGCTTTTTCTGGCACTTGGAAGTAAGTATCATTTCCTCCGCTTCATTTTAGAGCAATATTTTTATTTTTCATTCCCTCTCGAGGAACACCAGATGCTGCAATTTGAAACTAGTGATTTTTTCCCCATGGATAGCTTTAAGCAGCATTGCAGATATGGTTCATAGGTTCAGGATCAAGGATCTGGTAGATTCTTGGGCTTTGGTTTCTTAAATGCCATTCATGAAGGCAAGAGATTCGGGAAAAGAACAGACCAAAGGTAGAGTGAGAATGGCTCCTACTGCAGACAGATGCTCAACTTAGAAAGACCGAAATCGTCTTTTCCATGCCCACTTCTGGTAGGGTTAAAATTGCCTGGAAGAAAATGCTGAATTTCTGTCTGTACTAAGGAAACAATGACAGCAAAGCTGGTGATGTGAGTTAAAAAAAGAGAATGCAAGAAGAAAAGGACAAATTAGGTGAGCTTTGAATGATGGATCAGATGGGACACTACTGGGACACTGATTACTAGGATCACCCTCTAATTCTTGCAGGGCATGGAGATTTTGCATTCTGTTTAGAAAGGTGGTCTCCAACCTGTGGGGCTACCTTGTCAGGATGCATTAAGACTTGGAGATTACAGCTCCAGAGAGTAAACAATGAATCACTCTTCCCCATGATGGCTTTGAAAGAATTGGGGGTTACCACCTGTGCATGGTGTCCGTCTCTGCAGAAGGATGGTATGAGTCTGAGTTTGATTCACTCGCAGTGATGCTACCAGCCAGCCAGCCAGAGGCATAACTGCAGGGTTGAGACAGTAGAGTATCCTACATTTTAAGATGCAGCCTGACAGGGAGATTTTACCTGACGGTGGTACCCATCAGAGTGAGCTCTCAGCATTTCCATAAGCAAACTGTTGCTGTTGGCTCAAAGCCTGCATGGTAGGATTGCCTATCAATAAGATAGCATTGGGCTTATGGAAACCCACAAATATCTTTTAGGATTTGAGACAGTCCTGGCTATGAGCTGCCTCTCGAAAATGGCCCCATTGAGATTAGATCATACTGAATGCTCTTGGTGGAGAATAAGAAGCTGGTGGGTTATCAGAGGAGGAACTTACTTTGATTTACACTCAAGGAAACCTGAAAAGCTGCTGGAGTGTACAGCTGTTAGTCTCCACCGTGGCTGGCTTAGGCAGTTCCAGTTTGTGCTCATCTCCCTGGCTATCTTGACAGTTTCCAGAGAAGTGCATCCTTTAATTTTTACAGTGTTGTATCTGGCTACAGCACCTTATCAATCCAAACACCTTGGGCAGGTGTTTTTGTTGTAAAGTCAATCCGTACTTGTGACCCAGTGACATGTCATACATAGGAGGCAACTCACTACATGGGAAGGGGCAGATTGTGTTGCAAAGATCAGTTGAGATTATTTTCCCAAAAGAGAAATAAACAGATTTGAATTTATGCCATTGTGGAGTTTTATATTTTCTATGATATTATTACCAATATATTTTTAGGAGCTTTATAAACTACTGTTGCTGTATTCCTTGGGTAATATTTTCAAGCTCTTCTAAAATGCATCAGTGAAAGATGAAACAAAATGCTGCATATGGAAACTGTGAAAGCAGTCGGGGAGAAATCTATATTTCTTTTAAGTTAGGCCTCAGTTGCGCAGACTTGTTCTTAATGTCAGATGCAAATAATTATTATTATATTGTATTATTTACACATTATACCCTATACATTTATACATAAGTATATTGATATATTTTACTATAATATACATTATTATAATTGTCAGTTATTTTAATGTCTCTTGAATAGAATAATTATATTTTCTATTACATTACATATTTTTAACATAACAACTTTTGTGTATGCTGCAGTTTACTCCTTTTATATATCATAAGTATAACTTATTTGTAATAAATAAGTTGTGCAGCTATTTCATGATATCATATTAATTCATATATATTTACATATTAATTAATCATTTTATAGTATGTTGTATTTGTATATTATGCATTTATAAATTATCATGCTTTTATTATATTGTGTTAGTTTTATATTGTCATGAATATCACTTATTCTTATTGCTACTTGCAAATAATTCTTAATATATATTATATTATATATTATATACTATATTAATTATAATCATTGGCATATATAATATATTATAATTAATATATACTATATTAATTATAATTATTAGAATATATTATATATTGTGATATATGTTATATAATATATACTAATAATTATAATTATATACACTAATAATTGTAATTATATACTAATATATATGAATAATTGTTATACTATATTAACTGTAATTAATATAGTATATAATATTAACTTTGCATATCTTATATTGATTATTATGCATTTTACTCATCTATTATGTATGATATTATTATGTATCACTTATTCTTTATTATATATACTATTTCATATTATGTATGATATTATTATGAGTATCACCTGTTCTCCATAAGTCATTTGCAACGAGTTGTATAGTTACTCTGTGATAATATACTATTTAATTACTTTATATTAAAGTAGTTTGTAGTCACAGAAGTCTAGTGAAAAGGCCCCAGTCACTATATTGTCAACCCCTAATGCAGTTGTAAAAAGTGACTCTATCAACGTGAATGATCCTGACTAGCGAGCTTTTTAATAACTCACCTTCAAGAGCTAACCTTTGGACAGTGAATAAACATGTCCTACATGTAATGTCCGTTGCTAATATAGGTAAATTTTCAGAGCAAGGAAACTCCATTCAGCAGGGTGACGTCTTCCAGTCCTCTGCACCATCCTCATGACGGAGTCCTGGAGAAAGCCCAGGGTGTAGTCAATTCCCAAGTGTCATCTTGGTCTCTACTCTCACCCTCCCTGGTCTTCTCCTTATAATTCCTCAAAAGCGCTTTCTCTGCATAGGAAAAAATCAAGCTCTCTCTCTCTCTCTGAACAGGAGACTTTCTTTGCCGAATTTTCCTCTCTTTCTGTCTTTGCAGAGTTAAATTTTATTCTTCCTATAGAACTAACCACAAAGTACGATCTTGACTCCTCAGACCTGGGCTAGGTCCTCTCTCTGTGTTCTTATCGTGTAGTCTTAATTTTCCTTCATCTTTTCCCTTGCAGTTGGTAATCCTATGGTTATGTGTGTGATTATATTCTAGGAGTGAACCTCCAGGGCTCAACTGTAAGCTCCAAAGAAGCATAGATGATATCTCTATTTGCTTGGCCTTTGTCTTTACACCCTGGGTATTCAGTAGAAATCTACTAAAAAGAGTGAGTGAGGAATGTGTTGGTTTCAAGTGACGGAAAGGGAAATATGACATTGTCCCTGCTGTGGTGGAATGTGTCCTCATCTTATCCCCTGGAACCTCAGATGGGATCTCATTTGGAGAGAGAGAGGGTCTTTGGAAAGGTAATTAAATAAAAGATCTTGAGAAGAAGTCATTCTGGATTAGAGTGAGTCCTAAATGCAAAGATAAGTGTCCTTCTAAAAGAAAAGAGGAGACACAGTCACAGAGGAAAGGCCACGTTGAGACTGAGGCAGAGACATCAGCTTTGCGGCCACAAGCCCATGGATGCCTGGAGCCCCCAGGTGCTGGGAGAGGCAGGAAGGATCCTCCTTTAGAGCCTCTGGAGGGAGCACAGCCCTGCCTACACCTTGATCTCAGACTCCTACTTCCAGAACTAAAAATGAGTAAACTTTGTTGTGTTAAGCCACGCCATTTGTGATAATTTGTTATAGCACAATCAGAAACTGCTATACTATCCCAAGGAATGTAATTGATGAAGAAATAACACGTTTCTTTCTCCGTATTCTTCTCCTCAGAATAGTAAGTAAGGCTAAGGAGGAATTGAAGGAGCAGCAAGCAAGCTATTTGGTCTATTGAAGAAATCAATTGAGCTGTCACTATTGAAACTGTATTCTTTATTTTGTTGTTATTGTTTTGTTTTTTGAGATAGGGTCTCACACTGTTGCCCAGGCTGGAGTGCAGTGGCACCATCACAGCTCAATGCAGCCCTGATTTTCTGCTGGGCTCAAGCCATCCTCCTGCCTCAGTCTCCCAAGTAGCTGGAATTGCAAGTGTGCACCAACATGCTGAGCTAATTTTTGCATTTTTGGTAGAGACGGGGTTTCTCCATGTGGTCCAGGCTGGTCTTGAACTCCTGAGCTCAAGTGATCTACCCACCTTGGTCTCCCAAAGTGCTGGGATGATAGGTGTGAGCCACTGTTCCCAGCCTTAAACTGTATTCTGAGATCAGTTCTACTTTGGGCCAGTTATTTATTAAAACATCTTTCATGTGGCACTCCGCCTTTCAATATAATGATTACCTACTGATATGGTTTGGCTGTGTCTCCACCCAAATCTCATCTTGAATTGTAGTTCCCCTAATTCCCATTTGTTGTGAGAGGGACCCAGTGGGAGATCATTAAATCATGGGAGCAGTTTCCCTCATACTGTTCTCATGGTAGTGAATAAGTCTCATGAGATCTGGTGATTTTATAAGGGGTTTCCCCTTTTGCTTGGTTCCCATTCTCTCTTGCCTGCTGCCATGTAAGACGTGCCTTTGCTCCTCCTTTGCTTTCTGCCATGATTGTGAGGCCTCCCCAGTCATGTGAAACTGTGAGTTCTTTAAATCTCTTTTTCTTTATAAATTACCCAATCACAGGTATGTCTTTATTAGCAGAGTGAGAACAGACTAATACACCTACTTCATATTCCTCGTCTTTATTCTATGACCTAGTTTAAAAAATTATTTATTTATTTATCTATTTTTATTTACTGACGGGTGAGCTGCCTATAGACAGGACTGAGTCTCAGTGATTTTAGCATTGTCAACAATACATCCAGTGCTTGGCTTCTAACAAGTCTTCAAAATTGTCAGATAAATGCCCCTGTGCCGGTGTGGCCAGTCAAACACTGTGGATTTTTCTGACATCCTTTTATGAGGTTCTGACACTAAGTCCTGCAAATCAACTGCCTTAGACTTGGACACTGAAGTCCCACAACTTGTTTGTTTTTGGTTAGTAGGGAAGGGGTGCCCCGGTTGAGATCCAAGCACTTCTTTGTCCTTCCTCTTTGATTCTAATTTTAAATGATACCCTGGAAAATCAATATTCATATTTCTCTTCTGTTCTCTCTCTTTCCTTTTTTATCTTTTAGCTATCATCAGTTTTACAAAGCCTCATTGCTAAATTTTATTAGATACTTACTTTTTAACATTGCCTGCAGGAGTTCTTTATGAAAGATGACAATAAAGCACGTGTGTCCTGGAGAAACATCAATGCAATAAAATGCCCCACTAGGTTTGATGGCCCCAATAGCTTGTAGGGAGAACAGTCCCTTGAAGGAGTTGTACTTTGATATTCTTAAACAATGGAAGAGAATCTCTTCCGAGGGGCACTGATGGCCTTAAAAATCATGGAAGCCACTAAGTTTACATAATAAACTCTTGCAAACCAGATGGTTTTATGATTGTGTTTTGCCAACAGCTGTTTTGAATAAGATATAATTGAGGTTCTTGGCAGGGATACTCTTCAAAGGGTCGGATTAGCTCAAAGTTAACTCAATTGCATCCCCCGGGCTACATAAGTAAAGCCTTCCAATTTCAATCAGTTACAATACAAAGTTATCTTCAAATGTTCACATAGACAGTACTTTGGAGGGCTCATTGGTTTGGAGTACAGATATTATTTTGAAACTAGGAGTTAGGAGCAAAGAACTCAGTGGAAAAAAAAACAGATGAGCTCGAATGGTCTTGGGGTCACTCATGCCTTCCAACTGTTCAGTCTTGGAATTCAATGAGTAACTTCTAAAAACCTAGATAGTTTCAAGTGGACTTCTGTGGCAGCTGTAGGTTCCACACGCTTGGGTAGTTCTTATTTGCAAGTAGGCATGGGTATAGTTAAGGGTGAATGCAGGAGATTTTGCGTGGTCCAACCCTCCATGGGCCAAAGAAAGGACTTGAACAGCTTCTGTGTGATAACCTATGAGCCAAGGTATATCCTCTGTGATGAGGGTCTGGGGCCATGCCAGGTAGTTTGTACTAACAACATGATTGAAGGTGAATCCATATATTTTTGTTTTCCTGAGGTGGTGGGCCATGCTGTATTAGTTTGACCTCTGGGCGAGCAAACTGGGGCATTAATAACCAAGGTAAGGCTTGCAAGTGCTTCACAACTATAAGTCTGCCTCCCTTGTAAGAACTCTAGACACCAAGACTCCAGTGACCCTCTCTCCTTGACATCATTCTATTCATGTTGTCTCACACTGTTGCTGGAAGAATTCAGTGCTGTCCTTCTGACTCTGCTGGAAGACAAGGACTGGAAACTCTTGTCTGGGCTCTCCTGAACTTTGCCATATGTACCTTTTACCTTTGCAAATTTGTGAAACATTTAACTATATTTATTTATTTTGCAATACTATCATGAAGTTCTACATTCAATTATTTTTGAAAAATTCTTTTTTTTCTAGCTTAATTGTGGTATAATTAACAAAGTTGTGTAATTTTTTTTTTTTGAGACAGGGTCTGGTTCTGTCACCCAGGCTAGAGTGCAGTGGCGCAATCTTGGTTCACTGCAACCTCCACCTCCCGGGCTCAAGTGATCTTCCCACCTTAGCCTCTCAAGTAACTGGGGCTACAGGTGCAAGCCACCATGCCTGGCTGGCTAATTTTTATATTTTTTCTTGAGACAAGGTTTTGCCATGTTGCCCATGCTAGTCTCAAACACCTGGGCTCAAGGAATCCACCTGCCTCAGCCTCCTAAGGTGTATAAATTTAAGGTGTGTGATGTGATGATTTGATATATTCTAACAGATACATGAAAAGGTGCTCAACATCACTAACCAATAGGGAAATGCAAATCTAAACCACAAAGATACCACCTCACACCTGTTAGGATGACTATCAAAAAGAATACAAGATGTAACAAAGATGTGGAGAAAAGGGAATCTTGAAGTACTGTTTGTAGAACTGTAGACTGATACAATCATTGTGGAAATGAGTAAGGAGATATTTCTGCAGAATTTAGTCTGCTTTCTTTCCCCATAATAAGTTACCACCATGAGGGTCACAGCTTCTCCGAGTTCTATGGGTCTTCCTAGCAAATCGTGGAATCGGAGGGCAGATTTGGGGACCTTGGACACATCATGCCAAAGAGAGAATTTGGGGGAATTTCTGGGGTGACCAAACAGAAGTTAAAGGAAATATAATGTGCTGCTTTGTGCATACTTCTATTTTCATTTTTCTTTTCTCTTTTCTTTTCTTTTTCCCTTCCCTTTTCCCTTTCCCTTTCCCTTTCCCTTTCCCTTCCCTCCCTCCCTCTCTCCCTCCCTTCTCCCTTCCCTTCCCTCCTTCCCTTCCCTCTTTCCCTTCCCTCCTTCCCTTCTTCCCTTTATTCCCTTCTTTCCCTTCTTCCCTTCCTTCCCTCCTTCCTTTCCTTCTTCCCTCCCCTCCCCTCTCCTCTCCTCCCCTCGCCTCTCCTCTCCTCCCCTCCCTTCCCCATCCATCCCCTCCCCTTCCCTCCCCTCTCCTCTCTTTCCCTTTCTTCAGAGACAAGGTCTCATTCTGTGGCCCAGTCTGAAGTACAGTGCTGCAATCATAGCTCACTGCAGCCTTGAACTCCTGGGCTTCAGTGATCCTCCCACCTCAGCCCCCTACCTAATTTTTGTATTTTTTATTTGTAGAGATGGGTGCCCAGGCTGGTTTAGTACTCTTGAGCTCAAGTGATCCCTCTGCCTTGGCCTCCCAAAATGCTGGGATTACAGGTGTGAGTCATTGTGCCCAGCCTATTTTCATTTCTTAATAAGTGGTGAGAACAGTCTTTGTGGACAATATTAATACACACAAAGTCCTTTGAACAGTACTATGGCATTGTGCCTTTCCTGGGGCAGAACAAGAAGCAAATTGAGATAGATGAAATGAAACTGAAGCATGCAGATGACACATATACCTAGAAAATGGAACATTATTTTCCATCAGACAGAATGAACCAGGAGCCTCAGCTGACAAAAGTCAGCCTCTGGCACAGGTGCATGTGTGTCTCTATACATTGCTACATGTGCACCTATTTATTCACGCAAATGTATGCAGCATCTACAGGTGTCAGAACTGGAGTTCAGCTGTGAGCAAATTGGTCATCTAGTGTCTCCACGTTGTATGATATGCTGTAGGGTGTTAGCAAGTTGACCTAGAGCCTATAAGGGATATGTAAGTGTTTCCAGACATCAACAGGGCAAGTATACATGAAAAGGGATTATAGGATGAGAATTCTCAGGATCTAAGTTAGCAAGGAGGAGAGGAAGTTTCTAAGAAAGGACATTTCCAGCAGATGAAACTGCAATATATAAAGTTCTAAGCTAAAGATTAGAGATTGTGGGGACCAACAAACTTAAAACAGAACTACTATTGGACCAGGCAATCCCATTACTGGGTTTATAACCAAAGGAAAAGAAATCATTCTACCAAAAAGACACATGTAGTCGTATGTTTATTGTAGCCCTATTCACAACAGCAGAGACAAGGAATCAACCTAGGAGCCCATCAATGGTGGATTGGATAAAAAAAATGTTACACATATACACCACAGAATACTATGCAGCCACAAAGAAGAATGAAATCATGTCCTTTGCAGCAACATGGATGCAGCTGGAGGCCATTATCCTAACTGAATTAATGCAGGAACAGAAAATCAAATACCACGTTTCTCACTTATAAATGGGAGCTAAACAATGGGTACTCATAGACATAAAGATGGAAACAATAGACACTGAGGACTCCTAGAGTGGGGAAAGAAGGAGGGGGGTCATGGGCTGAAAAACTACCTATTGAGTGCTATCTATGCTCACTACCTGGATGATGGGGTCATTCACACCCCAAACCTCAGCATCATGCAATATACACAGGTAACAAACCTGCATATGGACCCCCAAATCTAAAAGTTGAAATTATGTATATTTAAAAATGATTAGAGATTGTTGGGATGTATGGGGCAAAGGAGAGTTTTCCCTTAGCCCTTGAAAGGTTTACTGAAAAACCAACTTGCGAGAGGCAGATTAATTGGATAAAAATTTTATTAACATGTATACAGAGGAGCCTTTAGAATGAAGACATAAAGATACAGGGGAAGCTGTCCATTTTTATGCTTTGCTTCAACAAAGTATGGGCAGCCATGTAGAGATAGGGTTGGACAAAAAGGGCCTGATCCAATGCTAACGGACTGAGTGGAAACCCAACCAGGCCTGTCTGTCTAGATTCTTCTTGCCTCTCTGAGCAGCGCTCCTTCCTTCTGGGTGTGCGGCGGGACCCTCTCTGGAGTGGGGGTTCTTAGGACCTACAGTCAAACGAGGTAGGTCAGGGAATTTCTTTATGGCCAGTCTTTATGCAGATAGGATAGAGGGAAAGTTAACTTCCAATTTTTAGGTTTTATGGCTCACGTTGGGGAAAAAGGGTTCTGGTTTCTGTGACCCGCCTTGGGAAAGAGGGATTCTAGTTTCTGTGGTGCCTCGGGGGAGGATGGGACTGAGAGGCAGTTGGCAGGAGATGGTCAGAGAGAAACGTTGGCTTCTGAGGCTGCTGTGGAGACCTGCGTTGTGGGGTATTGTTTTCTGAGCCCAACAGGGAGCTGCAAGTGCATATGGTATCAATGGATGTGAACTCACATTTCTAGATATGCCTATGGCATTGCAACCTAGTTCCGGGGTCTGCATCATAACCAGAGACCCTATGCAATAAAACAGTGTGTCTTTTACTCTCTAAAAAATAAAATAAATAAAATATCTTTAAAAAGCAAAGCAGAGCTCATGCTGAAAAGGCTTCCCGAAATCATGAAGGCACCCACCAACATTTTCTAGACTCTAGGTTGTCTCGCCCTTTGCCTGATTATTCCAACTCATGCAACCACTTAGCAGAGACTGAGCTTTCAAAGTTTGGGTGCATTCCACTTGCTTTGTTAGATGGCTTCACAGTGCTTTACGGAGTTGGTGTTCCCATGCAGAGGCTGCCTTAAAAACAATCTGTCAAACGGAGACTTCAAGAAGCTGGGCCTGGAATAATACCTCCACTCTATTTGCTGACATTTCAAGCATTAAATTAATATTCTTGAAGTCAATTCATCAGGCTCCTAGCCTGTAATTGGGATTCAATGCATGCAGTCGATTAGAGGAGAGAGCAGCCGGTCCATGGAGAAAGAAGGTTTTTCATTTTGCATCCAATCAGGGAAAGCAAACACAATCAGGCAGCGTTTCGGGGGCCGATAGATACTGCAATTCTAATGATGAGGGAAGCAAACAGGAGGAGACATTGGAGTCCCTGAAACTTCTGTCTTAGTATGTCCCCCAATTTCTATCACACTGACCCCAATCTGGCTTTTAATAAATCTTTATCTTTGAAACGCTTCGTTGTGGAGCAAATGGAAAGAGTGTTTGCTCCATCAAAAGAGCAAAAGCACAGTGTCGTGGGAGTGTGAAACCCTGCATAGCAATGGAAAAAACAAAAACAAAAACCAAAAACAAGGCAGTGTTTGTTTCCAGTGGATATGCATGCTCACGATTAGGGCTGCCAGGTTACAGAGTTCACATTTTAGATATTGCAGAGCTAGAGACTGTTAAAATATTCGAGACTGCTAATGCTGTGGTTCAAGCTGCATCCACATTTTTCATGCTTAAGGTGGTCTCTAGCTCAATGGATTTTCTTGCATTGATTCTGTAAGAGAAAGGTGGAGAAGTGGGAAGGAAGGCCCATCTAGGAGAATAGCAATATATATTCCAGGAAGGGACCTGTGACCTGTCTAAAATAGCTTCCTAGAACTCTAGCAAAATTGCAAAGTCCAGTCCAGAGTACGGTCCACATATAATTTCTTGCTGGCTGAGATGCGCAGGTTGCTGGTAGCTGCTCTTCAGGACATCATTATCTGTCTAATAATCAAAAGAAAGCCAGCAAAATGGAACTCATTATACATTAGAAAAAAAACCACGGCTCGCTGTGGACAACTTTCCTTTTGGAAATATTTGTCCAAGTACTTCAGAACATCCAGAACTCTGGCTGAGCAAATCCACTCAAAAACGAAGTCCTGGTGGCTCCATTGTCAATAATCCATGCTAATGCTTTTTGGGGGACTTTGCAGCCTCTGCAGCCTCTGCAGAGACAGACACACAAGAGCTCAAGAAAAGGATTGTGATCCTGGGCCTTACCGCTTCCCAGGTGCTTGTTATAGGGTGGTTTAAAAAGCAAGCCAGACAAGGATATGGTGTACCTGTAGGACAAAAACCTAATAGCCCATCTGTCATCTCTCTTTTTTAAAAGTGTTGTTGGTTCTTCCTAACAGTCACCCATCTGTTCTTGGAAAGTCCCTCTCCTTTAAAAATGATTTTTAAAATCCAGTAGTGTATATACTTGTTTGAAGAATTTAAGTAAGAATGTGGATTGATGCACTTAGCACTCAAAAGTTCCCCAATTTAAGATTTACAAAAAAGGATGAGTGAAGGATGCTGAAAAATGGCTTTGCAGGAGGAGAGTGGAAGGCTTGGGGATTACTTTATTTTTCTTCCAACATATAATGCTCTTAGAGAGGTTTATGAAAAAAGAAATAAATGAAAGATTAAAGTTATTGAGAAAATGTGGAAGGATTCATGATTTGGAAAGCAGGAATATGTCAGAAAAATAGACAACCTAAGTTTTATTTGTAAAAAAGTGGAGAATAAAGCCAGATGAAATGATGGCATCTTCCAGAGGAAAAGGACAAAAAAAAAAAAAAACAAAACCAACTCATGTCAATGGATGTAAAACATATGTTGGCATAAATATGAAAATGTAGCCTACTTACTCATTATTGCTGTTAAGGAGATTTCCATTTTTTAGCATAAAAATACCTTATCTACAGATACAAAATTTCTACCACAGCAAATGGAGAAGAGGCCCCTTTAAGGAAAAAACCTTTCTCATTTGGCAAGTTGAGCAAAAGCTTGCACATTTATATTTAAACACAAGCCTGAGGATATTGCAGGAAAGAAAGAAACTCTACAAGTCATGTTATAAAGATGACATCACTCTGTATAACATTCCGCTCTATAAAAAGGCACTGTGTATAGATGTCATCTCTCATTTACCATCTTCAAGGAGTTTAAAGGTTTAAAAATGATCTCTAAGGTGTGCATTAACACAAACTCTTCAGCATTTTATCTGGTGAGTAATGATAATAACTAAAACATTCAAGGTTACTCACTATCGGCCTAGAATCTGGAGTTGATGCAAATCCCTTAATTTGATTTCTGGGGTAAATTATATGTAACATGAAATTTACCATTTTAACCATTTTTAAGTGTACACTTCACTGGCATTAAGTACATTCACGTTGCGTAACCATCACCACCATCCACCTCCAGAATGGCTTCATCTTTCCAAACTGAAACCCTGTCCCCATTAAACACTAACTCCCTATCCCTCTTCCTCCAACCCTGGCACCCACCATCCTACTTTCTTTATCTATGGGTTTGACAACTCCAGGGATGTTGTATAAGTGAGACTACACAGTATTTGACCATTTATGACTGGCTAATTGCACTCAGTGTGATGTCCTCAAGGTTCATCCATGCCATAGCAGGTGTCAGAATTTCCTTCCTTCTTAGGGTTGAAAAATATTCCCTTGCATGAACACATCACATTTTGTTTATCCATTCATTTGGTGATGGGCACTTGGTTTGCTTCCATCTTTTGATTACTGTGAATGAATTGGGTGTACAAATAGCTCTTCGAGTCCCTGTTTGAGATTATTTGCAAATCTCCTTATTCTTTTTCTAAAAGTAAATGAGCAGGTGACAGATAGAACATGCTGTAGCTTCCCATAAAAGATTTTTGCAACATTTAATGGAGAATGGCCCAGCATCTCATGAAGGAGATTCTCAAACAAAACACAATCTGGCGAACAGATTCCATGGGCTTAGCTTAGAGGGATGCCTTTAAACCCTCGTGCTTTGCAACTGCTCTTACCTAAGGTTGCTTGTTGTCTGTGACTAGCTCTTTAACTTTAAAGCTTTATTAAGAAAGTGGCCTCTGTGACTCTTGAGTTTATGAGCGTTTAGTCTCCTTTGGTTCCCTGCTGGCCATGATGCACTGGGAAAAATGTTCAGGAAAATAAATATCCACTCTTCTGCAGAATGGAATCATCTCTTCGAGGTCAGATTTTTCTGAGTTTTTGTTATTTAGGAGAAATGCTGAATATGTAATACTAGCACACTTAAAAAAGTTATGTGTTGTTCATGGTACACTTACTCCTCAAAAGCAAACATGGATTACCAATGGGACTTACTGAATTAATAGATATATGAGAAGCTGGGGGAGAAAAGGCAAAATACAGATAAAATTTCAATAGTGGCTTTGTGCCAAGCATGTTTGTACTACACTTTAACTGATATTCCCTCAAGTGGTCCATGGCAGACTTCTAGGCAGAGTTATTTCTCTATCTATCTATCTATCTATCTATCTATCTATCTATCTATCTATCTAATCTGTTATCTATCTCTTTTATCTACCTATCATATATCTATCTTCATCATCATGTTATTTTACCTTTCTATCTCATCTATCAATCTACGTATGTCTTCATTATGAATCTTATCTAGCTCTCTATTATTTATCTATCTCTATCATCTATCTTTATTATCATAATCTTCTATGTATACTATCTCTCTATTTCTGCCAATTATCTATCATGTATCTTATCAATCTCATCTATATATTCTGTCATCTATGTATGTATGTATCTATCATCGTGTATGTATCCTAATATGTTTCTATGTTATCTATCTTCATCTCTATTATTTACCTATCATCTATCTCTGTTCATCATCATTATAATCTTCTATGTATACTATCTCTTTCTATCAATCATGTATCTATCAGGTATTTTAGCTGTCTATTCTGTCATAATATGTATGTATCTATATATCATCATCAGGTATCTATTCTACTATCTATATATCCATCTATCTATGTATCCATCTACCCATCTGTTAATATTATCCATCACATGTATCTCTCTTATATCTACCTAGCCTATCTATCAATCATCTGTTCTATCTACCTATCATCTATCTATCTCTCTATCTATCCATCTATCTATCTATCTATCATCTATCTACTTATCTATTTAATTTATCCATGTATCTATCATCTATTTATCTATTATCTATCTATCTATCTATCTATCTATCTATCTATCTATCTATCTATAATCTATATTTCACCTCTCTCTGCTTTACCGTGTGAAGAGCTCCTTGCCCACTGTCATATTCAGGGTTCTCTAGCCTGTGACAGCTGGATTTGAATCCAGCTCCACTTGTCACTGGAACATTCTAACATATAAGCAAGTCTTTATTCCTTATAAAGAAGAGTATGCCCCTCTATTGCTGGGATGTAAAACACCCATGCTCTACTGTTGCATGTGAGGCTGTCAGCATCAATATATATCTTCAGGGGTGCCACTGTTGTCATCTTTTATTTACATAAACAAATAATTCGAACTTGTCAACCAATGTTCTCTTCTCTGCCTAGTTCCTTTTAAAATCACATCTTTGCTAGATGCCTGACAAAGAGAAACCCCAATGTGCAGGTGCAGGGTGTGCTTCCTCTGCAATCCAAAAAGAATGAATGAGAAAGAAATAGCACACCCAGGGTTCATGTGGCTCTTAGAACACACCGAAAGAGAGGTGGTGGGAAATTAGTCAGAAGCTCTTTGCCCCATTTTCTGATGTGCACATTTAAGCATATGTTTGTGTGGATAAATGATTCCTGTGCACAAAAGACATACCCAAATTAGTTATTGGGAGAAGTGAAGACAAAACTCTCTGAATTCCTTGAAGTTTGGGATTTACAATTGCATTTTAAAAATAATGGATTATAATATAAGGAACTTCCCATTAATTTTTAAAATTTCATTGTCATAATGATCCAGTGAGGTTGGAATCATTTTTCCCTACTTTACAAATCAAATGCATTCATGCTGAGAAGAATACATTCCCCCTTTTGATGTCTTAGACTTCCCTTGAAATAGTCTGTGGGGAGTTGAGGCAAGTAGATAAAAGAAGATAAAATCCCTGAATTTTTCTTTTGATGATTTCCTCTTATTCATATTTCCTTTGAATTACAATCTCCTTATTTATCTGTTTCACTTGGATAATGGACATTTTAATAAAAATTGCCTGTATTTATTTTCTTTGATGTATTTCATAATGCCTCAACTTGCAGGCCCAAAGTCATGGACGAGAGTCTTGTTATATTTTTATTACCCTGAGATTCACTAAATCCACATGGCTATCCACAGTGATGATTTCAGCTCCCAATGCAAGCTCAATATTGATTTTATCTGGATTGTGGACTACTGAATGCATCATCACCTCATTTAATTGTACATGCTTACCGCATCATTTTGCCTAGAAAATTGAAATCGGTGGAAAGAATTACAGCTAGGCAAATGCAAAGTTGTGTGTGTGTGTGTGTGTGTGTGTGTGTGTGTATTGAGGGGGAAGGTTGTCTTTCCAGCAGTTCTGAATAAGGAATTTTAAAAACTGGTAGCTAATTCTGTTTTATACCTGAAAATAAGAAAGGTTTCAATGTGTTACTTTTTTTTTTTTTTTTTTTTGAGACGGAGTCTCGGTCTGTCGCCCAGGCTGGAGTGCAGTGGTGCGATCTCGGCTCACTGCAAGCTCCGCCTCCCGGGTTCACGCCATTCTCCTGCCTCAGCCTCCGCAGCAGCTGGGACTACAGGCGCCCGCCGCCACGCCTGGCTAATATTTTTTTGTATTTTTAGTAGAGACGAAGTTTCACCGTGTTAGCCAGGATGGTCTCGATCTCCTGACCTTGTGGTCCGCCCGCCTCGGCCTCCCAAAGGTGCTGGGATTACGGGTGTAAGCCACCGCGCCCGGCCTCAATGTGTTACTTTAAGTGCATTCTTTTTGGGGGAATGGCTGGGGTAAGTATACATTTTCCTGTATGAGTGCTACTTTGTAAATGCTGCAGCTGTTAGCTTAGGCTAAGTTTAGCTGCAGTAATAAATGACTCCACAAATGTAGTGTCTTATAACCAAGGTTTACTTCTTACTCAAATTTCGTGATGGGGTCTTTATTTATATACAAAACTATGAATATCAAAAGAGGTAATACTGAGATTTTTTTTGATAAAACCAACCAGGGAGGGATTTTTTTTTTTTTTTGTAATCTGACATTATAGTATGCAACCAACCAACTAACCAACCCAATAATAGGAAATCACCATGCTTAGTTGGGGCACTGTGGCTCATGCCTGTAATCCCAGAACTTCGGGAGGCTGAGTCAGGAGGATCGCTTGAGCCCAGGAGTTCGAGACCAGCCTGGGCAACATGGCAAAACCCCATTTCTTCACAAAGTACAAAAAATTAGCCAAATATGGTGGTGCGTGCCTGTAGACCCAGCTACTCGGGAGGCTGAGGTGGGAGGATTGCCTGAGCTGGGGAGGTCAAGGCTTCAGTGAGCTGAGATTGCACCACTGCACTCCGCCCTGGGAAACAGAGTGAGACTCTGTCTCAAAAACAAAACAAAACAAAAAAAGTTAACCTCATTCTTTTTTTTTGATATCACACAACTTGCTTGCTTGATTTCCAGCTAAAGCCCAAAAGGAGAGAATTCACAAATAAAGCCTTCCTTTTGCTCTAGTGATCCAAGTAATGTTCACAAATTTCTGCTTTGATTTGGTAGCAGAGACCAACACATAGAGAGAAGCTCCACTTGGATTCACATTTACAGTTTTATCAGATGATGATGGATGAATTCATAGCTGTATAGTCCTACCTAACAATGCAGAATCCAGAAGTCTGTGGGCTAAGTTCTCTGTTAACTTATCCACATCAGAGAGCGTTCATTAGGTGCATGTTTGCCAGTGGCCTTGGCACTTTTTCTGCAGAGAAAAGTTACTCTTTCAGACACACACCTCTGAAGCCCTCCAACATGTGACAGTTGACTGATCATGCATATGAGTGGATAAAGTCAATCATGCATGAATAATTTCAATAAGTCAGGGATAAGGGCCAATTGTTGGAAGATGAGAGATGTTGAAATTATTGGAGTTGTTTGCTTAGATAGATTCAAGTCCAAGGAAGTGAAATCAGCTGTCAAGCCAAGGCAGGCATTATAAAATAATAGAAAAAGAAGAACAAAAAACTGAGGATAGAATTGATTAAAAGAAATTTCGAAAAGTTCCGTTGAATTCACTTGCCTTTCACGGAATGCCAATTTTAAATCTATGGCACTTAGAAACATAAGAAAATTTAAAAAGACAAATAGAAATCAGAAAAACAACTAACACATTTGTTAGATCAAAGAATAATTGTGAAATAAATAATAGAGCAGCTTTTGCATATAGAAAGCACTAAATGAAATTGTTAGGTATCATCCAACAATCCCATATCATACATCAAACCATTACATGCTGGTAGAATTACAGAAGTCCACATGGAGTAAACACATTGTTTAAAAATTAGGCATACTATTGGTTGTTTCAGCTTTTTCTGTGACTGTGGCAGATGCTTGATATACTCATTAAGGTTTTCCTTTGCAATGTGACAGTTCGGGTTTCAATGAACTATATTTCCCATTCTTAATGTGGGAAAAAGACAGATTTCATTTTGCACACTGAAACTCTTTGGGCTTTTTTTTTTTCCTCTGCAGATTTGCCATTAAATTAGGCTCATATTTTCATCACGAGCTCTTAGTTTCTGTTCCCCAGTAGAACTTCAAGACCTAGAGATGTGCCACCCATTAAAAACTGAATGATTCAGCATTTTTCATTTTTAGTGGATAAATATGCTCTTGTGGATAAATATGCTTCAGTGGATAAATATGCTGCATTTCCTTCCTTCTTCTTCCTCCTCCTCCTCCTTCTCCTCCTCCTTCTTTATAGAGACAGAGTCTTGCTCTGTCACCCAGGCTGGAGTGTAGTGGTGTAATCATAGCTCACTGCAGCCTCGACTTCCAGGGCTGAAGCGATCCTCCTGCCTCAGCCTGCCAGGTAGCTGGACTACAAGTGCATGCCACCATGCCTGGCTAATTTTTAAGTTTTTTTTGAAGAGATGGGGTCTCACTATTTTTCCCAGGCTGGTCTCAAGCTGCTGGCCTCAAGCAATCCTCCTGCCTCAGCCTCCCAAGGTGCTGGGATTATAGGCCTGAGCAACTGCACTTGGCCTTGAACTCACTTCAAAAGGAAGACATTTATATATTTTTTTGTTGTGGTAAAATACATACAACATAAAATTTACCATCTTAATCATTTTTAAATGTACAGTTTCATGGTGTAAAATACATTTATAATGTGGTGCAACTAACACCAGCAACAATTTTCATTTGGACTTACATTTATTTACTTATTTTAAATTAATTGATTGTTTTTTTTAGAGACAGTGTCTCTCATTGTTGCCCAGGCATTCCTTGTTTTAGCTTCTACTCCCATCTTTTTTGGTTCACTATTTCTACCCTGACTATAACAACTTAACCCCACCATGACCTTCAATATTCATTATACCATTTTTTACTTTATCCCCACCCCCTACATGCATTTTCCCACCTAACCAGTGCACAATCTAGAAGACAGTCTGTTATTATAATCTCTCCTTTAGAAAGAGCCTGGATACGCGAGCCCATCTCTTACTTCATTGAACTTCGTCATGGTAATAACCGTTCTAACATTCTCCTTCTCTGTTGCAGACTTCAACTCTCTTGGGATCTTATTGTGCACCCCACATCTGTTTCTTATTCTCCAGATCTGTACCAGGGGCTGCCAAACTGCAGCCCATGGCTCAGTCCACCTTTATTTATATAAATTAATTGTTATTGGTACAGAGTTGTAAGTTACCGACTGTGGTTGGCAGCTAGCGGTGCTGGAAAAGAAGAAACAGCCACTTCGATGCATTCCCTTTAAGTCCATGACAACAAACCTCAAGTAGGTATATAATAGTACTTTAGAATCCTACTGCATTTCCCCGGGACATTCAGACAGTCTTCTGGAGAGAAGTTTCACTTTCTTTCTTTTCTTTTGAAATATCTTTTTTGCCCTTTATTCTCAGTTGATTATTGAACCTGGTTTTACTGAAGAATAGAAACAATAAAAAGATTTCATGTGGTCCTTCAGCTGCATCTCCTCATGTATATATATCAGATTCATGGATGCAGCCAGTCCTGCTGACACCTGTGCAGTGGTCCTGTCCAATGCCACCACCTCTGTTGTGCAAACCTCCCATACTCTCTTGTGAAATAAAAAATGTCATTCTTATATTCCCCACTCTTTTCTACCCCTTTCTATCTCTTTTGCAGCCTGCCTGTGCTACTGTTAATGAGTACAAAAAGCAGTTGTTTTAAATTTATCTTTGACTTTTATTTTTTTAGAGACAAGGTCTTGCTCTGCCACCCAGGCTGGAGTGCAGTGGTGTGATGATAGCTCACTGCAGCCTCAGACTCCAGGCTCAAGTGATCCTCCCACCTCGTCTCTTGAGGTAGATGGTACTACAGGTGCACACCACCACACCTGGATGATTTTTAAATTTTTTTAGAGATCAGGTCTCACTCTGTTGCCCAGGCTGGTCTCGAACTCCTGACCTCAAGCAATCCTTCCACTTCAGCCTCCCAAAGCACTGGGATTACAAGTGTGAGCCACTGCACCCACCAAACTATAGTTAGATAGAAGGAATAAGATCTAGTGTCTGGTAGTATGTCGCAGGCTGAAAGAATGAGGGTCATGATCAACTCAGTATACCACTGGAGGCTATATGAGTAAACAGCAAACTGTTCTCGTAAATGCAGAATGTTGGCAAACTGACAAACTGTATCTGCCGCCCAGAAGGAATGCTGAGGGCAGTCATGCCCCAAGCGCAGTGTTGCTTGTGATTAGATGCATCTGAAGCCTGTTAGGAATAATGTGAACCTGTGATCAATTAAGCAGCTGACCAGTCATTACCTCCTCCTCCCTGCTCTTTCTACCCAATAAATACGAAGGGCTGTAGAAGTTCAGGGCTGCTGCCTTTGCTCACTAGAAGCAAGGAGCCCTCCTCTTCTTCCCCAAACCTCTTCTTTAAAACAGTTTCTTTTGTCTTAAGTTTTCATTTCTACATTCGTCCCCTTTTGTTCAGTCTTGTAATGATGGTCTCAAGTAGTAACAGTAGTAACTGTTGCAGTGACGGTCTCAAGTAGTAACTGTGGCAGTCTGCCACAGTAGTACAATCAGGTGACTATAATTAACAATAATTTATTGTTATTTCAAAATAACTAAAAGAGTGGAATTGAGATGTTTCTAACATAAAGAAATGATAAAAGCTAGAGGTGATGGGTACTCCAATTATTCTAATCTGATCATGACACATTGTATGCTTGTCTCAAAATTTCATATACACTCCATAAATATGCACATCTATTGTGTATCCATAATAGTTAAAGATAAGAAATAAAACTATTATTGTTGTTCTTAGTGCATAGAATACTTTTCTATCAGAGATAGCGCCAAAGGCTGTTGCTCTCTCTGTTTATTTTTTAGCTCAACTATGACCCCCCTGAGAAAGGTGTCCCTTGGTCAAGCCAGAACACTCCTCCAGACCCTTATCCTGCTTTAGAGTTCTTTAAATCCCTCACCTCCCACCTGGCTTATTGTATATTTTCTTGTTCACGTGTTTGCATAGAGCTTCCCTGCAATAAAGTGAAAATTACATCCTCATAATTCAGAATAGTCCTGACTCACTACTCACGTTCAATGACTAAATGCATGGGTAGATGGAAATGTTACATTTTGTTTGTTTGTTTGTTTGCTCATCTTTTTCCAGGATGTATTATTTTCCTTTCATTGTCATTCCATCAATTATCGATTTATATTTTTGGTATCTGATATGGTTTGTACATTTTTGGTATCTGATATGGTTTGGCTTTGTGTTCCCACCCAAATCTCACCTGGAATTGTAATCCCCACATGTTGGAGGAGGGGTCTGCTGGGAGGTGACTGGATCATGGGGGGACTTCCCCCTTGCTGTTCTTGTGATAATGAGTGAGTTCTTACGAGATCTGATGGTTTAAAAGTCTGTGGCACTGCCCCATTCAATCTCTTGCTCTCTCTCTCTGCCATGGTAAAGACATGCTGGCTTTCCCTTCACTTTCTGCCATGATTATAAGTTTCCTAAGACCTCACAGCCATGCTTCCTGTACAATCTGTAGAACTGTGAGCCAATTAAACCTCTTTTCTTCATAAATTACACAGTCTCAGGTAGTTCTTTATGGCAGCGTGAGAACAGATGAATACAGTATCCTTTAAATTTCCTTGTAGTTTAGTAAGGCTGGAAAGGGTAAAGGGGTAGAAGGATGAAGAGAAGTTGGTTAATAGGCACAAAACTACAGGTAGAGAGAAGAAATAAGACCCAGTGCTTGATAAATCAGCAGAGTGGCTCTACTAAACAACAATCGTCATGTATTTCAAAACAGCTAGTAGAGAATAAGTCGAATGTTCTCAGCCTAAAGATAAATGTTTAAGGTGATGGGTGTCCCAGTTACACTGATTTTATTATTACGCATTATTTGAGTGCATCAAAATATCACAGGTACTCCCAAAATATATGCATATATATCAATTTACAAATAGGTTTGAGAAAAAGAGTGCAGGAAAATATGACTCCTTTGCCTCATGTTAGGGTTAGCTTCTCAAAGACATTCCAGGCAGGATGATGTGTGAGAAAAGTATTTAATAGTGTGAGGCAGGAGGGCATTTATTTAAACATGTGTGCTCTGAGCTTAGCTTGACCTCACTTCGAAGCCCAGTTTTGCCACTTGAGAGATTCATGTCCTTAGGTCATGTTTCAAACTCCCAAAGATTTTACTGTGAAGTACCTCATGGGGCACATGACAGTTAACACCTTGTAAGAATTTGTAAAGATTAAATAAAAGTATGTCTATAAAGCCTTCAGCTTGGTGCCAGGAACACAGTAAACACACAGCAATAAGGGGTGAACATATATATATATATATGTGTATATATGTATATTTAGCCATTATTTTTATTATTGTCATTGGCAGACAAATGTTGAAAGATGAGGTTCTTAGTGCAAGCCCTAAAATTTCATAACAATTAAAATAGAATTGTTCTTCTTTGTCATCTGTGTTATCTGCATCTTAAATGACTTGGTCGAGAAAGTTTTTATGCTTGCATTTTATTTATTTTTAATCTGAATGTGATTCTTCAACATGGTGCTGGTGGTGAATGGTGATGACGGTGCAGTCCCACTGGGACCGACTTCATGGGTGTGTGACCACCAAGCGTCAAGCATTGTCTCGCACTCCTGCAGAGACCCGACCACATGTTTGGGGAGTATCACAGTCAGGTGCACACACCAAGTGTCAGGCATGACCCTGGGTGCCTGTGCGGGTGTGCACTTACCCACAAACACCCCCATGCCCGAGAGAGAGCACAGCAATAGATAGCAAATAAAAGCTATTCTAACAGGAATGAGGTGGTATCTCATTGTAGTTTTCATTTGCATTTCCCTGATGATTAGTTATGTGGAGCACTGTCTTAGTCCATTTTTGCATTGCTATAAAGGAATACCTAAGGCTGGGTAGTTTATAAAGAAAAGAGGTTTATGTGGCTCACCATGCTTCAGGCTGTAGAAGAAGCGTGGTGCCAGCATTCACTTCTGTGAGAGCTTCAAGGAGCTTCCATGCATGGTGGAAGACGAAGGGGAGCTGGTGTGTGCAGAGATCACATGACGAGAGGGGAAGGAAAAGAGAGGGAGGAGCCAGGCTCTTTTTAACAATCAGCTCTCATGAAGACTAATAGTAGGAACTCACCCCCTCCAAGGGCATTAACCTATTTATTTATGAGGGTCTGCCTGCGTGACACAGAAGCATCCCATTGAACCCCACCTGCAACACTGACATGCAATGAAAACATGAGATTTGGAGGGGACAGACATCCAAATTCTAGCAAGCACCTTTTCATATACCTGTTTGCCATTTGTCTTCTTTGGAAAAATGGCCCTTTATCTGTCTGTTAATCTGGTGATTTTTTTTTCTTTTGCTATTGAGTTGCATGAGTTCTGATATGGTTTGGATTTGTGTCCCCATCCAAATCTCATGTCAAATCGTAATCTCCAATGTTGGAGGAGGGGCCTGGTGGGAGGTGACTGGATCATGGGGTAGATGTTCTCCTTGCTATTCTTATGATAGTGAGTGAGTTCTCATGAGATCTGGTTGTCTGAAAGTGTGTAGCACCTCCCTTTTCTCTCTTCCTCCTCGGGCCATGTAAGATGTGCCTGCATCGCCTTCACCTTCTGCCATGATTGAAAGTTTCCTGAGGTCTCCCCAGCCATGATTACTGTACAGCCTGTGGAACCATGAGCCAATTAATCTCTTTTCTTTATAAATTACCCAGTCTCAGGTATACTAGAATGGACGAATATGAGTTCCTTTTATAATGTGTGTATTAACTCCTTAATCAGATATATAGATTGCAAATATCTTCTCCTTTGCTATAATGCTGCATTTTCACTGTGTTGATGGCTTCTTTGGTTGTGCTGTACCTTTTTACTTTGATGCAATCTTATTTGTATTCTTTTTGCTTTTGTTGCCCATCCAAAAAATTATTGCCAAGAGCAATGTTATGGAAGTAAAAGACAAAAGATGACAAGTGCCAGTGATGAGGTGGAGGAAGCGGAATCCTTACACACTGTTGGTGGGAATGTAAATTGGCCCAGCCATTAGGAAAAACAGTATGAAGTTTCCTCAAAAAATTAAGACAGAACTACTATAAAATCCAGCAACCTCACTACTGGGGATATATCTAAAGAAAATGAAATAAATATCTCAAAGAAACATCTGCATCTCCCATGTTCATGGCAGCATTATTTACAATAGCCTAGGTGTAGAAATAACCTAAGTGTTCATCAGTGAACAAATGGATAAAGAAAATGCAGTGTATGTACACCGTGTCATACTCTTCAGAATCTACAAAGAAGGAAATTTGGTTCTTTGCAACAACACACATGAAACTGGAGGATGTTACATTAAGTGAAATAAAATAGGCACAGAAAGATAAATACTGCATGTCCATTTACATGTGGAATCTAAAAAAGTTTAAATCATAAATGCATAGAGTATGATTACCGGGAGCTGAGGGGCAGGTGAAATAAGGATATTTTGGTCAAAGGTAAAAACCTGAAGTTATGGGATGAACAAAATCTGGGAATCGAAAGTACAGCATGGTAGTGATGAATGTGTTAAGCAATTAGCTTGTGGTCATCATCACACAATGTATACAGGTATAAAGTCATGCTGTTATACACCTTGATACAACCTTTATGTACTAAATAGTTTAGAATAACAAATTTTAAAAAGGCAAATAAAAACACTATGAGAGGTGGAGAGATTGAGATCACAGAAAAAATATATCACTTTCTTGCTTTTTTTTTTTTCACAAAAGGCCTACATTTTCTTTTGCACTGAGCCCCACTAATTATGTATCTGGCGCTGAAGACCCCATTAGGCATTCAAGGGATCCCACACTGGACCCCCACTCCTTCAGTGACTTAGAAATGGAATCTGAAAGTTCAATAAAACACTAGTGGCTGAAAGTAGCCTCTGTATGACGGATCCACTTGGGACATTCTCCAGCTTTAGAGAAAGGTAGATAATGCTCAGGTTTAGGGTATAATTGGTCCCATCAACCAGGTAGTGAGCATAACACCTGATAGGTAGTCTTTTAGTCCTCACCTCCCTCCCTGCTCTAGTAGTCCCCAGTGTCTATTGTTTCCATCTTTGTGTCGCTGTGTACTCGATGCTTAGGTCCCACTCACAAGTGAGAACGTGCAGTATTTGGTTTTCTGTTCCTGCATTAGTTCACTTAGGATAATGACCTCCAGCTGCATACATGTTCCTGCAAAGGACATGATTTCATTCTTTTTCATGGCTGCATAGTATTTCATGATGTATATGTACCATATTTTCTTTATGCAATGTATCTTTGTAACAAACCTGTGTACCCCGATTCTAAAATAAAAATTGAAAAAGAAAAAAGTTAATACTGCAAAAAAATGGAAACACTTATAGTGTAATGTTTTGAGAGTAACTTTGAAAAATATAAGCATTAACAAAAACTGGAAGGAAAAACTGAAAGATGTTACAGTTGGTTATTTCTCAGTGATAAGACCATGGGTAATTGCTATTTTCTTCTTCTCCAATGTGCTGCACTGTGTATATTTTACTATTTTAATCAGAAACACAATACACCTTTTTTTTTTGACATGGTCTCACTCTGTCACTTAGACTGGAGTGCAGTGGCACAACCATGGTTCACTGCAGCCTCAAACTCCTGGGCTCAAGTGATCCTCCTGTATCAGTCCCCCATGCAGCTGGGACCACAGGTGCATGCCACCATGCCCAGCTAATTGTTTTAATTTTTTTGTAGAGATGGGGGCTCACTTTGTTACCCAGGCTGATCTTAAACTCCTGGGCTCAAGTGATCCTCCCACCTGAGCTCCCAAAGTGCTAGGATTACAGGTGTGAGCCCCTGTGCCTGGCCAACAATAAACAATTTTTAAAACTGCTAAAAAAAAAAAAAGTAGAAAAACTAGAAGATGACTGATGTCCTTTTGTGAAGGCTTCTTTAGGACCTGGGTACAGGGTTGCAGAAGATCATTCAAACCCTTCTGAAGACGCTTTCGTAGAGGCATTGCAAATTTAAAGACCCAAAGAAAGGTCTTGAATGCAAGTCCTTTTCAAGGAAGTCTCAGGAAGGCTTTGGTTTCTGCAGTCCCTGCTGTAAAACACTGGCTTTAACGAGAATGCTGTGACACTTTATGTGGTCTCACATGAGTAGCAAATGTTTGCACTTCCCTTAACACCTGCCTGTTCTCTGACCCAGTTGGCATTTGGTAATGGGAGAATTTTTAGTTCCTTTAAAACAGGAGCCTCGTTGAATACAGTGCCTGAGTGCAGTGCCAGCAAAATTCATAGCACCACCGCATTCCATATTCTGTGAGCGGCAGCCTATTAATGGCAGTATTGAGAATAAGAGGCATGTAAATCAGCCTAGAAGTGGATGATCTTGAGTTTCACCGTGTTTTGCAGAGACTCATTGGGACAATGTGCCACAGGGAATAATCTGCACTGATTCTGATACTGGGGCATAATGTGAATCTATTTTCATTCCACAGAGGTATGCCAGCATCACTCTGATCAGGAATCACTTTTTGGCTACATATTTACAATGTTTTAGTACATTGCATTCCCCAAGCAGATGATACAGTCTTCAATTCAAACTTTATTGCATGGACATAATGTATCCCTTGAAGCTTATCTGGCATGTGGCATTTTTAAAACGTAGGTGCCTAATAAATATTCATTAAATGTTGAATGGACGTTGAATTGAAGGTCTTCCTTTTGTGAAGTTACCCAATGCATGTCACATTACAGATCTGTATGTTTCCTAAAATCACTGATAACTTTTTTCTTTTCCATTAAAAGAAAATTTAGATTCAAGAGGTACGTGTGCTTGTTTGTTACACGGTATATTACATACGGGTAGGGTTTGGATTCCTAGTGTACCCCAAAACTCAAATAGTGAGCTTTGTACCAGTTTGATAATTTTTCAACCCTCACCTCCTTCACATCCTCCCTTCTTTTGGAATCCCCGGAGTCTAGTGTTCCCAGCTTTGTGTCTGTGTGTACCTATCGTTTAGCTCCCACTTATAAGTGAAAGCATGCAGTGTTTGGTTTTCTGTGTCTGACTTAGTTCACTTAGGATAATAACCTCCAGCTCCAGCCATGTTGCTGCAAAGAACATGATTTGTTCTTTTTTATGTCAGTATAGTATCCCCCGGAAAATCAGTGATCATTGATCTGAACTCAGTATGTGTGCGTGTGTCAGTGCTACTGGCTTTTAATCAATGCAATTGTACTGATTCCCTCTTTCCATCACCAGCCATCTTACATCATTTTCAATATTTGCAACTTCTTCACAAATGCAAAAATATTTATCTTTAGGTCTATCCACATTTCATTTTTTATTATTATCCATATTTCATTTTTTATTATTTTTATTTTTTGAGATGGAGTCTCGCTCTGTCTCCCAGCTTGGGTGCCATCTTGGCTCACTACAAACCTCCACCTCCTGGGTTCAAGTGATTTTTCTGCCTCAGCCTCCTGAGTAGCTGGGATTACAGGCACCTGCCACCACACCCAGCTAATTTTTGTATTTTTAGTAGAGACGGGGTTTCACCATGTTGGCCAGGCTGGTCTCGAACTCTTGACCTCAGGTGATCTGCCCATCTCGGCCTCCCAAAGTGCTGGGATTACAGGCATGCGCCACCGCGCCTGGCCTATCCACATATCTTAAACACTGCATATCATAACTTATCAATCATTTTGATAAAAGGATTGATCAAAGCCTTTGTGCTCTTATTTTCTCAAGTTATTGTTGTGCTGCATTATATTAAGATGTTTTATTATTCAAATAAAGGTTTGAACATAATATTACATGTTGTTCCATCATTTTGGGTGATTTTTTGTTGTTGTTGTTGTTGTTTTCCTGAAAATGATCTTTTGCACTTGTAACCCTTATGTGTACACAGTATGTTATTTCTCAATTCTCGGATGAGAAGAACATTAAAATAGAATTTATTGACAAATGACTTTCAATTTCCCACTTGTGAGAATAATAGGATCATGAACCTTTTTGACTGGATATGAATATAGATTAAACTGCGGTTACAGTTTTAACCAGTAGATGGAATTATGAACAATTTCTAGAAGACTTCAACTATGCATTCAATTTTAGTAAATATGGTAACCCCTCTTTCCCTCTAAAATAGCTAATAGGGGAGCTGTTTTGTAAGAATGTTTTTGCCTCGAGGCTTTTATTTTCTTATTTCTATGAAAGAACAGCATGCTTACAGATTTACAAAATGTCTTGTAACAGACACTTGGACTCCAACATCATGTATGTGGCCAGAACAGGCCATTTTCTTCAAGTTCAGCAAAAACTTTGATAGAGAATGTTTATTTGACTTTGGGAAAAAAAGAACATGGAGTTAGAAGTTGTGGTGTTGCCAGAAAAGGGGTTTTGATGTAGATCCCAGGAGAGGGTTCTTAGATCTTGTAGAGGAAGGAATTTAAGGTGAGTCACACAGCACAGTGAAAGAAGCAAGTTTATCAGAAACTATTCCATTACAGAGTAGGGTGTCCTCAGATAGCAAGAGAAGGAACGTCCCATCTTTGTTTTAGGTTTTTCTTAGATAGGGGTCTTGTTTATGTAAAGACTAAGCTAAGCTGTGCCTACATGTGGGTGGGTGGACAGCATGACAAAATTTATTATTTTATTGATTTAAATACAACTATCCTTGGCTTCGAGGTCAACTTGAAATCTTGATTTGAAAGCCAGCAAAACATCTGGGGTCTGCTCAATGTATGATGCTTTAACATTTTAGTGTGTAAGTACATCAAAGCATGACTATAATTATTCTGAAAGCATATATTTTTTATGGGTATGGGGACATCTAGACTTTCTGTTTTTGTAGAAGTGTGTCCTTGTAGATATGTTTAAGCTATTTCCTCAACTATAAACATCTTATGACCATGTGACTGGCAACGAGTGTGTCTTGCTAGTTTTATGATGAAGTTGATTTTAAAATGATGTCACCCTGGCTCTCCTAGGCTTCCTGCTTCCCGAGCAATGGGATATGGAGAATGGTCAACATTTTAATTCTGCCTCTTCTGCTTATTAGATGGGTGGGAGCCGATGGGCCCTTTAATGGCTCTAAGTATTAAATATGTTACAAGGGGTATCTCGGGGGTCCCAGAGACCACCCCCAGGTTTGGTGATTTTCTAGAAGGACTCACTGAACTCAGCATGTAGTTGTCCTCGCAGACATGATTTATCACAGCCAAAAGACCCAAAACAAAATCAACAAAGAGAAGTGGTGTATGGGTAAAAGTCTGAAGGCCACTGGGCACAAATTTCCAAGAGTCCTCTCCCTGTGGAATGAAACAGGGCGTGCTTAATCCATCCAGTGATGGCAACAAGGCCCGTGAAATGCTGGCCACTGGGGAAGCTCTCCTGAGCCTGGAAACCTGGGGTTTGTATTCAGTCTGTTTGTGTAGACACCCTCTGCTTAGGACATTCCAAAATTCCAGACTCCAGGAAGAAAAGCAGGTGTGCAGCATAAGTGATACTGTTTATATAAACAGTTTAGACAGAATGAGCCATTTTCTCCATTTTGAGAATAGTGGGAACCCTTCTGAAATCTAAGTTCCCATATGCCAGTGGATAGAAATTGAATGGTGTCCCCTTGGTCCAAATTCATATGTTGAAATGCCGATATGCGCTGTGACTGTATTTGGAAATGAGGCCTTTATGGAATTAATTAAGGAGGTTAAGTGACGCCATAGGGTAGGATCCTGATCCAATAGATAAGACTGGTGTTCTTATAAGAACAGACCTGACAGCTCTCTCTCTCTCTCTCTGTGTCAAATGAGGGCACAGAGAGAAGGGAGCCCTATTCTGCAAGCCGGGAGGAGAGAGTCACCAGGAACCAAATAGACCCAGCACCTTAATCTCAGACTTTCCAGCCCCCAGAACTGTGAAAAAATAAATGTCTGTTATTTAAGCCAAGCAACCTATGGATTTTGTTATGGAAGCCAAGCTGACTAAGACACCAGCCAGTGGCCAATCATGCAAGCTGGCCTTGCTATAAAGAAAACCTTCTGCAGCCTGCTAGGTTAATTCTTCTTTGCACACAAGAATAATCATATCAAGTTTCCATGGCTGTAAAGGTTGGAGGAGATGATGCATTTCTGGGGTATGTTAACCAAAATTACTGACTGAGGCAAGAGTCTCACTCATTAGAGGTTTATGAAGCCAGAGCTTGAGGGTCCACCCAGGAAAAACACCAGTGATAGAGGGTCTGTGGTCTATGAGCCCAAAGTATCTGAGACAGGTCTCAATTGATTTAGAAAGCTTATTTTGCCATGGTTATGGACACGCCTGCAACACAGCCTCAGGAGGTCCTGACGACATGTGCCCAAGGTGGCCGGGACACAGTTTGCTTTTATACATTTTAGGGAGACATGAGACATCAATGAATATGTGTAAGATGTACATTAGTTAAGTCCAGAAAGGTGGGACAACTTTCAACAGGGCTTCCAGGTCATAGGTAGATAAGAGACAAAAAAATGTTGTATTCTTTAGAGTCCTTGATCAGCCTTTCACTGAATACATAATTTATTCTGGCTCATTGAATCTACATTTTTACTTAAGCAGTAGGGCAGAGGAAGCAATCAGATATGCATTTTTCTCAAGGGAGCCTCAGAGGGATGACAAAGGTTTTAAAAAAGCTCCATACCTCCCTCACAATTGAGGCCTCACAATTGAGGGAGGTATGTAGCTTATTAAAATCTTTGTAGCTATTCTATACAGGAATAAAATGGGAGGCAGGTTTGCTGCCTGACATAGTTCCCAGCTTGACTTTTCCATTGGCTTAGTGATTTGAGGGTCTCAAGATTTATTTTACTTTCACAGATCAGTGTTTTCCAAAGAGCTTTTCAGGATGGTTCGCATTTATACATTTTCTTAAAGGGGGACAAGAGGAATGGGTAGAAGAATGATTGATTTCATGTTGTCTTTGTTCTGTTCCTGGGAAAATAACCGTTATCAGTGAGAAATCTAACAGACTTTAGTTTTTTAGAAGCTAGACTTAGATTGCAGACCTAAAGTTACAATTGCCATGTCCTTGTTTATGGGAGGATAGGCATCAAATCCAACAAAACATCTGGGGTCTGGCTACTGTATAATGTTTTAACAAAAGATTGTGAAGTATCTGTTATTTTATTTGGAAAAAAGATATTGGCGTTGCCTGACTGAGGCTTCACTTTACTTTCGCCATAACAAGTTTGGGGGTCCTGAGATGTTTTTATTTTCCTTTATAGATATAATGGTTTGTTCAAATGTAGGGTGAGTACGTACGCTTGCGAACAAATCAGATGCACTCAATTAAACAGCATGGCCACAAAGGCTTGCTGGCTTACCTGATGATATTGTCAGCACCATGAGGTCTTCTATGACTTGGTAAGGGTCTTGGGCCAGCTGAAGGGGGACATCCCTGATTATGGACCCGCAAGTGGCCTTTTCAGTGGGAGCTCTGAGCCCCAGGCTGGTTGGAGCAGCTTACACACCAGTAAGGAAAGAGATACAGAGGTATCATTAGGGAGTGGACTGACAGTGGCAGGACCCCTGACCAGGGTTTTAAATTTCCTTTTACCTACGTAGCAGCAGTGATGAACTGAGGACAATGGCTAGGATCCACACCTCCCAGGGACAGCTGTCTTGTTCACCTTCTCTTAACCTGTGTTGGTCTCAGGTCCTCAGACCAACTCCATGGTTTTAAACATTAAGGATGCAGCAAGCACCACTCATAGGATTCTGAGTTAAAATCAGAGTTGGGATGACTTGTATGAAATAGCTACCTCTTGCCCCAACACAAAGTAGAATTTCTGGTAAAACATCCGTGGAACAGACTGGAGAGAGTTTTCGACGCGCTGTCTCAAATTCAAAACCTGGGCCTTGGGTTTCAGTTTCTGAAATTCTAAAAGCTCCTCTGGAACTTGACCCAGGAGAATCTGATCAACCGTAATTCCAGAGGTGTGGGGATAATAGTGATCAGAGGGCGTCCGATGGCATACTGCCATCAGACAAATGCCATTTTATTTTTCCTGGACTTTTTCTAGTGGGTAGCATGACTCTGCAAATTTCAAAAGGGAGTAAAATCTAATACTGAGTTTCCATTTTCCATGGGGACTGAAATTCTGAACCAGGTCATAAAACCCCACTTTCAGTAAACTCTATACTCTCATTCTCATTAGTCTTCCAAGAATATTAAAAGAGATTTCAATTCAAATTCTGCAAATAGTGAGACCGAACATATTGTATGTATTACATACTTCTGACTATTAATACATCCAGGGGAGCTTCAATTTACATTTAAAAAAGCTGAAAATTCAAAAAAAGTAATAGGCTGGCTATCTACATAGCCAAATAAAAAGAAAGCTGTATGAATTGTCTATTTAATTCCAGTAAAAGGATTTTTGTTTCTCTCCCATATTTTCTTCATAAAGCTGAATTTTTTTTCTGATTTTGTTGCAGTTTCTTGCTTATTTAACTTGAGTTTTTTACCTTCCCCAAATACTAAGGTTTTGGAGCCTCTGGTGTTTAATTTCTTACTACTAATCTTATCAATATTGAATTGGATTTTGTGTTCTTATTGGGTTTGGAAGATGTAGTTCCTTCAGTTCAAATATATACACACACACACACACACACGCACATATATGTGTTCAAAAAACGGAGCCTTGGGTTTTATATATTTACATATAAAATATATAAATGTTTTTATAAACATATTATACCCACACATATATACACATACATGTATACATACACATATAGATGTGTAGATATACATGAAATATATAATATACATATAATATATAATATATAAATTATAATGAATTAGTTAATATTATTATGTATAATATAAAATTATATATATATTATGGGATAAAATGCCTGACACTGTAGCCTCTAAAAGCCCATTTAAATTTAAAAAACCATTTGAATAAACAGAAAGCTAGAAAAACAAAGTGGCTATTATAAACTCATTTAAATGTGCAGTTTAACAATGAATGAAAATATCTTGTCTCATTACAGTATTTTGTTAAAATTGGAGGGAAACTAGCATGGGATACCAAATCACAGTAATCTCAGAAATAAAATTATAAGATTAATTATTTGAATAACAAAACTTATTTTCCATAAACATTGTGTTGATTTTGAAATATAGAATATTATTAAACAAAAAAATTGAAGTTTTTATTTTACTGGCAAATCAGGTTAATTGCCTCAAATTACTTTGGAAGCCTCAATGTTCTTTGCTATTACTGGTGAAATATATAGGTAATGTGATTTCTAATCCCAATAAAGTCATGATAGGATGAATAGAATAAAAGAGAATGTTTCTAATAGTATGACAAGCCAGTATGTAGTGTTCTTCTTAGATAATTTTCCAGTAGCATCACACAACCTGAAACTGAGCCAATTGTCCCATAGACTGTTCTTTTTGATAAACATAGAAATTGATCCTACTGGTTTTAGCTCTTGAAACTTATATAAGTTTTATCTGAGTTCCTTCCCAGGAAAGGACCTTTAGACCTCTCAAAAAGCATCAAAGAACTGAAACTCACCAGATCACTGCATGCTGACAGTGACATGGCAGAGCCCTCATTCACCATGATTGCTTCCTTGCCCTTCCCTAGTTTCTGTTTTCCTGCACACGGTTACATTTCTTCCCAGCTGTGTAACCCCCTAGTTTTAGTCAGTCAGGGAGGTGGATTTGAGACTGAGCCCGCATCTCCTCAGCTGCAGCACCCAATTAAAGCCTTCGTCCCTGGCAATACTCCTTGTGGCTTTCTGTGTGGCAAGCAGCAGGACCTAGACCAAACCCCTGGTGTTTCCGTAACAAATCTAGCTGTTGGCATTAAGTAGGATCCAGGCAGGACAGCATTCATAGCCCAGTGCTGGCTTGTAACACGCTTTTCCTCATTTAATTTTCACAATGCATATTTTCTTGCTGCAGAAAGAGGAAGAGGTTTTGTTTCTCTAGGATTCTGTATTTGTGTCTTAACTCACTTTCTTTGACTGTGTAGTTTTTGGCAGCATGGGAATGGAGCAGTTATGATCACACCCTCATCACCACTGACAAAAAATGGCAATAAATATGAAAATAATTCTATTCAATTGCCCTTTCACAATACATGCTATTTTCCTAAAGACAGAGTTCTGTTCTCAGAGGTCTGAGGTCTTTTCTCAGAAACCTAGGCTGAAACTTTTGGGGAATTAAAAAAAAAAAAAGAGAAATGGAAATATTTTTCGAAAGAACTTCGCTTCTGGATCCCCTAATGTCTTCAGATGAGCAAAGCCATCTTTTTCTCCTTTTCTTTTGAAAACAAGCTGTGATTCTCTTACTAGTCTAATGCTGACTGGTGTAGTTTTTAGTAGCTCTTCACGTTTGTGTAGTTGTGAGATAGTTCTGTTGGTCATGGAAGACTCCTTCCCAGGAAGTCACACCATGCTCCTGTGTAGGACACAGTGTTTCACCCTTTATAAGCAGAACAGCTCCAACTGATGCTACCTTGTAGCAACCTATATCTGTAATGAAGAAATCTGGGTCCAGGAAAGGAAAGGAATGGAATTTGCTCAAGAGAAACTGTCTCCAAAGAATTAGTTTCTAACTTTCTGGACATGTATGTTTTTCTAAATGTACAATTGGTGTCTCACGTTCAGCCAGTTCCAATTGCCTAAATGTCACATATAGGCTGGAAAAAATATGCATGTATCTGAGCAAGGCTTTTTTGCAAGACTTGCTAGAGAATTGGAAGGATGAAAAAGTAAATCTGAGTGCAGTTGTCAGCATTAAAGACACTTTGGCTTCAGGCAATGCCAGAGAATTGAGCAGGAAAGACTTGGCCTGAGACTTACCATCTTATATTGAATGTGCGTCTGGTTATTAATATGATGCCTCAGTTCTCCCAGTGACTCCAGGACCTAGGGCCAAATTTCAAAGTCAGATGGATATTTTATCAGTGACAACTTGCACAGATATAGCGGGAAATAACCGAGAAAGGCTAATTTCTAGAATTTTATAGGTGAGAAAAGGCATAAAACATTACTTTATCTATAGGCTGAAGCTCTGAACAAAAAGAAAATTTCTGGACAGCAAAAGTTTGGCAAATTGTACTCTATTTACTGGAATTTAGACACTTAGATATCAAAAGTATTACCCCCTTCCACTTTTTTTTGGAGGGGGGCAAGCTGGCTATTGCCCAAAATAAGAGAGCATGATTTAGTGTATTACAGTTGCCTAGGCTCTTCTGAATGTGGAAACTGGATTTGAAATTTTTAATGTGTTAAAATGCTCTTTGAAACTCTCTCCAAAAAGTATTTTCTACATCAGAAAAGTAAGCTGCACTTGGAAAAAAAAGAAAATTAGTTATAGGCTATATTATTTGGTGTATGGTAAAAGCTACAAAGTCATTATATAGGCACTGTAAGTTTCTCTGGGTTAGAACGGCTACTTCTACTCACAGAATTAAAAGAAGAAGGAGAAAGAGGAAGAGGAGAAGCAGGAGGAAGAGGATGGGGAAGAGGAGGAGGAAGAGGAAAAGAAGAAGAAGAGGAGGAGGAGGAAAGAACATAGCACAAGAATATTTCACATGGAAAGAAAAATATAAGAAAACTGAACCTTGGGGAAATTAGAAATTTATATTGAAAATTATTTCTCTTTAAATGGTCTTAATGGAAATAAAATGAAACTTCTCTTTTTAGGAAAATGGCATTTATTATTAATGGGCAGTTTCATAGAGTTCTTTTTATATTTATTTCCCTTTTTAAATTATACTTTAAGTTCTGGGATACATGTGCAGAACGTGCAAGTTTGTTACATAGGTATACACGTGCCATGGTGGTTTGCTGCACCCATCAACCCGTCATCTACGTTAGGTATTTCTCCTAATGCTATCCTGCCCTTTGCCCTCCACCCCCTGACAGGCCCCGGTGTGTGCTGTTCCCCTCTCTGTGTCCATGTGTTCTCATTGTTCAACTCCCACTTATGAGTGAGAACATGCAGTGTTTGGTTTTCTGTTCCTGTGTTACTTTGCTGAGAATGATGATTTCCAGCTTCATCCATGTCCCTGAAAAGAACATGAACTCATTCTTTTTTTATGGCTGCATAGTATTCCATGGTGTCTATGTGCCACATTTTCTTTATCCAGTCTGTCATTAATGGGCATTTGGGTTAGTTCCTAGTCTTTGCTATTGTAAATGTGCTGCATAAACATATGTGTGCGTGTGTCTTTGTAGTAGAATGATTTATAATCCTTTGGGTATATACCCAGTAATGGGATTACTGGGTCAAATGGTATTTCTAGTTCTAGATCCTTGAGGAATCACCACACTGTCTTCCACAATGGTTGAACTAATTTACACTCCCACAGTGTAAAAGCTTCTTATTTCTCCACATCCTCTCCAGCATCTGTTGATTCCTGACTTTTTAATGATCGCCATTCTAACTGACATGAGATGATATCTCATTGTGGTTTTGATTTGCATTTCTCTAATGACCAGTGATGATGAGCTTTTTTTCATATGTTTGTTGGCCACATAAATGTCTTCTTTTGAGAAATGTCTGTTCATGTCCTTCGCCCACTTTTTCATGGAGTTGTTTTTTTCTTGTAAATTTGTTTAAGTTACTTATAGATTCTGGATATTAGCCCTTTGTCAGATGGATAGATTGCAAAAATTTTCTCCCATTCTGTAGGTTGTCGGTTCACTCTGATGATAGTTTCTTTTGCTGTGCAGAAACTCTTTAGTCTAATAGATCCTGTTTGTCAATTTTGACTTATGTTGCAATTGCTTTTGGTGTTTTAGTCATGAAGTCTTTGCCCATGCCTATGTCCTGATTGGTCTTGCCTAGGTTTTTCTAGGGTTCTTATAGTTTTAGGTCTTACAGTTAAGTCCTTAATCCATCTTGAGTTAATTTTTGAATAAGGTGTAAGGAAGGGGTCCAGTTTCAGTTTTCTGCCTATGGCTAGCCAGTTTTCCCAACCTCATTTATTAAAAAGGGAATCCTTTCCCCATTGCTTGTTTTTGTCAGGTTTGTCAAAGATCGGATTATTGTAGATGTGTGGTGTTATTTCTGAGGACTCTGTTCTGTTCCATTGGTCTATATATCTGTTTTGGTACCAGTACCATGCTGTTTTGGTTACTGTAGCCTTGTAGTATAGTTTGAAGTCAGGTAACGTGATACCTCCAGCTTTGTTCTTTTTGCTTAGGATTGTCTTGGCTATATGGGCTCTTTTTTGGTTCCATATGAAATTTAAAGTAGTGTTTTCTAGTTCTGTGAAGAAAGTCAATGGTAGCTTGATGGGAATAGCAGTGAATCTATAAATTACTTTGGGCAGTATGACTATTTTCGCGACATTGCTTCTTCCTGTCCATGAGCATGAAATATTTTTCCATTTGTTTGTGTCCTCTCTTATTTCCTTGAGCAGTGGTTTGTAGTTTTCCTTGGAGAGGTCCTTCACATCTCTAGTAAGTATTTCCCTTTTTTATAATACTGAATTACCAAAATGTCTATTGCTCATTTTAAGAGCAGTAGTTTGTTTTAAGATATGGGATAAATATTCTTTGGAGATAAACCTGTATATTTCTGCAAATATTTCTTCCTGAAATGTAGACTAAGATATCACAAAGCACAGATTTTAAAGCACACTTTGGCTTTGATGCTTACAGAATCCTACATTTTTGAAGCCCAAAATATTCCGATAAATCAAGGCATTCACACAATGCAATCATTCTCTCTGTGGCGTTCCCAATAAATGAAATGTACTGAAACTTTTAAATGAGGTGGATGCTCACAAAACAGTTGCTAGGGTTTTGTTGTAACTGTTGATCTGGATAAAATTTTAAACTGACAGTAAGAGTGGCAAGAACAGTATGGGGAAACGCTACATGCTTTTCTGCAGATTTGTCCATGTCTATATTTTGTCTGGGTTGTTTTATAATTCATTCTCTCTCTGCACCCCACACACACACACACACACACACACACACACACACACACACACGCAATTTCTTCACAACCATCTGAGAATAAGTCAGATAATTGTACCCTTCTACTCCTAAATATTTCAGATTTCTTTAAAAAAAATAAGAACGTTCTTTTAAAAAACCAAATACTTGAAATCAGAATATTTCACACTTGTACAATGTTAAAAAAAGATGTATGCTTGTAGTAAGACATGAATAAACCACAGAACTTCAGTGTTTCAGATGAAATCTACTGACCACAAATGTTTCTAAAATTCAACCCTAAGCCTGGATGCTCTCAGCTAGATGTTCTGGGCTTGGAAGTCTCTTCATGATGACACTGAAGAATGCACCAGGGTCTTGGTGCATCTCTGTTCCCCTGATCCACTCCTAGGAATAGCAATATACGTGTTCCCTGACCTCAGTTCAGGCTAAAGATGATGTCTTAATCATTCTTTAGCCCTGTTCAGCCTGAATTCCAGCCCCTGAAAGGGAATCTCTGTGGCTAAGTCAAAGAATGACCTAAAGGTGGCCAAGTCAAAGGACCATGGTTCTCCATCCTCATCTTGCTTGGCCCCAATGTAGCCTTTGACCTTGTAATCCACTTCACTTTTTTTTTTTTTTGAGGTGGAGTCTCAATCTGTTGCCCAGGCTGGAGTGCAGTGGCAGGATCTCAGCTCACTGCAATCTCTGCCTCCCAGGTTCAAGCAATTCTCCTGCCTCAGCCTGTTGAGTATCTGGGACCACAGGTATGTGCCACCAAGTCTGGCTAATTTTTGTATTTTTAGTAGAGACAGGGTTTCACCATGTTGGTCAGGCTGGTCTCGAACTCCTGAACTCAAATGATCCACCCACCTCGGCCTCCCGAAGTGTTGGGATTACAGGCGTGAGCCACCGTGCCTGGACCACTTCACCTTCTTGAGGCATCTTCGTTCCTCAGTTTCCCTGATCTAATGGGTATCCCCAACAATAGTTCCAGGGAGACAATGGAAACGATTCTACCATGAGTCTGGGTGAAAATCTTTCTCATGACAGGAAAACAAAATTGTCAGCTAGTGCTCCACAAAATATTGAGTTACAAATAATCTTAGATTAGTTGGTGGCTCCATCCTTGTCACTTACCTCTCATTTATAAGTGAGAACATATAATATTTGGTTTTCCATTTTGGAGTTACCTCCCTTAGAATAATGGCCTCTGGCTCCATCCAAATTGCTCAATCAAAATTACATGATTTCATTCTTTTTTATGGGTGCTTAGTATTCCATGGTGTATGTATACCACATTTTCTTTATCCACTTGTTGGTCAATGGGCACTTAGGTTGGTTCCATATCTTTGAAATTGTAAATGTGTTGCTATAAACATGCATGTGCGTGTTGACAGACACATTTTATTTATCTCATTTTATTTTTTATAGATGATCCTGTCTTCATTTTTCCCTGCAGTTTTACAGAATAATCCTGGAACAATTATCCACCCAAAAATCTTTCTGATTTTCCTTGGGATACTTACCTTAACAAGAGGGTTCATTCACTTAGCGCAGGTCAGCAAATGCCATGTTAGCTGCTTTTAGTAATTTAAGGGGATGTCATATCTCCCTCATCTTAGGGTTCAACAAATGTTGAATAAATAAGGTATCCCTTTGAATATTGCTTCTCTCATGGGTTACCTTAAATGCTATTGAACTCTGAATCTAGATTTAAATGCCATGATGGAATCACATAGGATATTTTTAATTTTCTTCCTTGTTTAATGGATCGTTACAGAAAGCAGTATTTTATAATTAATGTAAAACTTTTATGTTTTTATCATTAGTAGGCTATTATTTTAGGTTCTGGGTTAATTCCATAGAATTGGGGAAGGCTTAATTGGTGATCAGAGGTATGTAAGTATATTGAGACATGATTTATCATAGAAGAAATGGAAGAGAATAATAAGATAATGAGGCAGACACTGTTGTAATTATAAGGAATTTTTTTATGTAAGCAGGGAGAACTTTAATTATAGATCATTAGTAGCATGAAAAATATAACTCTTTAGGTTTTCCAAGACTCTAATTTCATAATAAACAGGCTTAGTTAATTTCCCATGGGAATGTTTTCAGTGGAGTGACAAAGCGTGCACAAAACAGATGATTTGAAATTTGTGTTTAAAAACAAGGGAGTTGGTCACCTTAAAAATTATTTTTCATACCTAATTGCCATTCAATTTGATTTCTAAATTATGTGTTGAGTTTCACTATAGCCTCAGTACTCTTTGATGTCTTATGGAGTGAACAATAAGATTCTGATCTGCCATTAAAAGGAGTAAAATATGAGCAGAAGCATTACTTAAATAACTGAGCAACACAATGTATGTTTATGTGATAATTGAATGCTGCAAATATATGTATTTGCATGAGGAAGAGATGATCTGGCCTAATGTTTTCAGCAAAGGCCTGAGAATAACACAAGAAAATATGTCTGAGCACCAAGTTGAGTTAAAAAGTGAATACAGTGCAGGAAACACAGTGGAAAATAAAGCCTGAAGGTGTCCATGGTTAGCTTCTAGTGAAGGTTTATGCCAGGGTGACCCTGGGCACATGAAGAAGGATTTTAGGAGAAGTTCTATGATGGTCATGGCTTCAATTTAGGAAGGCTGTCATTGTAAGCTTTGTGAGTATGAGATGGACATAATTTATATTAGTAAGGCTATATACATGGGTGGAAGAAAGAGAGAGTGGAAAGAGAAAGAGAGGGAGAAAGAAAGAGGGAAGATAGGAGGGTGGGAGGAAGAAAGAGGGAGGAAGATAGGAGAGGGAGAGAGAGCAGAGAGGAGAACAGGGGCAGGGGGAGAGGGAGTGACAGAGGGAAGAAGGTAACGAGAATGAGAGAGAGGAAAGAAAGAAAAAAAAAGAGAAAGAAGAATGAAGGGAGGGTGGGAGGAAGAGAGGGAGGGAGGAACAAAGGGATAGAGGGAGAGAGAGAGAAATATGTCCACTTGAGAAAGTAAAGGTAGAGAATGGTGTTGCTGAGTTATTAAACATCTTAAGGATCAAAGTAATGCAAAGGTAGAAAAACAGCAGCAATACTGCCATTTCTAAGGCAGGGATTGCTGAGTACCCAGACAATAGAACAGCAGCAAGAGGATGCCCCCAAAATATTATAGCTTTAGAATCATAGGTTCATGGGATGTTAGACCCAATGTTAGCACTTCTCAATTTAAGAACAGATAAAACAAAGAGACAAAATCAATGGCAAAGAAAAATTAGCATTTACAGGAAATGATTTTATTAAGTGATGGTTGGTTGGGATTCTGTTGAGGGCTTCAAACTTTGCCAGAGCTGACTGCTAAGGCATGGACACATCTCCTAGTTACATGAGCCTTGGTAGATCTATTTAATGCTGTAGAAATTCTCAGCTATGATGACAGTGATGAGGATGATGATGGAATTAAACTGAAGAAATCAAACCTCAACCGTGAGTGTGGTTTCCAAAACAATGAGTCAATATTTATGGATTGGCATCAAGAAGTTTTTTTTTCCCCAAGTTCTTCAGGTAATTAATCCACCTTGCTAGGATGACATGGCTCCCTGTTTTCTTAAAAGTTGTGCTGGTAAGCATAAAATTAATGTAAAGGAGGAAAATATATTTATTACTTTTATTTGCAGTTGCACCAATACCTTTGACTCCTAAGGCCAATGAATTACTTCTATTTTTTTTTTTTTACAAGTTGAAGGAGTCAGATTGTTAAATATGGGGGCATGAATGAGCAGTTCTTGCATACTTTCTGGGTTAATAAGAAGTTGTGGGCTTCTATTATTAGGTTTACAAGCCAATGTTTTGGTTAAATTATATCTACATTATATGAACCCCAAAATAATTTTGGGGTTTAGTGACAGGAAGAGGAGGGGTCACTTACCCCTTATCCATCTATCCATATATAGATGATAGATAATATATAGATATATAAATTATAGATAGATGATAGATTGATACATAGTAGATTGATGATACTAAAGATAGATAGATTACTTAGGGTGCCACAGATTTGTGACTGTTGATTCATTCATACTTGACTGTTCAGTCATTTTCCATATCCTCATCACGATACTTATTCTTGTTTTTGTTGCAACCCATAATTATGGGAGAGGCCTCCCAAACCATCTGGGCTGCAGCACGCATATGTGTGCTATATTCAATGAGATTTCTCTCCTGTTCAGAAAAGCCTGGGAGAAAGCACATGAGTGGGAATGGCATAATGAGGGATAAAACCTGAAGCCCACTTGAATTTATTGAAACAAATTTTTTCACAGAATTTGACATTTCCTGATTAGTAACAAGCTATTTCCAGCCAACCTCAGAAGTGGTCATATCACTTCTCTGCATCTTGACATTCATTTATAATCAGCCAAGTGATGATGTCTGTGACTTGGTGGAACTCATGATGAGAGAATCATTCCCCTTCTCTGTACTCCCCTCAAAACTCCTTGATTTACTGACTCATTGAATCCTTGCATTATCTACTGTTAAAATACCACTTACACATATGAGTAAAAAAGGAAAAGTCTACACAAAGTAAAGATAGTATTAGGAATGTTGCATTAGACAGAGTTTTTCAGAGAAACAGAACCAATAGGAGATGGATAGTTAGATAGATAGATAGATAGATAGATAAATAGATAGGTGATAGACAAATAGATAGATGATGAATAAATTCAATAGATGAATGGATATAATATATAATAAATAGATAAATAATATTCTTTGAAAACCATACTCATGGCTGAGGTTTAATTTCTTCACTCCAATTCCATCATCGTCCTCATCACTGTCATCATAACTGACAATATCTATAGCATTAAGTAGATATATCAAGGCTCATGTAACTAGGAGATGTGTCCATGCCTAGGAGATAATAGATGATAGATAGATAGATGATAGATGTTAAATAGATAAAAAATGGGTTGTTGGCTGGATAGATATGGTTGTTGGCTGGATGGATATGGATAAAAAATGGTTGTTGTCTGGATAGATAGATAGATAATAGACAATAGATAATAAATGGATGCATAATAGATAGATGATAGATACATAGATAACGGTTAGATAATCGATAATAGATAGATTGATAGATGACACACGGGTGATAGATATTAGATGATAGACAGGGTGAGAGGATGATAGATGGATAGATATCTTCTTTATACATCAAGGAATATCTCTATCTCTGTTATATCCATCTATGTCTCTATCATCTGTCTGTCTATCTATCTATCTATCTATCTATCTATCTATCTATCTATCATCTATCTTGTTTTCTATCTATTTCTTAACCATGTGTCTGTCTATCTATCTGTCGAGGGATATTATGAGGAATGAGCTCAAGAGATTATGAAGGCTGAGTAGTCCCATGATGTTTGTCTGGAAGCTGAAGACCCAGAGATAAGATGAACTGTCCCAGCTCCAACAGTGAGACCAGAAAAAATGGGGGCAAGTTTCTCTTTCTTCTCTACCTTTTTGTTCTATTCAGGCACTCGGTGGATTTAATAATGCCTGCTCACTTTGGGGAGGACAGTCAGCTTTGCTGAGCTCACAAATTCAGATGCGTATCACATCTGGAAACACTCTCACAGACACACCCAGAAATAATGTTTCATATCGACACCACCTAGTCCAGTCAAGTAAACAGATAAAATTCACCAAAACCAATGTGAAGATGTATATACATACACATGTAGACAGTATAAATATGTAAAGACAATATATTGCTTTGCAAAGAAATTCTGCCTTGTTCCTCAGAACATTCCTATAATGAACATAGGAGAGTTGGTTTCATTGCATAGATGGGTAAGCTGAAACAAGAGTTTCATACCTAAAGTCAATGAGTAAGTAGACTTCTAATTCGACATTTGTTGTTGATTAATTTATCTTTCCAGAAATTTGGTGTTTGTTTTAAATGATGATGCATCTGTGTTGATGAATGTTCAGACTTCTACAGTTGCACATCTGAACAAGTGTGGTATATACGAGCATCTATCACTGAGTTAAGTGTATAATCAATCACTGCCAATGACCATTGCTTATATGGCAATTCTAGTTATAAAGATTCTGTGAAGGCAATGTGGAAACAGAAAAAAACTAAACCTGGAGCTAGAAAGAGCCATTGTCATTGGTTGGCCCAAGCCTCCTATTTTATAGAGGAAAATGAGGCTTGGATAGATGAATGGATAGAATATATAATAGATGGATAGATAATATGGCCATGTGGCCATGGTGAAACCAAGCTCACGCTCACAGGGGAGGTTAAGGGGAGAGAAAGTTCTAGTAATTTGGCTTTGATTTTTTTGTTTGTTTGTTTTTCTTTTTCTTTTTCTTTTTTTTTTTTTTGGACACCGGGTCTCGCTTTATCACCCAGGCTGGAATGCAGTGGTATGATCATAGCTCACTGCAGCCTCTATCTCCTAGGCTCAAGCAATCCTCCCACCTCAGCCTTCCAGGTAGCTGGGACCACAGGCATGCGTGACCATGCCTGGCTAATTTTTTTGTAGAGATGGTATCTCACTGTGTTATCCAGGCTGGCCTCAAACTCCTGGACTCAAGTGATTCTCCCACCTCAGCCTTCCAAGTTGTTGGGATTACAGGCATGTGCCACTATGCCCAGGTGGCCTTGATCTTGGTCCATGTAGTTGGCTGAACGATGGCTCCCCAGAATATATCCACATCTTGGAACTTGGGAACAGGGCCTTATATTTGGAAAAAGGGTCTTTGCAGATATAATTAAGATAAGGATCTCAAGATGAGATCATCCTGGAGGAGGAAGGGCCCTAAATGCAATGACAGGTATCCTTCTAAGAGACAGAAAAGGAGACACAGACACAGAGGAGAAGGCCACGTGGAGACAGACAGAGACTGAAATGATGCCTCCACAAGCCCAGGGATGCCTGGAGCCACCAGGAGCTGGGAGAGGCAGGAAGGATTCCTCCCTAGAGCCTCCAGAGAGAACTGGATACAATCGTAAGAGATTGAATGGTGACCTCCAAAAGATGGGTTCACATCTAAACCGCAGAATCTGTGCATGGGACCTTATTTGGAAATAGAGTCTTTGCAGATATAATTAGTTAAGGCTCTCGAGATGAGATTATCTTGGAGGAAGGAAGGCCCTAAATGCAAGAAGTATCCTTCTCAAAGACAGAAGAGGATATGCAGACACAGAGGAGAAGGCCAGGTGGAGACAGAGACAGAGACTGGAGTGTTACAGCTACAAGCCCAGGGATGCCTGGAACCACCAGGAGCTGGGAGAGGCAGGAAGGATCCTCCCCTAGAGCCACAAGAAGGAAGTGGACACAACTTTAATGGATTGAACTGTGGCTCCCAAAGGAACTGTGGATGTCCTCATCCCCAGAACCAGTGAATGGGATCTTATTTGAAAACAACATGTTTGCAGATGTAGCTAAGGGAAGGATCTTGAGATGAGATCATCCTGAATTATTCATGTAGGTCATAAATCCAGTGAAAATTATTCTTATAAGAGACAGAAGAGGAGACACAGACGCAGAGGAGAAGGCCATCTCCATGGAGATGGAGGCAGACACTGGAGTGATGCAGCCACAAGCCCAGGGATTCCTGGAGCCATCAGGAGCTGGGAGAGGCAAGAAAGGTCCTCCCCTGGAACCCCTGGAGGGAGTGTGGCCCTGCCGACATCTTCATTTCAGACTTCTGGACGCCAGAATTGGGAGAAAATCCATCTCTTTTGTTATAAGCCCCCTACTTTTTTTCAGCAAACCCAGGAAACCAATACAGGCTATGTTAGGTTCTTTTATTTTACGTGGTTCCCAGAGTGATATACAATGCGTCTGCCCAGGTGACTTTCTCCCACCATGTGCCAGGCACTTGTGACACCTGTGATGATGTCCCTGAGTAACAGAGTCTTGAGGAAGGACTGTGCCCCAAAGCTGTGCCTAACTGTAATCTGTGATTTCTCAACTGTGCCCTTTGCAGATTGGTTGTGTGCTCTTGGGTTCAGACCATGGAACTTCCTGCAGAAGAAAGACATTTATTTAAACAAGTAAATTCAGGTCGATGTTTCTACATTTTCAGCCATAAGTTTGGCAGTTTGGAATCATCAATGTGATGTTGTGTTTTCTTAAAATGATAACGGAAATGCTCCAAGCACTTAGCTTTTGAGATATGATAATGTGCTTTCCTGACTTTTCCAGTAGCCTGTTGCATTGTGGCTGGGACCTTTCATTTATTGCAAACCTGAGATTAAGACATTAAAAAAAAAAACTTCTTGGAGGTAGGATATTACAGGGAATCTGCTGTTTGCTGCAAACTGCCTCTTTGAAATATGTTAGTGCAATCAAAATATAGCTGTTTGAAAAGGTCAGTAAGTCACCATTTTTCATAGGATATAGAAGACGTCAAAATTGTGAATTTTTTTCTTTTATTATGGAGGTGTCTAAACCATGACAAAGTTGGATAAATTAATTGCACCTTTTAAAACGATGGTTTAAAAATGCTAACTTTAAAATATAGAGGTTCAAGTCTTAACATCTCTACTAGTTTGGATTAGTTAAAAAACAAAGGTATCAAAGATACTTATAGGTATCTCATCAATAAATTTCTAATGTCAGTGTTTTTGAGACTTAAGTAATATACAGACTCCTTTTCTCAGTGGATAATTTTGGGGCAACTCTAGCAATAGATATTAAATAAGTACAAAAGATAAAACAGGAAAATAAGTTTAGGAATGTTCGATATGGGGACAAAAACCACAAAATGCATGCCATAAAATGCCACACATTTGATAATCTGGTCCATACTCCAAGATATGAGCTTTTATAAGACACCCAACAAAGGAAATAAGAGGCTATAAATATGCAGTACTTGTTCATGGCCTCCCTTGACCCTGAGGTATTTGAGGGACACTCCTCCTTGGATGTCATACATCTAAACCTGACTCTAAGGATAGCTAAGCATCATATAGATTAAGAGAAAGGTGTAAAAGGGATATGGGATAGATATTTATTGGGCTTCCATAATGTGTCAAGCATGTTGCACATATTAAGACCTTTTCTCATCCATATGTTATGGCATAAAACTATTCTTCTGATCTTACAGAACAAGTCTTAGAGGCTAGACCGCTGGTTCACAGGTTTACTTATCAAAGTTTAACAGATAATGTCGTTTTCATTAAAAATAATTTAAATTGGTGCTCGAATCACCATTTCTCTAACTCCTGACCAAAACAGATTGTTAGTCTCTTTTCATTTGTTTTTGTCAGATAGGACAAAACAACAAGTCATTGCTTTGATATAATTTCCTTTCACTATTAAAAATGGTTGCATATTACCATGGAATACTACACAGCCATAAAAAAGAAAGAGATCATGTCATTTGCATCAACATGGATGCAGCTGGAGGTCATTATCCTAAGTGAATTAGTGCAGGAACAGAAAACCAAACACTGCACATTCTCATTTATAAGTGGGAGCTAATCATTGAGTACACATGGAAACAAAGATGAGAATATTAGACACCGGGGACTGCAAGAAATGGGACAGAGGGAGAAGGGTGAGGGCTGAAAAACCACCTATTGGGTACTATGCTCACTACCTTGGTAACGGGATTAATTGTACTCCAAACATTAGTGTCATGCAATATACTCATGTGACAAACCTGCACATGTACCCTCCCTGAATCTAAAATAAAAGTTGAAATTATAAAAAGAAGCTGTATATTTCTTAGAAACCTATTTATTAGCCATTTCTTTGCTTATTGCTTTTATCTTTGTGCCTCTGACAAACTGACTCCAATCTGCCTTGTCCCATGCTTCTGAAAGGTTTTCATCTCAGTGTGTTTGTCATTCTGCACTGCCACAAGTTCCCAGAAGAGCCTCCTCAGAGTGTGTGGGACAGTGTTAAACATGACGGTTAGAGTTCACTCTTGTCCACTGACAGACACCTGCCTACTTTTGCAGAATGACAGTCAGGTTTTGGACATGCCTGGACTCAATCACATGGCCTTGAGGATGCAGAACTCTTTCAAGCTGATCTAATTCCACTTAGAGGATAAATACTTGAAGATAGACCTGCTGATGGCTTTCTAAAAAGAGATTCTGACCTCTAACTATTAGGTTGGTGCAAAAGTAATAGCGGCTTTTGCCATTACTTTTGCACCAACCTAATAGACAATTGTGTATGCTTTCTTCTTCATTTCCTTTGAACATCTTAGGAGCCTGCCATGCTATTTCTGCAACTTGATTAAAACTTGATGAAGACAGGTGTTATCTTTTCAGTCAGAAGAAAGCTCCCCTCCTTAGTGCCTAGAACGGCAGGCGATTTTTCTTTCTTTCCCGTTTGAAGCTGTGTGTCAGGTGGCTGAAATGTGACCAGGTTTACTACCCAGTGGGAATGGGAGGCCTGTTTTTGGAGCGGAGAAAAACATCTTTCTACTGGCTTAATTATTTTCATTTTACAAAAGGTTTTTTGAGTCTGGTTTCAAAAGAATGGAGATTAGTGTGTTGCCTTTCATCTTACAATCCCTCAGGATTTGAAATGAACTCCACTTTTACATTTACTTAATTTTTTCTGTCAGCCTTGACTGGCATCAGATGCCCTAAACTATTATTTATGAGGAGGCATTTGACGTTCTGGTTCATTCATCCGTAATTTCTGTCCTACTTTACAATGGAAAAATTATCTCCTGTGTTCCAGCTGCCTGAGATCTCCCAAATCTAAGCATAGACGCAGAAACAACATTCAAGAGGGCATGGCCATAAACCTTTCCTACCCTTGTTAATGGTACAGCAAGTCCTAATACCATTTCCATCTAACAGATGTGAAAACCAAGTCATGACGTGATTTAAAATGTTTTCGAAACTAATGCAGGATCAGAAAACCAAATACCGCATTGTTCTCACTTATCTGTGGGAGCTAGAAATTGAGTACACGTGGACACAAAGAAGGGAACAATAGACACAGGGGACTACTTGAGGGTGGAGGGTGGGAGGAGGGGGAGAATAAAAAAACTGCCTATTGGGTACTACGCTTACTACCTGGGTGATAAAATAATTTGTACACCAAACCCTCATGACATGCAAATTACCTATATAACAAACGTGCACATGTACCCCCTGAACCTATAATAAAAGTTTAAAAACCAAAAACTTTCTCAAGTTTGTACACTTGGGATGTATAGAACACGTCACTATATACATAGACAGTGAAAAATTACTGGAAGTATATAACAGACTAAAGTATTAGCAGAAGTTATCTTTGGATAGTCTTTCTCCTCCCTTCCTTCCTCCCTCCCTCCCTCCCTCCCCCCTCTCTCTTTCTCTCTTCTTTCTTTCTTTCTTTCTTTCTTTCTTTCTTTCTTTCTTTCTTTCTTTCTTTCTTTCTTTTCTTTCTTTCTTTCTTTCTTTCTTTCTTTCTTCTTTCTTTCTCTCTCTCTTTCTTTCTTTCTTCTTTTTCTTTCTTTCTTTTTCTTTCTTTCTTTCTTTTTCTTTTTCTTTCTTTCTTTCTTCTTCTTTCTTTCTCTTTTGATTATTTCCTTCCTTCCTTCCTTCCTTCTATAATTATTTTTAATTTTCTCAACCTGCTTTAAGGCATTTATTAAAAACCCAAAGCTGACATCATAGTTGATGTTGAGACGAAATGCTTTCTGCCTCAGATTAGACACAACATCATTGCAGAGGATGTGATTCCGAGTGTCAGAGGGCATAGCCTATGTTACGTGGCTGTCTGGTTGCAGTTTGGTTCATTTAGGAAACCTTATATAAATGAAAGAAAAGCATTTCCAGAAGTGATATGGCTATGCTCTGTGTCTCCACCCAAATCTCATCCTGAATTGTAATCCCCATAATCTCCATGTGTCAAGGGTGGGACCTGGCAGGAGGTAATTTAATCATGGGAGTGGTTTTCCCCATGCTGTTCTCATGATAGTGAGGGGGTTCTCATACGGTCTGATGGTTTTATAAGTGTTTGACAGTTCCTCCTATGCATGCATTCTCTATCTCATCTGCTGCCATGTAAGACATGCCTGTTCATCTTCTGCAATGATTGCAAGCTTCCTGAGGCCTTCCCAGCTATGCAGAACTGTGAACCAATTAAACCTCTTTCCTTTATAAATTACCCAGTCTCAGGTATTTTTTCATAGCAGTGTGAAAACAGACTGATACAAGAAGCCTCTTTTAAAATTATCTATCAGCTAGCATACAACTTATTAATAAAAATAGGCTACATGATGAAATATTATGCAGCCATAAAAAAGAACAAGATTTTTTTTTTTTTTTTTTTTTTTTTTTTTTTTTGCAGAAACATGGATGGAGATGGAGGCCATAATCCTTAGCAAACTAATACAGGAACAGAAAACCAAATACCTCATGTTCTCACTTATAAGTGGGAGCTAAGTGATGAGAACTCATGAACAAAAAGAAGGGAACAACAGACAGTGGTATCTACTTGAAGGTGGAGGGTGGGAGGATGGAGAGGACCAGAAAAGATAACTATTGGGTATACCTGGGTGATGTGATAATAATCTGTACATTAAACCCCCATGACATGAGTTCAGTTATGTAACAAACCTTCACATGTACTCCTGAACCTAAAATAAAAGTTTGAAAAGGTAAAAAACAATCTGATGTTTATCAGGCAGAAAATAGGCTTATCATAGTAACTTTAAACCAGTAGAGAATAAGATGATTTTGAAGGAAGAAAATGCTTCCTGGATACTTTTTCTTTTGGTTTTTCTCTTCCAGCTATGTTGAAGTCAAATTCATTTGCAATAAGATTCACCCATTTTAAGTGTGTTGTGCAGTGATTTTGGCAATTGCCTGTAATCATTTCAAGACCACCACAGTTAAGATGTTAAGCGGTCTTTATTCCCTAAAGTATTTGTGTACTCAAATCCTCTTTGCAGCCAATCTCCATCCCCAATCGCCAGTCCCAGGAAACTACATCTGTGATTTCTTTTTTCCTTTTTTTTAATCAGAACTACATCCCTTGCTCTGGTAATACCTTCAATGTGAGTGTGCTGGTGCTATCCATCTGGCAACAGGGTGAACTCAGAGTTGGATCTCATGTTTTCACTTTGGTGTGAAGAATATTGACCCTCAGCCGGGCGCGGTGGCTCATACATGTAATCCCAGCACTCTGGGAGGCTGAGGCAGGTGGATCACCTGAGGTCAGGAGTTCGAGACCAACCTGGCCAACATGCTGAAACCCCGTCTCTACTAAAAATACAAAAAGAAAAAAATTGGCCAGGCGTGGTGGCAGGCGCCTGTAATTGCAGCTACTCAGGAGACTGAGGCACGAGAATAGCTTGAACCTGGGAGGCGGAGGTTGCAGTGAGCCAACGTCGAGCCACTGCACTCCAGCCTGGGCAACACAGTGAGACTCTGTCTCAAAAACAAAACAAAAAACAAACAAAAAAAGAATATTGACTTTCATCATTTCTTACCTCTGTGATTTTTGCCTGTTTGATTTCTTCATTACCAGAATTTTATATAAATGGAATTTAGATAGTATACATTTTTTAGTGTTTTATTTCTCTCACTAAGCTTAGTGCATTTGCAGTTTATATTTTTGTGTGCATTTATGTTTTTGTTTCTTTTTTATTGCTGAGTGGTTTATTATTGTATGGAGATGACATGGTTTTCTTATCCACTCACCAGTTGATGGAAGTTTGGCTTGTTTCCAGTTTTTGGCAATTGTGGTTAATGCTGGTATCCATATTTGTGTACATGTTTTTGTGGGAGTGCAGATTTTCATTTTGCTTTGGTAACCCTGTAGGAGTGGGATTGTTAGGTTGTATGGCAAATATATATTTCACTTTATAAGAAACTGACAAACTGTCTTCCCAAGTGGTTACACCGTTTTGCAGTGCAGGAGCATTGCAGCTGTTCTACGTGACTGCAAACACTTTTTAATGAGGAAGGAAGAGCTCTACAGGGCCAGAATACAGGCTGCATGCTTTGATAAAAGTGACAACCATGTTAAAAAAGAATCATAAGACTATGTGACAGGAACTGCAGCAGCACATAGGAAGGAGAAGCCTTGACAATGGGGCTAAATGTGGTTGCAGCAGAAGTAATGTTTTAACTGATTCTTGAACTCTCTCTGAGTCAATTGTCTAGAAAGAGAGAATAATAAAGGCAAAAGGGTAAAGGCATCTGTATTCCCTCCCTAGGGTTGCTGTAATAAGTTATCACAAACTGATCACAAGAGAGACAGGAAAAGGTTTTAGGGGAAGCCCAAAGCCTTGCCTTCCCTAGAGAAGTGAAAACAACACAAATCAAGATGCAAATAGCTATGTTTTTCACTCTGTCGTCAGCAAAGGAGGGTGGCATCCCCCTGTTCAATGTGATTTTTTTTTTTTTATTTCCTTAAGCTTAGCTCACAATGCACTACCCTGCCTGGTGTCATGTGGAATGGTAGTTCCTAGACCACATTTGTTATATGAAGAAACTTCAGACAGAGATAAACTTCAGTAGAGACTCAAGGAATGTTGGATGTGAAATCTTCTATGAGGAGAGTTGGAGTATATTCTTTTCTTTAAAAAGAGATGAGTATAGGATATAGTCTTCCTGAGACTGTGCCCTCTGTTTCTCTTCTTTGAATATAAGGCAGGGAGAAAAAAGATCTCCCTGCTCAGTCCAGTGGAGCAATATTACATGAAGGTTTTATTCAGCTGGTTACAAAACCTATATCAATGACTGTACTCAGAGGTATGTATCTTAGGTCCACATGCAAGAAAGGGTTCTTTTAATGTGAAACCAAATGCACAGAAAAAATGAGCCAACACAAACAAACACAAAATGCAGACTCCTAAACAAAGGATTCATGCTCCCAAGAAAATATGGCAACATTCTGAAATGCAAGAATGCTTTAGAAAATATCAACTTCACAGCCTCAATATCTGAATGGGAACTTGGCTCTATGAAGCTATTATTGGAAGAGACAAACCTGAGATGCCATATGAAACAGGTTGTTCTGATGCCAGAGGGTGCATTCTTACCATGAGGTAACTCTGCTTCTTACCTAGAGCTCAGCAGAAATAGTGCATGACTAAGGAATTCTATACCCAGCTAGAGTGTCATATGTATGTCAAGGCAACAGGAAGATATTTTAACATATGCAATGCTGGTATCTCTTCCAAAAGAAGTTTACTCATGGACCCGGCATGGTGGCTCATGCCTGTAATCTCAGCACTTTGGGAGGCTGAGGCAAGAGAATCACTTGAGATCGGGAGTTTGAGACCAGCCTGGCCAACATGGTGAAACTCTGTGTCTACTAAAATTACAAAAATTAGCCAGACATGGTGGCACGCACCTGTAATCGCAGCTACTCGGCGGGCTGAGGCATGAGAATCACTTTAACCCGGGAGGAAGAGGTTGCATTGAGCTGAGATCACACCACTGCACTCCAGCCTGGGTGACAGAGGAAGACTCTGCCTCAAAAAGAAAGAAAATTTTACTCATAGATGGTATTTAGGTCATAGAAAAATTGTTCAAAATGTGGCATTCTAAGTATTGAAATAAATTCATCATGAAAATATGTTGAAATTGTTATATAGGACTAAATTCTAAGCACCAGGAAGGGACAATCACTAATCAAAAATGAAAACATGAATATAAGATTTTTAAAAAGTACATTTTGAAAAAATTTTTTCAATATGAAATGTACAGAAGACATAAGCACATTCTTGTAAACACTTAAAAATTACAAATGCTCATAGCCATGCTTATTGATGAGGAAATTGAGGGTAACTAATTAAGTGAAATACTGGTTTATAGCTAGTTATACAGATGGCTGATCCATAGTCCATTTTCTACTTGGAGTTTTATATTTACATTTTTGAAAATCTGCAGACATCTTTACCACTGAAAACTTGGTATTATCTGCAACAAACTTATGAACTGCAGCTTCACAGCCTATTGATCAGGCAAAAATAAAAAAGATACCAGGTGTAGAAATACTCAGTTTACTGGTCCAAAAATATTTCGGATGATTAAGGCACTTGGGTTGGTGATTAAGATCTTGTGAAGAATGACGCAGCTGTTTGCTAGGAAGAAGTGATACAATTGCAACCATTGCTGGTGCAAAATGTACATGCCACCATGCATGTACTAAAAATGTGGCTTTTTCTTGTGTGCTGGAAAATTACTATAAAAATTTAACATTTTAAGTGTTTTGCAACATCTTTGATACTTTAATTGCAACTTCCTCTAGGAATAATTAGATGATTGATAGAGTTGGTAATTGTAGCTTCAGGTACAATTGTGACCTTTCAGATGAAGCTCTGAGCACGATCGATTGACCTCTTCTGCATTAAGTGATTTCATTAACTTCCATTATTTCTGTCTCATTTTTATTAGACTGGATTTCTTCTCATATTAGAAGAGAAAAATTTATCATAAGTGCAGTATAAAAATGTAAAATATGTGATACTATCAAACATAAAACGTATATAGACACTGAATGATTGTATAGATTATCTGCAAATTACAATGAGACTGTGGAAATATTTATATGAAATAAGTGGTTCTGCATAATACTCTTGGCAAAATTTGCAAAAATAAAAATTTCAGTGAGAAGGTAATGGAATGGTTACAAAAGAAACATCATTTCGGACCATACCATGTTATTTAGGGATCATCTTTTTAAACTAAAAACATGTTAGTACCTTCTGAAAAAGTTATAAAACATCATAATTTCATTCATTACTTTTCAAAATATTTTTCAAAATATTTTTTATTTTGGGTGTCTTCCCATTTGGAAAAGAAAATGACTTTATAAATATTGTTTCAGGAAACGTCTCATAACTTATTAGGTTGAAACATAAACTATTTCCTCCTTTTATTTAAAATAAGCCACAACAAAATACCCATGCTGACATTAATAAACTATCTCTCATTCTATGGGATTTGTTTCTCTTTAAAACATTCGGTGAAAATATTGAAGATATCTGGAGCATTCTTCCTCAAAGAGCTATTAGGAAAATATGTGATATACTAACAAAATTAAAACAACCACCATGAACATTGGGATGCGCAACACTGATATTCAACAACTAATATTTTCTCTGTTTCCCCTGTCTCTGTGTGTGTGTGTGTGTGTGTGTGTGTCTGTGTGTGTTGGTGTGAGTGTATGTACCACTTTTGCTAAACCTTTTGAAATTAAGTTGCATTCAACACAACAGTTTTCCCACATATTATAATTCAGCATACTTCAGAAATAAGATCTTTCTTCTATGTAACCACAACCAGGTTAGACACTCAAGTAAATTAGCAATAGCTAATGTGTTTTCTTAATCGGTTATTGAATTGAGTAGAGGGCTGAGTTAGTGGGGAAATAATAAAACTCTCCAGCTTTGAGGTTCTAGGATTCTACCATATTGTACAAAAAGTGGTGCAAGGTTCATGTTTTGATTATCTGTTGTTTTACATAAAATGTTCTTGATTTTGAGTATGGCAGTGGCATTGAACAGAGAATAGATGGACTTCATTGTCAGGTAGTTCTGTGTTCCAGTTCTATGCCAGTTGTAAGTGGCATTAGGCATGATTTTAATTTTGTTAACCTGAGTCTTCTTATAAAATAAGGATCACACAATAATACCTACACGTTCTTATATAATTAGAGAGGATGTGAAAGCATTTAAGGAGATGGCGTTGCACAGCAGAAAGAAAAATACAATTGTGGAATGAAATTGATCTGACTTTAAAATACAGGCATACCATATATTGGATTGTGGGCCAACCCCTTGAAACTCTGTGATTGTTGCTTTTACTCCTCTTATTAATTTTTATGCTTAACAGCATTCATTGTTAATCAGACCCTTTGCTTTTACTTCATTTTTTAGTCTTCTGGCTATTGTTATTGTTGGGTGAAATGGGTCAGTTGTCCCGTGTTGATTTATAAACATATCATTGGAGTCTAAGGCACTTTTAAAATTTGACCATCTTTAGTGTGCCGGTATGGAGTATTCATTCCTTTCTGGGAAAATGTAGTGCATTTGTGCACTTAATTCAGGCATCTGATTCACATGCTTTTAAAAACTATTACCAATGTGAGTTTCATCTCCAAGTCCATTTCTTAGTCAATATGATGTATTTTGGTGTTGTTTCTCCTAGTGAGTGAATTGGTAGACTATATATATATAATATATATATATGAATGAATACATATATATCAAATATACACATATGTGTGTATACACACAGATACATACATATACATATATATACACACGCACATTAATTGCTTTGCCTGTTAAAATCTGTCTTGAGGTCCATGAAAACAGGATCCGAAGCTTTTCCCCTGATATGACCTCTTACTGTCTCCTCTCTTTGAGTGCGAATAAAACCTGTGATCATAATGCAATGTCACTTCCATTATTATGTTACTAATAGGTTGACTTTAAGAGGTTATTAGAGCCAGTCTTAGTGGCTTGTACCTATAATCCCAATATATTGGGAGGCTGAGATGAGAGGATTACTTGAGCCCAGGAGTTTGAGACCAGCCTGAGCAACATAGCAAGACCCTGTCTTTAAAAAAAAAATCAACCAGGTGTGATGGTGTGTGCCTGTAGTCCCAGATAGTTGAGAGGCCAAGGCAGGAGAATTGCTTGAGTCCAGGGGGTCAAGGCTGCAGTGAGCTGTGATCATGCCTCTGCATTCCAGCCTGGGCAACAGGGTGAGACCCTATCTCAAAAATAAATATATCAAATAAATTTTAAAAATTAAAAAAATTAAAAAGAAGTGATTAGATCATGAGGGCTGTGTCATCATAAATGGATTAATACCATTATTGCAGGAGCGGGTGGTTATTGAGGAAGTGAGTTCCTAATGAGTTCAGTTCATTTTTTTCTCCCTGTCTTGTGTGTTCACTTCCACCTTTTGCCTTCTGTTTTGAGATAACCCTTGCCAGATGCTGACACTATGCTCTTGGACTTCCCAGACTCCAGAATCATAAGCCAAATAACCTCTTTTTAATACATTCCCCAGTCTGTAGTATTCCATTATAACAGCAGAAAGTAGACTAAGACACCACCCAAACAAGATATGGATTTTGTGATATCTAACTGCTACACTTCCTTTCTACTCTCTCACCCCTTGTGCAATAGTTTCCACCGGTCCTCAGAATGAAGATCAGAGGTATCATGGGAGACCTCATGTCAGATGCTGGAGTGTCTTAAAGGAGTCAATTCTTTCACCTCCCAAGTATAAAAGGCACAGTATTTTATTGGAGCAGATGGTATGTTGTGGTCACTGAGCTTTAAGGGCTGGATGTGTGAAGAAGTAAGGGAGATGCTCTGATATTACAAAGTATGAAGACTTGTTAAAAAATAATAGATCATCAGAGATCAACAACTTTATCAAGGTTGTGCTTCTTCTTTACTCACTACAGCAAGAATGACAGACAGCAATAAATGGAGACTTTTAATGTTATCATCCTGGGAAGCCTATTAAGTTCTAGTGGTATTAAAATAGTAGAAATTGGTTGAATTCCTTTAAGGTGCATCTTTTCATAAATTAGTTGACTAATTGAGACTCCAAACTTTTAAAATAACTGCAGCACTTTCTAAACTTGGGCTGAAGGAATTGTAAGAGAGGGATTTGGTATTCCCACAATGTCATTTATTATTCAGTTTCGACTTGGTACTTCCATACCTCACTGCTTTTATTTTTCTTTTTCTTAACTCAACACAATGAAAGCCTTACAAATTTTAAAGGAAGCAAAGGGAATACCAGTGATTAAGAGAGAGCATATCCTTAAATTTGCAAAGCAGTAATGCTGTTGGCATTTGAGCCAAGGCTGTAAAAATCTACTTTAAAATGCTTCCTAGTTCAGTATTTGCTGTATCCATCAATTGTTTTTAAATTGAATTACTGTGATTCAAATAAACACATTTCCTAGAGGAGAAAGAACATAAAGTTTTAAGTAAAAAATAGTTCAATTCAGGGCCTGGTTTCATCTCTTACTATCTGTGAATTTGGACATGGTGTTTAACTGCTCTTGGCTTCCATTCCATCATCTCTGAAATAGCAACACCTGCCCAACAGGATAACAGTAAAGATTCAATGAGATGAGAGAAATAAGATACATTTGTACACTGCAGAATGCCTCAAAAGCAGAAGGTTTTGTCTTTATTATAGCACTTGTATATCTGAAATACCAGTTTTTCAGCATACACGTTTATTTAATGTGTGTTTAATAGACTTCTAACACCAGTCCAATATTTTTAGCATATGTGGTATCATAATGAAAACAAAATCAAAGATACTCAGTTTTTCTAATAGTTTGGCAAAACTTTAGATTTGTGGTAAATCTTTGTATATTTATGGACTGGGATATTTATAGCAACCAAATGTCAGCTGTGTAAGTAAGAAAAAGCAAATGTAGCTGCCCACGACAAAGAAACTTCAAGCCTCAAATGTCAGTATGGCCAAAGGTGAGAATCCCTGCTTTAAATTAAATTATTGGTATATAATATTGAGGGGTTGATTAAGTAATTAAGCATGGAATAGCTACTAATTGTCTTTATTGTGTAAGTGCTAGAGTGAGGTGTCTGGAGGGTTACTGGTTCCAAATAACATAAGAAATTCAACATGCCTTCAAGGAGCATATGATTTCTCAAAAGATCTTTTTGTGGGATTGACAGGAGTTTTGTTTTGCTTCTGAGTATGACAGAGGAAGGCAGAAAGAAGATTCAGGGCTGGACTGAGATAGGATCTCCCCATTCATGAATCCATTTAACAAGCATTCATAGAGTTTATGTTGTACAGAAGTAATAACAGATTAACAAAATCTGGAAAGTCCCACGGTATATGGAAAACCTGAGATGATTTAGTTATTTCTCTACTGTCAGTATCAAAAGCTACTGATCTGAAATATGGGAATGTAAAGCATTTATCACGTGTGTCACAAAATAAAGTGAGGAGTAAAAAATAAAAAGCTTTTAATCTAGGAAGCACCAACCAATATGGAAAGTTTTCATGCTGATAGTTCATCCCACAATGCTAGAAGAAGGCCAAGATTCTCCTGACCGTTCTACAGAGTCCACATTGTTTCTCTCACTCCACATGGATCGTTTTGGGTGGCTGTTTTGCTTTTAACATCCAGGCACTGAGTGTATTCCCTTAATAGAATGATTCTGAAATAGTTATTGGACTAATTCATTGAACTCGTGTGTCACACCATTACCATTAAGGAAGTCTCTCTTCTGCTTGATATCCAGGGCCCAAACTCTCTCCCGTTTGGACTTAGAAAGTTATATATTTTCCCAAAGTATGCTTACTCTAACTGTCTTCATATTTTCTTGAAAAGTCAATCAATGAGAATCACAAGACCATGTTAATACATGCACATATATTAAATCAGGGGTAATGACATTTGGGATTAGAGATTTAAAAGTATGTATATATCATTACAACATAAGTTTTAGCTCAACGCTGTGAGCTCAATGTTTACGCTTCTCAATAATTTTTAGTGCTATTTATTTTTTGGCTGCTTTTAATTCTTTCTCCTGGGGTAACACAGAGCAAAATCGTGCTCGATTTAAAAATTCTTTCAAATGTTTGGAAATAGTGACTTGTATCCATGTTTTCTTTTTGAACTAAAAAGCCTAGGCAACCTAGGCTTTTTCTGATGCAATAATCACAGGATTATACTTCCTTTCATTGATTTTTTATTTTTGTTTTTAGGAGTTTTGCCAGAGATGAGTCAAATACCATTCAGCATTCACCTTAGGGAAAGCTCATTATTCCCCATTTGTTAGGACCCCTCACCAAACCACAAACTGTGCCACTGAACTATCAGTTCTGGTGTATGTGAGCCAAGAGAATAAGGGTGCATACAGATAATTGATTTTTTGGCATATTGATGGAAAGACTGTTGTGTTACACTCCTCAATCCCTGAGGACCAGGATGGAGTGTGTGTTAGGTGCAGGCTGATTTCTGCTTAATTGGTGTTTTTCCTCTCACTTACTCAGCATTTCGCTTTACATCCGAATCTGACACCCCGCTCTCTCCCATTTGTCCATCTGTCTGTAGAAGGTCTGCGTGGGAGAGGAACCAAGCCAGCCATCTCATGGCAAGATCCATGGTTTTATTGCAGGAAGAAGCGTCTGGCCATGTCTGATAGGTTTTAGACACAGATGGTGGGAGACTCCTTTCCAATAACATAACTGACTTCCAGTGGGAAGAAATAAAAGTTGGTTCCAGGTGAGAATGAAAAGAATTTTTATCTGAGGAATACAAGTCCTTTTAAATGATCAGCCATTAAAATGAGACAGCAATTGCATCTTGCTTCTCCCAGGAGCAATGTATTTATCTCTTGAAACTACTGTCTATTGCCATGGGAGCTATAAATTAACCTAATAATGCTGCACCTCACACTATAACCCACAGCCTATAGCTTGACAACATATAGTCAATCACAAATCAATGTTATTTCTGTAAACAAATGAGAATTTCTGACAAAAAACTTTGTATCAGCTCACTCCTTGTCCATCTTTTTGGCCTTTGAAATCCAGTCATAACTGCTAACCATGAGAGTGTACATTCAGAGCAGTCTGAATTTTTTCTCCTGGTTTGCAATCTTCAAGCTTGGCCCACATACACTCTCTACTTATATTAATTTTGCCTACACTTTTTCCTTTTAGGTCAACACATGTTACCCTTTATCCAAAGGGTCTCATTAAGAGATGAACGATATAAATGCAGCTCAAGTGTATTATAATTAATTGTTTCTGTATATTATGATGTTTTGATATCTTCAATTGCTTCTCTGGCTAGGGAGGGATGGCCCCTCCTGGGGTGAGCCAACTCTTAGAGATAACAGAGAGACCAGTCAAGGGCATGGCTTTGATGTGCAGACTAACCGGTCCAGAACCACACCTCCCCTAGGGAGCCCATACACCCCAGAGCGCATTATTCCTCTGCCTTAATCATCCTGGGGCCAGGGGCCACGAAACTAGAGGCCATCCCTACAGCCCACAGTCTGCAGAATTATTCAAGCAAGTCACTCCTAAACCGTTCACCCTATCCTCTCCTGCCTTTCCCACAGAAACCCCAATAAAGGCAGTGCCTTAAACATTCCCTTGGCTTCTGGCTTCTGCCTCCTGCCCCATGATGGTGTCTTTCCCAGGTGGTTCTGTGTAGCACGAATATATTTTATATATAAACACATATACAAATATATATCCTTTATAGATAAATATATATTCTTTATATTCTTTCTTAATGTCTAGTATGTGTTATATATTTGTATACTGTATATTTTAATATATATTATATATTTGTATATTGTATATTTTAATATATATTATATATTTGTATATAGTATATTTTAATATATATTATGTATTATATATTTAGTATATAATATATTTGCATATTATATATTTTCATATATGTTTATATATTATATATTAATAGATATTATATATTTATATATTCTATATTAATAGATATATTTGTATATTGTATATTTTAATAGCAATTATATATTTATATATTATATATTTTAATACATATTATATATTTGTATATTGTATATTTTAATATATTGATATATTATATATTTTAATAGATATTACATATTTGTATATGGTATATTTTAATAGGTATTATATATTTATATTATGTATTTTAATAGGTATTATATATTCTTTCTTAACTTTTAAAGAACATATACCTTAATATATAATATATATATATTCTGTCCTAATTTTTGAAGAAAATATATAATAGACTTTGATATAATATATATATTCTTTCTTAATTTTTAAAGAATACATATTATATACTTTAATATATAATTATATTCTTTCTTAATTTTTAAAGAAAATATAACCTTGAAAGTCAGAGAAAAATTGCAACAAAAATATTTATTCGTGTGTGTGTGCATGTATGCATATATGTATGCATGTATTATATATATGCATATATACGTATTTATTTATTTCGCGGTGTATGCTGACAGCAAAGAATTAAAAAGAACTTGAGGACATTATCCGACTTAGTGTATGAGATAAGTGATATTCAGGGAGTTGCTTGCAAATGGAAATCTAATATGCTTTTACAAATCCCATTATGAAGTCTCCTAGCGCATCATCAAATCAAATCTTCTTAACAGCATTTAACGCTCTCAACCAACCCTCTCAACAAAGGGGAGGAAGGTGCAGGCTGCATTTGGTACAAGCCTGCACTTCTCCTCCTTAATGCCCTACTGCAATTTTGTTTTGTTGTTTAAAATAATTGCATTGTTCTCATTAATTTAATTCGTAGTATATAAATAATACCATTTTAACTTTACATAGCCATATAAGCCTTTGTTTGAAGTCAAAAAAAATTTTGGCTGCTAAACTTGAGATAGTGTTGGTGATAGCTGCTCCCTGATTCATGCAGCTCTCTGTCATGAGCTTTAAGAGGAGGTGGAAGATGTTGCAAGTGCCATGGAAACCAGGTCCACATCTTATTCTCCATTGCACACAACACCCTATGCTGAGCCACCCCAAATAAGCTCACCAGGAGCAACTACTGACTTTTCCAGGGTGCACCTGCTCAGCATTTCAGTGGTCGTTTCTCTGGGCACACATCCTCTTTGTGTTTTCCACCTTTCTTCTTTCTTTTTTTCCTCTTTTTTTCTTTCCTCCTTTATTTCTTTCCCCCCCATTCTTTCAAGTTAGCCACTTTTTTCGCTTTTTTTTTTTTTTTTTTTTTTTTTTTTTGAGACAGGGTCTTGCTCTGTTGCGTAGGCTGGAGTGCAATGGTGCGATCATAGCTCACTGCAGCCTCGACTTCCTGGGCTCAAGAGATCCTCCCCTCTCAGCCTCCTGAGTAGCTAGGACTACAGATGAGTGCTACCATGACTGGCTAATTTAATTTAATTATTTTTTATCGAGACAAGATCTCGCTGTTTTGCACAGGCTGTTCTGCAGGTACAGAAAACCAAATCCCGCATGTTCTCTCTTATAAGTGGAGCCAAATGATGAGAACACATAGACATATAGAGGGGAAAGACACACACTGGGGCCTACTCGATGGTGAGGGGTGGTTACTTGAACTCCTGGGCTCAAGTGATACTCCTGCCTTGGCCTCCCAAAGCACTGGGACTATAGGCTTGAGCCAACATGCCTGGCCCAAGCTAGTCATATTACATCCAACATTTTGTTTATTTATTTACTTATTTATTTACTTATTTTAACTTTTCTTTTAAATTCAGGGGTACACGTGCAGGTTCGTTATATAGGTAAACTTGTGTCATGGGGGTTTGTTGTACAGATTATTTCATCCTCCAGATATTAAACCTTGTGCCCATTAGTTATTTTTACTGATTCTCTCCCTTCTCCCACCCCCCACCCTCCAGTAGGCCCCAGTGTGTGTCGTTACCCTCTATATGTCCATGTGTTTTCATCATTTGGCTTCCACTTAGAGAGCATGCGGCATTTGGTTTTCTGTTCCTGCATTAGTTTGCTAAGGATAATGGCCTCCAGCTCCATCCATGTCCCTGCAAATAACATCATCTTGTTCTTTTTTATGGCTGAGTGGTGATCCATAGTTTATATGTACCACATTTTCGTTATCAAGTGTACCATTGATAGGCATTTAGGTTCATTCCATGTCTTTGCTATTGTGAATAGTGAACGTACATGTAGAGGTGTCTTTATGACTAAATGATTTATATTTCTTTGGATGTATACCCACTAATGGGATTGCTGGGTCGAATGGTAGCTCTGTTTTTAGATCTTTGAGGAATCAGTACGCTGCTTTCCACAATGGCTGAACTAATTCACACTCCCACCAACAGTGTATAAGCATTCCTTTTTCTCTGCAACCTCGCCAGCGTCTGCTATGTTTTGACTTTTTAGTAATAGCCTTTCTGACTGGTGTGAGATGTTGTCTCATTGTGGTTTTGATTTGCATTTCTCTAATGATCAGTGATACTGAGCTTTTTAAAATATGCTTATTGACCGCGTATATGTCTTTTTTTAAAAAGCGTCTGTTGCTCAGGCATGGTGGCTCACACCTGTAATCCCAGCTACTTGGGAGGCTGAGGCAGGAGAATTGCTTGAACCCGGGAGGTGGAGGTTGCAGTGAGCCGAGATCACGTCACTGCACTCTAGCCTGGGCAACGGAGCAAGACTCTGTCTCAAAAAAAAAAAAAAAAAAAAAAGTGTCTGTTATGTCTTTTGCCCACTTTTTAATGGGGTTGTTCGTTTTTTGTTTCTGGTAAATTTGTTGAAGTTCCTTATAGATACTGGATATGAGACCTTTATCAGATGCATAGTTTGCAAAAATTTTCTCCGTCTCTAGGTTGTCTGTTTATTCTGCTGAGTTTCTTTTGCTGTGCAGAAGCTCTTTACTTAATTAGGGTCCATTAAATCTAACATTTTAAATCACCATTTCCCATGAAAGTTAGTGAGTGTGGGCTCTAACTCCAATGCGTTTTTTACACTTTCTACTCTTGTTTTTCCTGGAGTTTTTAGAGTGTTATTTCACAGTTCATGGACTACAACCTTTCCAGCATTTTCTGCATAACTTTCTGTTTCGCTCAAAAGATTAAAAGACCAGTTTACCATTACGAAAGGAAACCCTAACACCCTTCTTGGAAAGTTACTTGACATGTTGTGTAATTAAAAAGGACAAACAAACATTGGCTTTCTCGCTCTAATTTATTGAGTTGCAAGAAATAGAAATTGAACTCAACAGATTGGTAATAGAAACTACAGGGAGAAAAAGTGGGTGAGTCTTTGAATGAATAGGTTTGGAGAACAATGGGCCTGACAAAGTTACAACATTTCCTTTGAAGCCTTTTTTTTTAATGCTCCAGTCGTAGAATGTTGAATAAATAAAGGTATATTGAAAATCCACAAGAAGGGTTATCATATTCAAATTACAATTTCAAATTAAACATATTTCAAGTTAAAATGAACATCAAATTAAAATTAAGCAAAAAATAACATGATAATGGGATAAGCTTACAAGTGTCATGTCTGGTTACCAGGGAAGGAGGAAAAGAGATGGGAAGCTACTGCTTAATGCGTACAGGCTTTCCTTTTGTGGTGGCGAAAATGTTCAAGAACTACGTGGTGTTGGCTGCACAACATTATGAATATCCTGACTTGTCACAATAACCTGACTTGCTGCCTGTATTACTCAGGGTTCCCAGGAGGGACAGAACTGATAGGATAGATGTCTACATGAAAGGGGGTTTATTAAGGAGAATTGACTGACATGATCACAAGGTGAACTCCTGCGATAGGCTGTCTGCAAACTGGGGAGGTAGGAAGCCAGCAGTGGCTCAGTCCAAGTCCAAAAGCCGCAAAAGCAGGGAAGCCAACAGTGCAGGCTTTAGTCTGTGGCCGAAGGCCAGAGCCCCCAGGAAACCACTGGTGTAAGTCCAAGAGTCCAAAGATTGAAGAACTTTGAGTCTGATGTCCAAGGGTGGGAAGCATCCAACACGGGAGAAAGATGAAAGGCAGAAGACTCAGCAAGCCAGCTTATCCCATCTTCTTCCATCTGCTTTGTTCTAGCTATGCTGGCAGCCAGTTGGATGGTGCACACCCACACTGAGGGTGGATCTTCCTCCTCCAGTCCACCGACTCCAATGTCAGTCTCCTCTGGCAACACCCTCTCAGACACACCCAGAAACAATACTTTACCAGCTATCTAGGCATCCTTCAATCCAATCAACTTGACACCTAATGTTAACCATCACCCTGCCTTAACCTGTTTTTGGCCATGCTTTCTGTAGCCACACGATGATATAAAAGTATTGGCCATCAGCTCATTTTTTTGAGTTTTAAAGTATTTTGTGTGACTCCTGTGCATATGTGTGCACATAATACATTTTGTAAGGCTTCTTTTTCCTGTTAATCTGTGTACTATCCATTTGTTTATAGACTGATTATTGAATTCTAGGGACTAAGCAAAATCTTCCCCTTGGCGCTCTGAAGGTTTGCTGTAAATCAGCTCACAAAAGGCAGATTAATCAGAGAAAAGGCACACACATTTATTAACAAGCATGGGGGAGAATTACAGAGGGATATCTGTACCACGCAAGAGGGTACAGATGTTTATATGCCCTTCTTCTTAAGGGAAAGGAAGATGGGGAGGTAGGGATGATTTTAGGAGGGTAGTACATTATTTTTCGGGAAAGTCAATGGGCTTGAAGAACATACAGTGGCCTGGCACAAAGTCCGTTGAGCCCGCAGAGCAAACAATGGTTTATAAGTCTATTCAGGCATGTTGACCGACTTCAGTCTTTCTTCCTGAGATATGAGTTCAGTTAATGAAAATTCAGAGAAGGGACAGAGGTCATTGCTTTCTTCTTTGGTGCATCTAGACTCTGGCAGATAAGGGAACTCAGAGAACAACTTCATCCTGTGCATCGAGAGAGAGGATTGAGAGACAGGGGCGATGGAGCATCACAGAGACCTTGAGGCTTCTTCTGCAGTTCAACATATCAAAGCACCATATTTTGGGGTATTGGATTCATGAGCCCCAAAAGAACCTCCAAGAGAAAAATTTAAACTTCTTTACGTGGTCATGAAGAGTTGCAACTTTTGCGATTTAACATCGCATGGGAGCCAGGAAGACTTGGGGATGAAATTCTCAATCCACCTCTTCTTCTAGACTTCAGTACATCCATTTATTAATCTTTCCAGTGATAACTCAGAGGGAGGCTCACCCCAGAGATGCCATAAGCAGTGCCTGGACCTCTGAGGTCACCAGTGGATGTCCAGAACAAATAGCTAATATACATATAGAGGGAGATGGATATAGAGGGAGATGGATATTAATAAACAATTACACTAATTAGTGTTGGCTTGCAGTTATGGTCAGTGCAATGCATGAAATAATATGTTAGAATTTCAGACAGTGCAGATGGCTTTAGGTAGTATTGTAAATTTTGTACGCAATTGTAGCTTAGATATTATCGTAAGTCAAGACTGTGGTTCAAAGTGCAAGTTGTTCTCTGCATCCAGTCTACTACCATAATGAGAGGTCTGAAAATTATTATTATTTTTAAATAAACAAACTTTAATTTTTAGAGCAGTTTTAGATTTATAGAAGCAGAGAATGAAGTGTATGGAGAGCTCCCATATACTCCCATAGAAGGGAAAGTACACAGTTCCCATATGACATTTTCTTTTTACAATTATTTTATTTTAATTTTTAATTCTAAGTTTTGTGGATACATAGCAGGTTGTTCATCCCCTTCCCTAGATTCCTCTCTTATTAAATATTTTTTTACATGCTAGTCATATTTCATCCAATTTTTAAATCATATTTTACATATACTTTGTTTGGATTGCTTCTTGTTTTGTTTTATTTTTAATCGACTTAATTTTTAATTTATTTTTATTTTTATGGGATGCATGTGATATTTTGCTACATGCATAGAAAGTATAATGGTCAGATCAGCATAACTGGAATAACCGTCATATCGAACATTTTTACTCGTGTGTGCATGTGTTATGATCATTTCAAAGCTTCTTTTCTAGCTATTTTGAAATCTACAATAAATTATTGTTAACTATAGTTGCCTTATTGTATTATCAAACGATAGAACTTATTCCTTCTGTTTTACTCTGTGTTTGTACCTTTTAGCAAACTTCTTTTGATTTCTCCTCCCTTTCCCCTTCCCAGCTCTGGTAAGCACCAATCAACTCTCTACCTCCATGATATTTACCACTTTCTTTTTTTTAGCTCCACATATGAGTGAGAACACGAGCTATCTATATTTCTGTGCCTGGTTTATTTCTCTTAATATAGTGATCTCTAGTTTCACCCATGTTGCTGCAAAAAACAAGATTTTGTTCTATTTTTATGACTGAATAATATTCCATCATGTATTTGTGCCAGTTTCTTTTTTAAAATTACTTATTTTATTTTTAATTTTTTAAAAATTTTCATTTTAATTATTTGTGGGTACATAGTAGGTCATGTACCCCACAAATATACCACATTTTCTTTATCCAGTCATCTGTTGATGGACACTTAGGTTGATTCCATAGCTTGGCTACCGTGAATAGTGCCGCAATAAACACAGGAGTGCAGCTGTCTCTTTAATATACTTATATTTCTTTTCTTCTGGATATATGTATTCATTTCTATTTATACATATTTATATGTCTATTTATTATATATATTGTATATATTTATTTGTATTTATATATTTATTATATATATTTATATATTTATTGGAGATATACATATATATATATATGTATATTTCTTTTCTTTTGGATATATACCCAGCAGTGGCATTACTGATCACATGGAAGTTCTACTTTTCATTTTTGTGTGAAGCCCCATACTGTTTTTATAGTGCCTGTTTTTGTTTTTTTTTTTTTTCATTTTCCATAGTCAGATACTGGGCTTTAAATATTTTAAAATTTAACCATCAGACATCATGTTTGAAAACCAACTTCAAAATCTGCACTGACATCATTATTTTTGCTTCAATTTTACTCATTGCTGTCTCAAACAACATTGATCAAAAACATTGATTTTTTTCCCTCAAGGAAGATCAAATTCGATAATTTTAAATGCAGAAAGATTCCATGTTGCAAAGGATTTAAGCTTGTATATGGAACATAAGTACAATCTTTTTTATTTTGGTGACCTTTCCTGAAGTTTCTTATGAATTTTGCAATTTTTTGTGAGCATTAACTAAATGCTATTTACTGATAGGAAAACTGGTTGTTTCTCAGTTCATAACTCACCTATCAGAGTTAGTGCCCTTTCTATAAAAGGAATATCTTTTTTTCCAAAGTGGCAACTTTAGCTGAATGTATGCACTGTATTCTAACATGCTATGGTTTAAATGTCTTCCGCAAAATTCATATGTTGAAACCTTGATCCCCATTGTGGCAATGTTGGGAGGTGGGGCCTCATGGGAATTGCAGGAGTGGGTTTCTTAGAAAAGAAAGAGTTTAGTTCCCACTTGCCCTCTCTCTTGCCAAGTGATGCCTTTTGTCATGTCATGGTATAGGAAGAAGGTTCTTGCAAGATGCCAATATTTTGATCTAGGTCTTTCCAACCTCTAGAATCATAAGCCAGTGAATTTCTACTCATTATAAATTACCCAGTCTGTGGTATTTTGTTAGCAGCACAAAATTAACTAAGATATACCGCTAGGCAGATAAAAATCTTAGTCTTCAGAAAACATTCTCTTTTAAGATATTATCATAATAAAACCCTCTGGGGCCAAATTCCATCAATACTCACTGTCTTTTTCCTTCACTACCTGGAATTCACAGTAAAAGGATACATAAATAAAAGGATATTTTGTTGAGTTTTTGTTTCATTGTCCATATTCTATTTTATTTATTTATTTTTAATTTTTATTTTTTTGAGATGGAGTCTCGCTTTATTGCCCAGGCTGGAGTGCAGTGGCATGATCTCGGCTCATTGTAACCTCCGCCTCTGGGGTTCAAGTGATTCTCCCGCCTCAGCCTCCGGAGTAGCTGGGACTACAGGCCCGTGCCAGCATGCCTGGCTAATTTTTGTATTTTTGTAGAGATGGGGTTTGTACAAACTATGTTGGCCAGGCTGGTCTCAAACTCCTGACCTCAGGTGATCCGCCTGTCTCGGCCTCCCAAAGTGCTGGGATTACAGGCATGAGTCACTGCACTCGGCCATATTCTATTTTAAAAGTGTGTGTTTGTATAGCTAAACTGCTATACTGTTCACACATTCTGTATATGGCAGTTTGGATTTGAGGTGCAGTTCTTAACATTTGAATACTGTGACAGGCACCCTGCAAATCATTATTTCTAGGTGTCAGTCTCAGTACTGAAGGGGATTCTCAGTAAATAAATCCTTGGAAATTGATGCATGGTAATTAAGTGTGTCAGAGACTAATTATCAGAATGGGCTGGGTCTGGCCAAGGTCATGGGTACATGCAAGTGCATTTGTAGTTGCACTGGCATAAAATGATCTAGCTCATTCTCTTCCATGTGTTTTCTTTTCTTCCTTTTTTTTTTTTTCCAGGGCGGAGTCTCACTTTAACGCCCAGGCTGGAATGCAGTGGCGCGATCTCGGCTGACTGCAACCTCCACCTCCCGGGTTCAAGAGATTCTCCCACCTCAGCCTCCCGAGTACCTGGGACTACAGGTGTGCGCCACCATGCCAGGCGAATTTTTGCATTGTTTAGTAGAGATGAAGTTTCACCATGTTGGCCAGGCTGGTCTTGAACTTCTGACCCCAACTTGGCCTCCCAAAGTGTCTTTCATGTGTTTTCCTCCTCCTGTAAATGAGAACACTTTCTTAAGAAATAGGTTCTTGAATTATATTTTCTAAAGTAGAACTTTGTATTCTTACCTGATCTGATTCTGTGTTTTCGAAGGCCCTGGAGAGACCTGTTGAGAATGCATGTGTGTTTCAGAGTTTGGAAACAGTTCTAGATCCTAATTGTGAATTCCTGAGAGTGCTTCATTGAAAACAAGTGAGCATATGTTTTTCTGCAAGAAGAGGTTAAACTGAGAAATTGTTTTGGTATAAAATTGTGGAACCAAAGTTATGGAAAGATGAGGATACACATTATATGTTGAAAGCCAGCTGGTGTTTTACCCACTGTTATTGAAAGTCAGGAAACCCCGTGTGGCTCAGCAAATATTCTGCCTTGGCAGAGGAAAGAAAACTTACGGACAAAGCAAAGGAGAGGCTAAAACGCTGAATCTGTGTTTCTTTCTTCAGAGCTGCTCTGGGTCAGCACCAGAAACATTACTAGGTGATTAATGGGATTAATTGATGAAAAAGATTTATTTTAAAAGGTCTTAGCAATTAGTGATGGCCATTATCTAGTTGCTTCTCTTTTCTGTCCTTCTTTCCTAGCTTAGACCTTTTCCCTTTAGGACATAAACACCTTATGTTGGCACTGGAAAATAGACAGGTGTGTGTGTTCATAAAATTGCATCCTTGCTGCCTCTGGTTCTGAATATCTTTTAATTATTTAGTTTTTATAGGACTGAGGGCTCCTGCAAGCTTAATTAAAGCTCTAATTTCTTCTGGGAAATGTAGATGCACTTGTTGGGCAAGGACTGAAAAACTCCAGTGAATATATTTAGGAAAAAAAGTATAATGACTCTTTCCAGAGTTGTGGGGATCAGAGTTTAAAACAAATGTGCACAACAGCAGAACAAAAAAGATGTTCCTCTCCAGGAGTTCAGAGAGAATTTAGATTAATTCCACTTTTATTAATTCTTGCAAGTTACGTTTGACATCTGCTATTTTCTACCATTATAATATCTAGTTAATTTCATCTTTTTTTCCTACTCCTGCTTCTCCTCTTCTTTCTCTTCCTCCTCTTCTCCTTCTCCTCCTCTTCTTCTCTTTCTCCTTTACTTTTCTCTTCTTTTCTGGCTATAAAAAAACACAGAATCGTGAACATACAAGGAAAGCGAGGCAAATTCTAACAGGTAATCCAGGAAGCTTTTAGAATTGACATAAAGAACCATATTTGCAGAAACTTTCTCGTCCTAAAACCAGATGGAAACAAAACAAAACAAAAATAGAGAAATGCAGTAAAACCTCATGAAGCATTTTATCTGGAGTATTCGAACACCCACTGGTTGTGTGATTTGCTGGAAGGACTTAAACAGTTCAATGTAAGATTATATATGTAGCTACAACTTATTAAGTGAAGAATACTGTGCAGAAACAGCAGGGGGAAGATTTACATAGGTGGAGCCTAGAGAGGTCAAAGTCACACTTTCTTGTTTTTCCTCTGCAAAAATCACATGGATTTGTGGTTTTTTTTCTGTCTGTGAACTGCAGGGATATTTCCTTATGCGGGAAAGCCCATTTGAGACTTAGAGACCAAAGTTCTTAAAGGGAGCTTGCCACATATGCACATACCTGCCCTGTAGCCAACCATGGTTCAGACCCAAAGCAGGTAGCAGGTGAACATATCATGAATCTCTGTGTCTCATTTCAGCACGCTGGCAGCTGGTTTATCTTATCCACTCCTTCAGGTATATAGAGTAACATCTTACCCAGTAATCCAGTGAACATTTCATTAGATTCATTTCTAGGGTTTCACCAGGAGTCATCACCGTGGCTAAAGACATAAGAACGGAGAGAAATGTGAACTTCCTCTGTGGTGTTGTCTCATAAGCAACCATGAAACTTAAGGAAAAGTGTTCTCATAATAGCTCGAGCTGAACTGGGTCGACCAGAGCCTTAACATGTAGGACTAAACCAAAAAATATCTGTACTACCTACAATGTGCTGAATGTGTGTGTCTCCCCAAAATTCATATGTTGAAGCCCTGATTCTCAGTGGGATGGTATTAGGAGGTGGAGTTTTTGAGAGGCTATTAGATTATGAGGTTAGAACCCTCAAGATGGAATTAGTACCCTTATAAAAAAAAGCTTTTCACTTGAGGCCAGGAGTTTGAGACAAGCCTGGGCAACATAGTGAGATCCCATGTTTGCAAAAAAATTTTAAAAATTAACTGGGCATGTTCTTGTATGCTTGTAGTCCTAGCTAGTTGGGTGGCTAAGGCCAGAGGACTGCTTGAGTCCAGAAGTTCGAGGCTGCAGTGAGCTACGATTGTGCCACTGTGCTCCAGGTTGGGTGACAGAGCAAGACCTTGTCTCTAAAAACAACAACAACAACAACAACAAGAAAAGCTGTGAGAGAGTTTGATTCTTTTTCTCTTCATTGTGTGGAGAAACAACCAGAAGATAGCTGTCTGCAAACCAGGAAGAGAGCCCTAACCAGATGTTGGATCTACTGGTAACTTGATCTTGAACTTCCCAGCCTCTAGAAATGAGAGACATACATTGTTTAAGTCATGCAGTTTATGGTACATTTGTTATGGCAGCCCAAGATGGCTAAGACATTGCCAGAAACAATACTATTAGGAAGAACCTTCTTTTAAAAAAGCAGATGAAGGTGACTATAGACTTTCAAAGAAACACTGAAATATTCCGCAACTGCATACCATGGTAGTGGCTTAATTAGTACATATTAAATGGCTCTAGGGACAGTCAAACTCACTATACTAAGGATCTCTAAGGTTTAAGCTATGAAAGAGAGACTTTTTTTTTCTTTTGGCTTAACCTATTTCTCACAGTTGGAGGAATCATGGAAATTAAGGTGATGGTCTCTGCAGTCAGACACAATCAGATTTGAAACCGTGTTCCACCATTAGAGCTGTGTGATCTAGATAAGTTATAGATCCTAATCAAAATTGTTTTCTCCCACGACCAATAACAGTATGGATCATGCTTCTCTTGTCATGCTGATGGGATGATTCCCTTATTTATAGCACAAAGGGCAGTGAGTCAGCACATGGTGTGTGTCAACAAAAACAAATGCCAAACAGATGAGAGATAAAAACTGTAGACCTGTAAGAAATCTATTCTGGGGAAACGTTATCCCCAAATAAGAAAAGTAGATGGAAAACAAATTTTATAAAGTGTTATTTCTGTAAAAGTGAGTGGGGACAAAAGAAAAGAGAGAAGAAATAAAGGACAAGAGGATATGACCAGAATTGAGATAAAAACCAAGTTGGAGAAGGTGATGAGGAAGTGGGGATGCCTCAGGCTGGAGGATACTACAGCAGACGTGTCCAAGGGCAGAATCATTCCATGATCAAAGACAGCTGGAGTCAGGCATACGGAATGCAGTGGCCAACCACAATTACACCACCAATGAAAGATGGCAGAAATGCCTTTGCAAAGCAAATGTGACTGGGGAGTTACAACGCAAACAAATGTAATGAAACATATGTAAAAACACCATAAAAGAAAATCTTCTTAAGATGAAGGATACTTTGAGTATATATCACAATGCTTTTCTATTTTCTATTAAGTGTAAACACATATTCTTATGGTGCTGTTGAATATTAGACAAAAACCAACAGAGATTCAGACAGAAACAGAAATTCTCCTTCAAGTTAAAAAAAAAAACAACAAAAAACCAAAACGCTCCTCAAACTTCTGAGTTATGTAATGTGTCAGAAAACAGTGGAACTGGGATAAGAGGTAAAATACACGTGTTTTATATTTAATCAACAGGCCACTCAAGAATAAAATTGATAAAAATTTCTGAATTGTGCAAATGCTGAGGGTACATTGTTCCCATTAACTGTGGCTTAAAAAAGAATCTAAAAATCTATTTAGTAACTTGTTTTGACTAAATTAAAGGTCAATTGAAATGATCATCTCTAAGAGTTATATTTTGGAAGTAGTTGGTGTCTCATGATGTTACTATAAATTTACTCTCTCAATTAACCTTTTCTAACATATTACTATTGTTTGAATAATAGACACTTACTTTTGCAGATTAATTTTGCCATCTGCCTCTTCTTGATTTTTCTGATGTTTGAGTCATAATTTTGTTTTCCTTTTTTTTTTTTTTTTTTTTTAGACAGGGTCTCCCTCTGTCACTGAGGTTGGAATGCAGTGGTGCGATCTCGGCTCACTGCAGCCTCTGCCTCCCAAGTTCAAGCTGTTCTAGTGCCTCAGCCTCCCTAGTAGCTGGGATTATAGGCATGTGCCACTACACCTAGCTCACTTTTGTATTTTTTAGTAGAGATTGGCTTTTGGTATGTTGGCCAGGCTGGTCTCGAACTGCTGGCCTCAAGTGATCCATCTGGACACCTCAGCCTCCCAAAGTGCTGGGATTACACGTGTGAGCCACTGCACTTGACCCATTTTTACTTCTGATTTTTTTAGGCTCACAGTGAGAACATCTTCAAATAATGGTGACTTTACCCTTTTTCTTTTTTATCACTATTATTTTATTTTTATATGCAAAAAATTAAACTTGAAATAGTTCTAGATTTTTTTTTCTCCTATTGTTGGGATATGGCTGCTTCATCACACAAGGGGACAAAACTACATTCACATCAGTGAGGACCCAGGGCAGAGTTCAAGTGGCATAGCCTCAACTTAGCATATTCGAACTTGGCACTCTTTCCAAAATTACCACAGGAAGAAAGAACAAAGATTCACTGCAAATAAATGAACTATGATACAATGTTCTTTCAAAAATTTTTCATTTTGCAATGAAACATTTTGCAACTGTAATTATATGACTGCCTGCTTTAGGATATTTTAGATGTGTGTGTGTGTGTGTGTGTGTGTGTATATATAATATATTAAGTATATATATGTAATATATATACCTTAGTATAACTTTTGCTAATACAGTAGTACAAGCTATTTCTGTTCTACAAATTTTATATTTTATAGCTACAAGGGTGAAAAGTAACCTACAACATTTTTATGTCACATATCCTTGTATACAAACAGTATTTATTGAATTTGAGCCAAAAACTAGAAGTCTTTAGTTTTAGCACTTGAATGAGCTTCCTTGCTTCTGCAGCCTTATATGATACACTACTCACATTTCCAGAGTTCGCCATTACTCATTACTTTAAACTTGGAGAAACAGGTGAACCCAAACTTTTGATTACAATTTTTATATACAAGTTAGATAACACAGCTCAATAAGACAGAGCTATCCATCCTAAGCCCAACACACACCTTCTGTACTATGTTAGACAAGCTTTGAGTTTTCTGTTTTTCCTTACAAAATAATATGCAAACTTAGAAGTAACTGGTAAAACTGATATACAGGATGTCAAAGGAAAGGTGACATTTTTCTGTTGGTTCCAAAAAGGTTCCTGCAAATTTTGTACTCTGCTTTGTTCTCTAACTATATGTCTGTTACATGCAGAAAGCTCTTTCACAGGAATTGAACTATTTAAATCATATTTTACATTTTATTTTACAACCAATTGTGTGGTTATGATTGCCAGAATAAATGTCAGTAAAAAGCGCACATGGCCGGGCCTGGTGGCTCACGCCTGTAATCCCAGCACTTTGGGAGGCTGAGGCAGACGGATCATGAGGTCAGGAGCTCGAGACCAGCCTGACCAACATGGTGAAACCCCCCTCTCTACTTAAGATAGAAAAAATTTAGCTGGGTGTGGTGCCACCTGCCTGTAATCCCAGCTACTCGGGGGGCTGAGGCAGGAGAATCGCTTGAACCTGACAGGCAAAGGTTGCAGGGAGCTCAGATCGCGCCATTGCACTCCAACAGGGCGAGACTCCATCTCAAAAAAAAAAAAAAAAAAAAAAGCGCACATTTCTTGGAACCATTCTCAATAGTATTACCTTTTCTGTTTTCTTTAATTTGGAAAGTAATAGTCTCAAGTTATATTTAATTGTTTTCGCTGTGCCTTTTGCAGACAATTCACATAATTGAACATTTTGAACATATATATATTCCCCATTTATTTTTCTTTTATATAATTCATCAATTTTTACCCTTACATACTTATATCTTTCTGATTAAAAGGACAATTAAAATTCATAGGCATAATTTGTCAAATCTAACATTTATACCACTCATCAGAAATAACTTAAATACTAGTTACCACCAAGTAGCAAGAGGAGGCAGTTCCTTATTTTCTCACGCTGTAATTGTAAAGGACTCCTAAATAAGTTCCAGAAAAAAAAAAAAAAAAAAGACCATGGGAGCTTCTCATTTCATCCTTGGGAAAGTCTTGGATGTGTAGGGAGCAGAACAAATTTGTTGAACCAATACAATAAGAGCAAAGATCAATGAGTCGAGGCAGAATTAAATGTCCATGACCCTTAAATTCTATAAACAGTAAATATGGAAGAGAATAAACAAATAAACCAGTAATGGAGTCCAACCACAGGAAGAATCAATTATGATTAAGTTAGACTCCGAAAATATACATAGAATTTAAAATCAGTGGTTTTAAGTAAGGATTTCTGGCTTTGGGCTGTTTCTTTTGTGCACCGAAAATGTGAGTTATCTGCTTTATTGATCATTTATATTTCAACAGATAATGGCCAAATTGTGAAATCTGACCTGTGGAATACTTTAAATTTCTTCTTTGTTATTAATCATCCATATAGACATAAATTTCCAAGAAATAAAGTACTTTAAAAACATTAAAATGGCTACATATACCATGGGAACTCAAGGATGTAAAGTAGAAACTGGTAAAAGTTAAAAACAGCGCATGAAGAGTTAAACGTGCAATGTGGCTAATTCCTGAATATACCCAATTTCTCATGGACTGCAGTGCTGCCCTGTCTACTGCAACAATAACAAAAAAGCATGTTTGCATGTCATGAACTGGCACAGGTTATTCAAGGAAATTACGTATGTACCCAGGGAGCTATTCAGGAGAAAGGATAGGAAAAAAGTCATGCAAAACAGTTTTGCTGTGTATAGCAAATTCTCCAGAATGTGAAACTCGATGCTGAGAGAGTCATTTGGAAGCAGTGTTTCTGCAACCTAGTTAAAAAACCAAAAGAAAACTCCAAACAACACAAACGCAAAGCAAACGCTAGTATTTTCCCCATGAATACTGCAATTTAGATATCTGCTTACCACCCTCCTCTTTTCATGTGTTTTGTGTGATGGCTGACAGGTGTCCTGATAAACACAGTGAGATAAGACAGACCAGAAACTAGTGCCTATGCTACCCATTTTCAAGTCAGAGGAAAAACTCTAAAAGGAAATAAAAGGAAAAAGGAAAAGGAGTAAAGCAAGAACCTCAGCTAAATCTTTCTTACTTTTTAAAAAAGAAAAAATTAATAGCTTACACACATTTTGTTTTCAAGACTATCTTTTACATGTATACGTTGTATGGCCGGGCACGGTGGCTCACGCCTATAATCCCAGCACTTTGGGAGGCCGAGGCAGGCAGATCACGAGGTCAAGAGATCGAGACCATCCTGGCCGACATGGTGAAACCCCGTCTCTACTAAAAATACAAAAATTAGCTGGGCGTGGTGGCGTGTGCCTGTAGTCTCAGCTACTCGGGAGGCTGAGGCAGGAGAACTGCGTGAACCCGGGAGGCGGAGGTTGCAGTGAGCCGAGATTGCACCACTGCACTCCAGCCTGGGTGACTGAGCAAGACTCCTTCTCAAAAAAAAAAAAAAAAAAAAAAAAAAAAAAAAAAAACGTTATTTAAATAGACTGGATTTTGCTTTTCATGGCTTAATTATTGAGCTTTTAACCAATAATTGCAAAGTTGTGTTTTGTTCCCATATCCAGGATAAAGTGGAAGACCCACTCTGGAATATTGCTGGTTCTTGGCGTAGAAGGAAAGGATAACATGGGGAACTGGCTTCTAAAAGTTCTGGCAAGATCTGATTCGCAATTTTCATCTGCATGACTTTGAACAAAAGGTGACACCAATGGGGACCAGAGGTGCCATCTAACCCCAGGAAAGGATGGCGATTATACAAAGATGGTCCTGAGATATGCATTGATGGTATATACATAATGCTGAAACTTCTTTAATCTATTTAAAATTTTATTTTGGTCCAGTATTTGCCGCAGCATCATAAATAAATGCTTATCTTTCTTTATAAGAACTCAAGCCCATGTGGGATGCAGTGGTTTATAAACCAGTTCTGTCTGCACTGAGGAGGTTGTAAATCACAGAAAAGTGAATTCATGATAACTTTGCTTGATATAGTTTGGATATTTGTCCCCTCCAATCTCACGTTGAAATTTGATCCCCAATATTTGATATGGCCCCTAAAAAGGAGTGTTTGGGTCATGAAGATGGATCACTTATGAAAGATTTGGTGACATCCTTGTGATAATGAGTGAATTATTGCTGTATTAGTTCCTGTGAGATCTGATTGTTAAAAAGGGCCTGGTGGCCAGGGGTAGTGGCTCATGCTTGTAATCCCAGGACTTTGGGAGGCCAAGGCAAGTGGATTACTTGGGCCCAGGAGTTTGAGACCAGCCTGGGCAACATGACAAAACCCTGCCTCTACAAAAAATGAAAAAAATTAGCTGGGCGTGGTGGTACACGTCTGTAGTCCCAGGTACCTTGAGAGGCTGAGATATGAGGATCACCTGAGCCTGGGAGTTTGAGACTGCAGTGAGCCATGATTGCACCACTGCACTCCAGCACTCCAGCCTGGGTGATGGAGTAAGACCCTGCCAAAAAAAAAAAAAAAAAAAAAAAGAAAGAAAGAAAAGAAAGGGGGGGGAGAGAGAGAGAGAGAGAGGGAGAGAGAGAGAAATAAAGAAGGAAAGAAAAAGAAAGAAGAAAGAAAGAAAAAGAAAGAAGGAAAGAAAGAGAAAGAAAGAGAGAGAGCCCAGCACCTTTTCACCTCTCTTTCCTCCTCTCTTGCCAGGTGATGTGATGCCAGTTCCCCCTTCACCTTCCACCATGAGTGGAAGCTTCCTGAGGTCCTTACTGGAAGCAGATGCTGGTACCCATGCTTCTTGTGTAGTCAGCAGGACCATGAGTCAAATAAACCTCTTTTCCTTATACATTACCCGTATTAGATACTACTTTATAGCAACATGAAATGAACTAAGACACCAACTTTCAAAGAAAAGATTGAGCTAAATGAGTATTAATTTGGAAGATCCAAGGAAAGGATTTTGAGTCTCTTGAGGTGCAGGAATACCAAAGCTAGGGCAGGGGGAATAAGTTCAGAATAAGAAAAGAGTCTTCATGACATGTAACTGTGACATATCTGAGTGGCCATGGTTCCACCTGCCCTTATTGTCCTAGGAGGTGACCAGACCAGACCTCTTCACTGAATGCATGCAACAGCACCTGGATCCTCTTTCAATGTGCATACTCCTATTTTTTTCCCTAGCGGCGTGTCCAGAAAAATTAGAGAAAAATACATGTGCAATCCTGTGTTTTGACACCCAGAAGTCCATTTTGTTTTAAGTTCTATACAAATCAAACTTTTCAACCTCTTTGAATTGGGAATTACTGATGCTACTCCACCCAGCATGACATGTTCCATGGACAAACACTGGCTTGAGTCATTCACACACCAGAATTTCTTGCTTGATTATTATTTTTTTAATGCATTTATGTTTTATCTATCCAACAATTAATTCTAGAACAAGTACCTTATAGTGCCTTTACATTCCACAAGTAAACTGACAGTCACAGCTCAGTGATTGCCAAGAGAGCAACATCTTTTTCTGGAAGTGTGTGAGTTTCTTATGGTTAGTGTAAAAAATAACTGCAAACTTAGCATCTTAAAGCAACACTTAATGATCTTATTATTTAAGAGGTGAGAAGTCCAACATGGATCTCTCTAGGCTAAGAAGGAAAGGTTAATGGGGCTGGTTCTCTTCTGGAAACTCTAGGGAAACATTCATTTCCTTGCTCTATTTTATCTCCTAGAGGCCACTTCCATTTCTTGGCTCCATGACCTCTTCCTCCACTGTTAAAGCTAGTGATGTTGAACTGTGTTGTCACATCTTTGGAAGTTGGAGGAACATTATCCTGACTACCGTATGATGTGATGAATCAAAATTACCATGAGTCCTTGGTCTTGATTTCTTCACATTTCTGCCTCGATTTTTTTTTCTGTGAAAGAATATTATTTGGAAGAATTTTTCATAGCATGTACTCTAACTCCCATTCTAGGAGTGGATTACTGAATTTCTTTACTCGTACCCCAGACATGTTTCCACCAAGGTTTTTCAATCTTGAAGCTATTGATATTTGGGGAAGGTTGGCATTTTGGACAGGATTAGTCTTTGCTCTCTCTCTCTCTCTCTCTCGCTCTCTCTGTATGTGTGTGTGTCTGTGTGTGTGTGTCTGTGTGTGTGTGTCTGTGTGTGTGTGTGTGTTTTGGGGACAGGGGTTGTGCTGCCGTGTGCACTGTAGGGTGTTAAGCAGCATCACTGACTTCTACAAAATGGATGCCATTAGCACCTGCCCACCAAGTCATGATGACAAAAAATGTGTGAAGACATCACTTAGTGTCTCCTAAGGGGAGAGGTCACCTCAGTTGAGAGCCACTGGTTTACAAGATTTTACTGAAACAAAGACACATGCATCAGCCTCTGACCATTGTGAATGAGACTGTCCAAGCTATAGTTATGTGACGGTTAATTTTATGTGTCAACTTGGGATGTCCAGAAAACTAGTGAAACATTATTTCTGGGTGTGTTTGTGAGTGTGTTTCCAGAAGAGATTAGTATTTGAATCAATAAACCCAGTAAACAAGATTGTCCTCCTCAATGTGAGTGAGTAGTATCTGATTAGTCAAAGGCCTGGATAGAACAAAAAGGCTGAAGAATGGAGAATCCCTTCTCTCTTCTGGAGCTGGGACATCCATCATCTCCTACCCTCAGACATCAGAGCCCCTTTTTCTTAGGCCTTTGGACTCAAACTGGGACTTACATGATTAACTCCTCTGGTCCTCAGGGCTTGGGTTTCCATTAAAAATAGACTACTGGCTTTTTCTGGATCTCCCTTTTGAAGATAGCAGATTGAGGGACTTCTCAGTCTTCATAATCATGTGAGCCAATTCTCCATAATAAATCTGTATCTATCTATCTATCTATCTATCTATCTATCTATCTATCTATCTATTATCTATCTATCTATCATGTATCTATCATCTATCTATCCATCCTATCCATTCTATGTATCTATGTATGTATCTACCTATCATCTTTCATCTACCTATTTATCTATTATCTATCTATCTACCTGTCTATCTCCTCTAGGTTCTGTTTCTCTGAAGAGTACTGACTAATAAAAGATAGTTTACTATGAAGTTGAAAAGCCATTGGTTTAGACATAAACTGAAAGTTGTCTACACATACTTGGAGAGAGAAAAGAAGACTAGGTCAACAAGAGAGAGGTGTTTGGGAGCTGTATGGATGTCTGTTCTCTGTTGGTGTTCAATGAAAATTTCACTAGGCAATCTCTGTCATTGGGAGGTTGTCATGGGTGTTCTGAATCTTTGCTTATCTCATAATAGACATACCTTATGGGCACAAACACCGTTTAAGAGCTGAAAACCATTGATGGGTCACTCATTCCTCAGGTAGGGAAAAGGTAGTAACCAGAGAAATTTCATACCATGCTAGACTGTGTGCAGCAGTCCAACTCTATTTTTTTAAACTTTTATTTTAGGTTTAGGTGTACATGTGCAGGTTTGTTATATAGGTAAATTGTGTGTTATAAGGGTTCGGTATACAGATTATTTCATCACCTGAGTAATAAGCATAGTATCTGATAGGTAGTTTTTTGATCCTCACCCTCCTCCCACCCTTCATCCTCAAGTAGGCCCTGATGTCTATTGTTTCCTCCTTTGTGTCCATGTGTACCCAATGTTTAGCTCCCACTTATAAATGAAAACATGCAGTATTTGGTTTTCTGTTCCTGCATTAGTTAGCTCAGGATAATAACTTCCATCATCTCCATTCATGTTGCTGCAGAGGCCATGATCCCATTCTTTTTATGGCTGTGTAGTGTTCCATGGTGTATATGTACCACATTTCCCTTATCAGTCTAACATCGATGGGCATTTAGGTTGATTCCATGTCTTTGCTATTCTGAATAGTGTGGCAATAAACATATATGTGCGTGTATCTTTATGGTAGAACAATTTATATTCCTTTGGGTATATACCCAGTAATGGCATTGCTGGTCAAGTGGTAGTTTCGTTTTGAGTTCTTTGCGAAATTACCAAATAAACAGTTCAACTCCTGATTGCATGAAAGGAGACCTTTAATACAGGGATATCACCCAAGACAACTTCTCAGGGCCCTTTTCTGTTTTACTATACAGTTAACCTTTGGACAATGCAGGGGTTAGGGGAACTGACTCCCTGCACAGTCAAAAATATGTACAAGCCTTTCGTGTCCTCCATAACTCAACTACTAATAGCCTATTGTTGTCTGGAAGCCTTATCACTAAACACTTGATCAACATGTATTTTATATATTATGTGTATTATATACTGTATTGTTACAATAAAGCAAGCTGTGGGGAAAAAATGCTATTAAGAGAATTATAAGGAAGAGAAAATGTATTCACAGTTGGTTAAGTGGAAATGGACCATCATAAAGATCTTCACCTCATTGTCTTCAGGATGAGTAGGTTAAGGAGGAGGAGAAACAAGAGGGGTTGGTTTTTCTGGCTCAGGGGTTGCAGAGGTGGAAGAATATCTGAGTGTGACTAGATCTGCATCGTTCAGACCCACGTTGTTCAAAGGTCAACTGTGCTAGATAGAGAGTTTGTGTTGGGTACCAACCAATTATAGTAGTTTAGATATGTGATGTCTTTCTTAAATGGGGTGAGAAACTCAGAACTTTTTATGAACTTCAAAAACATGTTGTAGAATATTTGAAATAAGGGGGTTATGCCTCATTCCCATTGGCATAATTAGCAGAAAAATCTTGCAACTGGCGAATGGGTTTCTTTGTTATGTATGGGCATTCAGTGACTGGCAAACAGTCAATCTAAAGTGAGTAATGAGAAAAGATGAAAAAGAGTTATAAATGCTTAACTGTTTCAGTGATTTTAATTAAAACATTTGTCATGCCTGAAACTAATTAGTAATTACTTAAGCTCTTTATTATGTAGTGCTGAGGAAACATTACTTTGAGTTTCAGAGCAAATTTGAGTTTCAGGTAAATAATTGTTTAAGTCAGAATTAATTAGTTCATAAATTATGTAGTCACAAGATCATTTTAATGAACTTATGTTTGTTAATAAATGCATCAAGGCCTTCTTTTCTACAGTACTAAAACGCATATTGTTTGATAATATTATTGAATACAAAAATAAAATACACAATGATTTTAGATACATTAAAATGTTTCTATGCATGGTGTCTATGGTATCTAAGAATGAAGTATATTACTTAAAAGATATTTTAGTATGATGATAGGCACATTAAAAGTTCAAAAATTAAAATAAGCTTACTCTTTTGTATGCTTATATGAGGAGATGAAATTGTAAAATGTTTTGGAAGTTTAGTATGTGATACAATGTTTCAAAATTGTAAGATTGCAGATATAAAACCTTCTTGGAGTACTTGTTAGTTTGGCCATCTTTCAAAGGAAGCAATACTGAGGAATTGATAAATCGATGATATGGATCCTAGTTGGTTCATAATCCCTACCTGTGAAGCAGGTTGACAGCGTACTGGTTACTTGCTTGGGTTTGGTAAGAAAGAATGCACCCCCTCCTTGCCCAGCACACACAAAATTACATAAAGTGGATTTGTTACTTACAGATAGGTAGAATGAGACAACAGAAACCTAGGATTTATAATAAGCCAGATCCCCAAAGCTTGGGAAAGCTGCCTGGGGTGAACGGAATCTCAGTGGCATGTACCCCATTTGCACAATGGCTGAGAGATCCCTGAAAATAGCTTACTCTGTGTTTTATACCCCAGGGGAACATGATTTGCTGGGATAAAGTCTTGTAAGACATCCCGTTCTAGGAGGAAGTGGAACAGAGCCTGGTTGTCTTGGCCAGTTTCTTCCTATCTCAGGATATTGAATTCTCAGCACATTCTACAATTATTTTGAGAACTACAAGTGAGAAAGAGGAGGAGGGGTGAACAGTTGGGTAGCTGAAGCCATCTGGGGACTTGTGCTGCACCACACTTATGTAAAACCCAAATTACTATCATCATAATTTCTCTTTGAGGTTCAAGAGTGTAAATGATTGAATTTTATTCGTGTCAGAGTATCCATGTCAAAATATACATTATCAATAGGTCTTTAAACAGATCATAGTTTGTAGAAAATCTGTACAACATGGTTAAAAATAGAAGCAAGATAAAATTCAAGGAATAAGAGCTACTGAATCATTTGAGAGACAGCAAGAAGAGTGTATTCTGACATCTATTAATTATACGTTTATAGCAGAATAGGATATTCATGGAGACTGCATGCAGGTAGAAAGGGAATGTAACTTCCTTATGATTCCAGAACTATTTTGTCTTCTTCTGTATGACTTTAGCTTATTTAGTTCCAATTAATAAAACAACATTTTAGTGCAATGCTGTCATCTTGGTCTCATTAAAAAAAAAAAAAAAAACACCTGTTCTGTAGGTAAAGACAACCTTTGTTCCAAGTTTTGTGTTTAAAACTCTTTGTGTTCTTTTTCACGGTTGCTTTTCTGTGAATGTTAGAGGGCTGGGGCTTAAGTAGGGGGAGGACACAAAGTTGTCAGGTTGCTCCCTGGTTTCTGCTCTATAGGGAGCTTTTCTGAGCTTTCATTAATCTGGAGACCTCTGAGGACCTGCTGGTTCCACCCATGTGGTCCACATTTGCTTCTGAAGACTATTTTCTCATTCTAGTAGGTGCTCCAAAAAGCCATGGCCATCTCCCCCTGCTGTTTGGGTTCCTTCTTTGCTCTTTCTGGGTCTACACAATCCGTAAGATCTGGCTGGGACCACCTTCTCACACTGAGTGCATTGAGTTTGCCATGCAACCCCCATCTACAGAGCTAAAGATTTAAACTGTGCACTTGTTTATTTTCTATTTTTCTTTTTTAAGTCTAGGCCCTTTACAATGAATCATCCATACTAAAAATATGTGGGTTTTTCAATTTCTTTTTTTATCTTTTCTTATGGGTCGAATGGTATTTCTGCAAAAGCTATGTTGAACTTCTAGTATGTGCTACTTCTGAATGTGACATATTTGAAATAAGGTCTTTGCGGATGCAATCAAGTAAAGATGAGGTCGGTAGGGTGGACCCTAATCCAAGAAGACTGATTTCCTTATAAGAAGAGGAGATTAGGACACAGACACACACAGAGGAGAGGGCTATGTGAAGACAGAGGCAGAAGTTGAAGTGATGGGGCCATAAGCTAAGAAAAGCATGGAGCCACTACAAGATGGTTACTTTTAGGTGTCAACTTGATGAGGTAAAGAGATGCCTAGATAGCTGGCCAAGCATTATATCTGGGGATGTGCTGTTTCTGGAAGAGATTAGCATTTAAATCAGTAGATTGAAGAAAGCAGATTGCCATCTCTAATGGGAGTAGGCATCATACAATCAGTTGAAGGCCCAGAGAGAACAAAATTGCAGAGGAAAGGTGACTTTATTCTCTCTGCTGCAGAGGAAAGCTGAGACATCCATCTTCTCCTGCCCTTGGACATCAGAACTCTAGATTCTTGGTCCTTCAGAGTCTAAGACTACGTCAGTGGCTTCCTCCAGTTCTTAGGCGTTTGGCCTCGGGGTGAAGATTGACATTATTGGCTTCCCTGGTTCTCTACCTTGCAGAGAGCCTATGGGGGACTTCTTGGCTTCCATAATCATGGGAGCCAATTCTTCTAACAAATCCCCTCTTCTATTTCTATATCGCCTATTGGTTCTGTTATTCTGGAGAACTTGACAATATACACCAGAAGCTGCAGGAGCAAGGAAAGATTCTTCCCTACTGCCTTCAGGGGGAGGACTGCCCTGCAAACACCTTAATTGTGAACTTTTAGACTAAGAAACATTGAGAGAATATATTTTTTGCTGTTATAAGCCACCCAGTTTGTGGCACTTTGCCATGTGAGCCCCAGAAAACGAATCCTCTTCTGTATAAAAATGAAAAAGAATGAAGGAAGAAGACCAGGATGGTCCCACACTATTTATAGAAGGATTCAGGATGAATGATTTTTCTCTATCTACTGTGGCTTCATTTTCTTTCTTTATTTTTCTTTTTTGTTACTTCCCCAGAGCAGGGTTATTTTATAAATAAGAGGATTATCTTATATCACTCGTCATTGGGATCCCATAGATAGTTTACTTTCCTTTCAGATGGTATTTAGCTCATGGGCAGCAAATTAAGCATTTAAAATACACATCATGAATATAAGTTGAGTTACTGCCTAATGCAAGTGCTTAAAATCTGGAAGCATTCACCTTTGGATGCATGCATGAATAAGTGAGTTGGTTAGTGGCTTTCACACTGTCTTGCTAATAGATACTTGGTAAAACTCTCTGTAAGACACCACTTGATGGGAAGAATAGGTGTCAGTCCTCACTGTATACTTTTTAGTTCTGTGGTGTCAATGAAGTCTGTTCATTTCTCTAGAGCCCAATTCTGCACGAGGTAGCAGGGGAGAAAGCATCATTTACCTGTCTCCAGTGGAAAGTTGAAAGAGATACATTTAGAAGGCCACCTCCACAATGGTTATTAAAAAATAGATACATATAGATGATTGTCTAATACCAATGCATATGTGTGAGGAGGAGGAAAATAGGAGAGAGAAGAGGAGATGGGAAGGAGAGGAAAATGGAAGAAGAGAGGAGAGGGGGAAATGAATGCAGGGAAAAACATGAGAGAAAGAACAGGAAGGATGTGAATATTTTGTTTTATTAAAGGAACGGGGGAGTGTTTAGAATTTGAAGAGAGCAAAAAGATATTTAAAGGACTTTGGTTTCTGTTGTTTGGATTTTCACTTCTGAATGTAAAATCTTGTGTAAGAAACCTGGGGAATAAGTCAAACGGAATTGAAAGAGTAACTATAGGAGGAAAGACTAAAGGCAGAGATGTATAGCTCGGTTTCAGCCTCTCTCAGCACCCGACCTAGCGAACGATCCCTATCCTGAGTAATCTTGTTTCCCTGTTTTGTTACTGGCTTGTCTATGTAACATGTTCTTTTTTTTACACATTTGTTTATAAATCACTTTCCCAACACTCACACACTGACCCTCAAAGTACAAACTAAGTTCCTTGAAGCCATGAGCTTGATTAATTCCAGATTTCTTCCCCCAAAAAGGGCTTGGAACAAAGTAAATTCTCCATTATCATTAGTTTGTATTTCAATCAACAAATAAATGTGCATATCCTTTATTGGCATTTTAAAGGTTTTCAGACTCAAAGTACTTATTATCCGCTATGGTTTTTGCCAGAAGAGTGAGAATAAATTGTTCTCAATGAGTAGCTTTTCAGCACAAAGAAGGAATAAAAAACTGGTGTCTTTCTGTAGTTATTATCTGAACAATCGCTGTAATTCAGGATGGGATAGAATCATTTTCACTCAGCCATTTTTTTTTTTTCTTAACCACAGCCATCAAACAAGAAACAATGTTTCTATTACCTAAGGGTATATTAGAATGTGTAGACTGAAACTATGAAAGCATGTTGGAAATTTATTACTCCTCTTGCTGCTTTTTTTTTCTTTATAAATACTTATTTATGGCCTTGACAAATTTTCCCCAAAGTTCCTTTCATCTTTTGGTAGTGAGGGAAAAGCGTTATCCCATTAGGTTTGAGTTGACTTGATTTAGGAGTCCAAGTGTTTGATCTGGCTGCAGGCGTTATTGATGTCTCTGAAAGTGTATTGTAAAACAAAGTAAAGTAATTAAATGGAAGTAAAAACCCTTTTAATGGTAAAAACAAAATTATTAAATGACTAGACAGTAATCAAGTGGTGCATCTTAATTAAATAAAGTGAAATGTTTTACTTTCTTTGGAAGGTCTTTAGCTGGAAACCTCTGGTATGGGCAAACCTGCTTTTCAAAAAACAAGTGTAAAAGCAATGCTGCTAAAATGTATTTGGTACCTATTTTTAAAAAACTAACAAAAATTTTATGTATTTGAGTTGTACAGTGTGATGTTTTGAAACCTATTTCCACAGTAAAATGATTACTATAATCTAGCAAATTAACATATCCATCACCTTACATAATTACCTCTGTGTGTCATAAGAGCACACAAATCTACTCTGTTAGCAAATTTCTAGTTTACTATACAGTATAATTAGCTATAGTCACCATGCTGTGCCTTAGATCTCTAGGTTTATTCATTCTACATAATTGCAACTTTGTACTTTAACCAACATCTCTCCATTTCCCCCACCTCCCCATCCCTGATTACCACCATTCTACTCTGTTTCTATGGATTCAGCTTTTTAAGATTCTACATGTGACTGAGATCATGCAGTATTTTTTCTTTGTGTGCCTGGCAATGTCCTCCAGTTTCATCCATGTTATTGCAAATGGAAGAACCTCCTGTTTTAAGGCGGATTAATGTTCTGTCATTGGTATAGACCACATTTTGCTTAAGTATTCATCCGTCAGCGAGTACTTGGGTTGCTTCTACCATTTGGCTATTGTGTATAATGCTGCTACACACATGGGTGCACAAATATCTTTTCAGGTAGCTGCTTTCAAAGATTTTGGGTATATACCCACAGTGGAATTGCTACGCTGTATGGTAGTTCCATTTTTATTTTTTTGAGAAACTTCCATGCTATTTTTCGTAAGGACTGTACCAATTTACATTTCCACCAAGGGTTCACCTTTCTCTACACCCTCACAAACACTTGTTATGCTTTAACTTTTGATAATCGCCATCCTAACAGATGTGAGGTGATATCACGTTGTGGTTGTGATTTGCATTTCCTTGATGATTAGTGATGTTAAGCACCATTTTTTATATCTCTTGGCCATTTACATGTCTTGTTTTGAAAATTGTCTATTCAGATTTTTTAGAAAACCTTGATCGTGAGCTCCTTCCAGGCTCTGACTGATCACCCAGACCTGATAAACTCTCAGCATATAATTTTGTGGGAGGCGAGATGGAACAAAAACTCCCTAGGAAGACTTTGTAGCAGTGAAAAAACCTCTTGAAACTCGACATCTGTAAATTAGAGGGATGGCAGCTGAGTAGCTCAGACCACCTTCTTTTTGAATAAACAGACCAGAGTGAAGTTTGGGACTGTCTTGCACTTCCTTTTGAACTTGGGGAATTTGATCTAGCCTCGAACTCCTCCTATGACTATCAGAAGATTAAATGAAATGATATATGTCCCAGCACAGCATGTAATATATGGTAAACACTGAATAAATGGCAATTGTGCCTGTGATGACTATTTGATCTTGGGGTTGACTATTTGATGTGATGACCATTTGATTTGGTGTTGTAGTGCAGAAAATAATGCCCCCCAGAGATGCCCACGTCCTAATCCCTATGTGGCAGACCAAATAATGGCCCCAAAGATGTCCACATCCTAATTACCATGTAGTAGACAGAATGGTGTAAAGATGTCTATATTCTAATTACGTGGTATATAGAATAATGCCCTTCAAAGATGGCCATGTCCTAATCCCCATGTGGTAGACAGAATAATGACCCCAAAGATGCCCACATCTTAATCCCCACATGGTAGACGAAATAATGGCCCCCAAAGATGCCCACATCTTAATCCCCACATGGTAGACGAAATAATTGGCCCCCAAAGATGTCCACATCTTAATCCTTATGTCTTAGGCAGAATAAAGGCCTCCTTAGATGTCTACATCATAATCCCCAGAACCTGTGAATATGTGACCTTATGTAACAAAGGGGACTTTGCAGATATGATTAAAACTCTGAGATGACAAGATGATCATGAATTTTCTGGTTGATTCCTAACCATAATTGCAAGGGTCCTTACAAATGGAGGTAGAAAAAATCAGGGTGATGCCGTGTGAGAAGGACTCAACCAGACATTCCTGACTTTGAAGGTGGGGGAATGGGCTTAGAGCCAGGAACATGACTGCTTGTAGAAGCTGGAAAAGGCAAGAGAATAGACTTTCTGCTGGAGCCTCCAGAAGGAAGCAGCCCTGCTGACACCTTCATTTCAGTCCGACAAGATACATTTATGACTTCTGACCTCCAGAATGAAAAGGCAATAAATGAGTGTTCTTTGAAGACACCAAGTTTATGGTAATTTGTTATATCAGGTTGGTGCAATTTTTATTTTTGTTACTTTTAATGGCAAAAAACGCAATTGCTTTTGCACCAACCTAATAGCAGCTATAGAAAACTAATACTCATACCAGGAAAGAATAAAGAGTTGTACTATTCAAAATAGTAACCTGCATGGCCCCCCGTGTCTATTCACAGCTGTAGTGACTCACCTGTTTTTCTCTGCCACACACCTCCATTCTAAGTAATTGTAGTGAGCAATTCAGCAAAGTGTGGCAAAATAATTATATTCAACAATGACTGGCACATATTAACCCTTCAGAACATTGCTTACTTCAATGATCTTGAGTGTTTAATATGTGCCAATCCTTACTCCAAGCACTTCTCATACAACAGTTAATTTTATCTTCATAAGAACTTTTTAGGTCAATGATATTATCACTTCAATTTTACAGATTGGAAAACTGACATACAGGGAAGTTAAATAATGAGGCTCCAGAGCCAGCAATGGGCAAAGCCAGAATGTGACCGTATAAAGCCTCATTCCAGAATAGGAACAATAAACACCTTATTATACTACCCACTCTCAAAATCTGAAGGTGGCATGTGACTATGATGTTGACTTTGGTCATAAGTATAATTTAATCGATATCTACTATCCCCTTCCTAAAAGTTGTGACAACCTTTATTCGTGCCCCAAAGCAGTGGAAGTGTCTTCCTGGGCTAATAGTTAAAACCAGCATGAGAGGATGTGGATGCAGAGTTAAATGGAGCACCTAAGATGACTTAGTGAGAAAAGGGTGGACTTAGATACAAACCAGTCTTCGGTTTTTATGTTCAGTTTTCTTCCCACTCCAATGCTGCTGAATCTGTAAGAAGATTCAGTGGAACATTTTTCTATGCCTGTCAATTCATTCATGCAACAAGGATTCCTGGATGCTGACTGCTTGGTGTAGAGCAGCTGATTGGAATTCCATGACAACTGTATAGACTGTTCACACCATTGCAAAAAACTATATTATTTGGATAAATGCTTCGATTGTTTGAATCAGCAGGTGACAAGAGATTCTTACACAAATAGATGTTTAGACTACCTCCTAGTTAAGGGAAACTTCTTGCAATTCTCAGGGCTGGGTACATTTTCCAAAGCCCAGTGTGAGAATTCTCCCTGAGAATTATAAACAATTCAAATTGTCTTATACAATTTGCAATAAAATTTGGTTGTTTTGCCAGACCGAAGTATTACTCTGTGTGTGTGTGTGTGTGTGTGTGTGTGTGTGAACGTTACATTATCTGGAAGTTCCTTGTTTTAAGAGCTTTGTACACATTATCTAACTCGTTAGCACAACTCTGTCGGGTTGGTATTATTTTTTTCCACTTTATAGCTAAGAAAATCAAAGCCCAGGGAACTTAAGCAAGTAAAATAAAGTCACCTATCTATTAAGTGCCTGAATAGGAAAGGAAGCTCAAAATTTAATAACTCCAAACCCTATATCTCAATTACTATATGAAAAAAAGTACAGAATGCGTGTTGAACTTTGTTTTGTATCAAAATTCAGTATTTAGCATTTCTTTTGCTAATAAAGTAAAAAGGTAATGTTTCATTTTAAAATTTACACAGCAAATGAATGTGTGTGTAATCACTTCAAATAGAATTGATTTTTTTTAATAGAGTTTTTTTTTTTAATTATACTTTAAGTTTTAGGGTACATGTGCACATTGTGCAGGTGAGTTACATATGTATACATGTGCCATGCTGGTGCGCTGCACCCACTAACTCGTCATCTAGCATTAGGTATATCTCCCGATGCTATCCCTCCCCCCTCCCCCCACCCCACAACAGTCCCCAGAGTGTGATATTCCCCTTCCTGTGTCCATGTGATCTCATTGTTCAATTCCCACCTATGAGTGAGAATACGCGGTGTTTGGTTTTTTGTTCTTGTGATAGTTTACTGAGAATGATGATTTCCAATTTCATCCATGTCCCTACAAAGGACATGAACTCATCATTTTTTATGGCTGCATAGTATTCCATGGTGTATATGTGCCACATTTTCTTAATCCAGTCTATCAAACTCAATGTGTCATGTAGTGTTTTTGCTTTTATTTACAGCATTTTTGGGGCATACTTCATTTTTCTTGTCTTGTTATTTTGATGCACGATTGAATTAAGAGAAAGAAGGTAGTAAATATCTGCTGACCATTAATGTTCTTTTATTTACATCTAGTAAAATGTAGTGGGGAAATTTCAGGCTCTGTAAAAAGAAATTACTTGTGTTTTGGTCTTACCTCTCTTATATAATTTTTTCATTTTATCCACTTCCAACAGACAGCAGTCAACCACATGACACAATTAGATTATGAGGTGGTATATTCATCTCGTACAAACCCTATGCCTATATCAACTCAATGTTTCAGTATTGTTCCACTGGAGTGATTTTTGAGCCAATTATCTTAAAGAAGTTGCATGCTTAGAATATCTTATTTTACACTACACTGTCTAAATAACTTTTCTGTCTGTCTCTCTTTCTTTTTTTTGGTCTGTGTTTGTCAGTTGTCTTTTTGTTAAAAGTGACAAAAAGCAAACTTAAACCAGCTTGAGCAAAAATGGAAGCAAATTGACTTCAGCTTCTTTAGGTTTGTCTCAGACATATCTAGATAGAAGACTTCAAACAGTATGGCCAATGCTGACTCTCTTCATCCCTCAGCTCTGTGTACTTTCCTAGTTTGTTTCATTATGCACAAGGAGTTTCTCATTGTAATGGCCACATGGAGGCGTTGTTCACATCGCTGATGGGAAGAAAAAATAAAGCATCTTCCATTTTTTCCTCTCTATAACATCCACAGAAGAATTCCAGCCCTAATTTGATTTAGCACAGTGGTTTTCAAAGTGTGGTCCCTCAACTAGCAGCATCAAGATCACCTGGGAGTGTGTTTGCAATATTGTGATTTATAATGTACCCAATAATTCTCTATACTTTCCAAAGTATTTGACACCATGTTTAAGATTTAGTGGCCATTTTCTGTATAAGACTTTGTGTGGACAATGATTCATTTGACAGTTGTGCAGAAGTCTGGCTCCAGTGGGGAGAATGCATCCTAATTAAAATGTTTGATAAAAGATGGATTTATGTATGGTGTTAAAAAAAGAAAATTTGGACACTTCACTTCAGAAATGGTTTAGCTTTGTTCTTGCACATTCCTGAATTAATTTCTTTGCTAATTAAATGAGAGATTATGGTTTTCTATCCATGTCACTGTGCATCAATTTTTAAAGCTATGAACACATCTGCTCTGTTAATATACTTTTAAATGTGGAAATGAAGACAAATGGGCAATTTTGCATAAAAGTTGTTATCTTGGTAGGAGTGGACTTGATGTATGTCAGACAGACAGTCTGCTGCCAATTTTTCTTGCCTACATGGGGAAAAGGAAAAGGCAGACTTTTCAGGCCAAATCTGCCCTGAGTAACTGCCTTAGTCCGTTTTGTGTTGCTATAAAGGAATACTTGAGGCTGGGTAATTTTATTAAAAAACAAGGTTGTATTTGGCTCATGATTCTGATGGCTGGAAAGTTCAAGGCTGAGCATCTGCTTAGAGATCACATAGGAGAGAGAAAGCAAGAGAGAGAGAGAGAGAGAGAGAGAGAGAGAGAGAGAGAGAGAAAGAGATGGGGCGGTACCAGGTCCTTTTTAACAACCAGCACTTGCAGGAACTAATAAAGAATTTACTCACACCCTCTGAGGTATTAATCTATTCACCAGGGATCCACCTCCATGACTCCACACCTCCCATTCCACCCTACTTCTGACATTAGGGATTACATTTCAACATGTTTGGAGAGGACAAACATGCAAACCCCAGCAGCAACCTTGTCAAGTGAGTTTGTTTTGGTATCTTTCCATCTCTTTCACACCTCTTCAGATTCCACAGGTGCAGCCTCTTCCTCATTCTTCCCTTACTGTTATTAGATTCTCGACAATGTCTGGTCATTGGCAGCTGGGGAAAGAATATGGAACAATAAAAAGGAGCAGACTTTGAAGTTATATACATACAGAGTCCAACCTCTGAGTCTAATAGTCCTTGACTATGTGACCTTGGGCAATGTACTTCAACTGGGGTTTTTAACGTGACTGAGGACAGAAGCAAAGGGGGATGGAGTTGTCTTAATGTGGCTTTAAGGTTCTCCATGTTTAAAATTAGCTGTAGAAAGAGATAGCATTCAGTGCCTCCTCAGGGTACTCAATATGTCTTCTCTAATCACTGAGCTTAGATTGTCTCACCCAGGTCTCTCCCAGAGAACTTCATGGATCCCACGTTTGTTTCCCTAATATAAAGAATCATCTCCCTTATTCTGAGCAATATAGCAGCATAGGAGGAAGATGGAGATATGGGGAAATTTGACTGGTTACTGGCCATGTCCTGAGTTTCACCTTAACCTTTGGGTTTCATTTTCTTTATGCAAACTGCGTGTCCCTCAAGGCTAATGGTAGCATCTTCTTGAAAATACTACTCCATCAGTACTCTGAGAGGCCAAGGCAGGAGGTTCACTGGAGGCCAGGAGTTCAAGACCAGCCTGGGCAACATAGCAAGATACAATCTCTACAAAAAATTAAAAAACTATCAGGTGCAGTAGCATATGCCTGTAGTCCCAGCTACTCAGGAGCCTGAGGTGGGAGGATTGCTTGAGCCCAGGAGTTCAAGGCTCCAGTGAGCTATGATTGCACCATTGCATTCTAGCCTGGGCAACATAGTGAGACCTCATCTCAAAAAAACTTAAAAAGAAATAAAAAAAGAAAACACTACTCCAAGTGCAGGACAAATCTATTTCCCTTGATTCTTCTTAGTTCAGTTGGAAACAGCCGAAATTTCCCCAAAGGATTTTGACTTTCTAAGGGAACATCAAATGTAAATTTAAGTTCTGCAATGTGAAAACATACTCACTGATTTTTTTTGCCTTTTTTCTCACCCACTTCTCATACAATGTGCTGTTAGGTGACATTCAGTTTGGCTCAAGGAAGAGCATTAATAATGTTACCTCAAGGAAATAAAAACTTACAAGAAGTTAACATATTTAAAACATCTTCATGAACAGATTTGGATATTCACCAGCTAAAGAATCATCTTAAATCCTTTTGGAAATAGATGGAGTACAGAAGATAAATAGATTCTCTAAAAATAAATCAGGTATTAATTTTAGCTGAAGTATTATTGTAAAAAGGGTTGCTCTGTGATACATGTATATATATTCTAGAACATGTTTATTCAGAATTAAGTCCCATTAAGTCCTAAAAATAATTGTAGAGTGGCTGAAAGCCAGATTGTTAAATTATCTCAGATGCAGGTTTATTAAGAACAATTCATCTTCATGCTTCAGTATGTAGGTTGTAACTGTTAAGCAAAGCTTCCTGGAGCTCATGGAATATATAAAGGAATACATTGACTTTGATGAAATGCTTCCTATTCTGTTGAATAAAGAGGGAAGAGAAAAACCTGCCATTGGTGTGAGTTAATCCTACCTTGTTATTTGAACTGCTCTCCAAGGCCTATCCACATCTTCCCTCTCGTATGCCTGCTGACTTGGCCCTACCATTCATTGCCTTGCTTTTAATTTCCAACAGCAGGCTGTCTTCCAGGTTGGATATTATTCCTGAGGATGGCCCAGGAGGAGAAGAGTGCAGGAAAGTTCTCTCAGTGGCCTTGGGCCAACCTGGTTCTCCCCACTTTCTCACTTGTACTTTTCAACAAGAATAACTGTAAGATGTGTTAGGAATGCAACAGGAACTGACTAGAACAGCCTGGACTCTGTTCCAGTTCCCTGTAGAAACAGGACCTCCTTGACCACTTTAACCCAGTGGCTCCTGTACCCCAGGGTATAAAACCCAGGGTGGGCTGCATTCTTGGGTCCCTCACATGTAGTGCAAATTAGGGCACATGCAGAAGAGACTGCATCCACCCTGAGCAGCTTTCCTGAGCCATAGGGGACCAACTGCCCCTAAGACCTAGGCTTCTGTTGTCCTTTGCTATCTGCAAGTAGCAAACCTGATCCATGTGACTTAGGTGTGTGGGAGTTCTGTCTTCCCAGACTTAGATAAGTTAGTAACCAGTGCACAGTGAGCCTGTGCTTTTGGGTGACTTGGGGAGGGAAGCACTCTCAACAGCCTCTTCTTATTAGTTCCTTCTCCTCACTGCTCACTCCTGTTCATGAGACTGGCTCTTCATCACCTGAGGAACTCTTGCCTTCAGAGAATGACAGAAGAAAAGCTGTCTTATTCCATTTGTGCTGTTATAATGAAATACCAGAGACTGGGTAACTTAGGAAGAATAGACATTTATTTCTCCCAGTTCTGGAGGCTGAAACTCCAAGATCAAGGTGTCAGCAGGTTTGGTGTCAGGCAAAAGCTGTTCTAGTTTCTGAGATGGAGCCTTGTTGACACATCTTCTGGGGTGGTGAGTGCTGTGTCTTCATCAGGTGGGAAGTAGAAGTTTAAAAGGGGTGAACTCTCTCTGAAGCCTCTCTTAGAAGGGAATGAACCCATTTATGAGAGCAGAGTCATCATGACTTAATTGCTTCTCCAAAGACTGTACCTCTTCATACCACCACTATGGGGATTGAGTTTCAACACATACACCCAGGCTCACTGCAACCTCTGCCTCTCAGGTTCAAGTGATTCTCCTGCCTCAGCCTCCCGAATAGCTGGGATTACAGTCATGCACCACCATGCCCAGCTGCTTTTTTGTATTTTTAGTAGAGGTTTCACCATGTTGGCCAGGCTACTCTTGAACTCCTGACCTCAGGTGATCCACCTGCCTCGGCCTCCCAGACTGTTGGGATTACAGGCGTGAGCCACCGCGCCGGCCTGATTCTATTTTCAAATGATAATATTTGGGGAATATTGGGTGAATAAAATATATTCTTAAAATTATTTTTACTGGTAATTTTTACTTTTTAAATGTGGCTTCTAGAAGACATTATATACTGTGTGTCTTGTGTTACATTTCTATTTGGCAGTATTGCTTGACAGTTATCTCTGGCCTCTGTGTCAAATGTATACTTCACTCCAGTTACAGTAAGCTTCATATTTATTAAGCAGTCACTCCCCATTCCCCTCTCCAGCCCCTGACCACCACCAGTCTGCTTTCTGTCTCTGTGGATTTGCCTTTTCTGACAACAATATGTGGTGTTTTGTGTCTGGCTTGTTTCACTTAGCATCATATTTTCAAGATACACCCTGTTTTATAGGTGAATATAAGGCCAAATCAACATCTGCTTCCATTTTTAGAATCCTGCATGATATTTAGAATGTACTTTCATGCTGAGTCATGTCTTGATATTACAGTTTTTACCTATTTTTTTCCTTGATTTTTTTTTTTTTTTTTGAGATGGTCTTGCACTGTCTCCCAGGCTGGAGTGCAGTGGCACAATCTCGGCTCACTGCAACCTCCACCAGCCAGGTTCAAAAGATTCTCCTGCCTCAGTCTCCCAAGTATTGGGGATTACAGGTGCGCATCACCACGACCGGCTGATTTTTGTATTTTTAGTTTAGATGGGGTTTCACCTTGTTGCCCAGGCTGTTTCTCCAACTCCTGACCTCAAGTGATCTGCCCGCCTCGGCCTCTCAAAGTGCTGGGATTACAGGCGTGAGCCACTGCTCCCAGCTGTTTGATCATTTTCTTAAGCTTAATTTGAACTTACATTTTTATTATGTGATCATGTATGTGTGACAATATTGTAAGCCTTTAAGAAATTATTGTGAAAATCTGCAAAATAAGATGTTAAGCAAAGTGAGTACTCTATTTTACTACTATTGGGAGTGAAATTTTTTACACTTTTCAGTTTATTATGATTTTATCTTCTACTAAGCCAGAGTTTCTCAACTGTGGCACTATTGAGATTTAGAGCTGGGTAATTCTTTGTCATGGGGCTGTCCTGTGCATTGAAAACTTTAATATCATCCCTGACCTCCGTCTACTAGATTTCAGTAGCACATCATAGACTTACAATCTCAGGTAATCAAAAATGTTTCCAAGGGGCTGAGAACAGAGGGTAGAATTAGGGAGATGTTGGTCAAAGGATACAAAATTTCACTTAGGAGGAATAAACTCAATAAATCCATTGTCCAACATGGTGACTAGAGTTAATGACAATGTACTGTATTCTTAAAAATTGCTAAGAGAGTTTATTTTTTGCTCACCACAGAAAATATAAGTATGTGAGATAAGGCATATGTTAACTAGCCCTATTTATGTCGACATAATTAATATATACAATTTTTATCAATTAAGATGAATATATTAATGACCATCTAATATTTACAGACATTACCTAAAGACTTCTGGAGGGAAGGTGGGGGAGGGGAAAGAACTCCTTGTTAATTATTGACCTAAATCATAGAAGTAGGACATGTACACGATTAAATCTCATTATTTAAAAAAAGTGCAGAACGAGAACAAATTTTCAAGAATTATATGGAACATCACCGCAAGCACTAAATACAAAGATATTTAGGCTCTTCTTTCTCTGATTCTCCCCCCAAGATTTCAGTTTTTATTAAAGTCATTGCGTGTTATATTGATTAATGGGTACAAACACACAGTGTGATAGAAGAGTCCTGGTGTTTGGTGGACCAGTAGGGTGACTATAGTTTAGAATAATCCATTGTACATTTCAAAATATCTAGAAGAGAATGATTCAAATGTTCATAGCATAAAGAAAAGACAAATATTTAAGGGGATGGATATCTAAAGTCACTGATGTGATCTTTACAATTATATAAATATATTAAATTATGACGTGTACCCTGAAAAAATGTAAATCTATTATGTATCAATTATATATATATATCTAAATATAGATATATATCTAAATATAGATATCTAAATATAGATATATCCATATCTATATCTACATAGAGATTTTATATATATAATTGATACATAACATAGATATCTATACATAATATAGGTATCTATCTATATATTATATCTAGATATATTATGTGTATCTATCTAGATATCTAAAATATAGAAATCTATATATGTAAATATCTATATATCTAGATATCTAAAATATAGAAATGTATATATGTAAATATCTATATATCTAGATATCTATCTATCTAGCTAGATATCTAGATAGATAGATAGATATAGATATCTAGATATATAGATGTCTATTGTGAGATATCTAGAACAAAAATAAATGATAAATATTGTAACATATTAAGCATGAAAATAGCCACAGAGATTTGATATATGAACCTCTTTATTTATTATCTATATGAAAATATTGGGGTCCAAAATGCTAAACAATTTGCTCAACCTTGACTCTTTTTCAACTGGAGATACACTTTTCATACTAGTTGATAAAAGAGTCAAGGTTGTTCTCTCTGGTATACTTCATTATTATTGTTTTTCTTGACAAATGCCTAAAATATTCTATCCCATTCAAGAGGATGGTTGGAAAAAAAATCCACAATAAAAAATTAAGACAAACTATGGAATCGATGCAACTAAAATGCAGAATGTCTTTTATTTTTATTTATTTATTTATTTATTTATTTATTTATTTATTTAAGAGAGAAACACCACTCTCATTGACTTGGAAATATTTACTAGCTGGAAAGAATTTCATCTTTACTTCACTACTTTAAAAAATTAAGTTTTTGCATTACGCATTATTATTATTATTATTATTTTTGAGATGGAGTCTCAAAAAACACAGTCTCAGCTGTGTTGCCCAGGCTGGAGTGCAGCGGAGCGATCTCGGCTCACTGCAACCTCTGCCTCCCGGATTCAAGCGATTCTTCTGCCTCAGCCTTCCTGGTAGCTGGGATTACAGGCATCCGCCACCACACCCGGCTAAGTTTTGTATTTTTAGTAGAGATAGGGTTTCACCATGTTGGCCAGACTGGTCTGGAACTCCTGACCTGAAGTGAACTGCCCACCTTGGCCTCCCAAAGTGCTGGGATTACAGGCATGAGCCACTGCGCCTGGCTGCATTATGCATTTTTGGTGTTCTTTGATTTTCCTTTTTATACAATGAACTTTGAAAAATAATCAAAATAAAATATGTTGAATCCAGAACTTCCAGTATTGCAGGCTTAAACAACACAAGAAGCATCTGCATCATGAGAATAAATATGGAAAATTCTTGGAGCTTCCATAATTTATTACAAAATAGTCCTGCATCTGTTTTAGGGGAGACACATTTTCAAATGGAAATCAGGATTGTTGGATATCCTGTTTATCTATGGACATTCAGAAATGATACTGAGACAGTTTCTTTCTAAGAATATAAGATTTGAGAATTTTAATTTTTTTCCCCTTTAGGACTTTAAATATTGCCTCTTCCCCAGGGACTCCTACCTTTTATTTGAGATACGCCTTCAATTTAGTTGCACATTGTAAAAAAGGCATTTTAACTGCGGCTGCAAAGGTAAAGGTCTTTAGTCAGCTGAAATGCTGACTTGCAAAATTAAAGAAGATAATTTTGCTAAATCAGCTACAACTTTAATGGCCATTTAAAAATATCATTTCACTTGTCCCGAAGAAATCTTTCAGGTTACCTTGTAGCCGACTCTGATATTGGAATAAAATACTGATTAGTCAAGGTTTTATCTCAAATAGGATCTGTTTGCAACCACAGTAGTTTTTATAGGACATTACCATGAAGCTCTGTTTGCAAAACCAGTTATTTTCTCCTTCCTTCGTTCCTTCCTTCCCTCTTCCTTCCTTCCTTCCCCCTTCCTTCCTTCCCCCTTCCTTCCTTCCCCCTTCCTTCCTTCCTTCCTTCCTTCCTTCTTTCCTTCCTTCCTTCCTTCCTTCCTTCCTTCCTTCCTTCCCTCCATTTTTTACATAAAGTTTTTTTTTTTCTATGTTCAGTCTCTATGGTCTCATGTCCCGCCATGGCTTTCGACAGCATGTTCAGTTGATGATTCTCAGATTTACACAGCCAGCTCAGACCTCTTCTCTGAGATCCTGCCAAATTCACCACCCTGCCTGGCCATGCCACCAACATTCTTAATATGCCATGTTCAGGATAACGCTTAAGATTTTCATGTATCATCCCTTCCTCATTAGGATGAATAATACCAGTAGATATATGGGATATATTGATTTTTCCCTATGATATGATATGCTTGTTTTCTATTTCAGTAATTTTTGTTCTGACATTTATTATTTTATTTAAACTTATTAAAGGATTCCTCTACTGTACTTTCACTGATTTCTATACTTGAGTATTTTAATTACTTTAAAAAATTCATTTATAACTGCATATTTATATATCCTTTGGGATATCTATCTATTTTTCTATCTGTCTGTCTATCTATTTATCTACCTATAATCTATCTACCTATGTATCTATCTCATCTGTGTATGTATGTATGTATGTATCTATCTATCTATCTATTATCCATCTCGTATATCTATCTATTCATCTATCTACCATCTATCTACCTGTGTCATCTATGTATCTATGTATACATGTATGTATGTATGTCTCTATCACCTATCTCATCTATCTATTCATCTATCTATCATCTATCTATATAATCTATCTATCCATCTGTCTCTATTTATCTATGTATATATCTGTCTACCTGCCTGCCTACCTGCCTATCTATTCATCTATCTATCTATCTATCTATCTATCTATCTATCTATCTATTTATCTATCTATCTATCTATCTAATCACCTGTCATCTCTATCTATCCATCATCTATGTATCTACCTACCAATCATCATCATCATCTATCACCTATTATCTCTCTATCTATCTCTACTTATGTATATCTAAGTCTACTCCAAAAGCCCATTGTTAGCTGAGCGTCTTTGATGTACAAATATGTGATAATTGAACTGTTATTTGGTGGAGTAAATTACAAAAAAACTGGCCACAAAGTCTTCCCATCCCTGTAGGTGCAGCCCATCTCAGTGGGATTTTGCTGCTCATCCCTGTAGGTACACTCCATCTCAGTGGGATTAACGGATGTATTCTATTTTTTCATCTCCTTTGAATCTGGGCTTGTCCTGTCATTTTCTTTAACCAAGGGATTATTAGTCACACAGCAAGTTGAGATCCCTGAAGGTGAGATCCCTGGGCTGACGCCTTAGGGGGTTTTTAGCTCCCTCTCTTGCCTCCTTTGTACATGATACTGACTGGGAAAGAGCCTGGTCCAAGCTCCTGGAGGGTGAAAATTATCCTGTTCCTGTGGGGCTGCCAGATGATTGCAGGCTCTTGAGAAACCCCGGTGGGTGAACCATCCCCCTGAACCCAACTCAAGCTGCTTATCACTAGAATGATGAACAATATATATATATATATATATATATATATATATTTTTTTTTTTTTTTTTTTCTTGAGACAGGGTCCTGCTCTGTCACTCAGACCAGAGTACAGTTGTGTGATCACAGCTCACTGCAGTCTCAAACTTCTGTGCTCAAGCAATCCTTCCACCTCAGCCTCCCGAGTAGCTAGAATTACAGGTGTGCACCACCACACCCAGGTATTTTTTGTATTTTTTGTAGAGAGGAAGTCTTGCTATGTTGCCCAGGCTGGTCTCAAACTCCTGGTTCAAGCAATCCTTCTGCATTGCCCTCCCAAAGTGCTGGACTTATAGGTGTAAGCTGCCACATCCAGCCTAAACATTGTTTTGAGTAACTTAATTTTTAGGACACTGAACAAAAATATATGACTGATTTCTTTGTAAACCATGAATTAATCAAAATTACATATTTTATCATTCCAAATATATATTTTAATCTGCTTTTTAAAAAGTTATATTTTTGTCGCTGATGTCTCAATTGCCCTGTGATCAGAGAGAAACTATATATGCTATTGATTCTTTGAAATAAATTGAAATTTCCTCTGTGATCTGGAATATGGCTGAATTTTATCAATACATTCAAGGAGACTAGTCTCTGTTGGGTGTTCTAAAACTACACTCACTCATTTTTTTTTTTTTTTTTTGGCTTTGTTAGACATTTACAAACCCAATGTAGCTTTTCTGGTTTTCTTCTCTGTGAACAGCCTGCTCAAATATTTTGTCCATTTTCTACAGGATTGCTTTTTGGTTCATGGAAGTTGTTCATGGGGTCTGAGTGTTGATCCTTTATTAATTATACATGTTGAATAAAACTACTTCCCAGTTAGGGATTTTGCACTCTCTTCATGGTTAGTTCTAAAAGCACATATGAAAGTGCTCTGCATATTATCCCAATTGTTCATTACTTAATGCTTTCTGAGTATTCTAGTAAAACATCTTCCTTCCTTTCTTTCTTTCTCTTTGTTTTCTTTTTCTTTCTTTCTTTCTTTTTTCTTTCTTTCTTTCTTTTTCTTTCTTTCTTTTTCTTTCTTTCTCTATTTCTTTCTTTCTCTCTTTCTTTCTTTCTTCTTTCTTTCTTTCTTTCTTTCTTTCTTTCTTTCTTTCTTTCTTTCTTCCTCTCTCTCTCTCTCCCTTCCTTCCTTCCTTCCTTCCTTCCTTCCTTCCTTCCTTCCTTCCTTTCTTTCTTTCTTTCTTTCTTTCTTTCTTTCTTTCTTTCTTTCTTTCTTTCTTTCTTTCTTTCTTTCTTTCTTTCTTTCTTTCTTTCTTTCCTTTCTCTGTTGCCCAGGCTGGAGTGTAGTGGTGCAATCATAGCTCTCTGCAGCCTCCACCTCCTGGGCTCAAGTGATCCTCCTGCCTCAGTCTCCCAAGTAGCTGGTACTACAGGCCCATGCCAGCATGCCCAGCTAATTTTTGTATTATTTTGGAGAGATGGCTTTTTGCTGTGTTGCCCAGGCTGGTCTTGAACTCCTAGGCTCAAGCAATCCTTCTGCCTCAGCCTCCCAAAGTGCTGGGATTACAGGTGTGAGGCACCACAATCAGCCATAAAACATATTCTTAAGCATTAAAGATTGAATCAGTTTCTAGTTTTCTTGTCTTTTGGTATTTTGGTGCAAGGAAACTTAAAGTTTATTCATTGCTTTTATTCTCAAGTGAATACAAAACCCTCTACTTTTTCAGTACTTAGAAGATAAACAACACAAAATTAATTATTTCAGGAACTATATCAATCTAAACTCAATTATTTTTTCAGTTGAAAATACGGCTTTTAATTGTCTGAAGATGAGGTGAAGATGAATTAACATGGGATAAAACAGACTTATTCTGTACATGAGAATATAGTTTGTTTATCTGTGCACCCACCTACCTTAAGGGAAATACACACTTTATCAGATGGTTTTTTAGTATCACTGTTTTAAATGCAATACGCATTTATCATGAAAGCTAGTGACTCTTGTTGACTGTGCGTCCGTCGTAGTCAGGGGCTTTACATATTTAAATAATAACCATGAGTCTTCAAAAAGAGCTCATTTACAACTAGAGAAATGATAAAACAGTGATAGAAGGAGGTGTTGAGGAAATTAAATTAGAACACAAAATAATTAAAATGGTGAATTAACTATATACATGAGTAGATTTCTTATGAACCCTTATCAGAGCTTAGAAAACTAAATATGCTTAGGCCAGCACTTGTCAAACTTTAAAGTGCGCCCACTGTCTTGGAGGATCTTGTTGAAATATAGACTCAGATTCAGTAGATCTTGAGGGGAGCTTGAGTTTTCTGCAATTCTCACCTGCTCCCAGGTGATTCCACTTTGTGTAGCAAGGCACTAAACTAGCATCTTGGTGGGGGGTGGGGGGGGTCTTATTTTTGTCAGTTTCTTACATAAAAATTTTCAAAGTATTATGTTTATTAAAATCTTTTTTTGAGATGGGAGAAGAAAGTACATTTAAATGACTTGGCTGTGGTCACAGTATATCTTCAAGTTACATCTTTGCAGGCATTTGGAGTTGAAATAAATTTCGCCGTAGGTTTCTTTTTTCTTTTCTTTTCTTTCTTTTTTTTTGCAGAATTTTTTTTTGTTGGCTTTGTTTTCTTTTGAGGTAAATCTTATGTAACATATAACTAACCATTTTAGAGATGCATTTGTTGGCATTTAGTACATTTGCAATGTTGTGTAACCATCACCTTCACCTAGTTCCAAAACATCTCCATCAACCCAAAAAGAAAACCCTTACCAGTTAAGGAATCACTTCCTAACGCTCCCTCACCTCCCAAACCCTGGCAATCACTGAGTTGCTTATTGTCTCTATGGATTTGCCTATTCTGGACATTTCACATAGGTAGAATCATGCAATATGTGCTCTTGTATGACTGGCTTGTTTCACTTAGTATAATGATTTCAAGGTCCATTCGTGTTGTATTCTGTAGCAGAATTTCGTTTCTCCCTGGTCAGTCATGGTGGCTCACACCTGTAATCCCAGCATTTTGGAAGGCCGAGGTGGAAAGATCAGTTGAGCCCAGGAGTTTGAGACTGGCCTGGGCAAGACGGCAAGATCTCATTTCTACTAAAATTAAAAAAGATAATTAGCCAGGTGTGGTGGTGCACATCTGTGGTCCCAGCTACTTGGGAGACTGAGGTGGGAGGATCACTTGAGCCCTGGAGCTGCAGTGAGCTATGATGGCATCAGTGCACTCCAGCCTGGGTGACAGAGTAAGACCCTGTCAGAAAAAAAAAAGGAAAAAAAAAAAAAGAATTTCATTCTTTCCTATTGGTGCAAATTTTCTGTTATACGGATAGACCACTTATTGTATACCCATTCATCCATTGATAGTTAATGGATATTTGGGTGGTTTTCATTTTTTTTCTATTGTGAAAGATGCTGCTATAAACATGCATCACAGTCATTTGCTTGATGTGGCTGTAGACCAATCCGTTTCTTTTAAAATGAAACCCAATGTGGCACCCTTATATTAGAGGAGAGATATTCAAGGCTTGCATGATAAAATCAACACAGGGTAGGCACCTTCCTTCCTTATGTTTAGTATCTCCCATTCCATGCAGACACTACACACAGATAGACACAAAGACACCCTGGTAAACAACCCTACAAGATTGACTCTGGTTCCATAAACCACCCTCCTTACTTTTGCAGAGAACTAGTGAACTTCCAAAATTTTCCCAACATGTTATTTGGTGCATTTTGCTGGGAAGGATGGAAACCTCCATTTTCCAACTTGCTGTTCTGTGATCTCTTGGGCAGTATTTAAGTCGTTAAGAAATAGAGTAAATATCAACATGCCTTTTTATATTTTGTGTACAAGGATTCCCATAAACTGAGTTGGAAGGATTTGGAAGTCACTTTTTTCTCTATTTCTTGAAAAATCTGGCATTTAAAAATTACAACTGTTTAGTTCCCTTATATTTTGTTCCTCCATCCCTTAACTTTCTATTCACTTTAAAGCATTCCAATGGCTGTGAGTGTCACCCAACATGATATAAAATAGGCAGAGCTCTTCTATTTTACATAGCACAGAGGAAGAGGTCAACATTGAAAGAGGCTCCTTGAGGGTTTTCTTGAGGAAGAATCCAGGGAACAGGTTAGGGTCTAGCAGAGGTGCCCCATTTTTATGACAACAGCTCTCGGGGGTAGGGGGGAGCATTTCTGCACCCACTACTCATCCCCTTGTAGCTCTGTGCTTTGCTGTGATGTTTGATGTCTACTAATTGAAAGTCCAATTTCTTTGGCTCCATTTCTACTATTTCCTGGATTTCCACTTAACTCTCCCTACAGAAGAGTGCCGGCATTTGTATTTTTAAAACAATTTCCAGGGGATTCTCATGAACAAACCTATTTGGAGTCAATTGCCTCTGAAGGCATAACCTCACAAAGTGGCTAAGTCTACTCTTTAATGTTCTTTTGCCTACTGCATTGCTATGAAGTATAAATCACATTATTGAATAAATTTTATTTGTCATGGATTAAACACTGTCAACCCCCCAAAATTCACATCCACCTAGAACTTGTGAAAGGGACCTAATTTAGAATGAGGGTCTAATGTAAGGGTTGAGATGAGATTGTCCTGCATTAGGGTAGACCCTAAATGCAATGGCAAGTGTTCTCGTAAGAGATGCACAGTGCAGAGACATGCAGAGAAAAGAGGAGAAAACCACATGGAGATAGAGGCAGAGACTGCAGTGATGTAGCCACAAGCCAAGGAATGCCTGGAGCCACCAAGAGCTGGAAGAGCCAGGAAGGATCCTCCTCTAGAGATATCAGAGGAAGCATGGCTCTGTGGATACCTTGATTTTAGACTTCCAGTCTCTAGCACTATAAAAGAACACATTTCTTTTTTTGGTAATAGTTATGGCAGGTGAATGAAACTAATATGCCATGTAATGTGCCAATCCACATATGACCCCTTACCAAACACATGAGCAGCCTCCTCCACTATCAACATCATCCACCAAAATGGTCTATTTTTTACAATCCATGAACCTACATTAACACATCATTGCCTGAAGTCTAGAGCTCACATTAGGGCTCAGTCTTTGTGTTGTACATTTTACGGGTTTGGACAAATGTGTAATGTCATGGACTCATCATTATAGCATCATACAGTGTGGTTTTACTGCCCCAAAAAGCCTCTGTGATACATTTATTTAATAGTCCACTTCTGCCCCTAGAGCCTGGTAACCATGATCTATTTGCTATCTCCACATTTTGCCTTTTCTAAAATGTCCAATAGTTGAAGTCGCATAGTATGTAGCCTTTTCAGATTGGTTTCTTTCACTTAGAAACGTGCATTTAAGTTTCTTCAATGTCTTTTCATGGCTTGATGGTTCATTTCTTTTCATTGCCTAGATATAGGAATGTTTACTTATCTGCTCACCTATGGAAGACTTTGATTACTTTCAAATTTTGGCAATTGTAAATAAACCTAGTATACATATTTGCATGTAGGTTTTTGTTGGGATATAAGTTGTCAACTTCTTTGGTTAACTACCAAGCAGTGTGATTGTTTAACTGTATGGTAAAAATGTGTTTAGTTTTGTAAGAAACCACCAACTGTCTTCCAAAGTGGCTGTACCATTTTGCATTTCCATCTTCTAGGAGTGAGAGTTCCTGTTGCTTCACATTCTCACCAGCATGTGGTGTTGTCAGTGCTCTGAATTTTGGCCCTTTTTTCTATAGGTGTATAGCGGTATCTCACTGTTTTGATTTCTAATTTCCTAATGACATATAATGTGGAATATCTCTTCATATGCTTGTTTGCCATCTATACATCTTCTTTGGTGCTGTATCTTAAAGTTTTTGACCCACTTAAAATTGCTTATCTTCTTACTGTTGAGTCCTGAGTTTTTTGCATATTTCGAATAACAGTCTTTTATCTGCTATGCCTTTTGGAAATATTTTCTCCCTGTCTGTGGCTTGTCTTCTCATTCTCTTGACAGTGTCTTTTGCAGAGTATAAAATTTTTAATTTTCATGAAGTCCAGCTTGCCAATTCTTCCTTTGCTGGATAATGCTTTGGTGATGCAACTAAAAATCATTACCAAATTAAAAAGGCATCTAGATTTTCCCCTGTGTTATTTTCGAGGTGTTTTATAGTTTTGCATCTGGCATTAAGGTCTGCAACTCATTCTGAGTTCACTTTTGTGAAGGATGTAAAGTCTATGTCAAGGTTCTTTTTTTTAAGATGTAAATGTTCAGTTGTTCCAGCATCATTTGTGGAAAAGGCTTTTAAAAAAATATATTTGTCACATTCCAATTCAATCAGTTTTAAAAAATTGTTTTAATTTAAAATTCAGAATAATGTTTAAAGCTTTATGTTGGACAAAAGGCATAGTTATTTGTATTAGTTTCCTGGGGGTAGTCTTAACTAGTTGTCACAAGACAGGTGGCTTAAACAACATAAATTTATCCTCTTATCATTGTAGAGAACAGAAGTCCAAGATGGAGCTGTTGGCAGGGCCACACTCTCTCAGAAAATCAAGGTGTCACGCTCGCTTGGACAGCTCTAGGGGAGGATCATTCCTGCCTCTCCCAGCTCCTGGAGGCTCCAGGCATCCCTGGGCTTGTGACTACATCACTCCAGTTTCTGCCTCCATCTCCACGTGGCCTTCTCCTCTGTATCTGTGTCTCCTCTTCTGTCTCTTAGAAGGATGCCTGTCACTGCATTTAGGGCCCACCCTAATCCAAGATGATCTCATCTTCAGATTCTTAACTAATGACATCTGCGAAGATCCTATTTTCAAATAAGGTTCCATTCACGGTTTCTGGGGGATAGGACATAGACACATATTTAGGGGGTCACCATTCAACCCATTATAATTGTACCCAGTTCTTTCTGGAGGCTCTAGGGGAGGATCCTCCCTGCCTCTCCCAGCTCCTGGTGGCTCTAGGTGTCCCTTGGCTTGTGGCCACATCATTCCACTCTCTGACACCATCTCTCCAGTGAATTTTCCCACTTTTCTCTCTATATCTCTTGTAAGAACACTTGTCATCAGATTTGGGGCCTGCTGCCCCTAATCCAGCATAATCTCATCTTGATTCTCACCTTAAAATTACATTTGCAAAGATTATTTTTCCAAATTCACAAGTTCTAGAGGTTAGGACTTAGAGCTGTCTTTTTCAGAGACACAAGTCAATGCATTATATTAATATTTAGTGAGTTATCTAGATTCACTAAGAGTGGAGTTTTGAAGAAATTGAGCAATGTTATGAATTGTAAAGCCAGGATGGAGGCGAGTTCTGTTTCCACATATTGGAATGAGAGATACGTTACTGACTGTGAAAGCTATATACTCTGTGAAATACTACTATTGCACTACTTGGTGTAGAAATACCAACACCATCCTTTATATTTTCCCTGATAGGGTATAACTTAATATATTAGCTAACGTCATTGTCAAATAGTTGGTCTTGGCTTTTTTAAAAAAAGAGAGACATAGAAGTGCTTTACTCTGTTCTCACGCTGCTAATAAAGACATACCCAAGACTGAGAAACTTATAAAGGAAGGAGGTTTAATGGACTCACAGTTCCACATGGCTGGGGAGGTCCCACAGTCATGGCAGAAGGCAAAGGGGAAGCAAAAGCATGTCTTACGTGGCAGCAGGCAAGAGAGTGTGTGCAGGGAGACTGTCCTTTAAAAAACCATCAGATCTCCTGAGACTTATTCACTATCATGAAAACAGCATAGGAAAACCTGTCCCCCCCCGCCCCATGATTAAATTACCTCCCACCAGGCTCCTCTCATGACATGTGGGGATTATGGGAGCTATAATTCAAGGTGATATTTGGGTTGGGACGGAGACAAACCATATCATATGTAAACATAAAAGGCTGCCAAAATGTTTTGTCTTCCTCTTCCATCCAATGTGATTAATTCTCCAAACTATAGCTGGAGTCCTCTTCCTGAAACACACCAGTCCATTTGTCTTCCTTCTGTTCCCAGCCCTTGTATGGCAGCTCTGTATGGTGATCAGAACAACGTGCATTCCTTTTGGATTTTGCCTCAAAGAGAAGACTCTGTCTACTGGTCTGGTTGCTTTTTGGTTTTGTTTGTGTTTGTTTTTGCTATTCCTGCTTGCTACAGGGACACCAAGCTTACCTCTTGGTCCATGACCATGTGGCTCTCTCTGCCCAGAAAATGTCTCCCTTCTTCTAGAATGTGCGTTTAAAGGTTTCACCAAGCTCCCTCTTGGCTGTTCCCTTTAGTTTCAGCATAGGCACCATTTCCTTTGGGGACCTTTGATTCTCCAAGGCCCAGTGAGGTGTGTCTTCTGTGTGCTGCTGTTGCACTTCAAAGGCAACTCTCTTTTTCAATTTTTAATGTGAAATAAGCACATCACGGAGAACGGGGTGTATCCATCCCCTCAAGCATTTATCCTTTGAGTTACAAATAATCCAATTACTTTCTTTAAGTTCTTTTATTATAAAATGTACAGTTGAGTTATGACTGACTTAGGTCACCCTGTTGTGCTATCAAAAAGTAGGTCTTATTCATTCTTTTTGTCTGTTTTGTACCCATTAAACATCCCCACCTCCTCTACCAACTCCCAACTATCCTTCCCAGCCTCTGGTAACCATCTAGGCAACCCTTTTTAATATCATAATGTCTTCAGTTCTGATTAATCTTCTGTCTTTTCTGATGCATGGCAACTCTCCCAAATAGTGTGTATGGCCTGAATAATTATGGTGTAATTTGGAGAAGATTAGAGTATCACATTTTCTTTGAATTAGTAAGAAATATTTTGGAATTACTTGAAATCTTGAGCAAACGTGATCACACTTACACTGGATTTTTTCCTTACCCCAAAGTATCTTAATATCAGTAACTCAGTACAAAGGCATCATTGTATAAGTTATTTTGATGAATGGCTGTTATTTTCCAGGTTGGATTCTGGGGTATTGTACTGGACTGTGAGAAAGACTCTTTCCTTGAAAGGTATCAGCGAGACAGCATTGTGTCTGTCTGATATCACAGACTCCGAACTGGAGTCCCATCGGATGAAAGTAAAAGTCACTTAACTGATTATGCTCTTCAGCGAATAAAAGCTTCCATCTGCTCCTTTCAGATTCACTGTTCAGGATTCTCACTAGAAAACGGCCGTTGGAAAGATGATCTTAGAGAAATATTAAATAGAGCATTCTTCAGCCTCGAAGGGCCCCTTGCTCCCTGAGGTCTGAATGGCATTTGGATGAAACAGCCCACTGCAAATAGACAAAGGGAGAAAGCGGAAGGAAACATTAACACTTCCCTTCCGGGTTTCGGTGGGAGAGAATTATAGCATGTTTTCCTTTCTCAGGTTCTTACAGAATGCAATTTTACTATGCCTCAAATTCATCAGAGAATGAATGAATGGGATCAAGAGAGAATAAACTGACCAAAATGATTTGTGATTAGACAGAGGTGATGGTTGTACAACATTGTGAGTGTACTAAGGCCACTGAAATGCACACTTCAAAAATGGTTCATTTTTTATGAGACTTTTACTTTAATCAAAACAGAGAAGCATTTAGCTTTTGATCCTCAGAAAATAAAAAAATAGAAGAAGTCTTCTCTTAGGTAACAAAAGTGAGCATTTTGAGAGAAATAGTTTCAATGAGAGTGATTATTAAGCACAACTGGAAATGTTTGGAATTCTTTTGAAGTGAACAAAGAAGAGACAGCTCATTCGGACGTTTCCTTTTATCCTGCGCCTCTTACTTAAAAGCATTTACAAAGTTTGAACCATCATAGTCTGTGGAAGAATCAGATGACTACACAGCTTGCATTTCTTTTGAAGTATCTTTTAATGACTATAAAATACACACATCTTCACACCTTTCTTAGAGGTCAAACCAGAAATGCTGACTTGAGGTCTTTGCAATTCAGAGCTCCTTAAAAGCATTCCAAAAGGACAAATTCAATCTTTTAGAAGCAGCTACAGTGGACTTTACCTTCCTCCCTCTTGCATCTCAGTGAGTAAGAAGATTAGGAATAATGGATCCAGTTTATTTGCCTGGTTCTAAGTTCTTCATAGCATGTTGGTCAAGCCATTCTAACACATGTATTCATGTTCTAGTGCAAGTATAAGAGGAATGGGATCCCTGGCTGTCATTCTGCTGATCCTCATCCTGAAATGTTACTGTCTTGTTGTTCATGCAGACAATCCATTCCTTACTGGTATTGGTCTCGCCATTCCTTGTTCTACTTCATGTCAATGACCTTCATTTTCAATCCACCATTACCACCCTCTACCATGGCCGGATGTGCCATTTTCTGAAACTGTCATCCATCTAAAACCTTACACTGAAAACTTCCACTCTGACTCCAACTTAGATCTTCAACTTCCTAAACTCTCAATTCCTACCAAAATGGGACCTCCAGTCTCTCAGCTCCTCCATTGTTCCCCAGTTATCAGCCTTTCTGCCATCTCACACCGATGCCCATAGAGCCTGAACAGCATGGGTGATTACTGCATCTTCATTCCTGATTTTCAATGCCTTATCTGTCTTTATTTTTTTTTATCACAGTGATTCACAAAATGCCTTATTCTAGATCAGGTTGTTTGTCTTTTCACTGCTTTTGTCCTAGTTTTGGAAGAGTGTGTGAGAAATTTGGCAATTAAGTGGTTCATTGCCAGGATAAAGTCGGGTTCTTCACTGTCTACCCTGCTTTCCTTTGTTGCCTGGTACGTTTCTTTGTAGCCTGTGTTACTTTCTAGGACTGTTGTAACAAATTACTGCATACTTGATGATTTAAAATAACTGAAATTTATTCTTTCAAAGTTCTGGAGACCAGAAGTACAACATCAAAGTGTCAGCAGGGTCTCACTTCCCTCAGAGGCCCTAGGGGAGGATCCTTCCTGCCTCTTCCAGCTCCTGTAGGCTCTAGGCATCCCTGGGCTTGCGGCTGCATCACTCCAGTCTGCCTCCATCTCCACGTGGCCTTTTCCTCTGTGTCTGTATCTCCTTTTCTGTGTCTTGGAAGGACAATGATCATTACATTCAGGGCTCTCCCTAATTCAAGATGATGTCATCTTCAGATCCTTAACTAATTAAATATGCAAAGACCCTATTTGCAAAGATGGTCCAATTCACAGGTTCCAGGGCTTAGGCTGTGGACGTACCTTTTTGCCCTTGAATATCGGACTCAAGTTCTTCAGCTTTGGAATCAGACTGGCTTCCTAGTTGAATACACTACAATTGTATCCAGTTCCTTCTGGAGGCTCTAGGCGGAGGATCCTTCCTGCCTCTCCCAGCTCCCGGGGGCTCCAGGCATCCCTGGGCTTGTGGCTGCATCACTCCAGTCTCTGCCTCCGTCTCCTCCTGGCCTTCTCCTCTGTGTCTGTATCTCCTCTTTTGCCTCTTACAAGGACACTTGTTGTTGCATTTAGCAGGACTCAAATTAAATGCACAATGGTCTCATTTTGAGATACTTAACTATATCACATGTGCAAAGACTATATTTCCAAATAAGCTTCTGTTCACAGGTTCCAGGGGTACATATCTTTTGGGGTGGAGCATGACAATACAGAGAGCTTACTTAACTCTTGCTCCCATTTCTAGCAGAGACAATTGAAAACTTTTAGTATTTCCTGAAAAAAATCTCTTCTGTGTCACAGGGAAAACAGATGCCACCATACAGGAATACCTTCCACTTCCAATACTGTTTTGTATTTCAATTGGTCTCTGCATCTTGCCTGGTGTTACTTTCTGTCTATTTAGGAACAATCACACTCCCCTGTGCACATCTCCAACCATCTTCCAACACCTTTTGTTCTGATATCCCCAGGAAGCTCACTTCATATATTATGTTCCCTCTAGTGTATCCAGTGAATCTTCAACCTCTCCATGCATGAGGTCCAATATCTTTCCCCCATACATAACCTGATATTGGGGATGTGATGGTTAATACTGTGTGTCAACTTGATTGGATTGAAGGATGCAAAGTATTGTTCCTGGGTGTGTCTGTGAGGGTGTTGCCAAGAGAGATTAACATTTGAGTCAGTGGGCTGGGGAAGGCAAACCCACCCTTAATCTGGGTGAACACCATCTAATCAGCTGCCAGCACGGCCGGAATATAAAACAGGCAGAAAAACATAAAAGACTATACTGGCTTAGCCTCCCAGCCTACATGTTTCTCCTGTGCTGGATGCTTCCTGCCCTTGAATATCGGACTCCAAGTTCTTCAGCTTTGGGACTCAGACTGGCTTCATTGCTCCTCAGCTTGCAGATGGCCTACTGTGGGACCTTGTGATCATGTGAGTTAATACTCCTTAATAAACTCTCTCTCTCTCTCTCTATATATATATATATATGTATGTGTACAAATATGCATGTGTATATATATGTATGTGTATATATATATATATGTATGTATATATATCTCCTATTAGTTCTGTCCCTGTAGAGAACCCTGACTAATAGAGGGGTGAATAAGAAATTCGAGGAATGGAGTAAGGGACAGTAATAGGGTCAAGAAAATGTAATCTAAATGATAGAGAGGAAAAGGATATATGTTGTGTTCACTTGCTTGGGCCACCATAACAAAGGACCACAGCCTGGGTGGCTTAAACAATAGGAATTTTTTCTTCTGTGGCCTTGGAGGCTTGAAGTCTGAGATCAAGGTGTGTTGTTGATGCCATCATTTTTGTGTCCTCACCTGGTCATCCCTCTGTGCATGTCTGTGTCTTCATTTCCTCTTCTTATGAGGTGTTTTAGTCCATTTCAGGCTGCTATAACAGAATACCATAGACTGAGAGGCTTATAAACAACACACATTTATTCTCTCACAGTCCTGGAGGCTGGAAGACTAAGATCAAGGTGTGAGCAGGGCTGGTTTCTCCTGAGGCCTCTCTTTGGTTTGTAGATGCTGTCCTCTCCCTGTGTCCTCACATGGTCATGCCTCTGTGTGTGTCTGTGGCCTCATCTCCTCTTCTTCTTCTTTTTTTTTTTTTTTGAGATGGAATCTCCCTCTTGTTGCCGAGGCTGGAGTGCAATGGCGTGATCTCGGCTCACTGCAACCTCCGCCTCCTGGGTTCAAGCGATTCTCCTGCCTCAGCCTCCGAAGTAGCTGGGATTACAGGCATGTGCCACCACCCCCAGCTAATTTTGTATTTTTAGTAGAGACGGGGTTTCTCCATTTTGGTCAGGCTGGTCTCGAACTCCTGACCTCAGGTGATCCACCCTCCTCAGCTTCCCAAAGTGCTGGGATTACAGGCGGAAGCCACTGCGCCCAGCCCTTGTCTCCTCTTTTTTATTTATTATTTATTTATTTATTTATTTTTTTGAGACAGAGCCTCGCTCTGTCACCCAGGCTGGAGTGCAGTGGCACGATCTCGGTTCACTGCAAGCTCGCCTCCCAGGCTCACTCTATTCTCCTGCCTCAGCTTCCCGAGTAGCTGGGACTACAGGTGCCCTCCACCATGCCTGGCTAATTTTTTGTATTTTTAGTAGAGACGGGGTTACACTGTGTTAACCAGGATGGTCTCGATCTCCTGACCTTGTGATCCACCCGTCTCGGCCTCCCAAAGTGTTGGGATTACAGGCATGAGACTCCATGCTCGGCCCCTCATCTCCTCTTCTTAAAAGGACCACAGTCCTATTAGATTAGGGCCCACTCTAGGTACCTCATTTTACCTTAATGACCTGTTTAAAGACCCCATCTCCAAATACAGTCCCATACTGAGGTCCTGGGGCTTAGGGCTTTGACATCTGCATATTGGGGGCCACAGCTCAGCCCATAACCTATGGTGAAAATCATAGTAGCCAGTACTATAGTGGAATCACCTGTAAAAAAATCAGGGGTGGAATTCGTTGCTTGTTAAGCTTCACGTTGAAAGATCTGTTTGATTCTTTTTACAAAACGAGGAAAGATCAGAGGAAAACAAGATAGCAAGAACATTTGCCCTACTACAGTGAGATTTGGATTCCAACAGCCGAGTTGCCTCTGAGGTTGTCTACTTCATCACTTTTCCAAGGACAGCTCTCATTTCCCTGTTCATGACTCTTATCGTGTTTAGCAGCTTTCAAGCGACCTTCAGGATAAAGTCCAGACTCCATTAAGTGACCCTCCAGGAGCTTCATGCACAAATCATAGTTACCTATTTATTTCCTAGAACACGGCAGGTTCTTTGAATTTCCAGGATTTGATCATGCTTAATTTTCTGTGTTAACACAGGGGAGGTGCACATTAATTTCTTAACCGACGATGGATGGATGAAAGAATGAATGAAGCTTAGCATTCTGGAATCTCTGGCTCCCTGGAGAGTCTGATGAAAGACATAGACCCTCTTCCAAGGAAAAGTCACTTAAGCATATATTACCAAGCATTGCAAATTATTTCAAGGAATTTATGGATCTCCCAACTTTCAAACATTAATTTCTTAGAGAGAGCCAGCGGACACCAGAATAGCAAAACAGAACTTTATTAGTTCATTCTTTCTTCTCTTTTCTCCTTTTATTTATTTTTAAATCATGCAGCCCTTTAACAGGTAGTTTCATGCTTTATGTCACTGTTCCAGAAATGACTCAATGTGAATTGCATTTTGCAATGACCCAGTCAAAATAATGATTAGCAGTAAAGGGGAAAAGTCTTGGAATGAGTTAATGAGGCCAAGAGGATAACTTATTCTGTTCAGAAAAAAAATGTAATTGGGATATATAGAGACTTGTTTCTTTTTCTGCTTCTTGCAAGGAAGGGAATATTCTGAAAGTTAGAGTGAGTAATAAAGCAAAAATGGATACGCAAACCAGATGTAGATTAGAAAGCTTTGTGTTGCCATTCTTTGATTTTCCCTAAATTGCTACATGAGTGTGGCATGTCAGAATTTTCATCTCCATCTTTGCACATCCACAAATTGGATGTGCAAAAACCTTTCCTTACCTCTGCCTGGGATTTTTGTAATGTGCAAATGCAGATAATAAAAGTGATACAGAGACTGCAAAGTGCTGTCCATGGGAAATAGTTATTGAGATTAATATTATTATTATGCTATTGATTAATTGTGATTAGGCAGGTGGACATAGTTCAATTAGAAATCAAATAATGAAAGCAAGAAGTTTTGGGCCCAAAGTGATCTCAAATCCCAGTGTCTTAAAATTGAAAGCATTCTGTAGGAGGTTGAAAGATTCAACATGTGTCCTACTCAGGTTGGTGGTAAAACAATTCAGCAATTGCATTATATTTACTCAGATACGATGCACAGGTGATTATATTATTATATTACTCAAATGACTTCAGATGACTATATGATTATATGATTAAACATGCATATAGAAGGTCTCATTCATTCATTTTAAAAGTTATATTTCATGAGTTTGCAAAAATGTAGAATAAAATTAAAGCCACCCAGAAGCCTAGAATGCAGAAATAAATTTGCCTAACCCCCCTTTTTTTTGGTTAATATTATTATATTCTTCATCTATGCCTGTGGTTCTTTTTTAAATTCTTTTTTAAACTTTTATTTTAGGTTCAGGGGTACATGTGCAGGTTTGTTATGTAGGTAAACTCATGTCACAGGGGTTTGTTGTATAGAGTATTTCATTACCTAGGTACTAAACCTAGTACCCATTAGTTATTTTTCCTGATCTTCTGTCTCTTCCCACCCACCACCTTTCAATAGGCCCCAGTGTCTCTTGTTCTCCTCTATGTGTCCATGTGTTCTCATCATTTAGCTCCTACTTATAAGTGAGAACATGCAATATTTGGTTTTCTGTTCCTGCGTTAGTTTGCTAAGCATAACGGCCTCCAGCTCCATCTATGCCCCTGCAAGGGACATGATCTCATTCTCTTTTATGGCTGTATAGTATTCCATGGTGTATATGTGCCACATTTTCTTTATCCAGTCTACCATTAATGGGGATTTAGGTTGATTCCATGTGTTTACTATTGTGAATAGTGCTGTGCTGAACATAATGCATGCATGTGTCTTTATGACAGAATGTCTTAACTGAGAATAGTTCTTCCTGCAGGGGACACTTGGCAATGTCTGGAAACATTAATTGTCACAAGAAAGGGTGGTGAGGAGTATTGGCTTCTTGTGGGTGGAGGCCAGGGATGTTTCTCATCATCCTATAGTGCACAGAATTGATTCCATATCTTTACAATGGTGAACTGTGGTGGCCCTCATAACAAAGGATTTTGCATTCCCAGTTGTTAATAGTGTCATGGTTGAAAAACTATGGTCTATGTACAGGCATTTTAATGTTAAGTATCTACTCCATGATGACGGGGTGTGGCTGTTTTCATAAATAACCCTTTTCTAATCTAACCCGAAGTGTGTCTTGAGTGGAATGGCATTCTCTTACCTTTGTCTTTTACCTGCAGGCTATGTCTAAAAGTCTATACGTGGATATATAATATCTACCCACTAATATAAGTGCAAGAGCTGCCTTATGCCTGATGGTCAGCAGGATGTTGTATGAATCAAGTTTTAAATGCTGGGTCCATGAATCAAACTGCTTCCTAGTGTCGGATAAGCCTATATGTTCTGAGGGAAAATCAAGGGAGGGATTTTCCTTTTAAAGTTCATTTAGGGGAGTCTCAAATCCCATTGCCATGTTTGCTTTGGTCACTAGAATTTACGACTATGTCATGTAGACAATGAGTGAATATGTGCTGTTCTGATAAGTTGCTTATTGTAATCTTTGAGGTTCTTATTTATCTATTTCACTGTTTTGTCCCTTCTGAGAAACACAATAAAAGCAATACAGAGACTGCAAAATGCTGTCCATGGGGAATACTTATTGAGATTATTGTTAGTGTTATTATGCTATTGATTAATCATGATTAGGTAGCCATACTTTTTCAGTGGGATTATGCAGGTTTTTTCTTGCTGATTTGTTTGAGAACCTAATAATCCCATTAAAAATGAGCAAATGACAGGACTAGACATTTCTCAAAAGAGGATATTCAAATAGCCAAAAAAATATGAAAAATGCTCAACATCACATATCATCATGGAAATGCAAATTAAGAGCATAATAAGATGCCAACTTACCCCAGTCAGAATGGTCATTATTGAAAAGTCAAAAAACAATAGATGTTGGCACAGATGTCATGGGAACACAAATACACTGTTGGTGGGAATGTGAATTAGAAAACCCCTAAAAAAACAAAAGGAGATTTCCCAAATAACTGAAAGTAGATCTACTATTTGACCCTGCAATCCCACTACTGGGTTTCAACCCAAAGGAAAAGTAATCATTATAATTAAAAAGTCACCTGCAGTCGTATTTTTATCACAGCATAATTCACTATTGTAAAGATATGGAATCAATCTAAGTGCCCATCAAAGAGATGAGTGGATAAAGAAAATGTGGTACATATACACCATGGAATATTACTCAGCTATAAAAAAGAAGAAAATCATATCTTTTGCAGCAACTTGGATAGAACTGGAGGCCATTATCCTAAATGAAGTAACTCAGAAAAGAAAACCAAACACTGTACGTTATCACTTAAAAGTGGGAGCTAAGCTATGGGTAGGCAAAGGGATTCAGAGTGGTAAAATGGACATTGAAGACTCTGAAGTGGGGAAGATGGGGGGGATGAGAAGTAAAATATCACCTGTTGGGTACAATTTACACTATTTGGGTGAAAAGTGTACTAAAAGCCCAGACTTCACCACCATATAATTCATTTATACACCCCAAACCACTTGTACCCATAAAGCTACTGAAATAAATTTAGAAAAATAGTCGTATTAAATAAACTGTATTATATCTTCTCTTAAGAACTCCCAGAAGCAGTAAGTATTATGTAGCTAGATATCTTGATTTAAAATTATAGCCAAATAGAAACATAATTAGATTTCCAATCAGCAAGTTACCATGTAATACTTTCTGATATTAGATATAACAAAAGTTCACTATGTAATAAATTTTTACTGTGTATCATCTAAGTATAAGATGCCAAGGACTTTTTTTGGGTGGGAGTACATGACGAATTATGTCCGTAATTCATAAACCTAGCGTTTTGCTATTCTCTGAATGACAGTAGGGTTGCTGATGGGTACTAGTGCACACATAGTATTTGGGAAGTTTGACATTTTCTGCGTTTGGGCTATGATCTACCAACTTCCATGGATATTGATCTGAGAGTGATATAAACTTGAGATCTTAGGATGCATGCCTTTCTTGACTTTCGCTGAGCTGTGCTTTCTAAGGCAGATAATTCATGTCCACTCTGGTCAATGCATGAATGTTGTGTTTCTCCCCATGCTAGATTTCAGGTGAAATACTTTTCAAACGTTTAAACTGTACTTAAGCATAAACACCCTTAGCATTTAAGCTAAACCTTATTATAAAGTAATGAAATATTGCAACAGATGCTAAAAGGTAGGATTTTTTTTTTTTTTTTGACAGAGTCTCACTCTGTTGCCCAGGCTGGAGTGCAGTGGCGCGATCTTGGCTCACTGCAAGCTCCGCCTTCCTGGTTCACGCCATTCTCCTGCCTCAGCCTCCCGAGTAGCTGGGACTACAGGTGCCCGCAACCACACTTGGCTAATTTTTTTTTTTTGTATTTTTAGTAGAGATGGGGTTTCACCATGTTAGCCAGGATGGTCTCAATCTCCTGACCTCATGATCCACCCGTCTTGGCCTCCCAAAGTGCTGGGATTACAGGCGTGAGCCACTGCGCCCCGCCAAAGGTAGGATGTTTTTGAATCTCCAAGGGTTCCGAGATATTTAAATCACAATGACCCAATCTTCTCATCTTTTACCTCTATAAATCACTGCAGGGAACTGCAGAAGGCTACATAGGAAATCTCATTCTCTGCCTGAAATCTAGTAAATGTTTATCATAAATAGACATTAGGTGGTAAAATATATTTAATATAACAAAGGTAAAAATTGGGATGTTAGCATTGTCTTTCTGGAGACTTTGGTGGGCTGGAGTCTTTGCTTAGTGATGGCTGTTGAGGTTGCTTCATTAGGGGTAGGTTAATTTGGTAATGAGCATTCAAAGACCCCAAAAAGACACCCTACTCCCCTGTCAGAGCATGCAGGAACCAAGAGGACTGCAAACTTAATGACATGGGCATGACCTGGCAGAGATTCGAATCCGGTTGGGGAGGGTGACGCAGATGTGAAAACTTGTATACAACCGGGATTGGTCAGAACAGGTTTCTCAATGTCAGCACTACTGACATTTGGGGCTGGATGAGGCTTTGTGAAGGTGGGGGCCATCCTGTGCACTGTAGGATGTTGAGCAACATCCTCTGGTTCCACCCACCAGAGGCCAATAACATTCCCTTCTCCAACTGGTGACACCAAAACTGTCTCCACACCTTGCCAAATATCCTCCCCTTATTTGGGGATCACTGAGCTAGAATTAAGCCAAGCTGTTATTGGAGTCCAGGGAGTTGCTATGTAGATAACACAGAGTCATATTGGAGCTGAAAGCAACAGAAAAAAAAGTTAATTAATAATACCAATGCTGCTTTTCTTCAAAATTCTGGTCCTGTTTCTATCCTGGAATTTTATATTATTATTATTTGCATCCATGTTTATTTCTTTAAATGTTGCATTAAATATTATTTATCTTGGATACAAAGTTTCTTGGTGATCCCTTAAATTTTCGGCCTGAGGCCAGTGCTTCTGCCTCCTCCCTAGTTGCTACCCTCATAAGCTCCTTGGAGAGCATGACAGTCTACAGAAAGGGGTATTCCAGATATTTTGGTGCTGTTTCTCTATTTCTCTTGCCCTATTATTTGCTCTTTTTGCTGACTGATACTAGAGCTCTGCACACTCTCATTTTTTTATTGGGTTTGCTTCTGCTGTTACACAATGGCAAAGTTGCTGTGGTTTCTGGGACAGAAACTTTATTTTGCAGAAGTGTACAAAGTTAGGAAGAAATGCCATGGCAAGGAGAAGTGTGTCAGGTCAAGAGAGTGAAGTGGCAGCTTTCTTTTGTTTGTTTGTTTTTGTTTTTTCTTTTATTTAATGTTTTACAATCCTTTACATTTCTATGTGTGGTAAAACAAACAAACATAGAACATAAAATTTACCTCTCAATCATTCTTAGGCACTGAGTTCAGTGGAATTAAGTACATTCATATTATTGTGCAACCATCACCATTATTCATCTCCAGAAATTTTTGTCTTCCCAAACTGAAACTCTGTCCTCATTAAGCAACAACTCCCCATTCTCCCCTCCAATGCCCTGTAAGCACCATTCTACTTTCTGTCTCTATACATTTGGTGACTCTAAGTGCCTCATGTAAGTGGAATAATAAACTATGGTCCTTTTGTGACTGGTTAATTTCACTGAGCATAATGTTCTCAAGGTTCATCCACGTAGTAGCATGTGTCAAAATTTCCTTCCTTTTTAAGGCTGAATAACATTCTATTGTATAGATAAACCACATTCAGTTTACCTATTCGTCTGCCAGTGGACACTTGGATTGCTTCTACCTTTTGGTTATTGTGATTAATACTGCAATATACTTTGGGTGTGAAAATATCTCTTTAAGACTCTGCTTTCAATTCCCTTGGGTATATGCCCAGAAGTAGGATTACAGGATCATATGCTAATTCTCTAATTCTCTTTGTAATTTCTTAAAGGATCACTATACTGATTTCTGTGGTGACTGCTCCACGTAATTCCCTCAGAACAATTAACATGGACTGCAATTTCCCCACAAGAAATTAAAAATTAAAAAAAAAATTTAAATGGACACATAGTCATGATACATATTTATGGAGTGCATAGTGATATTGCAATGCATATATTGTAGAGTAATCATATCAGGGTAATTAGCACATCCATCATCTCAAACATTGATCATTGCTTTGTGTTGTGAACATTCAATATCCTCTCTTCTAGTTATTTGAAACTATATAAATATATTATTGTTAACTGTAATCATCCTACAGAGCCACAGAACACTAGAGCTTATTCCTCCTATCTGGCTGTAATTTTGTATCCTTTAACAAATTTCTCCTTGTCCCTGCCTTCCCCTTCCCCTTCCCCTTCTCAGCCTCTAGTATTCTGAGATCCACTTTATTGGCTTCCACCTATGAGTGAGAACACACAATGTTTAACTTTTTATTTCTGACTTATTTCACCTAACACAATGTCCTCAAGTTCTGTCTATGTTGTTGCAAATGACAAAATTTCATTCCTTTTATGGCTAAATAGTATTCCGTTGTGTATATGTACCACACTTTCTTTATTCATCCATCTGTTGTTGGATACCCAGCTTGATTCCATATCTTGACTATTGTGAAAAGGTCTATTCTACACTTTTATTTACTCCTAACAAGACACAAATAGTCAGAATAGTGACCGTATAGTCACAGTGTAACCAAACAGTGTAGCCTCAAAGTGCACTTTAAAACTTTTTTTCCTTTCCCCCCAGTCTCAAGATGTAACTTTAAAATGTTCTGCCAAAACCTTTTTGCCCTCCTTAGTTTTTGTTTGTTTGTGTTTTGAGACAGAGTCTCGCTCTGTCACCCAGGCTGGAGTGAAGTGGCACAATCTCAGCTCACTGCAATCTCTGCCTTCCTGGTTCAAGCGGTTCTCCTGCCTCAGCCTCCAGAGTAGCTTGGATGACAGGCACACACCACCACGCCCAGGTACTTTTTGTATTTTAGTTGAGATGGGGTTTCACCATGTTGGTCAGGCTGGTCTCAAACTCCTGGCCTCAAGTGATCCGCCCACCTCGGCCTCCCAAAGTGCTAGGATTACAGGCAGGAGCCACTGCACCCGGCCCCTCCTTAGTCTTAAAATATATCATAGAAATGAACTTTCTTTGGAATACAACATCCCTCTCTTTCTCACCATTCACTCCCTTACACCATGCATATTTATTTAACTATACTCTTGTATGTAATTATGTGCTCATTGGAAGGTCCAGGGGCTAATCTTGAGATCAATCAGATATGGAGACCCAGCTGCGAAATCCTAGAGATTACCTCACTGGGGTTAGTCTACACCCTGGCAATTGTTGAGATGACACCAGCCTGAGCTCCAGGTGGACCATCGCTTGAGATGACCTTCGGAACAACACATGCAGACCTCCTATCTGGCACCCCTCCCGCATGCTTCCCATTCCAAGATCCCCTTTTAAAGTCCCCTTGTCCAGTTGAAACTTTGAGGTGGTTTCTTTAGGTGTGAACCTGGCCACTTCCCCACTGTCAGCACTTTCCCCCCACTGCATCTCATTCTTCTTCTTCGCTTTGCAAGTGGCAAACAGCCAAGCCGAGCCTGTGCTCAGTGACAACACTAGGTTCCAAATTTTACGACAGGCCGTAAGTACCAGATATCTGGTGCTCACTGATTGTCTCATTGTAATCTTGTCTTAAAAATAATTCCTTTCCTATGCAAATCAAAACCACAGTGAGATATCATCTCACACCAGTTGGAGTGACTATTCTTAAAAAGTCAAAAATAACAGATGCTAGTGAGGATGCGGAGAAAAGGGAACACTTACACACTGCTGGTGGGAATGTAAGTTAGTTCAGCCACTGGGGAAAGCAGTCTGGAGATTTCTCAAAGAATTTACAACAGAGCTACCATTCAACCCAGCAACCTCATTACTGGGTATATATCCAAAGGAAAATAAATCATTCTACCCCAAAACACACTGCACTTGTATGTTCATTGCCATGCTATTCATAATAGCAAATACAGGGAATCAACCCAAGTGCCCATCCATAGACTGGATAAAGAAAATGTGGTGCACATACACCATGAAATACTATGCAGCCATAAAAAAGAATGAAATATTGTCCTTTGCAGCAACATGAATGGAGCTGGTGGCTGTCATCCTAAGTGAATTAATACGGGAAAAGAAAAGCAAATACCACATGTTCTCACTTGTAAGTGGGAGACAAACATTGAGTACACATGAACATAAACGTAGGAGCAACGGACACTGTTCTCAATAGACAATAGACACCGGCAGGGAGACAGGTGGGAGGGAGTGTGTCATGGCTTGAAAAACTACCTCTTGAGTACTATGCTCACTACCTGGGTACAATGTACCCACATAGCAAACCTGTGCATGTATCCCCTGTATGTAAAATTAAACTTGAGAAAAAAATGGATTGCTTCCCTTTAAATTCATACCGAGGGAATTTTCTTTTGTAAATCTGAAATGTTTTGTAAAATGCCCACAAAGACTTTTTTAATGGAAATGTAGAATAACCATGAAACAAGACTAATAAACCAGTCTTTGAAAAGAATGTCAATTAGTCATAAGGTACAGGAAGTTGTGGAGAAAAAAAAAGAATAAAAGAAAACCTAAATTTCCCTTCAGGAAACATTTATGCCTGAGCCTAAACTCCAAGACCAACTGAAAGAAGAAGCAGTTGTACCGCACTCTTTACTTTCCCCCTAACCTTTGTACTCAGGAATCTGTGTTTTCCAGAAACTCAACAATTCCCTTGACTTGGTGACTCCTGCCTCAGCTGTCTGCAATATCTATTTTATGATCATTCAGGAATGATAAATACCAGAAAGTGACTGCTCGTTAAATGGGTGTGTGTGCTTCTGCATGTATTTCTGGGAATCTGTGTGTTGTGTGCATGTGTGTGTTTGTGAGTACCTGTATGTTTCTGTGTATATGTATGCTTGTGTGTGTGTGTGCATGTGCTTCTGTGTGTACACTTGAGTTTGTGTACATATGTCTGACTGTGTGTCTTTGTGTTTATGTGTGTGGTGTGTGTGTTTCTGTGGATATGTGTGCTGTGTTTGTGTGTGTGTGAGAGAGAGAGAGAAAAAAGAGAAAAAAAGAGCAAAAGAGACAGAGAGAACATCATTGTGGGTGTTTGTGCTAGGATAAACATGGAAAAGTGGGGGAATTGCTCAGACAGTGCTTAATTTATCTGTTACTAGCTTTCCTTCAATTAAGCCCTTCTTCCTGATATGTGTGGAGGTTTCAACTCCCTACTCGTACAAATTAGTATTCATCACTGGCACTTCAGAAAATAACATCCAAAATAAGATCATGCCTAGACATATCCTGAAAAAATGAAAGCAATACCCTATAAACATCCAGGTAGAAAACAAAGCAAACCAATCCCAACAAACCAAAGCATAAACTTTAGGAAACAAAGCTCCTCTCAGGTATCCCTGCAACATTAAAACACCAAATGAGGGTGCCACAGCACCTACAGGCTTTTAACAGTAGAAAACCATTCGACCCCCAAGACATTCACAAGCTTGAAATCTGTTAGCTCAAAAAGCATATTCAATGTATATTTTGAAAAAAAAAGGTAACTGAAAAGTCAAGTGCTTTGCTCATGAGATAAAACAGATAAAAAAGCATCAATGTGTGTTTTTAAAATGGATTGGCAGCTTTCTTCCTAGTCACGTTGGTTTCCATTCCCAAGACAGTTGGTGATTTCTGCCATCCATATAAATGTGTTCTGCACCTTCTCCTGGGTTATTTCTCTTCTGACTGTTCTCCTTTCTGAGAACCAGAGGATGTATGGTTTTTTTTTTAATGCTACATTCATGAGGAATCTCTTTCCAATTTGTGGACGAGTGTCGGTGCTACCATTTACGAACAAGGGCTAAGATATTTTTATGGTGGAGAGACTAACAAGCCATTGCTTCTTTATTAAATACAGAACTACAAGGAGTAACATAAAATATAGTTCATAGATAGATGGGTAGATAGATAGATAGCTAGCTAGATAGATAAGATGGATGGATGCATGAGTGGATGGATGGATGAATGGATGGATGGATGATGAATGGATGCATGGAGGGGTGGATGGAGAGATAGATACATAAATGGATAGATAATCTATACAGTTATGAGCCACATAATGATATTTCAGTCAACGACAGATTACATAGACATAGGCGATCTTCTAAGATTATAATACCATATTTTTACTCTGCTTTTTCTATGTTTAGATGTTTAGATACACAGATACTTACAATTGCATTAAATTGTCTGAAGTATTCAGTACAGTAAACCGTTATTCAGGTGTGTAGTGAAAGAGCAGTAGGCCATACATCTAGCCTAGGTGTGTAGCAGGTTCTCCCATCTTGGTTTGTGTAAGTCCACTCGATGATGTTCACACAATGATGAAATTGCCTAATGATGCATTTCTCAAAATTTATCCTTGTTATTAAGCAACAGGACGGTATATATAACTCATGTATATAGTTTATATATGTGCATACACATGTACATACATAATGCATACATATATTACATATATACATACAAAAAATATACAAATATACATGTACCAGGCATGGGATAAATACGGAAGAAAAATACTGCCATCATAAAGCAATTTTTTATTTCCCATACTCCTTTTGTTGTGTTTTTTAAAGACTTTTGATGAAAATTAATGAAGGTTGAAGAGCATTTAATAAGACCATACATTTTCTATTAAAATAACTTTTTGCATGCTTCCTTAATTAGAGAGAAAATGATGAGAATTGACATAGCTGTTGGAAATATTAAATGCAATGTGTATAATTTTCTTTCATCTGAGAGTCGAGACTTTATTTAAAAATTGCCTTTCCCTAGAAAATAATTGTATATGTTAATGAACAAGAAGTAATTACTGTGTCTAATTATAGCTGGTGGAGTACCTAAAAACAAAACAAAACAAACCAGTAGGTAGTGGATCAATAAATGTGACATATAAAGGAAAATTCCCTTCTATAAGCATCAAAAAATGATAGAGGAGAACAAAGAAAAATTAAACAAATTAAATTAAATTAAGCAATTTCATATGTTTTAAAATGGTGGCGAAGGAAACTCATTTCCTCCATGAAAAAATTAAAATTTTAGGTAAGACTAGAAGAATTCAGTATAACTCCTTTCCCCTCAATTATTGTTTTTATTGCCTTGCTGTGGCTCATTAAATCTTTATGTATTATTTGTAGAAATGTAAGGGGTAGAATATACAACTGCAGTTTCGTTACATGGATAGACTGCACAGTGGTGAAGTCTGAGCTTTTAGAGTAACCATCACCTGAATAGTGTACATTGTACCTGTTAAGTAATTTCTCGTCCCTCACCGCCCAGCCCCGCCCACCCTTCTGAGTCTCCGATGTCTGTTATTGCATTCTCTATATCCGTGTGTACACATTATTTAGCTCCCACTTATAAGTGAGAACATAGGACATTTGACTGTTTCTGAGTTGTTTCACATATTAAATCTTTATGATGGTTTTCTCTCCTCTCCTCTCCTTTTCTGTCTCCTATTCTTTTACTGCTTTTTTTTCCTCTTCTCCCCTTCCCTTTCCTTCTCTTCCCTTCTTTTGTCTTCTGTGCATTGAAACATTGAAGGTTCATTGAAGTTTTCTCGTTGAAACAAGACATCACAAGCTATTTCTTTTTTAACATGAACTAATTGATACCATGGCATTCATGTAGACCACCAGGCCCTAGGGAAAGGAAAATTTGGACCTTCCATTGGAAGGAGAAAAGTCTGAGGGCACACTGGGGTATGCTGCCCAGCTCTGAGTTGAAATGGGAAGTTCAAAGTGCTACACAATGTGACCTGGGCATGGTGCTTTAGAGAAAGAACAGCGACCAAAAATGGAATTTGGGATGCTGTAGAGACACCAAGACAAAATCCTACTCTTGTCTCTGCATAAAACCTACTCTATAAAACAGATCACCAAGAGTCTCTAAGAGTATAGATAGGTTGGGAATTTTAGGTATGACAGTATACTATTCTCACAAAGCTTTGCATCCAATTAGTTCTTATCTCATTACAAGAGTTTATGGTAAGGATTTTCAGCACTCACAGTAGTGCCTATTGCTGTAATCGTTATAGTACTATGCTTTCAATAAAAAATGTTAAACATCCCTGTGCAGCTGAAGACACAGATTTAAATTCTTTCAAAGGATCAGATCTGTTGCAAAACACAAAAAACCTGGAAGATGAAGAGATAACAATACAATCTTCATGCAATGCATGTATAATAGTTTGCCTTATTTTATTCATAGTATCCAAATACTAGAAAAATACTGTAACTTGCATTTATACTCTTTTTATCCCTATGAATCCAGTGCTTATAAATATGTGTGCATGAGTTAGTGTGTGTAGTAGACAAATCAATACTACTTAATTCTGTAAATGAAAGAAAATGTCCCAATGACTATTTTACCCCTGAATATATTAAATCATTTATACAGATCAGATTGACTCAATTTTTTTGGCATTAAAGTGGTTTTTTGGCTATTTAGATAAATTACTATGATGTTGTAATTTTGAATCTATTCTTTAAGCCTCAAATTATCTTATATCAGTGAGAAAAGATAGTTGGATCAGCTATTTAGCTTGCATTTTATTGACGTTTTACTACTTTCTAGTAATCCACTATTATATTGGTTCCAAAGCTTTCTCAAGGAAATGTCAGTTTTCATTGCATAGGAGAGAATAAATGTCTTCATTCATGTGTGTGAGCATTCTAGTTGTTAGTAAAATATTTCCATTTCTATCAGTAAATATAATTAAATTAAATATTGCATTTAACATGCATAGGTTGATTTTACTTTAAAAAAAATTTTAAATATAATAGAGATGGGATCTCACTCTGTTTCCAAGGCTGGTCTTGAACTTCTGAGCTCAAGCGACTGTCCCACCTCAGCCTCCAAAAATGCTGGGATTACAGGTGTGAGCCACCACACTCTCCTCGATTGATTTTAATCAGGCAGAAATTGGTCTAAAACTGGGAGACATCATATGTAAGTCGAATTTTGCTTATGGTGCACCCAACCGTAGTCCATTTAAATCCTTGAAGGACTAATTATGGCCATCAGTGTGAATATAATGCCTTTTTTAACCCAAAGAATTACTTTTATGGGTAAAATCTACTTTAGACTGCTTTTAGCTTCTCTGAATACTCTGAGTTTGCATTTATAATTTTAATGAAAGGATCATGATACCTGCCCAACATGGAGATCTTAAACTTTCAATAAGGTGTGATATATTCATTCATTTCTTTGGATACCTTGGGGAACTGTAGCTTGATTTGTTTTCTCTTTCAAAATAAGAGTGTGTTCCACAGACTGCTTTCTAGGTGTGAACACGTGTGGTGAGGCACGTGCTCACAGGAACCACTGTGGCTAAGGCTTTGCATTTCTAGAAGCTGAGGATAATCCGTACTCTAATTGGAAAAGGACACCTTTTGCTCCTTTCACCTCTTGCTTTCTGGAGCCTCAGACCTGTCCTGGACATAGAATAATCCCTTGATATGATTAACAGAAGACTCTGAGATCTGCAGAGGAAAAAGGGAGAGCTTTGTTTTCCATGAAAGACAATCTGCAGATTGGGAGATGCAGACTCCAGTGTAAAACAAAATGAGCCCCGGAGGACAAAGAGGGGGCCTGGCTTAAATCGGGAAGGTTCCTGTCCCAGTCCTCAATTAGACCTGTATGTCATTACACACACACACACACACACACACACACACACACACACACACACACACACACACACAGAGAGATGGATAGATAGATAGATAGAATATATATATATATATATATGCACACACACACACATGTATATATATGCTTTTATTTTAAGTTTTTAAGTTCGGGGTACATGTGCAGTATGTGCAGGTATGTTACATAGGTAAATGTGTGTCATGGGGGTTTGTTGTACAAATTATTTCATCACCCAGGTATTAAGCCTGGTATCCACTAGCTATTTTTCCTGATCCTCTCCCTCCTCCCACCCTCTGACTTCTGGTAGGCCCCAGTCTGTGTTGTTCCCTTCTATGTGTCATGTGTTCTCATCATTTATAAGTGAGAACACACAGTATTTGGTTTTCTCTTCCTGCATTATTTGGCTAAGGATAATGGCCTCCAGCTCCATCCATGTTTCTGCAAAGGACATGATCTCATTCTTTTTTATAGCTGCATAGTATTCCATGGTGTATATGTACCAAAAATCATATGAACAAAAGCTCAACATCACTGATCATTAGAGAAGTGCAAATCAAAACCACAATGAGCTACCAGCTCACACTAGTCAGAACGGCTATTATTAAAAAGTCAAAAAACAGCAGGTGCTGGTGAGGTTGTGGAGAAAAAGGAACACTTTTACACTGTTGATGGGAGTGTGAATTAGTTCAACCATTGTGGAAGATGGTGTGGCAATTCCTCAAAGACCTAGAGATAGAAATTCCTTTTGACCCAGCAATCCTATTACTGGATATATATCCAAAGGAATATAAATCATTCTATTATAAATATACATGCACGTGTATGTTCACTGCACCACTATTCACAATAGCAAAGACACGGAATCAACCTAAATGCCATTAACAATAGATAAAGAAAATATGGTACAAATCTGTGTGTTTAAATGATGTATTTAAATTTGTTTGGTCTTTGAGGTTGAAAATAATGAGTACTGATTAGGTAGTTTCTAAGCTCAAACCCAGAGGTAGCTGTTGGGAGGAATTTTCCAGCCAGGGTTTCTCAGCTTCAGTGAGCTAAGAACCATCTCAGCTCAGCACAAGCTGGATATTCAGAGCTGCTATCTCCAGGAACAAAGTGCTTTGTGACTCTCTTCTCTCACTCCCCCTGGCCACTGGGTTCCTTTTATCTTAATTTGAGGGTCACTCTCAGCCACAGAGAGCCCATTTTGTCTGGATAGTTAGGGTTTTATTAACACTTTCATTTCAGAACAGCAGTAGATAGCTCTGCAGACATTGCCCCCATGGGTTGACTGGAAGTTTCTCCTGGAAACTGTGTCCTGTCCAGAGTGAGATCAATTGTCAGGTAAACAATATCTCTCCTGCATTAGGGCCAGATGGGGTTACTCTGCCCTTTCCTGGCTGCAGACAGGCCCAAGCCCAGAAGGCCACAGTCCCTGGGCCAGGGGCTCCAAGGCTCTGCAAACATTAAGGAAAGAGCGGTTGGCTATATCTCCACTGAACCCTTTCTCTTCTAGAGATTCCCCATTTTCTGTGAATCTCTTGTGTCCTGGATGTCCTGCTGGAGTCCAATGCAGGAACGAGGGAGAAAATTCAGGGGCTCCAATGACTCTGGAATTAGAAGAGAAGTTGTGTGCACGTGATGAATTTTGTGCATTTTACAGCAGAGGTCTTTCAATACTTCCTCTGAATTTCTTGAAGTTCATGATCAAAACTGGAAATGAGAGATTCCAATAAGCCACATCTGTTGTACATTTGTTTGTTTTATTTTATTTTAATTTTTATTTCCATAGGTTTTTGTGGAACAGGTGGTATTTGGTTACATGAGTAAGTTCTTTAGTGGTGATTCGTGAGATTTTAGTATTTGTTTTATTTTAAAGTCAGGGTCTTGCTGTGTTTCCCAGGCTGGTATTGAACTCCTGGGCTCAAGTGATCCTCCTCCCTCAGCCTCCTGAGTAGCTGAGACTACAAGCAAGTGCCACCATGCCTGGCTTCAATCAATTTTAGAATTTGTATGTGCAATTCTGATGTATCATAGTTTAAGACCTTTTGTAAAAGACAGACGTTTTTGTTTCATTTTTGACCACATGGATGACACAAGAGAACATTATGTGAAATGAAACAAAGCAGGTTTAGAAAGGTAAATAATGCATGTTCTCACTTATATGTAGAATCTAAGAAAAAAGAACTAATAAAAGCAGAGAGTAGAATGATAGTTTCCAGAGGCTGAGTGGAAGGGGTCGTGGATGAGAAGATGTTGGTCAAAGGATAAAGAGGAGGAATAAGTTCAAGAGATCTTCTGTACAACATGGCGACTATAGTTAATAATACCATATAGTAAACTTAAAAATTGCTAACAGAGTAGATTTTAAATATTCTCATCACAAAAAGATAAGTATGTGAGGTGGTAGATATATTATTTGTAATTTTTTAAAAGAAAATATTTTCAAGACATAGCATCACAAATAATTTAAGTGCATTTCTTATTGTGAACATTTCTTTTTTTTTGTTTGTTTGTTTTTGAGATGGAGTCTCACTCTGTCGTCCAGGCTGGAGTGCAGTGATGAGATCTCAGCTCACTGCAACCTCCACCTCTCGGGTTCAAGCGATTCTTGTGCCTCAGGTTCCCAAGTGGCTGGGATTATAGGCACGTGCCACCAAGCCCGGCTAATTTTTGTATTTTTAGTAAAGATGGGGGTTCACCATGTTGGCCAGGCTGGTCTCGATCTCCTGACCTCAAATGATCTGTCTGCCTCAGCCTTCCAAAGTGCTGGGATTACAGGCATGAAACATCACACCCGACCCTTATTGTGAACATTTCTTTACACAACTTGTAACTACTTGCCACGTTCTGAGCAAATATTTATTGGTTAACTATGGGAGGTAAATCATTAGCACATTATTTGTTCTTTGTTTTTGCAACTGGTTCCTGGCGTAAAACATGATATTGGCATGCTGCTGTGTTAGTGCTCAAAGCTGATGGCCTGAAGGCATCACCTAGACCTGGCAGAAAGATTTGAAAAAGGGAAAGGTATTTCAGTATGTATACATATTTTAAAATATATTCAGAGAAGTATTTGTTAAATATTTTTATTTTAATAGATTTTGGGCTACAAGTGGTTTTTGGTTACATGGATTAATTGTAGAGTGGTGAAGTCTGAGATTTTAGTGTGCCTGTCATCCAAGTAGTGTGCGTTGTATGCAATATATAGTTTTTTATCCATTGCCCCCTACCCTCCCCCTTCTGAGTGTCCAATGTCCATTCTACCACTCTGTATGCCTTTGCATACCCATAGTTTAGCTCCCACTTATAAGTGAGAACATACGGTATTTGATTTTCCATTCCTGAGTTATTTCACTTAGAATAATGTCCTCTAGCTCTATCCAAGGTGCTGCAAAAAACATTATCTTTTTTTTTAAATACATACAGCTGAGTATATATGCACCAGTATTTCATGGTGCATATATACTGCATCTTATTGATCCACTCATTGGTCCATGGGCACTTAGGTCGGTTCCATATCTTTGCAATTGTGAATTGTGCTGTGACAAACATATGTGTTGCAGGTGTCTTTTTGATATAATGACTTTTTTCCTTTGGGTAGATACCAAGTAGTGGGATTGCTGGATCGAATGGTAGATCTACTTTTAGTTCTTTAAGTTCTTTTAGTTCTTTTAGTTTCAGTTCTTTAAGAAGTCTCCAAACTGTTTCCATAGAGGTTGTACTAATTTACACTCCCACCAGCAGTGGATAAGCATTCCCCTTTCACCACATCTACACGAACATCTATTATTTTTTGACTTTTTGATAATGGCTATATAGAGGAGTCTTAAAAAAGCAAAGAAGCTTGATGTATTATAGGAGGCAGAATGATATCCTCACATAGATATCCACACTCTAAACTCCAGGACCTGTATTATGTTCATTACATGGTACAGGGACTTTGCAGGTAATTGATGTCATTGACCTTACAAGAGAAAAATTATCCTACTTAACCAGGTGGGTCCAATCTAATCACAGGTGCCCTTGAAAGCAGAGAATTTTCTTTTTCTGGAGAAAGAGAGATGGGGAGGCAAAAGGAAAAAGCAGAAAGATTCCAAGGGTGAGAAGAGTTTAACCCACCATTGCTGCAATGTTCTGAGATGGAGGAGATATCTGCAAGGACCAGCAAAAGGACTCTAACAACTGAGGGTTTCTCCTTCTTCCCTCCATGGCAGACAGTGAAGAAATGAAGACTTCAGTCCTTCGATGGCAAGATTCTGCCAAGAATTCAAGTGGGCTTGGAAACTGACATCCCTGAATCTCCTTATAAAAACTCAGGACAGCTGACACCTTGATTTTAGCTTAGGGAGACCCAGAGCACAGTGGTAAGGTGAGCACACAGGACTTTTGACCCACCCAATGGTGAGATAATAAATAGATGTTTTTAAGAGGCTTTGACTTTGTGGTAAAATTACCAATTTACAGATGTATACAGAAAATTACCAAAATTAAATTACCAAATTTACAAATGTACACAGCAGCTACAGAAAGTCAATCCACTTAAATATGTAAGTCCATCAACTCCCTGTAAATTTACTTATGAATTCAATGCCAGTTCAATAAAAATACTAACCAAGAGCTGAGCATGGTGGTTTTTACCTGTAGTCCCAAATACTTGGGAGGCTGAGGCAGGGGGATCACTTGAACCCACAAGTTTGAAGCTGCAGTGACCTGTGGTCATGCCACTGCACTCCAGTCTGAGTGACAGAGCAGGACCCTATTCCTAAAATTTTATGCACTTAGAAAACATGATTGTAAAGGTGACATCAAGAAATATACATGCAGGAAGGATTAGGACACTACTGTGAAAATAAGCAGTACCATGCTGTTTTGGTTACTGTAGGCTTGTAGTATAGTTTGAAGTCAGGTAGTATGAAGCCTCTAGCTTTGTTCTTTTTGCTTAGGATTGTCTTTGCTATATGGGCTCTTTTTTGGTTCCATATGAAATTTAAAGTAGTTTTTTCTAATTCTGTGAAGAAAGTCAATGATAGCTTGATGAGGATAGCATTGAATCTCTAAATTACTTTGGGCAGTATGGCCATTTTCACGATATTGGTTCTTCCTATCCATGAGCATGGAATGTTTCTCCATTTGTTTGTGTCCTCTCTTATTTACTTGAGCAGTGTTTTGTAGTTCTCCTTGAAGAGGTCCTTCACATTCCTTGTAAGTTGTATTCCTAGGTATTTTATTCTCTTTGTAGCAATTGTGAATGGGAGTTCACTCATGATTTGGCTCTCTGTCTGTTATTGGTGTGTAGGAATGCTTGTGACTTTTGCACATTGATTTTGAATGCTGAGACTTTGCTGAAGTTGCTTACCAGCTTAAGGAGATTTTGGGCTGAGACGGTGGGGTTTTCTAAATATACAATCATGTCATCCACAAACAGAGACAATTTGACTTCCTCTCTTCCTATGTGAATACCCTTTACTTCTTTCTCTTGCCTGATTGCCCTGGCCAGAACTTCCAATACTATGTTGAATAGGAGTGGTGAGAGAGGGCATCCTTGTCTTGTGCCGGTTTTCAAAGGGAATGCTTCCAGCTTTTGCCCATTCAGTATGATATTGGCAGTGGGTTTGTCATAAATATCTCTTATTATTCTGAGATACCTTCCATCAATACCCAGTTTATTGAGAGTTTTTAGCATGAAGGGGTGTTGAATTTTATCGAATGCCTTTTCTGCATCTGTTGAGATAATCATGTGGTTTTTGTCATTGGTTCTGTTTATGTGATGGATTATGTTTATTGATTTGCATATGTCAAACCAGCATTGCATCCCAGGGATGAAGCCAACTTGACCATGGTGGATAAGCTTTTTGATGTGTTGCTGGATTCGGTTTGCCAGTATTTTATTGAAGATTTTAGCATCAATGTTCATCAGGGATATTGGCCTGAAATTTTCTTCTTTTATTGTGTCTCTGCCAGGTTTTGGTATCAGGATGATGGAGGCCTCAGAAAAAATGCCACACATCTGCAACCATCTGATCTTTGACAAACCTGACAAAAACAAGCAATGGGGAAGGGATTCCCTACTTAATAAATGGTGTTGGGAAAACTGGCTAGCCATAGGCAGAAAACTGAAACTGGACCCCTTCCTTACACCTTATATAAAAATTAACTCAAGACGGATTAAGACTTAAACATAAGACCTAAAACCATAAAAACCCTAGAAGAAAACCTAGGCAATACCATCCAGGACATAGGCGTGGGCAAAGACTTAATGAATAAAACACCAAAAGTAATGGCAACAAAAGCCAAAATTGACAAATGGGATCGAATTAAGCTAAAGAGCTTCTGCACAGCAAAAGAAACTATCATCGGCGTGAACAGGCAACCTACAGAATGGGAGAAAATTTTTGTAATCTATCCATCTGACAAAGGGCTAATATCCAGAATCTACAAGGAACTTAAACAAATTTATAAGAAAAAAACAAACAACCCCATCAAAAATTGGGCAAAGGATATGAACAGACACTTCTCAAAAGAAGACATTTACACAGTTAACAAACATATGAAAAAAGCTCATCATCACTGGTCATTAGAGAAACGCAAATCAAAACCACAATGAGATACAATCTCACACCAGTTAGAATGGCAATCATTAAAAAGTCAGGAAACAACAGAGGATGAGGATGTGGAGAAATAGGAACACTTTTACACTGTTGGTGGTAGTGTAGATTAGTTCAGTCATTATGGAAGACAGTGTGGCAATTCTTCAAGGATCTAGAACCAGAGATACCATTTGACACAGCCATCCCATTACTGGGTACCCAAAGAATTATAAATCATTCTAGTGTAAAGACACATGCACATGTATGTTTATTGCAGCACTATTCACAACAGCAAAGACTTGGAACCAACCCAAATGCCCATCAATGATAGACTGGATAAAGAAAATGCGGCACATATACACCATGGAATACTATGCAGCCATAAAAATGAATGAGTTCATGTCCTTTGCAGGGTCATGGATGAAGCTGGAAACCATCATTCTCAGCAAAGTAACACAGGAACAGAAAACCAAACACCACATGCTCTCACTCATAAGTGGGAGTTGAACAATGAGAAAACATGGACACAGGGAGGGGAACATCACACACCAGGGCCTGTTGGGTGGTGGGGGGCTGGGAAGGGAGAGCATTAGGAGAAATAACTAATGTAGACGACGGGTTGATGGGTGCAGCAAACCACCATGGCATGTGTATACCTATGTAACAAACCTGCACGTTCTGCACATGTATCCCAGAACTTAAAGTATAATAAAAAAAGAATATAAACAATGTCAATGGGAAGTCAGACCCATTAGATATTAAAATGTTGTATTGCACCTATAATTAAAACTGCTGCATTGGTTCATGAGGGACCCATGGAACACAATAGAAATCCCCAAATCAGATGTAGGATTACATAGCAATACAATGTTTGGTAAATGCAGCATCACACATCAACAGGGACAAGTGAATGTTTTAGTAGATTGTATTTGGACAACTGGGCAGACATTTGAAAGTTAAAAGAAAAGTTAAAATAGGATGCATAACAAATGTATACCACAATAACTAAAATGTCTCAAAAGATAAACCTGTAAAAATACGCAACAAGTTATGTCCTAGAAATAAAGAAACCTCCCATTGCTTGAATTTTTAAAGCAATAAATTCACTGCATATAAATTTAATGAATCCACTGCATATAAAACTTTCACATCACAAGACCTTTCATAAGTAGAGTTTAAAGAAACATGGCAAGCTGGAAAAGATATTTGCAGTGGAAATCACAGACAAAGGACTCTCTCTAACATAATCAAGACAAAAAAACTTCCAAAAACCAAAATCTACTTAAGAAGTGTGCAAGATAAATGAACAGATGGTCTTCAATAGAAGACATGAAAAAGGACCTAATATATGAAAATATGTTCAACCATGCACTCTCAATGGCAGAATTGCAAATTGACATCATACATAGACACCACTTCTCAACAAGCAGATTGGAAAAATGCAGAAGTTTGGCCACAAAATCTGTTGGCCAGGCTGTGGGAAAATAGGCACCATGTGTTGCTGGTGGAAATGCAGAATGGTACCACACTGATAGGAGGGAAATTTGGCAAAATGCATATCCAGTTACCCTTTGATCTATGTCTAGAAACCAAAGCCAAAGATAAATAGGGTAAAACAGAGCATCTCTTTTGTACAATGTTACTCAGTTGATATGGTTTGGCTTTGTGTCCCCTCCCAAATCTCATCTCTAGTTGTAATCCCCATGTGTCAAGAGAGGGACCTGGTGGGGATGATTGGATCATGGGGGCGGTTTCCCCCAGTTTGTTCTTATGATAGCGAGGGAGTTCTCATGAAATCTGATGGTTTTAAACGTGGCAGTTTCCCCTGCATTCTCTTTTCTTCCTTGCCACCATGTAAGATGTGCCTTGCACCTTCACCTTGCACCATGATTGTGAATTTCCTGAGGCCTCCCCAGTCATGAGGAACTATGAGTCAATTAAACCTCTTTTGTTTATAAACTACCCAGTCTCAGGTAGTACCTTTACAGCAATGTGAGAATGGACTAATACATCACTCCGGTGTGATCTGTAATCTCAAAGATTGGAAACATCCCAAATGTCCCTCTATAGAAAACTGATTCAACAAACTATGGTACAGAGACAGAAGAAATGTAACGGAGACAAAGTAGAAATCTAGGCATTGGTATGAGTGAGCTACAGGTTACATTATTGAGTGAAACAAGCAAGCACACGAAAAACAACAACAAAAAGGCAGCCCATAGAATAACTGCAAGTTTATGGCAACTGTTTTGGGAGAAAGGGAACTAACTCCAGTTACAACCCATATACTTACATGCATATGCATATTTACTCATAACAGTAAAATTTTTGGAAGGATAAATTAGCGAATGGCATCAGAAGCACTGGTTTGGTCCGTTGACCTGTACCATTCTGCAAAAATTGCAACAGACATCAAAGATTTAGTATTTGAATCTTCCATGATTTTGATATAGTGATTCTTCAAACTATATGATATAGATGTGTGGATGTAGATCAAGTATTGCCATATGAGCAAAACAGCTCATATGACTGTTAATCGTTCTTTATAAATCATATTCAATTGTCAACACACACATTTGTGGAGTGGATAACTCCACTGAAGATCAACATAATCCCATCTCACTTCTAGTTTTCTTTGAAAGAGTTACGCCCATTGGAAATGGAGATAGCATAGTCCCCCAAAAACCATCCTCAATTCTGACACCAATCACAACTCAAGGGGTCCTTAAGATCACTCTCAGTTTTGATAATTTGCTAGAACTCATCGAACTCCCTGAAAGCTCTTCTACTCAGGATTAGGTTTATTACAGAGGAAGGACAGATGAAAATTAGCCGAGAGAAACAGTGCATGGGGCAGAGTCCAGCAGGGGTCTAAATATGGAGCTTCCAGTGTTCTCTTCATTCTGCAGTTATGGATGGAGTTGCTTCCCCCTGGATGTGACACATGACCGTATGCACTGTGTATTGCCAAACAGAGAAGCTCAGATGAGCCTTTCTGTCCAGTATTTAATGGAGTTCAATCACAAACTTCCACATTGCTGAGCTTTGGTCTCAAGCTCCTCCTGGAGGCAGAGCTCATCTCTAGTCTACAGCTCTTCTGGATATGGTATGGCCCAAGGACCCAGCCTTAACCACCTTGTTAGACTGTTGGGTGGCCAAAGATTACAGGCAAAGACACTTCTATTGAACAGGACATTCCAGTGGCCAGGAGATCACCTTTCAGGGGGTGAGGGCTAAGGTGAGACCTCTCTCTTTAGGTAAGAAGAACGCTTCATTACAAATGCAATTATATACTCTGCTAAGTACATGAATTCTGAAGCATATTTTGAGATATAGTTGGAGTAATATCTCTTGAGAAAAAGTGCAAGAGTTAAAACCATGATGGAACCTAAAACTTGCAAAATACAGATTGTAGCTAAATGGCAGTACTACTTTTTTTAAAAAAAATGTTAAATACATATGTATTTTCTGAGACAGGGTCTCACTCTGTTGCCTAGGCTGGAGTGCAGTGGCGTGACCACATCCCACTGCAGCCTAAATTTTTAAATATTTAGTTGACAAAAATGTATGTATTCAAGGTCTAGAATGTAATGGTCTTATGTATGTACACATCTTATAATGATTACCACAATCAAATTAACTAACATACTCATTGCCACCCATAGTTACCATTTGTGTGTGTGTGTGTGTGTTCATGTGTGTATGTCTGTGTATGTTGGGAACACTTAAAATCACCTTGCTTATGAAAATTTAAGAAACATTTGTCCCCATGCTATACATTAGGTCCTCAGAGCTTATCCATCTTATAATTTCGTTTGTACCCCTTGACCAATATCTCCAGATACCTTCATTCCCACGTGCATTCACAAAAGCCAAGATATGAAAACAACCTAAGTGTCCATCAGCAAATGAATGAATCATAAAATGTAGTACCTATGCAGAGTGCAACACTCTCCAGCCTTAAAAAAGAAGGAAACCTTGTCAATTACAACAACGTGGATGAAACTGCAGGATACTATGCTTCATAAAATAAGCCAGGTACAGAAAGATAGATATCGCATGATGTCACTCACGTGTGCCCTCTGAAATTTGAACTCATGAAAGCAGAGAGTAATACTTTTGCAGGTAGAAAGCTGTCTCTTAATTCCTTGAACAACACTTAGCGGGACATTGGTTCATCTTCCTTTAAATCTAAGCGCTTTGGGTAACAAAGAAGATTGTGCTATTTATATATTAGTAGAATTAACGTGACATTTGCATGAAAACCAAAGTTTTTGTTTTTTCAGTTACATCCCGTATACTTTTATGCATATGCATAATTGCTTATAATAGTAAAATTATTGGAAGAGTAAATTAGCAAACAGCATCAGAAGCACTGGTTTGGACAGTTGACCTGTACCATTCTGCAAAAATTGCAACAGGCATCAGAGATTTTGTATTTGAATTTTCCATGGGTTTGAAATAGTAGTACTTCAAATTATATGGTGTAGACGTATGGACGTAGATCAAGTATTGCCCTATGAACAAAACCGCTCCCATGACTGTTAAAAGCAAAGTTGCACGTCATTGTGAAGAATGTCACTATTCCTTCAAAACTCATTGAAAGTCTGCTTTTGAATCTGCTTTCCTGAGTCTCCATTGATCATCATCAGAAAATAAATTTCCAATTGTAAAATAAAACAGGATGGGTTAGATATTTCTGCCTCCCAGAATCACTGTGATGCACCTGGATTCCTGAACACATTAGTGCGTGGTTTCAGAAATTTTAAAAAATGCTCCATGAAGCGAGACATGTGTCTCAGGTTGTATGCATTTGTTTTCTTGTAATCCAGACATGCATGGCTGGGACGTGTATCCCAATGAAAGCGAAACTCCCAGGGTAACTCTGAGCTTGTTCTTCCCTGCACAGCAATCACGCCACTCACGAATCCATTGCGTCTTTGTCTTCTGACCTTCAGTATCCTGTGCTTTTTTTTTTCTTAGCACTATTATGTATTTCGCAGATGCAATTTTCTCTCAAATTGCACTTTGAATAAGGTCACTCAGTTCTTAATTCCAAAACTTTTGACACCTCACTCGATGTTGTCGCCGGGGACCTACTTGCTATTCTGAGATGGCTGTGCTTCTGATGGCTGAGAATTAACCTGAAGTGCCGGTTTCTGAATGCTCGATGCTTCTTGGGAGACTGGAGTCGATAGTGCCTTTGGTGGTGCTTCATGCCAAATGCTGATGCAGTCTGAGGCTTGGCGGAGGCAGGTGGTGAGGGAGGGAGGTTTGGAATATAAACAAAGCCTTTTCTGAGACAAAACTAGGGACTGTGTTTAATCTCAGATTGGTTCACACACTTTTGTGATGTGCTTCTTCTTTAGAGAAATGTGCTTTATGTATGTAGCACAATTAAGGGATGCTATTATCCTTCCTTGAAATTTGGAATCAAGATAGCAAGCTCCATATTGATTTTGGACACTGTTTCCCATTCATATCTAGGGTCGGAGAAGGATGGAAAAATTTTTGGCCATACCTAAGGTGGAACTGGCAGAGGTGGGGTTTAATCCAGTGTGAAGAGAAAGGGGGAAGAGGTGAGCAAAGTTTTTTTTGGAGGGTTGGGGGAAGATGTGGTGAGGATCAGAGAGTCAGGGCACCAAGCTCCAATTCAAAGTTGTTTGCCCTGAATTTTTAGTTCCATGCACATCTCAGGGTGTGCTATGGCACCATTACTGGGCAATGACTCTGTTTCCATTCTCGGTGAGCTGCTGTGTGTGTCCTCCCCTACCGAGTTTGGTCTGCAGCCAAACTTTTGTTGTTCCTTTAAATAACTTCCAGTTGTACTATAGAGTGAATTGGAGGAGTCCAGCAAGAGAAAAAACACGCAAATCTTTTTTTCTTTTTTTTAAAGACATGGTCTTGCTCTGTTGCCCAGGCTGGAGTGCAGTGGTGCAATCAAAGCTCACTGTAGCCTTGACCTCCTGGGCTCAAGCAGTCTTCTCACCTCAGCCTCCCGAGTAGCTGGGACTACAGCTGTGCACCACCACACCCAACTTTTCTTCTCTTTCTTTTCTTTCTCTCTTTCTCTCTTTTCTTTCTTTCTTTCTCTTTCTTTCTTTCTTTCTTTCTTTCTTTCTTTCTTTCTTTCTTTCTTTCTTTCCTTCCTTCCTTCCTTCCTTCCTTCCTTCCTTCCTTCCTTCCTTCCTTCCTTCCTTCCTTCCTTCCTTTCTTTCTTTCTTTTCAGACAAGGTCTCCCTATGTTTTCTAGGCTGGTCTCCAATTCCTGAGCTCAAGCAATCCTCCTACCTCAGACTCCCAAAGTGCTGGGATTACGAGAGTAAGCCACTGTGCCCGGCCAAAACAAGCAACTTTGTGAGTTAGTTGAGGCAGCAGATGGCTCTGGGTAGACTCTGACAAGTATAGTGGATAAAATTGTGTTTCCCTCCAAAAAATGATATGTCTGCATCCTAGCACCAGCACCTGTGAATGTGATCTTATTTGAAAACAGAGTTTTTGAAAATGTAATCAAGTTACAATGAGATAGGTCATTCTGGGTTAGAGTGAGCTCCAGTGCAATGACTGGTATTCTTATAAGAAGGTGGAAATTTCTGGCCAGTCATGGTGGCTTACACCTGTAATCCAAGCACTTTGGAAGGCCAAGACAGGAGGATCATTTGAAGCCAGGAATTTGAGACCATACTGGGCAACATAGTGAGATCCCATCTCTACAAAAAATTAGAAGAGCTTAACCAGGTGTGGTGGGCACGCCTGTATTCGCAGCTACTTGGGAGGCTGAGATGGGAGGATCACTTGAGCCCACAAGTTGGAGGCTGCAGTGAGCTATGATCACACCGCTGCAGTCCAGCCTGGGTTACAGAGAGGCCCCATGGTTTTTTTGTTTTGTTTTGTTTTTTGTTTTTGTTTTGCTTTTCTAAGACGGAAATTTGGACACAGACACACAGAAAAGAAGGTCTCATGACGACAGAATCAGAAATTAGAGTGATGCATTGACAAGTCAAGGAACACCAGCAAGCACTAGTAGCTGGGGCAGAGGCGTGGGACAGATTCTGTCTCAGATCCTCCAGGAGGAAACAACGCTGCCCACACTTTGGTTTCAGATTTCTCGTCCCCAGTAAATTTCTGTTCTTTTAAGCCACCCAGTGTGTGGTACTTTGTTACGGTAGCCTTAAGAAACTAAGCCAAGGAAGGAACATGAAAAAATGACTTTTGAAGCTGCCTACTTCTCAGATATCAAAAGGCAGAGGGAAGTATTCGCTGTGACCAGGACCAAGAGATATGACATCTGTGCCATTTGGCACCACAGAGGTTCTCATGGATTGGAAAAGTGGTGGGGAGGATGCTCAGATGCTGAGAAATAGGGGTGTGCACTACACGACACTAGAGGAAGAGCCGCAATGACCAGCCAGTGTGGTGAAGGTAGCTCTTCCTGGTGGATGCAATGATAGCAAAATTGCAAGTGAAGGCAGAAGGTGCTCACTGAGACTTGAAAGCTTGAGCAGATGCCCCTTGATATTAAAGATCCTGTGGGAAAAGGACTCCAGGGATTCAGCATATAAGAGCAAAGATATTTCCACTTTTAAACCCTTAAATACTGTAAAGAAAACACTATCTGTTCTCATAAACAGTGGAAGCAGAGAGTGAGGATATTTTAGGATGCCAAGGTCTTTGTTAACCTCAAAAATCTCTGGATTGCCAGTTACATTTTAAAAATGTCCATTTCTACCTATATCTTCTTTATTAAGTTACTGCCTCAAAATTCTGTTGTTTTTCTCGTGACTGTCTATCCTTTTTTTATACAGGCTATTCAGTAAGAATTCTAGGCCTTGCATTGTGGAGAACAGTTTGGAGATTTCTCGGAGAACTTAAAATAGAACTACCATTTGACCTAGCAATCACATTACTGGGTGTCTACCCAAAAGAAAACAAATCGTTCTACCAGAAAGTCACATGCACTCGTATGTTCATTTCACAACAGCAAAGACATGTAATCAACCTAAGTACCCACCAACAGTGGACTGGATAAAGAAAATGTGGAACATATACACCATGGAGTAGCACGCAGCTGTGAAAAGGAACAAGATCATATCCTTTGCAGCAACGTAGATGGAGTTGAAGGCCATTATCGTAAGAAAATTAATGCAGGAAAAGAAAACCAAATGCCAAATGTTCTCACTTATAAGTAGGAGCTAAATACTGAGTACACATGGACATAAAGATGGGAACAATAGGCACTGGGGACTACCAGAGGCTGAAGGGTGAGGAGGGGGGCCAGGGTTGAAAAACTAACTATTGAGTATTGTGCTCAATACCTGGGTGATGGGTTCCTTCACTCCACAAACCTCAGCATCACACAATTTGCCCAGATAACAAACCTGCACGTGTACCCCCTGAGTCTAAAATGGAAGTTGAAATTATCGTTTTTAAAAAAGAACCCAGGCTTCAATCACAGAAGCCAGCAATTGAAACCCTGCTTTCATGCTTACTTACTGAGTGGTTTTGGAGTTATTAAAGTTTCACTGTTCTCTGAGCCTTAATTGATAATATTGATAGCATAAGGCTGGTAGTACCTACTTCCTCATGTTGTTATGAAAATTAAAATTGACAGTTTGTGAAATGCACTGGATATATCCTTGTAATGCACTCATATGTTCATTGCACTAACTCCGTGGTCCTAAGTGGGCTGTATACTTTCATGAAGCTCCTGATTCTGTGTAAGAAGTATGGGTGAAAATTGCTAGGTGTTCTTAAAAGCTTAGACAGGAAAAGAGAAGAAAGATTTCTTCTGACTTATAAAGTATAACACAAGACTGATTGGGTCAGATCAACCATATGCAAATTCACCTAAAAGAGGTTTGTTTTAAGGAAAATATAAATTTAGCTTACATTGTGTTATGTCACTAAAGCTAGAGGAAAATGACATACCATTGGAGTGTTGTCAATTATGGAATTACAGATACAGGAGAGTCTTGGGACAAAACTCATAAATATCCATCCAAAATATTTATCAGGAGAGAAGAATCATTCTAAGAGTGCTAGACACTAAGAATAAAGATATATATGTATATTCCATAAATATCACAGCTTTAAGATGGTAATACCCAGGCTGGGCGCGATGGCTCACGCCTGTAATCCCAGCACTTTGGGAGGCTGAGGATGGATCATGAGGTCAGGAGTTCGAGACCAGCCTGACCAGCATGGTGAAACCCCGTCTCTACTAAAAATACAAAAAATACAGGCATGGTGGCATGTGACTGTAATCCCAGCTACTTGGGAGGCTGAGGCAGGAGAATTGCTTGAACCCGAGAGGCGGAGGTTGCAGTGAGCCGAGATCACACCACTGCACTCCAGCCTGGGCTACAGAGAAAGACTCTGTCTCAAAAAAAAAAAAAAAAAAAAGATGGTAATACCCTGATGTTGGTAGAGATTGGGATGGACATCATAGATCATAGCTTGGTCTGATTCTATGTTCAGAAAACAACCCTTATTAGTTTTTAAAGACAGGGTCTTGATCTGTTGCCCAGGCTGGAGTGTAGTGGCACAATCATAGCTCACTGTAGCCTTGACCTCCTGAGCTCCTGTGATCCTCCTGTCTCAGCTTCCAAGTAGCTATAGGTGCGTGCCACTACATTTGGCTAAATTTTTAGTTTATTATTATTATTATTATTATTTAATTTTTCTGCAGAGATGGGGATCTCACTGTGTTTCCCAGGCTGGTCTCAAACTCCTAGGCTCAAGCAATCTTCCTACCTTAGTGTCTCAAAGTTCTGGGATTACAGGCATTGAGTCACCATGCCTGGCCGGAATGCAACTTTTAAATTGTACTTTGGTTTCCCACATAAATTTGCTTAGATGCATTTTCTGGTCTAATTGTTAAATTTCCCACTTGGAAAAAAAAAAAAAGAGAGAGAGAGAGAGAGACAGGCTCATGCCTGTGATCCCAGCACTTTGGGAGGCTGAGGCAAATGGATCACTTGAGGTCAGGAGTTCGAGACCAGTCTGGCCAACATGGTGAAATCCCATCTCTACTAAAAATACAAAACTTAGCCAGGCGTGGTGGCGTGTACCTCTAGTCCCAGCTACTTGGGAGGCTGAGGCACAAGAATCACTTGAACCGGGAGGCAGAGGTTGCAGTGAGCCCAGATCATGCCACTGCACTCCAGTCTGGGTGACAGAGGGAGAATTTGTCTCAAAATAAAAATAAAAAATAAAAAAGGAAGCAACACACAAATAAGCATACTTGTGTTGTACAGCAATCCCACTGGTTAATACTGTTTCACTGCTGAACAGTACATTCAGTTTTAATTTCTGAGGTTTCAGACTGAAGACCAGACCTTGCACCAGGATTCTATTCATCCATGTGAGACATTTGGGGCTGTTTGGTCATCTTTTGATAACCTCCTTCTTAATGTCTCTGCATTAGTTAGCTATGCTGTGCAACAAAATACCACAAACTTGGCAACTTAAAGTGGCATGCATTTATTAGCTCGTTATATGAGGCTGAGATGTCTTGCATGGCTTACTGGGTTCTGTGTTCTAGGTCTTCCCAGGGTACAGTTGAGGAGTTGCCCAGACTGTGTTGTTTTTCTGGAACTCAGGGTGTTCCTCCAAGCTCACGCAGTTGTTGCTTGAATTCAGTTGAAGTTGCAGAACTTGAAGCCATATTCACTGAGTGTCTTCCAGGTTCCTGCAACATCAATGAATCTCCTTTTTTGGGAGAGACAGGTTCTTACTGTGTCATCACTTAGGCTGCAGTGCAGTGGTGCGATCATGGCTCACTGCAGCCTTGACCTCCTGAGCTTGAGTAAGCCCCCAGCCTCAGACTCCCAAGTAGCTGGTACTACAGGTGTGTGCCACTACACTCAGCTATTTTTTTTTTTTTTTAAATTTCTTGTAGAGACAGAGGTCTCGCTATGTTACCCAGGCTGGAGTACAGTGGCATGATCATAGCTCACTGCAGCCTCAAACTCCTGGGCTTACGCGATCCTCCCACCTTAGCCTCCCAAGTTGCTAGGATTACAGGCACATGCCACCATGCCCAGTTAATTTTTGTATCTTTTGTGGGGATGGTCTCTCACTCTGTTGACATGATTCCGTTATATAGGTAGTTCACAACATAGTAGCTTACTTCTTCAAGGTCACCGGGATAATCTTTCACACAGGCTGTTAAGACATAGTCTTTGATGAACATAATCTAATTATGAATGCACCATCACTTGTGTCATATTCCATTGGTTAGAAGCAAGTTACAGGTCTGTTGGCACAAAAAATAAAGGAGAGTATTCAATGGTGGAGTCGTTGGGGTTCATCTTGGTGTGTTCACCACAGACTCCTGATGTATTATTTTTCTCAATGGATTCCTGGTCAAATGTCAATTTTTAACCACAAAAAGGTTGTTAAGAGGACAAAATTATATTTAGTGGGGTTATTGTCCTCAATTTCCGTGTGAGTTTCTGCTGAGGATCCTGAATCACCCAGCAAGGGAGAATAGACCACATATCGGTAGGAAATGGCAAACCAACTGGTCACATTCCATTCTCCACATCTGACAAAACTTGGAAGAAGTTCACTCAAGGGAATGTGAATTGCAGTTAAAAAAACAATTAAAGTAGTGACACTTTTCTGCTGCTTTTAATATGCACTCATTGTTAATGAAATGCTAGTCCCTTTCTTTGTGTAAACTATCAAATCTCATGTCCTCATGTCTGATGTGTTAGCATATTGTTTGTGTGATTACATGTGGTGTCACAACATCATGAATGAATCCTATTTTTAATGTACTGCATAAAGAACAAGCAGGGATTATAAAGTGAGATTGTCACTTTTTTAAAAAAAAATTTTTAGACAGGGTCTCATTCTGTTACCTAGACTGGAGTGCAGTGGTGCAATCATAGCTTACTGCAGCCTCAACCTCCTGAGCTCACATGATCCTCCCACCTCAGCCACCCGAGTAGCTGGGACTACAGGCCCACACCACAATGCCCAGCTAAGTTTTGCGTTTTTTTGTAGAGAGGGGGTTTTGTCATGTTGCCTAGGCTAGTCTTCAACTACTGAGCTCAAGTGATCCACCCACCTCGGCTTCCCAAAGTGCTGGGATTGCAGGAGTGCACCACTGCACCTGGCCAGATTGTCACTTTAATTGCACCAACAAATTAATACAGATCACAGAGAGGTTGACATTCATCTATTAATGTATTGCCATGCTTAAAAGACCAGCTGTATTTATTTTGCCTCAAATGCATCTTCTCTGGCCAGTGTATAGGTTTTGTTTTCTAAATAGGGCATCTTCTATTAAGAATAATGCAACGGTCATTTAAATCTTCACCAGTAGTGACCTTGCTCTCACTCCATGAATTAAGTTATCAGATTTATCCTGTAGTTCAGGCACAAATGAATTATGACTGAGGGCAAATCTTATATTATTAGATGGGGGCAGTGGGACTTGCAGATGCAATTGATGGAATTATAGGAGCATCACATATGCAGACCAGGTTATTATTAAAGTCGAGATCACTTTGGTTTTCAAGTCTCTCCCACTGTTAGTTTTCCCCAGAGTTTATTCTTAAGGATTTTCTTGATATCAGTGGGTGCAGAACGAATTAAGAACATTACCAAAATTATGTAAATGTTTGTGTCTACTGCCTGTTAGCTATGATGTGGTTGAGATGGAAGCATCAATTTTAACCTGTCTCAAGACCGAGCCATGTCTTTAATTAAAGTAGAACCATTGGAATCCTACGCATGCACAATTACTCAGCATACACTCCAAAACCCTTATCTTATTTTAAAAATGTTTTTATCTGTATACATGTAAGAGGTACAAGTGCAGTTTTGTTACACAGGTACATTGCATAGTTGTGAAGTCTAGGCTTTTAATGTAACCATCACTTGAATGGTGAACATTGCATCCAATAGGTAATTTTTCATCCCTCACTCCTCCTTCCCAACCCAATCCTTCTCAGTCTCTAATGCCCATGATTCTACACTCTATGTCTTCCTGTACACATTATTTAGGTCGCACTTATAAGTGAGAATTTATGGTATTTGACTTTCTGTTTCTGTGTTATTTCACTTACGAGAATGGCTTTCAGTTCAAGCCATGTTGCATCAAAAGACACAATTTATTTATTTATTTTTGTCCCAGAATTTATTCTTGAGGATTTTCTTGATATCAGTGGGTGGAGCATGAATTAAGAACACTACCAAAATTATGTGTAATTTTCTTTATCCAATCATTTTCTTTATCCAATCGCATTTTCTTTCTCCAGTCATCTGTTGGACACTTAGGTTGATTCCATATCTTTGCTATTGTGAATAGTGTTACAATAAACATATGAGTGCAGATGTCTTTTTGACAGGGTGGTTTCTTGTCCCTTTAATGCACTCTATTTGTGTAGGACCAAGAATCAAGATGTTCCTGTAAGTCAAGAGCATTTTTTCGTGTTCCCCCTCAGTCACCAAGTAAGCTGTGTTGCTCAGGGAAAAAGTTCTTCCAATTATTTGCACTGGGGTTTGAGCTAAAAATGAGCTAAAAATGGGTTTTCATTACCAAGGATAAACTACATTGTTTTACTTACTTTCTACCATTTGTTTGCAGGAGTTCCATTTGTGCCCAAACTTTACTTCCCCAGAAGTTTAAAGGCGGTGTCTCAGGATGACTCATGCTAAATCTTACGTGAATAGCCCTGCTATTCTACATGCAAGGTTGCTCGTGGGTGCTATTGATTTTGGAATCTGCATCCAAGCTGGGTCTCTTGGCCCCCGCCACAATGCAGGGGCATCTCAGCACATGCAGCCTCTGATGAGACCAAATTCTCTCAAGCTCTCAGAGGACTCAATTTGTTAAAGCAATGCTATAGTCTATGCAGAATTGATAAGAAACAGTCACCCTCCCTTCTAAGCTCTGCTTGTTGATATGAGCAGCTTAGAGGCAAATCTGAGTCTAATGTCTTGCCCAAGTGCACATCAGTCGTTTCATTGCAGATAAATAATAATTGGTGACCCAAAAATATGACGCTTGATGGATCATGAGATAGAAACTTGAAGAAAGAAAGAAAGAAAAAGAACAGATATTCTGCTCCATTTATCAAATGAACCTAATACTGTTTATTAAGAGTAAGTTTAAAATCAGACACTAATAATATGTGAGAAAAATGTTACTTTTGTTTGGGGGTAATGCCAGTGATGGCTTATGAAATCATAGAATTTATCATTAAACTTTCCATTTTCCATTGGTCCTAATGGAAGGACCTATGTTCCTATTCTGAATTGAAGGTCTCTTTTGCCATGCACATGACATATGGGTAATATTTAATTAGACTGAATAAATTAGAGGAATGATATCTGCTTTCAAGTCCCAGAGCATTCTGGCTTTTCTTCTATGGACTGACTTCATGGCTCTCCTAATTATCTCCTTGGCCTTGGTTAGTTAACTGGGTTAAGAGGTCAGAAGATCTTAAAACAAAAACAGTATTCCTAACTTGATTTTTCTCACCCTCATTAATTTTTAGAAGGATGCTTTAAAGTAGGAATATTACTTTCTTCCTATGTTTGAAATATGGATCAAGAGACTTGCATTTGGACCACACTTCTTGGAAATGGACGGGGCCCCCCAAAGCAGTCCCTTGAATATCTGCACATTTAATAAATGAGCGTATTCATTGGACATTTTCTTTACTGGGCATGGCAGATCGGTCTTGACCATACTCTACTTTTCTTTAGAGTGAAGCCATTTTTCTTGAGTTGCAGAGCAGTTGCTGCAGTATTAAATCAGAGTTGTTGTGGCAGAACCAGGCACATACGGGCGATAAAATGCCCAGATTGGAGCTGATTGGTATATCAAATTATGGGAGGATTATCCAGGCTGACAACGTGACGGGTTTATCTTGCCTCAAAAATGGAAATGTTACTTCCTTCCACTGCAGGATGGCTTATTAATAAGAACATCAGTGGATGAGTGGGCTTGCTGGGGAGGAGGAAGGATGAAGGAGTTTACCTTGTTCAAGGACAAGTCAGATTTTCTTCTCTGTAAAAAAGGAAGGCAGGTCTGGCACCGTGGCTTATGCCTGTAATCTTAGTACTTTGGGAGGCCAAGGCAGGGGGATTGCTTAAGCCAAGGAGAGGGAGACCAGCCTGGGCACCATAGTGAGACCCTATCTCTACAAAAAAATTTAAAAGCTGGGTGTGGTGGTGAGCACATGTGGTCCTAGCTACTTGGGAGGCTGAGGTGGGAGAATCACTTGAGCCCAGAAGTTGGAGGTTGCAGTGAGCCGGGACTGTGCCACTGCACTCCAGCCTGAGTGACAGAGTGAAAAAAATTTTAAAAAGTGAGAAATAAAAAAGGAAAGCAGGTAAATTATATGTATACCAGGTAATATGGTGATTTGCTGGACATTTGGTTACAAAGTAAAAGGGAGAGTAAAACTTAGGGAATAATAGAGAACATTATTAAAAATCAAACTCACCAATTCTCTAGAAAACGCAATAGAGAAAGAAAGGACTGAACTAGGTGTATTAGTCTGTTTTCATGCTGCTGATAAAGACATACCCAAGACTGGGCAATTTACAAAAGAAAGTGGTGTAATGGATGTACAGTTCCATGTGGCTGGGGAAGTCTCACAATTATGACAGAAGGCAAGGAGGAACATGTCATGTCTTACATGGATGGCAGCAGGCAAAGAGAAAGAGCTTGTGCAGGGAAACTCCTGTTCTTAAAACCATCAGATCTCGTGAGACTTATTCACTATCACAAGAGCAGCACGGGAAAGACCCGCCCTCATGATTCAATTACCTCCCACCAGGTCCCTCCCACAACACGTGGGAATTCAAGATGAGATTTGGGTGGGGACACAGCCAAACCATATCACTAGGTGATTGTTTTTCTTCTCTTGTTTCACTGGTCTTAGTCTCCTTGGCCTCAGCTAGACCATAAGAAAGAGCAAACGTGTGCTTTGTTGTTATTTATTACTATCTGATCCAATCATGATATTTTAGAGCCAGTTTTCTTCTCCTGAAAACCTGGGGCAGTTTGCATCATAAACCACAGCAAGAGAGATCAACAGTGATTAAGTGGCAAGCAGTGCTACTGAGAACAAGTTTTTCACAACACGCTAAAGTCATACAGTGCAGAGCTTCCCTAAGCACCCAAGAAACACATTCAACACCCTTAGAGCCAAGAGACAAGAAGCTTGGAGTCCTGTTGGTTTCATGAATACTCTAGGAGTATGAAGGACCCAGCAGGGGCCTGAGATGGGAAAATAATTATGTAAACTCAGATGGCCAGGGATGTTGTTTGAACAAATCATAGGATGGGATGTTGTTTGAACAAATCATAGCTCCACAAATCCCCTTTAAAACTGCAGTCTGGCATGAAAAGCCCTATTAGAATTTCAAAACAAGGTAGCCTCCAATCTTCACAAAGCTGCACTTTGGGGATCAGAGCAGGGATTCCCAGGAGAACACCACAGAACCATAATCACTCTACTCTGCTAGAGTAAACTTTTTTTTTTGGACATTCAGGTTGCTTTCAAGTGCATTTCACAAACTCCTGGGTCATGGTGGTGGGCAGATTTTCAGGTGGCCCTCAGGACCTTCACCTCCTGGAGTTCATGCCCTTCAACAACCCACTCATCTTGAATGTGGGCAGGAGGTGTGACCAATGAAAAATGGCTATGGTGATGAGTTGTCTGTCACTCCCAGGACTACATCTTCCTAGGTGACTCTCTATGGTCTTGTTCTCCTTGCTGACTTTGTAGATATGAGCTTCCATTTGTCCTGAATACAGTAGGAAATGAATTCTGCCAATAACCCAAGATAGCTGGGAAGAGAACCCTTTTCCAGTTATGAAGACACAGCTATGGCTGACCTCTGATTGCAGTATTACTTAGCATTACTAAGGCCTTTCAAGACTGAATAATATTCCATTGTGCATGTATATCCCATTTTATTTATCCATTCATCCATTGATGGACAATTAGGTTGATTCCATATCTTGGTTATTGTGAATAGTGCTGCAATGCACGTGGAAGTGCAGACATCTCTACAACATACTGATTTCCATTCTTTTGGGTACATACCCAGAAGTGCAATTGCTGGATCATCTGGAGTTCTATTTTTAATTTTTTTTTTCTTTTTGTGGAAACTCCATGCTGTTTTGTATAATGGCTGCACTAATTTACCTTCCTGGCAACAGTGTGATAGGGTTCCCTTTCTCCACATTCTCAACAACACTTGTCGTATTTTGTCTTTTCTTTTTCTTTTTAAAGTATGAATGTTTACAGTGGCTTTATTTGTAAAGACAAAATATGGAAAAACGTCAGATGTCCTTCATCAGGTTAATGAATGAACTAAAGCAGGGGTCCCCAAGGCCATGAAGGGTCCAGGCCATGGAGCAGTAACAATCCATGGCCCATTAGGAACTGGGCCATATAACAAGAGGTGAGTGGTGAGCGAGTGAAGCTTCATCTCTATTTACAGCCACTCCCCATTGCTCACATTACCACCTGAACTTTGCCTCCTGTCAGATCAGCAGCAGCATTAGATTCTCATAGGAGTGTGAACCCTATTATGAAATGTGTTTGCGAAGGATCTAGGTTGTGCATTCATTATGAGAATCTAATGCCTGATGATCTGTCATGTCTCCCATCACCCCCAGGTGGGACTGTTCAGTTGCAGGAAAAGAAACTCAGGGCTTCCACTGATTCTACATTATAGTGAGTTGTATAATTATTTCATTATATATTATGATGTAACAATGATAGAAATAAAGTGCACAATAAATGTAATGCACTTAAATCATCCCAAAACTATACTGGCCCCAGCCCTCAACCTCCACTCAGTCCATGGAAAAATTGTCTTCCACGAAACCAGTCCCTGGTGCCAAAAAGGTTGGGGACCACTGAACTAAAGGTAGTAAATCCATCCATAAAATGTATTGCTACTCATTAAAAAAAAGTAATGAACTGCTGAAACATGCTACAATGTGGAAGAATCTCAAAATAATTTTGCTAACATAGAAACTAGAGAAAAAACTACATAGGTTTTATTACAATTATACAAAATTTCAGAAAATCTAAACTAATTTTTCAGTTTGGCTGGAAGTTTTTTCTCACGAGTCAGCCTAGGGTTAGATTTGGCTTTCTTGTCAATCACCATCTGACAAGAATAGAAATAGATTCACAGTTCTTGGCATTGCCAATGTGTTCGTGACCTTTAAGACTTATCTAACCACAAAAGTAACTGGCAAGCTGTAATCTATGCCCTTTTGATAATAGCCATCTTAACAGGTGTGGGCTGATGTCTCCTTAAAGTTTAAATTTGCATTTCCCTGATGATTAATGATGTTGAGCCTTTTTTTTTTTATATGCTTGTTGGCCCTTTGCATGTCTCTTGAGACAAGTGTCTTTTAAAAGTGATTATACCCTTCTGTTTAACAGGTAATTTTATCACACAGAGATGCTGCTACTTTCAATATTGTTCTTTTCATGGATTAAATACTGCATAACAATTTCTCTATTTAAATATTCACTCCATATGTGTTTAGTTTATAGTATAAATTTTCCAAATTGTACAATCTGGTAGTCCTATGTACATGATGGTCTTTTCTCATCCACATCTTCTAAAGAATCCCCTCCAAGAAGGCTTCCACAAATACTGGGGCCATGTCATTCTGCAGAAAATTTCTTGCCAACTCCAGCCTTGGCTAAACCCAGCATTATTTTTTCCATTCATCACTGCGGAGAAAATAGGGAAAAAATGTAAATTACAACACTGGGTCGAATGTTTTGCTTTTTATTTCATTAATTTCACTGGGACACTCAAGGATGCTTGGCAACCTGTTAATTTGTCTCTAACTGAAACACTTTGTCAGCTGGGCGCAGTGGCTCAAGCCTGTAATCCCAGCACTTTGGGAGGCCGAGATGGGTGGATCACGAGGTCAGGAGATCGAGACCATCCTGGCTAACACGGTGAAACCCCGTCTGTACTAAAAATACAAAAAATTAGCCGGGCCTGGTGGCGGGCGCCTGTAATCCCAGCTACTCGGGAGGCTGAGGCAGGAGAATGGCGTGAACCCGGGAGGCGGAGCTTGCAGTGAGCCGAGATCACGCCACTGCACTCCAGCCTGGGCGACAGAGCAAGACTCCATCAAAAAAAAAAAAATAAATAAAAATAAAAAAAAAAAGAACAAGATGAAACACTTTGTCCACATCAGCTTTCATAAGTATTGTTTATTCTTATCAAGCCCTCAAGCCTATTTTAACTCTTTCCTTTAAAAAAGCAGCTTCATTATGGTATAATTCGCATACCACAAATTATACCCTCTTAAAATTTGGTGAGTTTTGACAAATGTTTACTCATGGTTAATCAGAAAAACCACCAAAATATATGATGTTTCCATCAACTTAAAGATTCTTTTCAGTATTTTTGCAATTGGCATATCTTCCACTCCCCTCATTCTCTGGAAGCTACTAATCTGCTTTGGCTATCTAGTTCTGTATACAGTTTGCTTTTTCTAGATTTAAATAGGAACAAAATTACACGGCTTTCATTTTGTTTTTTCTTAGATTTTTTTAAAACTTAGAGTTATGTTTTGAGATGCATCTTGCGGTTTCCATGCAGACGGCACAATCAACAACTCCCTCCAATGTCAAGTTTGGTTAGGATGTATAGACTGATGACACCACATGCCCCAAGAGAATATGACATTTGTTATTCACATAATGAGACTTTATGGGGAACTGTGGAGTCAGGGGATGACACAAATTTGTCCAGAATGATTTGAGCAAGGCAGCAAATGGTGACTTTGGTTTTTATTATTATTAGGTGGCACCAGCTGGGGTTTGCATGGTTTGAACTACTCACTGTCACTAGGAGAGGTTGCATGCAGATATTGTCATCAGTTTGCCCAGATGTGGAGGCCAAAGGAGAAGATGTAGGTCGGGCTCGAAAACTCTCATGTATCAAATGTGAAGTCAGAATATACAAAAAACTAAAACAACAGTAAATAAAACAAATAATGCCATTTAAAAATGGGCAAAGGAAATAAAGAGACATTTCTCCAAAGAAGATATATAAATGGCCAACAGGTATATGAAAAAATACTCATCATAACTATCATCAAGGAAATGCAAATCAAACCCGCTATGAGATATCATCTCAACCAAGGTAGAATGGCTATTAATAAAATACAAAAAGTAACAGATAATGTCGAGGATGTGGAGAAAAAGGAATTCTTATACACTGTTGGTGGGAATGTAAATTAGTACAGCCGCCATAGAGAACAGTATGGAGATTTATCAGAAGACTAAAAATAGAATTACAATAAGATCCAGCATTCCAACTCCTGGGTATTTATTCAAAGGAAAAGAAATCAATATCTCACAAAGATACCTGCACCTCCATGTTTATTGCAGCACTATTTACAATAGCAAAGATATGGAATCAACCTAAGTGTTCATCAGTGGATGATTGGATAAAGAAAACATGGTACATAAACACAATGGAATCCTATTCAGCCATAAAAAGACTAAAATCATAAACCAGGCACAGAAAGACAAATATCTCATATTTTCACTTATACATGGGAGATAAAAAAGTGGATCTCATGGAGTTAGAGACGGGTTATGTTATGGGAATGGGGGATGAGGGAGGTTAGTTAACCCTTTTCCCATTTGCCAGGGGCAACTTACCAGGGGCACTTGGGGCTGCGGTGTTTACAACGAGACAACTTTGCCCTGTAATATCTCACTTTTATTATTATTTTCACATTGCTCTAGTATGTCGACTTTGGGAACAAAACACAGCATTGTATTTTTAGTAGTGGCAATTCCATTTACAAAAATATAGCAATTCTTCATTGCTGAAAATGTTAAATCCTAGAAAACATAGCATTCCTACATGTGATGTTAACATTGATCTCTAACAGTTGTTGGCTGAAGTTTCATTTCATGAATCCAGTTTTCCTGAAATAGACGACTCTGATGATTCAGGTGATTCTTATGCTAGTTCTGTTTACAAATAACACCAATAACAGTTTTTATATCTTATGTTCACATTGAAAATCAGTCAGACTTGCTTTGGCCTCAAAGAGCGTATTTCTGTAAAATTAAATAAGCACTGACAGAAAGCTGCACTTTTATTTTCTAAATGGTAAAAGTAGCGGGTACTAACATATATTTAGGTAGAAAAAAGAAGTTATTATGTTCAATAGCAGGGTAAGGTGACTATATTTAACAACAATGCAATATCGATAAACTTTTAGCTAGACTTCTCAAGGAAAAAATAAAATTAAAATTAATTTTTAAAACAGAAACATCCAAGTTGTATGTGAGCAGTTTCTTCCTACTTATTGCTGAGTAGTAGATGATATTGGAAACAGACCATGAATTGTTTATCCAGTTAACTGATAATGAATATTTAGCTTATTTCTAGTTCGATGCTATTAGGAATAATGCTACCATGAATGTTAGCATCAAAGTCTTTCTGTGGACATGTTCTTATTTCTCTTAGGAATTTCTGTCCTAGGTATTTCACTAGGTCATATTGTAAAGGGATAGGTAATTTTATAAGAAATTGGCAAACTGTTTTCCCAAGTGGTTGTGACATTTTTACACTCTCACAAGAAAAATCCGACAGTTCCAGTTTCTCCCCTTCATCACCTACGTATGGTATTTTTAGATCTGTTTGTTTCTTGCTTTCAGACTTTCTAATGATTTAATGATAATCTCATTGTAGTTTTAATTTGCATTTGTACTGATGTGCGTCTTTTCATGCGCTATTGATTATTAATATGACTTCATTTGAGAAATGTCTATTCCAATATTTGCCCATTAAAAATTACATTATTGGACTTGAGTTGTGAGAGTTAATTATATTTAGAATACATAAACTTTGTGAGACACATAATTTCATTTGGTTAATTATTCTCTAATGTCTTTTAACAATGTTTTGTAATTTTCTGTGTACAGGTTTTGCACATAATTTGTTAAATATATAAGTATTTCATTTTTGATGTAACTGTAAATGCTTCGCAATTGAATTTTCATTAGGTTTTGGCTTGTATAAATCATACACTTGGTTTCACATATTTCCCTTATTTTCAGTTCCTTGGTTAATGCTCTCATTATTTCCGTGGGCTTTTTTGAAGAGTCTTTAAGATTTGCTGCATGCACGATAATTACATCTTCAAATAAAGACAGGTTCACTACTTTCTTGCTAGAGTATATAAAATTTCTTTTTCTTTATTTAGTTAATGGCTTGAACACCCAGTGCCATGTTAAAGAAAAATGGGTCTTAGAGGAAGAGCATTCAGTTTTTCATCAATAATTATGAAGTTAGCTGTCCTTTTTCTTTGTAGATGTCTTTTTGAGGTTAATTAATTCATTTTCTATTCCTAGTTTGCTGAAGTCTGTTTTTATAACTGTGTTTGTCACATTTTTTTCTGCGTCCTTTGAAATTTTTTTCTTATTCTGTAAATATGGTGACTTGCATTAATTTATTTTTTTTAGTACTGAATCTTCTTTCCATTCCTGGGATAAAGCTCAATTGGTCCTTATTTATCATGTATTTTATATATATTACCTGGTTTAATTTTCTAAAATTTCTGTCAAGGATTTCTGCATTTACGTTTATGAGAGATATTGGTAATGTCTTTTCTGGTTTTAATAGCAGAATAATGTGTGTTTCATAAGATGAATTGGAAGATGTTCCTTCCTTTTCATTTTTTGGAAGAGTTTATGTAGTATTGGTTTTATTTCTTTATTATAAATTTGGTAGAATTTACCAGTGAAACTGACTGGTTTCAGAGTTTTTCTTGTGGTGAGCTATTAATAATTAATTCCATTTTCTTAATAGATTTGGCCTATTCATCTTTTCCATTTCGTACCGTATCCGTTTCAGTTACATATTTCAAGAATTTACCATTTTTCTTCAAGATTTTATATTGGTTTACTCAAAGTCCTTCATAGTATTTCCTTATTATGTTTTTAAAGTTTGTAGAATCTGTAATAATTTATATTATAAAATCCCTGACATTGTTAAATTCTGTCTTTTTTTCCTTGAGAAGTCTAGCTAAAAGTGTTATCAATTTTATGAATCTTTACTAAAGAATCATCTTTTGGTTTCATTGATTTTCTTGTTTCCTTCTTTTTCTATTTTGATTATTTCTTTTTATATTGTTACTTTCACTCTTTTACTTAGCTTTTGTTTAACTTTTAGTTTTTTTTTTCTTTTTTCTAGCTTCTTCAATGGGAAACTTAGGTTTGGGAAACTTTCTTATTTTATAAGATTATTTAAAGCTTTAAGTTTCCCTGTAAGCATTAAGCTTTAGCTGAAAACTACCACTTTTATACTGTGTTTTAATTTTCATTCAGTCAACATATTTTTCTACTTCCCTTGCAATTATTTTTTTCTTCTTCCTGTGGACTATTTAGAAATGTGCTTTAAATTCCAAATAGGGGATTACTAGTTGTGTGTGTGTGTGTATGTGTGTGTGTGCATGTGTTTCAATTTTAACTCCACCATGCTCAGACTTCAATCATTTTAAATTTATGGGGACTTATTTCTCAGCTCGGCATGTGGTGAATCTTAATGAATGCCTTCTGGGCACTTAAAAATAATGTATTTTATCATTATGGAATATAGAGTTCTATAAATGTCACCTATGTTAATATTGCTGCTCATAGATGCTATATTCTTGTTGATTTTCTACCTACTTGTTCTAGCATTTACTGACTGGGGAGTCTTGGAATCTCTAAATGTAATTGTGGGTTTATCTATTTCTCCTTGCAGTTCTGTCAGTTTTTTTTTTTTTTTAATGTGTGTGTGCTGAAGTTCTTGTATTACCAAGTGCATACACACTCACAATTGTTATAATAGATTGACTCTTGTTTCCTTTTGAAATTCCCCTCTTTATCTTTGCTAATAGTTCTTGGCCTGAAGTGTACTTTGTCTGAGATTAATATTGTTTCTTTGCTTTTCTACAATTAACACTTAAATCACATGCTTTTTTTCTGTTGTTTTCTTTTAACCCCTTGTGAGATTTTGTTTTTAAATTGTATTTCTTGTAGAATGTAATTAGTAACAAGCCTGCACATGTACCCCTGAAACTAAAATACAAGTTTAAAAAAAGAATGTAATTACTTCTTTTGTGTGTGCGTGTCCTGTCTGATCATCTGTGGTTTTATTGGCATGCTTATTTTCAGTAATAAAATCATGAATATGGTTGGATGCAACTCTACTCTCTTGCTATTTTTTTTTTAAATTCATCTTATTTGTTCTCCGTTTCTCCTCAGCTTTTCTGCCTTCTTTTAGATTCAGTGTTTAAATTTGCCATTTTATCTCTCTATTGCCTTATGAGTGATTCTTTCTACTTTATTTATTTTTGGGGACTTCTCTAGGGCTGCACTATCCAATTCGGTAGTCTCTGGCCGCATATCACCTTGAGCTCTTGCAGTGTGGCTAATATAACTGAGCAATTCATTTTTAATTTTATTTCAATTATTTTAAATTTAAATTTAAAAAATGAAAGCAGTATAAAATAGTTTGCTATTAAGCAGAATTTTATTATTTTGTTAGGACTATATTTTATTTTAATTGTTGCCTTGTGTAAGATCTTTTTGTTATATTGTCCTATTCGTGTTGAGTGAGTGCGTAGTTTTTCCCATTACACATACACTAGTCCCAGATGTCATCAGGATCAACAGATTGATTCAGTTTGAATAATCTTTTATAGACTGATATAGCATTGTTATTTGTTGATTTTTGTGTTTTTTTTTGAGTCAACAACATTTGTGGTGATACGTCTGTAAATAGTAACAAGTAATTACATAGAAATATTTATTATTTTAATCATAACATAATTAAATCATTTTGTAATTTATAAAGTGTCTGCATATTTTAAAATGTACAATGAAGGCACAGAATTGTGTAGAAATGCTAAAGTGAAAATGAAGACCCGAATTGCAAGGAACAAAGAGATCTGAAGAAGGCACATTGCAAATATCCTGAATGTCACTTGAAATTTTCTGTGACAGCGAAAAACCATAAAGTTGTCTGTTTGCTGTAAAACAAAAATTAAATGACAGTAAACAGGACAATATTAAGAGATGCTTTTAGTAAATCCAAAATGAATTTAATTGAAAGTGGATATTTTCCTCAAAAATCAAAAAAGATAAATAAAGTTAGTCATCTGAAATCTGAAATAAATGCTTAAACAATGGGTAATGATTTTTCACAATGTCTGAATAGGTGACAACAGTCAGTTATATAGTGGCTTGAATTTATGTGCACATCTCCCTCTCTCTTTTTCTCATAGAGATAGAAAGATGGCAAAATAAATAATTATTTTGGCTATGAAGATATTTGGCTGGAAACGTATGAGAAAGAGACTAAAAATTATCTTACAAAATGCAAAAGAGAGAGATTTTCAATAAAGTCCCCAGACAACTTTCCATGGGATGCAACACCTTTCTAATGACATTGGAGATCGATTAATTCAAAATTAGAACCATTAAAAGTGTATTTCTCTCCCGGGCATGATGGCTCATACCTGTAATCCTAGCACTTTGGGAGGCCCAGGTGGGCGAATCATTTGAGGTCAGGAGTTCGAGACCAGCCTGACCAACATGGTGAAACCCTGTCTCTGCTAAAAATACAAAAATTGTCTGGGCATGGTAGTACATGCTTATAATCCAGCTACTTGGGAGGCTGAGGCAGGAGGATCACTTGAACCCAGGAGGCAGAGGCTGCAGTGAGCCAAGATCAGCCTCTGCACTCCAGCCTGGGCGACAGAGCAAGACTCCGTCACAAAAAAAAAAAAAAAAAAAAAAAGAAAGTATTTATTTAGCTTTTGGTGATTTGTGTACAATAATATAAAGGACACTGTCTAATTCATAGTTTGGGAACGTTTTGTTTCAAAAGACTGAAGTTTATGAAAAAAAAAAAATCACCTGGCAGTCTAATATCAAATTCATGGTATTACCGGAAAGGGGTCCTGATCTAGACCCCAAGAGAGGGTTCTTGAATTTCACACAAGAAAGAATTCACATGAATCCATAGAGTAAAGCGAAAGTAAGTTTATTAAGAAAGTAAAGGGATAAAAAGAATGGCTACTCCATAGACAGAGCAGTGGCATGGGCTGCTTGACTGAGTATACTTACAGTTATTTCTTGATTATAGGCTATACAAGGGGTGGATTATTCATGAGTTTTCCAGGAAAGGGGTGGGCAATTCCTGGAACTGAGTTCCTCCCCTTTTACACCACATAGAGTAACTTCCGGACATTGCCATGGCATTTGTAAACTGTCCTGGTGCTGATGAAAGTGTCTTTCAGCAGCTAATGCATTATAACTAGCGCATAATGAGCAGTGAGCACAACCAGAGTCACTTTCCTCCCATCTTGGTTTTGGTGGGTTCTGGCCAGCTTCTTTACTGCAACCTGTTTTATCAGCAAGGTCTTTGTGCCCTGTATCTTGTGCTGACCTCCTATCTCATCCTGTGACTAAGAATGCCTAACCTCCTGGGAATGCAGCCCAGCAGGTCTCAGCCTCATTTCACCCAGCCCCCTGTTCAAGATGGAGTCTCTCTGTTCAAAGGCCTCTGACAATGAGGGCAGAGATCAAGGAGAGATCACACCCGGGCAGGGTTGGGTCTACAGCTCTTTGTTATTTTTCCAGTGTCCCAAATGGAGCTCTGGACAAAGAAGGTTTCAAAACACAGATATTGCGTGGGGTTTCCTGACATTATTGGGAATCCTCAGTCACTCGGATGTATGAAACCAACTTACTGTAATATTAAAGCAAAAGCAAACAACAGAAACTGAATGAAAACCTTGCAATCTGTCAATCTTCTCTGACTAAGTTTTCACTCCTTAACAGGACACAGAACCTAGAGTCCTCTGGTCATTACTCCCCCCCTACACCCCCGACAATTAACCCGTGAATGTTGAGCACATTCTCACCTGGTTACTCTGTTTCATTAATTTCCTCCATTGTTTTGTTAAACACTCCTGCAAACAAACAAACTCTCCCTTTTTCTTAAAAATGCCAGAGACATCTACCTGATTTATCATTGGAATGACTTTCTCTCTGAAAATAACTGTTTTTTTTTTTTTTTTTTTTCACTCTGGTTATTCTCTCGCATTTCTAACTATTGGTCCAGGAACTTGAGTCTATATTTTCTTTGTAATGGCATTTGTCAGACCATGACTCTTGTAGCCTCTTCTAAAATCTCCACTATTCTAAAATTGAACATTTGGCCATATAACCATCTACACATCCTTTCCACCATTTTATCCACCAATACTCTTTCAATGGTGTTAACTTCGAATCGGTGAATCTCCAATACCATTAGAAAGGTGCTGCATCTCATGGGAAATTGTCTGGGGACTTCACTGAAAATCTCTCTTTTGCATTTTGTAAAATAATTGTTTAGTGTCTTTCTCATACTTTTCTAACCAAATATTTTCATAGCCAAAATAATGATTTATTTCTTCCATTTTTCTATCTCTGTGTATGTGTGTGAGAGAAAAATGTGGACACAAATTGAAGCCATTATATAAGTGGCTGTTGTCATATGCTCAGACCCTGTGAAAAATCATTACACATTGTTTAAGCATTTGTTTCAGATTTCAGATGACTGATTCTATTGATCTTCTTTGACTATTGAAAAAAAAACACTTATAGTTAAATTCATTTTGGATTTACTAAAAGCATCTTTTAAGAGATACCATCTAACGCCAGTCAGAATGGCTATTAATAAAAAGTCAAAAAATAAGAGATGCTGGCAAGGTTGTGGAGGAAAAGGAACGCTTATACACTGTTGATGGGAGTGTAAATTAGTTCAACCATTGTGGAAGACAGTGTGACAATTCTTCAAAGACCTAAAGCCAGAAATACCATTCAACCCAGCAATTCCATTACTGGGTATATACCCAAAGGAATATAAATCATTCTATTATAAAGACACATGCACATGCATGTTCACTGCAGCACTATTCACAATAACAGAGACATGGAATCAGCCTAAATGCCCATCAGCGATAGACTAGATAAAGAAAATATGGTACATATGCACCATGGAATACTATGCAGCCATAAAAAAGAATGAGATCAAGTTCTTTGCAGTGACATGGTTGGAGCTGGAGGCTATTATCCTAAGCAAACTAATGCAGGAACAGAAAGCCAAATACTGCATGTTCTCACTTATAAGTGGAAGCTAAATGATGAGAACACATGGACACACAGAGGGGACCAACATACATTGGAGCCTTTTGGAGGGTAGAGGGTGGGAGGAGGAAGAGGATCTGGAAAATAATTAATGAGTATTAGGCTTAATACCTGAGTGATGAAATAATTGTTTCAACAAACACCCATGACACAAGTTTACCTATGCACTTGTACCCTGGAACTTAAATGTTTTTTAAAAAATTCCAGTTTACTGTCATTTAATTTTTTTACAGCAAAAAAACAACTATTGTTTTTTCCTATCACAGAAAATTTCAAGTGACATTCAGGAAATTTACAATGTGCCTTCTTTAGATCTCTTTGTCCCTTGCCATTTTGGTCTTCATTCCAGCTTTTGCTAAACCCTAGCTCCAGGTTTCGTGAACAACCATCACAGTAGGTCCTCCATGTTTCTTTCCTGGTGAGCTCACCTTTGTGTCCCTCTGAAGCCACCTAGAATCCTTTCATCTTGCAATGACTAAGTCTAGACTTCTTGTTCTTCATCTTCCAGAAATTTGACATTTGCAGTCCACAGACCCAAGCATTCACACTGTCTAGGAAACTGATGCATGTGTCAGAAATAAAGCATGTCAGACTCCACCTGCAAACCTACTTCTCTGGGATATCCCCCTACCAGGGGTTGATTTAGTTGGTCGTCAACAATCTCTGGCATTCTTTCTCCTTTCACAACTTTGCACATCTTTCCAGTGTGCATCCGAAATTGAGAAACCAGAGCCCAAACCACCAAACATACTTGTCCTAGGTTCCATTGCTTCTCAGAGAGTCTCCCTACTGGAAAGGCGTCTTAGACATATCTTCTCATGAGGTTAAATGTCAGTCCTGAAGTTGGTATAAATGAATCACTAACTTTAAAATATCTGGAACTGTTGCAGATCATGAAGTTTTGTTCAAGCAATCCTATAACTACCTCTACTAGGCAGCTGCCAATTCTCTTCATAAACACAACCAACCTTCACCTTGAATTCAGGCTTGATAAGGGATTTGCACTGAACTCCTCTTCAATCAGTAGAGTAGTTCTTTGCTGAATACAGTAAACCTGTCAACACTGAAAATGTTCTACAAAGAAGGAAATGACAGATACTGGGGTCTACTTGTGGGGGAAGGATGGGAGGAGGGAGAGGAATAGGAAAGATAACTATTGGGTACTGGGCTTAAAACCAGGGTGATGAAATAATCTGCACGACAAACACCTGTGACACATGTTTACTGATGTAACAAACCTTCCCATGTACCCCCAAACCTAAAATAAAAGTCGAAAAAAAGAAAATGTTCTATTACTTTAAGAAAAAACTCTGATTTCAACTTATCGTTACATTTTAATAATACTATTAAATTTATTTATAAATAAATATTAAAAGTAATACTATTAAATTTATTTATAAATAAATAGTATTAAAAATAATACTATTAAATATTCCAGTACTCACAGTCTGTTTAGTTGTGAGAAAACGACTTTGTTTAAAGTGCTTGGTATTTCTTCAAATGTTACACATAACTAAGATTTAAATCAGCAGCCCCCAACCTTTTTGGCACCAGGGATTGGTTTAGTGGAAGACAATTTTTCCACAGACAGTGGTGGCGGGATTGTGGGGGATGGTTTTGGGATGATTCAAGCACATTACATCTATTGGACACTGATTTCTATTTTTATTCCATTGTAATATATAATTAAATAATTATACGACTCACCATCATGTAGAATCAGTGGGAGCCCTGAGCTTGTTTTCATGCAACTAGACAGTCCCATCTGGGGGCGATGGGAGACAGTGACAGATCATCAGGCATTAGATTCTCATAAGGAGCATGCAATTTAGATATCTCGCATGCACAGTTCACAATAGAGTTCTTGCTCCTATGAGAATCATGCCGCTGCTGATCTGACAGGAGGCAGAGCTCAGGCAGTGATGAGAGAGATGGGGAGTGGCTATAAATACAGATGAAGCTTTGCTTGCTCAACCATGGCTCACAGGCCATGGACGAGTAGTGGTCCATGGCCCAGGGGCCGGGGACCCCTGATTTAAAGCATCCCTGTATCTTAGATAATGTGCAAATAGCACATGTCTAAGGTTTGGTTCTCAAGCAACAGGACCTGGGCTGAGTATTCTTGTTTGGTGAGGTACTGAGCAAATGCTTTCAGGAGAAACCCATAAAAAGCAAAGAAAAGCAGGTGGAGAAGACCAGGAGTCCTCAGTTTGATCCTACAGGGAGCTGTACAGTCTAAGTGGTCCCAGAGGGTATTCCTCACCCAGAGCAAATGAAGCAGAGCTGCATTGGTCAGATGTTTGCTAGCAGTTAACTTAGGATGTGTGCAGGAATATCAACTCCCAGTCATCTCCAGGTGAGGTAGAAGCAAATAAATGGTTCTTTGAAAAAGAGTGCAGGTATGAATTTATAGCAGCAACAGCACAGCATCTCTATAAAGAGGATTTGCATGGAGAACCCAGTATGTAGTAGCATGAAAACAGTCTATTTTCAGCCTCTCTTTTCTGTGGTCGATAAAACTCTACCTGTACACAGGCTCTTGACTTACTCTGGAATAAAATGCCATTTACTCCCCACAGTTTCTCTTCCTCCAGGCTACTCTACTGCTTTCTTCCTATTTCTTCACTTGTTACTTCGAGTTTGTCACAAGCAATTAATTTCTGTCTCTGAAAGTAACCCTGTTTAATTCACCAAGGAGCCATGGCTCTTCACAGCATTTTAGCCTTACAATTAGAGCATAGTTATTTAATGGGTTTATAATCTGCTTCCTCTCAAGAAGAAGAAAAATCAGGATGAAAACCTCCTGCAACTATTCATGGTATTTTTAAGAGGCTCGGGGAAAGAAAAGCTACCATAGAAATACAGATTGGCTAATGGGTGTCTTTAATTATATATAACACATAAATATATATAAATATATAAACATATATATATATATTTTTTTTACAACCGAAACCTCCAGTGTCCATTTATATCTTCTCTCTTTTATCCCCCAAAAAAGAATATAGAAGAAAAAGTTTTGACAATTGATATTTGATTTCAAGGTTTTATTTGACCAGGTGTGGTGGCTCACTCCTGTAATCCCAGCACTTTGGGAGGCCCAGTCAGGCAGAAGACTTGATGTCAGGAGTTTGAGACCAGCCTGGCCAACATGGTGAAACCCTATCTCTACTAAAAATACAAGAATTAGCCAGGGCGTTGTGGCACACACCCATAGTCCCAGATACTCAGGAGGCTGAAGCAGGAGAATTGCTTGAACCCAAGGGGCGGAAGTTGTAGTGAACCGAGATCGTGTCACTACACTCCAGCCTGGGCGACAGAGCAAGACTCCATCTGAAAAAGAAAAACAAAATTTAAATTAATTTATTCACCTTCACTCTGGGCTTTTTTCCATGTAAGTAATGTCTCTTCATTCTTTTTATTTAAAATCTGCTCTGTCTTCATGTTTAGGAAACCCTCCAATGACATATATTCCTCGTTTTATGTTTATACTCACTTTCCACATAGAGCAACAGATTTGATTTGCAATTCTACCTATTTAAATTGCAGGTTACTATGAAAGTTAGACCAGACTAGACATTCTCAGACTTTGCAGCATGTAAGAATAAACTGGGTGAACATTTTGCTTGCAGATTCTGTGATCTCATGTCGAGGAAAACTGGTTCTATCAGTTTGGGTAGGAACAAGGATGGGTCTATTTAACAGATAGTCCCAGGTGATTGTGCAGCGAGTTGCCCATGGTGCAAATACTAAGACTTGCTGTGAGGTGATCAGTCCTAGGAAGACAAAGGATCGTCTAACTTGTTTGCATTTTCTTAGTTGCATCAATGGATGCTAAAATAACTTTTTTTTTCCCGTAAACTGACCACGGATAATCAATGGTTCCCTCATTTTTATGAAATCATACAGAGCAAAACAGTAAAAGCCTTTCATTTCCCATTTGAAAGTAAGAGTCTGGGTCAGGTTCTCCTGCCCTGATAAACGTGTGGCCTGCCTACCTTTACTACATTCCACATTTTCTGAATGTTATGGGATTTGTGCTTTGCATAGTGTTTCACTAAATGATAATGTGTCCTGTTGCTTTCCAAACTTTTCATGTTTCAGCCTTATTATCTTCAGTACTGTATTTTGTTTTACTGACAGCCCACTCATGGATAACTTGCTTACACCCCCCCCACCCCACCCATGTGACCAGGTGAACTCCTATTCATCCCTCAAAAACCTGAATAGCTAGTACCATCTCTGGAAAGTTTTTTTCTTATACATATCTATTCATCCATCCTTGTGTACCTCTTTTTTTTTTTTTTTTTTTTTTGCCTCTGTACTGTCTCTATACTTTAAGTACTTCCATGTCTGCACACACTCATTGAACATGCACGTGCTCATTCTCCCTCTTAGACTGCAAGAGATGTTGGAGGGGACATTAGAATATTGCCTGGAACATGGTAGGGACATACATTTTTAGTTGAATTTATCTAAATCGTCATGCAGTAAACTGTTTTCAGACATTGCCAAATGTCCCCCTCCCCCCCGGGGTAAAATCACTCCCAGTGGGGGACATTTGACAATGTCTGAAAAGAGTTTTGGCTGTCACAGTTGGGAGAGTGGACACTACTGGGGTCCCATGTGTAGAGACCATGGGGTGATGTTAAAAGTCCTACAATGCACAGGACGGTCCCCATAGCAAACAATCATTGGGTCCAAACTGTCAATTGGGCCAAGGTGAGAAACCCTAATTGTATTGTGTGCTTTCTGATGGAAAGCGCTACACAACTTATAAGTTACATTACAAGTCATATAATTTGAGATTTTTGCAAAGCAGTTAATTATACACCCAGAGTGGTGGCCAGACAATATGGCAAAGTCAATCTTATTAAATGAGTTGATGCTTGGTGATAGATTGATCAGTTGCATAATTGAAGAGTTATTTTTTTTTTGTAAAAATTTTATGTGAGGTTTTGAAGGCATATGTGGGCTATGTGCTAGAAAAATCTCATCCACTGCCTTCATTTCCAAAATAAAAACATGGTGAATTTTGTCTGATTTAGTTCATTCCTCCCTCACAGTCTTATGTCATGTTAGAAACAAATCCAAGGATATTTCTTCCATATGCCATATTCTCACCCACTTGAGTGAGAAGAATAGTACAAAATTTTTCCTTGTGTTTTTTTCTGTTGTGTGGGGTTTTTGTTTGTTTATTTGTTTGTTTGTTGTTGTTGTTTTGCTTTTGTTGACTCTAGATCCTTTCTGTCAAAGTGAAGAATGGGCCAAAAGGGAAAATACAGCAAGTATTTCCATGGAACAACCTCAGGGCTGTGTTGGAAATGGGAGAAGTCTGCCATTATGGTGATATAGTTCTACATTCCTCACGGAACAACACGGGCAAAAGTAATTTGTGTTTATTTATCCTGCCGTTATTCACAAAATTTGAAACACTTGTAACATGTAAAACTTGAGCTACACCAATTGCCGAGAGATGTATACATCCAGACTTCTAATATGCTTGAAGGTAAGCAGGTGATGTGTGTGACTAAGAGAGGACCCATCTCAGCTGTCACAAATCATACAGATCAGAGAAAGAATGAGAGACTCAATCCTTATATTAAATTCAGTGTGCTGATGAGAGAGGATACCTAATCTAGTCTGGTGGGTCAAAGAAGTTTTGCAGAAATGAGGGATGAAGAAACAGCATGCAGAAAAGGTGGAGTGTAGCCTTGAGTAGAAGTTGAGTGTGAGAAAATAGCCAAGCTGTTATTAAACAATAAGACATGTTCTTCTGTGAGAGAAAGCTCAACATGTTTTAAGGGCAAAATCAGGCAAAATCATGTCCCATATGGCTGGTGCTTAGCATGAGAGAGAGGTAGGAGAGAGCAAGAGGGATAATTATGAGATGGGAGCAGCAGACAGAGGACTTTGTTGTGGCCCAGCAGATCCAATAAGGTATTTATAATTCATATGAAAAGCAATGTGGACATTTTTAGCCTGGGGGTGGTGAGATTCGTGTTCTGTTTTGGAAGGATAACTCTGGATACATAGTGTTGTCTGGTTTGGAAGGGAAGCAAGATGGTACCAATGAGAAAAGAGTGGATGCTCTTTTTAGCATCAACCAGGCTTCCTCTGATCTTTGCAGCCTTCTTGTAGTGGTAATGGAGACACGGTAGTGGTTTGGGTGCATGTGTATCATGGGTGGGCAGGGTTGGAAATGGGTGCGTTCAACTGGTATTTACCAAATGGAATTGACAGGACATGCTGACACACAGGATCTCAGAGGAGGGAAGAGAGCAGAGTCCAGGATTAATCTTGTGTGCTTTTTGCTTGGAAAGGGATAGTGAAGACATGAATTGAGACAATGGACACTGGAGTGGCAATGATCACTAGTGATATGCTGGCAAAGAGATGATGCACTTGGTCATGATGAGTTAAAGGTGATGAAGGCAACCAAGTTAGGATGTCCTCCAGATGGTGGAAAAAGAGATTTTTAAAATGTTGTGTGGATACAAATGAGATTCTACTCAGCCTTAAAACAGAAGGAAATTCTGTCATTTGCAACAGCATGAATGAAACTGGAGGACAGAATGTTAAGTGAAATAAACCAGGCATAGAGAAACAAATACCACACAGTCTTACTTATATGTGAAATCCAAAAAAGTAAAACTCATAGAAGTAGAGAATGGAATGATACTTACCAGGAGCTGGGTGGGAGGCTTAGGAGATGTTGGTCAAAGCATACAAAGTTCCAATTAGACGAGAAGAACAAGTTTGAAAGATCTATTGTACAGCATGCTGACTATAGTTAATCATAACATAATGCATCTGTCAAAATTGCTAAAACAGTAGATTTGTAATGTTTTCACCACGAATGATAGGTTTTTAAAGTGGTGAATATGCTAATTAGCTTCATTCAATCATGTAATATATCATGTTTTATATACATGTGTGTATATCTATATCTATCTATATATAGATATTAAGACCTCAAATTGTACCCTATAAATATATACAATTATTATTTGTCAATTAAAACAAAATAATACCTTAAAAGGCTCTGAAACTGTAACTTGAGGTTTGGGAATGAGATCAACTTTCCTTTTCTTCATGTAATTTTTTAAATGTTTTCTCTAGAGATTGTCATCATCTTGGGGGAAGAGACCTGGATTTGTCAATTTCTCATAAAAGTACTTGAACTTGAGGAAGACAACTGAAAAATATTACCCGTTATTTCCTATCATGAAAATAGACTTGAAACAGAACCCTGCCATTCTTGGCTGGGCGTGGCGGTTCATGCCTATAATTGCAGCACTTTAGGAGGCCAAGGAGGGCAAATCACTTGAGCTCACAAGTTCAAGACCAGCTTGGGTAACATGGTGAAACCTTGTTTCTTACAAACAATACAAAAAATTAGCTGAGTGTGATGGTGCTCACCTGTAGTCCCAGCTACTTGGAAGGCTGAGGTGGGAGGATGGCTTGAGGCTGGGAAGTGGAGGTTGCAGTGAGCTGAGATGGAGCTACTGTACTCCAGCCTGGGTGACAGAGTGAGACGTTGTCTCAAAAACAAAACAAAACATTCTACCATTCTTTACATCCTTCTAGAGCAATTGATTGCTCAGCACTAGGATTAGACAAGATAACTTTGTGGTCATATTTGATCAAGATGAGCAGTATTTCTTCAGTGTAAGGCATTTCTGCATTATTTGATTGGCCCTAACTATTTAGCAATTATGTCTTTCATTTAGCCTGTATTCATTGCGCTGTATGTTCTTAGGAAAATGTGTGTTGTTTGCATATTCTTTCCAAACAAGGTTTGAATATTTTAAGACAGGGGAGTTTTGTCCTATTACTTTATTAACTCTTATATGAGTAGGCTAATTTTCCAAAAACTGGGTACTGTATACAGTTGGACTGCAAATAATAATAGCAATCATTATTATTATTATTATTATTATATTTCTGGAAAGATATTTTGAGTGCTTAGGGGGGAAAATTATGCTGGCATGCAGCTGCATTAGTCTTAGTACCTAAAAAGGGAAAAAGATGCTTCAATTATTCATTTCAAATACTCTTATGGGATGAAGAAGACAGGAGATCTGGGTTCAAACAGCAGCACACCTGACAATTTGGACCTGGATTATTATTTGTGTGGCATGAGACTGTCCCATGCACTGTGAGAGGTTTATCAGCCTTCGTGCTCTCCACCCACTAGAAGCCAATAGCAACCCTCACTCTGAGCCTTGCCAAGGAAAATCGTCTCAAGATTAAAGTTAAAGATGATGAAGGCATCCAGGTTAGGATGTGCTCTAGGTGGTATAAAAGGAGATTAGAATGACATATACATACACAATAGGATTTCATTCAGCCTTAAAACAGAAGGAAATTCTGTCATTTGTAAAAGTATGGATAAAGCTGGAGGAGATTATGCTAAGTGAAACAACCCAGGAGTAGAGAGACAAATACCACATAATCTCACTTACATGTGGAATCTAAAAAAGTCAAACTCATAGAAGTAGAGAGTAGTGACCAGGGGGGATTGCCAGATTTAGCAAATAGGGCAAGTTAATTTTGATTTGCAGAAAAAAATGAGTAATTATTTAGTGTAAGTATGTCCCTTGCAATATTTTGTCTGGAAAGCCTGCCTGGTGTGTAAACATCACCTTCAGTGTGCTCTTCTTATTTCTGTCTTCTTAAATTTACAAATACCTCAGGATCTCAGGCTTTGCAAGGAGACATGGCATTTTACATTAGGAGAGTACTCAATGCTGTTCTACCTGTATATTTTTAGGTAAAATCACAAATTCAGAACGATCTATCTCAGGGGCCCACATTGTCCCCATTTATTGTTAATTGCATATTTTCCACCTTCCTCCATCTACGAAACTCAGACAGTGTTAAACACTGACGTGTGCTAAATGCATCTATTACTTGAGTAGGATTAGAATTCTATTGCAAATTTCTCAATGCCCCTTTAGAATTCCTCTTGTGGGAAAGAACTGAAAGTTCTAATTATATTTCATGGGCTTGATGAATCTCTCGTCTGTAACAGTTTTTCCTCCAGGTTATTTCTGCTTGGAAATCTTAAGTTGGTAAAAAAATAAAGTGTACTCTTCTGCCTGAGGAACTGAGTGGCCTTTATCTTCCAGCCTGCTGGTCCTAATCTAATTACCTGGTGTGAAGAGTTATTTTTGGCAGTGAGACTAGACTGCACTGGCAATGGGTAATGCCTCCTAACACAACAGCCAGCAGACCCACAAAATTAAAAGGAGGCATTTCATAGGTTATTTCTGGCAAGTTTTAGAGCTGATGAAAGCCTCAAGTAGCTTTTACTCAGAGATTAATGCATAAAATAGATGCATAAAAGTTGCAATGGGTTTATAAACTAAGTACACGGATCTGTGTGTTCCTTTTAAAAAAAATTGGGTCTACCTCTATTCCCTCAGACTCTGAACATGGAAAGAACTCAATAAATGCTAATCGCTAAAGGGAGGTTAAAATAGAGTGTCTCCACCTTAACCAGAAGCTTATACTTTTCTACTGGTGAATCATGCCACTCTTAGCCTTTTTCTTGTTTTCTTTCTATAAAATAAATTGTCCTCATCTGTGATAGTGATAATGGTAATGATGGTGATGGTGGGGACGCTGATGATGGTGATGATGATGGTGATGGTGATGATGGCAATGATGGTTATGGTAATGATGGTAATAATGATAGCAATGATGGTGATAACAGTGATGATAATGGTGATGATGGTAATAATGTTGATGATGGTGGTGATGATGATGTTGGTGATGATGGGGATGATGATCGTGATGACGGTGATAATGATAATGATGATGGTGATGGCGATGATGATGATGGTGATGATAGTGATGGTGTTGGTGATGATGGTGGTAATGATGATAAAGATGATGACGATGATTTTATCTCTGTTCTACTTATTTATTTTAAATTTTAACAAGCTTTTAGTAAGTGTTCTTCACTAAGATTGTGATCAGCTTAAATCACTCCAAGAACAAGTCTAAAATCTTTTTAAGAAAACAAGACGTCACATACACAAAAAGATGAGCAACACTGTGAGTAACAAGTAATTGAGAAACAGCCTTGAGGCTAATGGAAATGCACTGTAAGTTTCCTGTATCTGGGCTCTCCCATATGTGTCTCTACTAACTCACATTATACTCTAGTACTCTAGTTTCAGTATTTTATCTCTCCTTTGTAACACATTCTTTTTTGTTTTTTGTTTTTTTTCAGAGGGAATTTTGCTCTGTTGCCCAGGCAGTGGCACAACCTTGGCTCACTGCAACTTCCTCCTCCCGGGTTCAAGTGATTCTCCTGCCTCAGTCTCCTGAGTAGCTGGGATTACAGCTGTTGCACCACCACACCGAGCTAATTTTTTTTTTTTTCAGTAGAGACGGGGGTTTCACTATGTTGGCCAGGCTGGTCTCAAACTCCTGACCTCAAGTGATCCACCAGCCTCGGCCTCTCAAAGTGTTGGGATTACAGGCGTGAGCCACCGTGCCCAGCCTGTAACACATTCTTTCATGAGGCTTATTCATCCCTGATGGGAAACCACTCTCCTTTCTCTAGCAAATAATGACTACCTGTAATGACTACCCTCTAGCTGTAATGACTTTGCCCCTTCCTCACCTTTATTTAAAACCTGTCTGTCTTTCAAAAATGCCTCTTCGACATCTGCGTCCTCTGATTTCTCCAACCCACATTGATCTCCTTTCCCTTAGGACACACTATTATTGGGGTCTAATTTGTGATGGAATTACAAACTAATTTACCTTGCTACTCAGCAATTCCATGAACATATGCGCTGCTTTAACCATCTAACATAACACAGACAAATGGGCAACAGGTTTGGTTGACCAGAAAAATCAGAAACAGAAAAAAACCTGTGTGTTTATACTTGTAACTTTTAATCAATAGACGTAAACAATTTTTTAAAAATCAGCCTCATAACGAAATTTAGGGTATAATACAGCAGAAATGAATGAAAACCAACAATGAAGCAATTCCTCCCCTGCTCCCACCAAATCTGCACCCACCAAATCAAAGCTATTAGCAACATATTGATAAATGTCAATACTTTGATCACTCTATATGATCGATTGCCTTTCTGAAGGCTTACTTTTCCTTTACTATATTAAAAAATTGTTTTTCAGGCTTCAAAAAATTCAATTATACTTAAAAATTCTAATAACCCTTCTAGTAGTAGCGTATTCATATTTTAATTTTTTAAAATATTGTTCTAAGTAAATAATGTAAAAAGAGGAGAAAACAAAAGAAAAGGGAGAGTAACAGCACAAAGTCATCAGTATTTACCTCTCAGTGTTGACTGGGGCACAATTATCTCGTTTTTATTCAGCTAAAAAAGAAAAAAAATGTTAGTTATTTTCTTTTCACTTTTATTGTGTGATCCACAGCACATAGTCAACACTCTTTGGACATCTGCCCACTCTGTTTCCAGCGCTGGGCAAACACTTGAGCCACTAACCTGGAGCAGAGGACACCTCTGCCCTGGAATGCAGCAGGCAACAGGATCCCTGCATGGAGAGATGGGCACTGTTTGAAAGTTACTTGGCTTAATAAGCGATTGGGTAGTAAATGCCAGTCAAGGTGACATCTGATACCAAGTTTTGAAGAAGAGAGAGAAGTTGCCCCAGTGTACATGAGGCAAAGGTATTTTCTACTTCTGGGAGGGAGGGGTGAAAGGAGACAGTAGAGAAGGAAACTGGATAAGAGAAGAATCAAAGGAAGATGAACATCGGTCGCTGTTGTGTGGGTGTGTGGTTTGTATGAAAGAAAACCCTACATGGATGAGATATTGGGATTTTGAGAAGAGACATTTGTAAAATGCAGTGTTATTTACTTATTTAATATTTTCTACCTTTATTCGGGATTCAGGGGAGTACATGTTCAGATTTGTTACATGGGTATATTGTGTGATGCTGAGGTTTGAGGTACAATTTATCCCATCACTCAGGTAGTAAGCATAGTACCCAATAGTTAGTTTGTAACCTTTGTCACCTTTCCTTCTTACCCTTTCTAGTAGTCACCAGCGTCAATTGTTGCCATCTTTATGTCCGTGAGTACGCCATGTTTAGCTCCTACTTAAAAGTGAGAACATACAGTATTTGATTTTCTATTCCTGTGTTAATGCTTTTAAAATAGTGGCCTCCACCTGCATTCATGTTGCTGCAAAGGAAATGATTTTGTTCTTTTTTATGGCTGTGTAGTATTCCATGGTATATATGTACCAGATTTGCTTATGAAATCCATTATTGATGGGGGATCTAGGTTGATTTCATATTTTGGCTATTGTGAATAGTGCCACAATGAACATGGGAGTGCAGATCTCTCTTTGACGTACTGGTTTCATTTGGTTTGTTTTAAGACACAGTAAAGAGTTTGTGAATTGGATCTACTTCTGGTGATTTGGGTGACACAAATGCTACTGTTGCTGATCTTTTTGTTTTGGAGCCAATTTCAGAATTTGCCAGATCCTTGTAACAGATGTGATTCAATTTTACAAAGCCTAGTTCAATGAATAGAATCATTAAGATGTTACTCCTAAAAGAGGTAAGTGATACCTTACGTCAGCTCTATGTTGGTCCTCTGTTTAAGGATGGCCAGCCCTAAAAGGTTGAGCAACCACTTGCCTAGATAATTTGTAATAGGTCCTCAGAAACCCCACTTGCCTTCCGGTTTTGTCGATAGCTATGTAATATATCTTCTCCTCATTCAAGGGAATCACTGGCCTGTCCACTCCATCCTGTCACCTCTGATGATCTGCAAACTTCAGACCTCCAGGGACTTTGGAGCCAGTCACAGGTAACAAACTCCATTCTCAGCACTTTGTTTGATTATTAAGAAACAAAACAATAACAACAATAACAAAACAAGGACTCTCAGCTGAATTTTAGATAAACAATGAACACATTTTTTAAAGTATCAGTATATCCCAGATATTGCATGGGACATGCTTACACTAAGAAAAAAACCAATCGTGAATCTGAAATTCAAATGTAACAGCTCATCTTGCGTTTCAGGTACTAACTCTTCCTAATCATCAGTCCCAGGGGGGACCTATTGCCAGGTCAACCCATCTGAAAGCCCTGGCAGCAGATACAACTCGGCCACATTTATCCCAGGAGTGTATCTTGGTCCTACAACCAAGCAAGTCCACTATGTTTAGACATGCCATGGGGAACGCTGGTTGCAAAGATCACTTAGCGGGAGGAGAGTGATTAAGGGGTTATTTGCTTACAACTATAACCTGTATCTGTATTATATTACCAGCTCACCTAACAAGCTTCAGGAATTTGTGTAATAAGGCTCAAAACATCACATATACCACACAAACATATACACCTACTATGTGCCCACAAAAATTAAAAAGGAAAAAAACTAATGAGAAACATTAGCTCATTGGAAGATTTGAGTGTGAACAGACACACACAGACACACACTGCACACCAGGATTTTGGCAGTTATTTTCTTCCCCCCAAAAAGCTATAATTTTCTCAATTCAACTGGAAACAAATGTGTTCTTTGATGGAGCCCTAACTGGCACTAGAAAAAAGCAGCTTATCTTGGTATACTAACAAATTGACTGGTAGGAATTATTTGAGTGTACTGTTCTTTATGTATATAAGCAGCTGCCTACAATTAAATTTAGATCATAAAAGCATTTATAATTAGTTATTTAAAGTTGTATTTCTTTTTACTTTACTTTCATTGTCTATTTTTCCCCTGGGAAAAAGGAAAATGATGTTTTAGGTGTCTAAGTAGTATAATACATTTGTTCCTGGTCGCAGTTGCTTTAAAGATGGAAAAGCACAAATTTGAAGTTTCTCGAATTGCACCACTTTGTTTATATAGCTTCATGCTAGATGGATGCCTGGATTCAACTGGATCTGAGCGGCAGTGAGCCTTTAAAATACTAGGTTTGAAGAATTTGATGACTTACTGAAATGTTGACATGTACTCGTAAATCAAGATTTATTATGAATTCCTATTCCCTCAGTAAAAACAACAACAAGGAAGGAAATTTGGCTTGTATTTATTGCTCAGTAATAGTTGTTATATCCATTAAAATAATGCTGCAAAGCACTGGTCTATGCCTCTGGAGGTCTTCTGCAGAGCAGCATCTTTAAATTGTCATTTTGGTGGCATTATTAAAGTCAGATATAATCACAGGATGGAGTGCATGGTTCATTTTTCCATGTCGTAATCACATTTTTCGCATAACATGATACCACAAATAGACATTTTCTTACCAGTAGATCAGAACTGGTGGCACTTTTGCTCACTAGGGGAAACTTAGAAAGGTTTTGTAAGTCATTCTCACATTGCTGGTTGAGAAGCACTATTCAGGTCTGTTACGTAGGTAAATTGTGGGTCACGGGGGTTTGGTGTACAGATTATTTCATCATCCGGGTGATAAGCGTGGTATCCAATAGGTAATTTTTTAATTCTCTCCCTCCTCCCACCCTTCACCCTCAAGTAGACCCTTCTGTCTGTTGTTCCCTTCTTTGTGTCCACGTGTGCTCAATGTTTCGATCCCACTTATAAGTGAGAACATGCAGCCTTTGGATTTCTGTTCCTGCATTCATTTTCTAAGGATTATGGCCTCCAGCTGCGTTCATGTTGTTGCAAAGATATGATCTCATTCTTCTTAAGGCTATGTAGTATTCCATCTTGTATAGACACCTCATTTTTTAAAATTCAATCTACCATTGATGGGCACCTAGGTTGATTCCACGTCTTTGCTATTGTGAATTGTGCTGCGGTGAACATGTGAGTGCATGTGTCTGTTTGGTAGAAGGACTTATTTTCCTTTGGGTCTATATCCAGTAATGGGATAGCTGGGTCAAATAGTCTTTCTGTTTTAAGTTCTTTGAGAAATCACCAAACTGCTTTCCAAAGCAGATGAACTAATTTACATTCCTACTGGCAGTGTACAAGCATTCTCTTTTATCCACAACCTCACCAACATCTGTTTTTTTTTGACTTTTTAATAATAGCCATTCAAAAAGCACTATTCTGGATAATTGATTTCATTTAGGCAAAAATCTCTTTATATAGGATAAAATTAAAACTTTATCTGTTTACCACATTGTGTCTCTATCCATCTATATTAATCTATAGCTATCTATATTTATATCTATGTATGTATATATAGATACAGAAATTTATGTATTTTAAGTATATATCACATAATAAATAAAATATTAATTAAATCAATTTTATTAATGTACAATACAAATTCATATAATATATGTATTTTTAAGCATTTTTTAAATTTCTAAGACTTTTCTTGATATCCCCCAAAATATCAATGACAGAGTGGTAAGTCCAAAAATTTTAAAGACACATGTCCCTCAAAATAGTATAAACTTTTTTTTCCTCTCCTGTAAAAACCACTATTGTGAACATTCTATTAATCATCCCTAGTTGTCTAATGAGTAAAGGAGTTACCCACCATTTTTTCTGCACCTCCTGCAGTGCTCTTCGGCCACTGCACGGACTCCCTCACTTCTAAGGGGGTCAAGTGAGGGCTGCCCTGCTTGGCTGCATGCATTCTTCACTTCACACATGGTAGACAAATCCATCGGGACAATCCAGACCCTGCTGGGATCACCAAATCATGTCATGAGTCTGCATCCACCTGGCTAACTCCCTACAACAAAGCAGAGTCAATAATCAGTAGTGCTGCCTCCAAGAAACCCTGCTGTCCTGAAATTCTAGGTGTCCTTGCACTATGGGGACTTCTGGGAGTCCTACTTAGGTTTGATCGTTTGTAACTTTCCTGTACATATCTTCCATAAATCCCCATCATCTGAAATACTCTGTCTGCATCCCCATCCTTGCCATCTAAAATTACCAATATGCATTATTTACAAATACCGTTTTCTAGGAGGATTGGACCCATTGATCTGCATCCCCATCCTTGCCATCTAAAATTACCAAAATGCATTATTTACAAATACCGTTTTCTAGGAGGTTTGGACCCATCGATGCCAACGAGTAGCACAGTTGAGATGAAGCATTGATGTCATGAATCTTGAAGAATTTTCCGCAAACATGTTCTTTAGACTAGTCATAAAACAGCAGGATATTCTGTCCATGTTTATTATTTTTGTGTCTATACTGGGACAGGTGATGATTAAAGCATCATTCACTGAAATTGAAAACAAAAATTGGAAAGAAATTCAAAGAGATGATTATAATTGATAAATCATGACTGAGACTGACAAATTAAAAGCACAGATTACCAGAGTGAATAATAAAAAGAAATGACACTGAAAGGGAAATAAGAGAATATTACCACTAAATTTATGACTATACATTTGATGACTAAGAGGAAATGGAAAAATTCCTGGAAAAGCGTAACACTGTGAAACCAGCACAAGAAGCAATAGAAAATTTGGGCAGTACTACATCTAGTTTTAAAAAAAGAATGAAAATTTCAATTAAATATGAGTTTCAATACTAATATGGGTCTCAAAAATTTAACATGGGTTTCAACATTTCCCATAAATGAAACTTCAGGTCCTGACTGTTTTCCGAGTAAATTCTACCAAATATTTACTATGGAAACAATGCTAAATCTATACAAACTTTATGTTACAGGATTACGGAATAAAGAGAATGTATGTAACTCCTTTAATGTGGTTAACATAATCCTAATACTTAAACTTTACTACATTATCCCTTTCCACCCCATTAGACAGTATCTTTCATCATATAGACACCAAAAATCTTTATAAAATTTAGCCATATATTAGTCCACAAAGAGTCTATATTTCAAACTATAATTGCTTAAACTGAATTCTGTGACAAAGTATAAAAGGACTATGAATATAGGAAAATTGTGGACCACATGAATTTGTTTATTTTCAAATCAGCAAATTAATTTTAAGCTGAGACATCAAAACTTTAATCTCAAACCATCTGGATAAAATATATAAAATATTACATGTCTAAAACTGTAGTATAAATAAAGCCCAAGAGACATTTCCAAATGTAGACACCTTTAATAATAAACACATATTAAACTAATAAATTATACTCAATTTGTTTAAAAGAAAACAAAATATTATTAAAGAGACAGGAAGAAAATAATTTGTAAATATAATAACATTCTGATCAATTGAGGGGCTGGTTCTGTTGGGAAACAAAACCAGTGATATGTAAATAGCTAATCTCCTCCTGGAGAGAACAAAGAAAATAATCAGTTCAAAAATTTATAAAAGACAAAAAGGAAGCAAACAGAGAAACTAAATTCAGCACAATTAATAGTTTGAGACCAGCCTGGACAACATGGCAAAACCCCATCTGTACAAAAAGTACTAAAAGTAGCTGTGTGCATGACTATAAGTACCAACTACTCAGGGGGTTGAGGTAGAAGAATTGCTTGAGCCCAGAAGGTCAATGCTGCAGTGAGCCATGATTGCGCCACTGCACCCTGGGCAACAGAGCGAGATCCTCTCTCAAACTAGAGTAGAAACAGATTTTTTTCCTAATAATAAATAAATAAATGTAGGTGTACCGATTGCTTAATGAATTAATGAGTTTCTCCTGGAAGAGTGTGTCATGGAATCTAGATTTGGAAATTCCGTGTTAGAGCAGCACTTTTCTACCATGCTTTGAGCATTTCAGTCCTCTGGGATTCTGCTTAGTGCAGGTTCCAATTCTCTGTGTCTGGGGTTGTGTCTTTGATTCTTCATTTCTAACAAGCTCCAAGCTGAGACTGATGCTACCCATTCATGGACCACCCTTGGAGTAGAAAGTAGTCAGAGCATAAAGTTAAGAGGCAGGGAGTATGGAGAAATGAGGCTTTCACAGCTTGGTCTAGCGTGTTAATTAGTTTTTATGACATCCTGCAGGCGATGGTAAGCCACTGAAGAGCTGGAAGGAGTTAAGTGATCATGCATGTTTTCAGGAGTGTCTTCTGAATAGAGGGTAGGTTTGATGTCATTAACCTAAGGGCAGAGACTCACGTAGACAACTTTGTAATAGGCAAGCCAGGAGAAGACAGGGGCATGAACAAAACAAGTAAACCAGAGGAGAGTGGTGAGATTTTCAGGAAATATTTAGCAGTTTCAATCACCAGAATATGGCCATTGATTGGGGGAGGTGATGGATGTGGGAGGAGAAGCTTCAGGCAGCAGTTCCCAACCTTTTTGGCACCAGGGACTGGTTTAGTGGAAGACAATTTTTCCACGGACTGGTGGTGGGGAGGATGGTTCCGGGATGATTCAAGCACATGCCATTTATTGTGCACTTTATTTCTATTATTATTACATCATAATATATAATAATTGTACAACTCAAACTCAGCATCGTGTGAAATCAGTGGGAGCCCTGAGCTTGTTTACCTGCAACTAGATGGTCCCATCTGGGGTAATGGGAGACAGTAACAGATCACCAGGCATTAGATTCTCATAAAGAGCACACAGTCTAGATCCCTCACACGCTCAGTTCACAATAGGGTTTGTGCTCCCATGAGAATCTAATGCCACTGCTGATCTGACAGGAGGCAGAGCTCAGGTGGTAATGCGAGTGATGGGAAGAGGCTGTAAATACAGATGAAGCTTCGCTCGCTAGCCTGTCGCTCACCTCCTGCTATGTGGCACGGTTCCTAACAGGACACAGACCAGTACCATTCCATGGCCCGGGGTTTGAGGACCCCTGGCTTAAAGGGAAAAGAAGATAAGGTTGATAATCAGATTTTCCAGTGTGAGTGATTGGTACAGCACATGAAAGGAAGAAATGCAGGTGGACGAACCACTTAGGCAGAGACATGCTGAGTGTGTTGTAACCTTGCTGACTTTGAGTGTCTGTGTATATCCAGGAAGGCATCACAGGTATGTGGTTGGAGATATGAGAGTGAAGCTAGTGGAAGTGCATCCATGATGTAGATATGAAAGAGGCACAGAGCTGGTAAGTGAAACAAAAAGTGTGCATGCTGTGACAGCCTAGGGAACAAGGTAAAGTGAAGAAATCAGTGGACCCCATGACACAGAAAACACCAGCAAGTAAAGTTAGATAAATGGAGAAAATCAACAGACGCAATGACAGAAAACACCAGCTTGGGTTTGATAAATGGAGAAGAAACACTTGAAAAAAGTGGAGGGGAGAAGTTCAAGGAAAACAGACACGCATCATGTAACCATGGGAGAGTTTGCTAGACATGGTGAACCTCTAGCTCCAACTGGGATTGTGAAATGGATTCTACATTGTAACGAGATGCCTTATGTGATAGGAATAACAGGTTGCAGTGTAAGAAATCCTAAAATGGGAACGGTTCCAGGGAGAGGCTAGCAGGGCTTCTGTGGGGTTTGAAGGAATGGTTCTAGAGTGGAAGGATCATTGAGGAACGTGAGAGAGGAAGCTACCCAGACAGAAACAGTCAGGTCGAAGAGCAATGGTAAGTGGACTTTTTTTCTTGTATCCCAGTCTGCACAATGTTAGATTTTCTTAACTATTCATCCTTTTGGGTGTGTGTACAGAGACTGATGAGTGCAGCACAAGGCAGGACTGGGGCTCTGCACACATGGAAGAGAGTGGAGAATAGTGAATCCAGCTGGCTGGTGAGAGAATTGCTCAGATATTCAATCAAGGGCATATTAGTCTGTTATTACACTGCTAATAAAGACATACTCAAGACTGGTTAATTTATAAAGGAAAGAGGCTTAATGGACTCACAGTTCCACATGGCTGGGGAAACCTCACAGTCATGGCAGAAGGTGAAGGAGCAAAGTCATGTCTTCCATGGCAGCAGGCAAGAGAGTGTGTGCAGGGGAACTCCCCTTTATAAAACTATCAGGTCTCGTGAGACATATTCACTGTCACAAGAACAGCATTGGAAAGACCCACATTCATGTTTCAATTACCTCCCACCCGGTCCCTCCCATTACACGTGGAAATTATGGGAGCTACAATTCGAGATTTGGGTGGGGACACAGACAAACCACATCAAAGTGTTAGAACCTTTCTGGAAAACAGTATGAGGATTTCTCAAAGAACTAAAAATAGAACCAGAGTTTGATCCAGCAATTCCACTACTAGCTATATGTATCCAAAGGAAAAGAAATCATTCTATCAAGGAGACACCTGCACTTGTGTGTTTATCATAGCACTATTCACAATTGCAACGATGTGGAATCAACGTAAGTGTCCATCAACAGAGGATTGTATAAAGAAAACGTGGTGCATATACACTATGGAATACTACTTAGCCATAAAAAGAATGAAATTATGTCTTTTGCAGCAACATGGGTGAACCTGCAGGCCATTATCCTAAGTGAATTAACTCAGAAGCAGAAAATAAAATACCACATGCTCTCACTTATAAGTGGGAACTAAAAAATGTGTATGCTTGGACATATAGATGGAAACAATAGACACTGGGGACTCCAAAAAAGGGGAGGGTGGCAGGGGAGAAAGTGTTGAAAAATGACCTACGTGTACAATGTTCACTATATGAATGATGGGTTCACTAAAACCTAGACTTCACCACTATGCAATATATGCATGTAAAAAACCTGCACTTGTACCCCCCTAAATATATTAGAAATAAAACAATATTTTAAAAAAAGCCATTAAAAAAAGGTTTGGAAGAAAACCCTTCAAAAGGCTGATAACCTGGACAAAATAGAAGGATGTTTCTGCCCTACCACTGGATAAACTAAGTGGGAAACTCTAACAGAAAGATGAAGTTCTTCCCATCGCTAGACAATAAGTGAGAAAATCTAAGAGAAAGATGAACTTTTTCTACCAAGTGTATTGGAAGGCAGATGTGGTTGACCCTTAAACAACGCAAGTTTGATTTTGTGGATTTTATTTTGGCTCTGCCAGTCCCGAGACAGCAAGACCAACCTCTCCTCTTTGTCGTCCTCGTCAGCCTACTCAACCTGAAGACGATAAGGATGAAGACCTTTATGATGATCGACTTCCAGTTAATGAATAGTAAATATATTTTCTCTTCCTTAGGATTTTTTTAATAACATTTTTTTTTCTCTAGCATACTTTATTGTAATAATACAATATTCAATATTCATTAGATCCTGATACAGTGGAACATAGGAAGAGATGGATGGTATATTTGGCAAGTGGATGGTGGAAGGGGAGTAGACGTGGGGTTATCAGGATTGTATCTAAAGATGTTTCTTCTCGTGCTGTTGAGGCTGAAGAGGCAGGGGAAATAGAACGGGGCACAGTTTTAATTTTCAGATTTAGTATAAAGATCTGATCATTTCTACACACAAAGCGTCATGTTTCTCCATGGCTAAAAGTTATATTTATACCCCTAGCCAAGACACAATCTCCAATAATATTTCTTTCCATTTTTATCCCTGGATTCACCTTTTAAATTTAATACCCCGAGGAACTCATCCTTCACCAGGGAAGCATCTCATGACATGCAGTTGACAGTGTACTTCGAGCCTCTTGGGAACATCATTTGAGGCAGTCTTCCTGAGTGTGCTCCAGCAAAATAAGTACCTCTCTCCCAGATGCTGTTGTGGACTCAGACAGGAATAAATTGCAGCCCTTCGTACAATCTACAGTGAGTCTTGCTCTCATGCAGAAGAACCTGAGTGATATAGCTTGGATCTTTGTCCCTGCCCCAATCTCATGTTAATTTGTAATCCCCAGTATTGGAGGGGGGCCTGGTGGGAGGAGACTAGATCATAAGGGCGAATTTCCCATGAATGGCTTAGCACCATCCTCTTGTTGCTGTCCTCATGATAGTGAGTGAGATTTGTGAGACCTGATTGTTTAAAAGCATGTGGCACCCTCCAACTCTCTCTCTCTCTTTCTCTCTCTCGCTCTCTTTCTTTCTCCTAACTTCTGCCATGTGAAGGGCCTGCTCCCCCTTCTCCTTGCACCATAATTATAAGCTTCTTGAGTCCTCTCCAGAAGCAGAGGTTGACACCATGCTTCCTATACAGCCTGCAGAACTGTGAGCCAATTAAACCTCTTTTCTTTATAAATTACCCAGTCTCAAGCATTTTTTTATAGTAATGCAAGAATGAGCTAATACACTGAGTTTATAAAGAACAGAATGTGTTTGTATTGGTGAAATGCAGACACAAGTCAGGGGACCGTCTTTTCCATGGGTGCTGTATATTCTTGGGAAGAAGGAGGTTGGTAGGCTTTGTTTGTGTTGGACCAAGGAGTACAGATAGGGCGTGGTGGTATCCAGGCATCTGTGTTATCATCTATGTATTGCTGGTATTCATATAACTGTTGTTATTTCCATTTGTTCCAAGAATTGGTCCATGCAGGTCCACCTGGGCTGACCTTTATTCTCGACCACTAAGCTTCTTAAATCTTCCTTTCCCTTAGGTGAGTCTGTGATGTCTGTGGGAATATGGGATCATCTTGTGTCAGATGTTCCATGCACAAACGTCCTGGCACTCCTCAAATATAACAGCCAACAATTTTAACCACATTGGATCTACTTGTTTTTGTTTTGTTTTGTTTTGTTTTGTTTTGATGCCATAAATCCATTTGGAAGTTTGGCCTCAGACAAACCCTCAGGCAAGTTTGGAACATAGGAGGGCATAGAGAGATAACCTTGAGTTGTTTTTTTTTTTTTAGGAAGCACAGCCTCAGCCCTTTAATATCAGTTCTGCTCTTTTCCCAAAAGGTGGTGGTGATGCATGAGTTAAACCACACACCCTTTTTATTTGAAGAAATGGAGATAGAATATGTAGCTTACTGTCTGTAAAAGAACATGAGAGATTGAAGTAATACAAAAAAATCTAAAAGACAAAGCTTAGGAATTCTTAAATAGAATCTGAACACATTTGTATCCTGACAGCTAAGTTCAGAACCTGTGAAATAGTTCTTGAATGTATGAATTAATGAAAGAAAATTCAATTTTTTTAAAGGATGGAAGTGCTTGGTTGGAGAACTAAATAGTTGAGTGAACACAGTACACAGACTTGAGTGAACACAACACACAGACTTACTGAGATGTCTGCACCGTTGCTATTTTCTGCTTGCTGCAGGTGTCCCAGGGGATGCAGAACATGGTTACAAGGGAAAAGGAGTTGGAGACTGTCAATTGCCTTCAGAGTAAGAGGAAAGGGAAGAAGAAAGCGCAGAGCAGGAGGAGGAAGGATGGGGCAGGGCTCTCATCTGGCTGAGTGACATGAATTCTCAGAATGTAAACGAAGATAACAGCATATCCTTAAAGCTGCGTTCATAACCCTGGCTAAGATTCTGGACAGATAAAATGCATGCCTGTTAGCCATGCATGATGGCATCTGCATGTAGTCTCAGCTGCTAGAGAGGCTGAGGCAGGAGAATTGTTTAAGCCCAGGAGTTCCAGGCTGCAGTGAGCTGTGATTGCACCACTGCTCTCCAACCTGGGTGACAGATCAAGACCCTGTCTTAAAAAAAAAAAAAGAAAGAAAGAAAGAGAAAAGAAAAGAAAGAAAGAAAAAGAAAAGGAAAATGGTCTGGCAATAGAGTGAAATTTTGTCTCTTAAAAAAAAAGAAAAGAAAAATAGAAAAACAAAAACAAAACCACTGGGGACTCGAAAAGAGGGAGAGGGTGGGAGAAAGTTAAGCATTGAAAAATTATCTATTGGGTACAATGTTCATTATTTGGGTGATGGGTTCACTAGAAGTCCAAACCCCAGCATTATGCCATATACCCATGTAACAAACCTGCACATGTATCCCCGAATTTAAAGTAAAAATAATTTTGTTTTAAAAGCATGCCTACATCTATATCCTGGGATCTCAGGAATGCTCCTTTAATGACGCATTTTAGCTGTCACTTTGACTGGGTCATGGAATGCCAAGATCCCTGATTAGACATTATTTTTTAGTGTGTCTGTAAGGGTGTTTCCAGAAGAGATTAGTATTTGAATCCATAGATTAAAGCAGATGAAACCTCCACAATGTGGGCAGACATCATTTAATCCCCTGAAAGCCAGAAGAGATAAAAAAGGTGGAGGAAGGCTGACTCTCCCTCTTTCTTCCTCACTGCTGAGCTGGGACATTTATCTTCTGCCCTGAGTGCTCCCAGCTCTCAGGTCTTCAGACTTGGACTGGAATCTACACCATTGTCTCTCCAGCTCTCAGACCTTCTTCAATGACACCACTGGCTTTTTTGGGTCTCCAGCTTGCAGACAGCACATTGTGGGACTTCTCAGCTTCCATAATTGCATGAGCCAATACTTAAACTAAATCTCTTTCTATCCATCTGTTGTTCTACTATTCTATCATTATGTCATTCTATCTGTCAATTGTTCTAGCCATCCACAGTTCTATTCATCTGCCCATCTACCTCTCCACCCTTGCACCCCACTGAAGCCTCCAGGTCCCTTTTCCTGCAAAATTATATCTCCTCTGGATGTCTGGTAATTTCCTTGTGCTGTTGTTTAGTTTGGCTGTTGACTTTCAAATTTCTCTTGTCTCTTTTAGAAATGGCGACCATTAAATGAATAAAGTGTCTTATTTCAAAGAGAACAGGTGGACATTTGTGGATTCTGCATAATGTATGAGGAAGGAGGTCAGGCATGAGACTTGTGTTCTGCAAATGCTTCTGAGGATGTTTCTTAATGCCACCATCTGATTATTCAAGGTCACCATATTGTCCTCTGATTATATGAAGACTTATTGGCTGCAAATGTAATGAAGACCAATGCCACCTGTCTATTGACCCTGTAATTTCTCCTTTCATTGAATTACTGAAATTTATTTATCAATCAATTTGCCTTTTATAGGCTTTTATAATTATAAGGAGCCTTGAAGAGTAAATGGTGTGGTGTCCAAATCACATTAGCTGGTCACTAAGGGAAATACTAATATAAACACAAATTTTTCTTCATAATCCATATAAGTTTGATTAATTGATAATTCCCTTCAGCTTTATCATACACTAAGGTATCTACGTAGCAGAAAAATGAGGAAAAAACCCGAATTGCTACGAGATTATGCTTCAGATTTTTTAAAAAATCATTTGTAATTTTACATTATTACATGAGGAAATTAATGGCTTAAGTGGGATAAATTAGTTACCATGTTTGTAGCTGTTTTAGACCTAGATCTTTTTTTTTCCATAAGAACACTCTGCCTTATAATTGATTTACTGAGTTTTAGTGAGATATTGCTCACATATCCTAAAGTTCCCTCTTTTAATGTGTCCAATTTAGTGGTTCTTTGTATGTTCACAGAGTCATGCAACCATCACCTCTAATTCCAGAACATTTTTATCACCCCAAAAGGGAAACCTCATATTTGTTAAACATTTACTTCCCATTACCTCTGTCTCCAATCCCTGGCAACCACTAATCTATATTCTGTCTATATATTTACCTAGTCTTGGCATGTCATGTAAATGGAATCATATAACATGTGGCATTGCCTGTCTGGTTTCTTTCATTGAGCATGATGTTTTCAACGTATAACCGTGTTGTAGTCTATGTCAGAATTTCATTTCTTTTTATGGCCAAATATTACTCCTCTGTATGGGTTGGCCACTCCTTTGAATAGATAAACACGCGAATGTTTGTGTATTCATCCATTGATGGACATGCGTGTGGTTTACAATTGTTTGGCGATTATGAATACTGCTGTATGCACATTTGTATACCAGTTATTGTGTGGCCCTGTACGTTCATTTATTTTGAGTATATACATAGGAGTGGAATAGATGGAGTCAAAGAGTCACTCTACATTTAACATTTTGAGGAACTGCCAGACTGTTTTCCAAAATGGCTGTGTCTTTTTATAGTAGTGTGGGAAAGTTCCATCAGTAGTGTAGGAAGGTTCTATCAGTAGTGTATGAAGGCTCCCAACAGTAGTGCAGGAAAGTTCCATCTTTTTCTCTACCCTTTCCAACACTTGTTATTATGTCTCTTTTTCATTTTTAATTCTAGCTACATCACACACATTGACCCCATAAAAATACTAATTTCAAAAAAACAAATTGAAGTTTCTACTTTTAATTGCAAAAGATTATTTCTGCTCAACCTCAGTAATCATCAGGGAAATCCAAATTAAAACCGCAATGAGATTTTATCTTACCCCACTCAGAAAGGCTATTATTAAAAAGATCAAAAATAACAGATGTTGATGAGGATACAGAGAAAAGGGAATGCTTAAATACTGTTGGTTAATACAACCTTTATGGAAATCAATATGAAGATTTCTCAAATGACTAAAATTAGAACTACCATTTGATCCAGCAATTTCACTACTGGATATGTACTCAAGGGAAAATAAGTCATCATATTAAAAATAAACCTATACTCACATGTTTGTGGCAATCCTATTCACAATAGCAAAGGTAGGGAATCAACTTAAGTGTCCATCAATAGTAGGCTGGAAAAAGAAAATGTGGTACATATACACCACAGAATACTATTAGCCATAAAAAAGAATGAAATTATTTCTTTTGCAGCAACATGGATGAAACTGGAGGTAACTATCTTAAGTGAAACAAACCAGGCACAGAAAGTCAAATACTACATATTCTCACTCACAAGTGGGTGCTAAATAATGTGTACAAATGGACATAGAGAGTAGAATGACAAACAATAGAGATGCGAATGGGTGAGTGGGTGGGAGGGAGGAGTGAATGATGAGACATTAGTTAATGGGTACAATGTATGTTGATTAGATGATAGATAACCTAAAAGTCCTGTTTTGACCACTGTGCAATCTATGCATGTAACAAAAGGCACCTCTACCTCATAAATTTGTACAAAAAAAGATTGTTTCATTGACAGAAGAATGCACTACCATATTTTTTTAAACTAGATTCTTCCTATACATTTTAAAATGCTGCTTGATATACTTAATTTTTTAAAATGATCACCTTAGATGCAAGCTAGACTCATAACTCAATACGCAATATTTTGGGTATGCTGATTTACAGAAGTGAAAACGATTCCAGCAATAACTAACCTTTTGCAAGTGAGGACATCCATCCAGCAGGGTCTCTGGTATCCCCATATCTCTGAGCTGCTTCCATTACAACAACACTCACAGAGGGCTTCAGTCATGTCTCAAATACATGCTAGAGTTTCCCTATCAGGATGGCCAGCCCTCTGCTGTGGTCGTGACCTTGATCACCCTCTACGATCTCAGCATCTTCTATCATAAAGTTGACTCCACCTCAATGACGAAGTATCTCTCCTCTTTCTCGGTTTGTCCCACCACATCTTCATCCCTATTACATCTTTCCTCTACTTAAATTGGGGTATTGTTCCCTTCTCATTGGTCTTATGCTATTTTAGGAGACTGCTAATTAAGTATTCTTTACCCAGAGGGCTGGAGGAGGGAATCATCTCCAGGTTAGGTCAAAGGATACTTAAATTGCAACAATCAGAGGGTCAAATGTAGATTTGCCTTCCCACAGAAAACCAAATGGTGCATGAGATGGAAGCCAGGGACCTTTAATATCTGTTAACCGTAGACATGCGGGTGCCTTGGTGAGTGAGTCTTCCCCATGGATGCAAACAGCCCTGTTTCTGCGTGACTCAAAGGTTCTCTCCCCTCATTCAGTATCATTATACAGACTATTATTTGGAGACTGCTCTCTAGGTCAGGCATCTAACTGCCCACTGAGGAAAGAGTGAGAATAAACAGTCTTTCCTCTCCAACTGTTTTAGTTTGTGAAAAGGCAATCCACTGTTATAAAGGCGAGATGTTCTGCAATTCTTCTCGCACAATGCACCTTTCTATGATACAGTGAGCTCCAATGCAATTGAATTCACAGCGGCACTCCTAACTCAAACCGGGGTCACAGATATCCTCCTGGGAGATGGAAAGGCTAAGAGGACCTACGAATTCTAGCAGGAGTCACCTGGGGGAAGAAGTTCACCGGTGACGTCCAAACAGAATACGGCTTGTTGAGAGGAGGGGAAAACCTTGTTGTAGGAAGCAGCATTCAACCCTCAACAGATGGTGACCAGTTAAGTCAGTTGGAGCACAATGGTTACCACACTTTCATGTCTGCTCTTTTGTAATTTATGGTGCAAATTTGCTTTCCTTCCAGGAGTCTGGTATTTAGGAAGGTGGTAAGCAGAGGGTGCCTATGTGACCAGCCGCTAATAAAATCTTTGGTTGTGGAGTCCCTGATGGGTAGAAACACTCTTTGGGCATGACTGTTTTTGTTACTGTTACTCCTAAGAAGCCTGTGCTTGGATTTCTTCAAACTATGACAGTGTCTTTTTCCCTTAATGATGTGGCTGAGTATCATTACTGTGTTGCTGTAATGAGTCTTAACTCTAACTACTTCTCACAAATTTTTGAGCATGGGTTGGTCTTGGGCACACCCCAAACAAATAAAATACAACTTTCCACAAATTGAACACAGCTTTCCACAAATTGAATATAACTTTCCACAAATTGAACACAACTTTTGCTTTTCACAACATCCTGTGTTGTGAAACAAGACGCCAAGAGTTTTCTGCATGCACTCACCTGCAATGGAGTGATTTTCATGTTTGCCCATCCCCCCCAGTAAATATAAAATGTTGTAACATCTTTATAGGCAGGAAGTATTTCTCACTCATCTTTGTTTTTTTTCCTTTTATTTTTTAATTGACATAATAATTGAACATATTTATGGGATACACAGTGGTGTTGCAATACATATAATGTAAAGTGATCAGATTGGGGTAATTAGCATATCCATCATCCTGAATATTTATCATTTCTTGGTGTTGGAAACATTCAATATTCTCCTTCTAGCTGAATAAAAACATATATATTGTTAACTGTAGACATCCTACAGTGGTATAGACCACCAGAACGTATTCCTCTTATCTGGCTGTAATTTTGTATCCTTTAACTAATCTCTCCCTATCTCCTCCTTCCCACCACCCTTCCCAGGCTGTAGTATCCTCTGGTCTAGTTTTTAATTCTATGAGATCAACTTTTCTTTTAACTTTTACATTAAATTCAAAAGTACAAGTGCAGGTGATATGGTTAGGCTTTGTGTCCCCACCCAAATCTCATCTTGAATTAAAATTCCCATAATCCCTATGTATCAAGGGAGAGACCAGGTAGAGGTGATTTGATCATGGGAGTGGTTTCCCCCATGCTGTGCTCATGACAGTGAGTGAGTTCTCATGAGATCTGATGGTTTTGTAAGGTGCTTTTCCCCCTTCGTTCCTCACACTCTCTCACCTGCCACCAGGTAAGACATGCCTCTTCCCCTTCTGCCATGATTGTGACTTTTATGAGGCCTCCCCAGCCATGCAGAACTGTGAGTCGATTAAACATCTTTTCTTTATAAATGACCAAGTCTCGAGTTGTATCTTTACAGCAATGTGAAAGCAGACTAATACAACACATTTATTACATAGGTAAAATTATGTCATCAAGATTCGTTGTACAGATTATTTCATTACCCAAGCATTAACCCTAGTACCCAATTCATATATTTTCTGCTCCTCTCCCTCCTCCCACCCTCCACCCTTTTGTGGGTCCCAGTGTCTGTTGTTTACTTCTTTGGGTCCATGTGTTCTCATAATTTAGCCCCCACTTATAAGTGAGGACATGCGGTATTTGTTTTATTTGGTTTTCTGTTACTGCATTAGTTCGGCAAAGACAATGGCCTCCAGCTCCATCCATGTCCCTGCAAAGGACATGATCTCATTCTTTTTTATGGCTGTGTAGTATTCCATGGTCTCACTCAGCTTCGTTTCCTTGCTTCCTAGTACAGGATGCAGTGCTTGGCTTATGGTAGGCCCTCCATGGCTTATGGTAGGCCCTCCGTGAATATTTACCAAACAAATGCAGAATGAAGGGATTGCCAATCATTCAGCAGTTTTCCTTCATCCTTTGAAAATAACTATTATTATTACTATTTTACATATTTAATGGGTACAAGTGCAGGTTTCTGACATGCATACATTGCATACTGGTGAAGTCTGGGCTGTTAGTGAACCCATCTCCTAAACAGTGAATATTATACCCACTAGGTAATGTTTCAACCCTCACTCCCCTTCCACTCTTCCCATCTTTGGATTCACCAGTTTCTGTTATTCCACTCTCTATGTCCATGTGGACTCATTGTTTAGCTCCACATATAAGTGAGAATATGTGGTATTTGACTTTCTGTTTCTGAGTTATTTTACCCAGAAGAACGGCCTCTAGTTCCATTTATTTTGCAAAAGACATGATTTCATTCTCTTGTATGGCCAAGTAGTTTTCTGCAGTGTGTATGTACCACGTTTTCTTTATCCAGCCCTCTGTTGATGGGCACTTCGGTTGATTCCATATCTTTGCATTTGTGAATAGTACTGCAATAAACATGCAAGTGCAGTTGTCTTTTTGATATAATGATTTATCTTCCTTTGGATACATACCAAGAAGTTCACCACTTTGGTTATTGAAGACAGTTTCTAAGGACAGATCATTAATCTATTGTCACCAATCAGGGGAGACCGTGTCCTATATAATTGCAACTTCAAAGTTAGTAAAGGCCAATTTTTATTTGAGGGAAAAAAATCTTACTTCCAGGAATGTATTATAAAATGCCAGGCAGGTTTATCGCAGCTGGGATCACTGTCACTACAGAACTGTCTGGGGAGTCCATGTTCTCTTATAAATCAGCCTGGCTCTTCATATATGTTTGGGCTGACTTGTCATTTACCTTTCTTGGGAAGAAGCAAGAAAAAGATGAACCTCACCCCAACTTACTTGTGTCCTCTGATAAATATAGCCCTGGTGAGATTTCGTGGAAAGTTTTCACACAGAAAATGTGAAACTTTATCTTGAAAATAGCAGATAAGTCAACTATTTAATGATGAAAGAACGCATATACACTGGTTGACTGGCCAGGGAATGTGGCTTTTACTAATGAAGAAGTAACAAGGAAAGCCTATGAAATTAAAAACCAAAACAGTTTTCTGTCATTGTTTTGTTTATAAGAGATCAATTTTATACTTTCTTTTAATATATCTGTTCTTTTTCTTTTTTCTTTTCTTTCCATTTTTTTTTTTCCTTGATACAGGGTATTGCTTTGTCACCCAGGCTGGAGAGCAATGATGTGATCATAGCTCTCTGCAGCCTCAACTTCCTGGGCTCAACTGATCTTCCCACCTCAGCCTCCTGAGTAGTTGGAACCAGAGGCACACGCCACCACACCAGGCTATTTTATTATTATTATTATTTGTAGAGATGGGTTCTTTCTATGTTGCCCAGGCTGGTCTCAAACTCCTGAGCTCAAGTAATTTTTCCATCTCAGCCTCCCAAGTTCTTGGAATCACAGGCACACACCACTGTGCCCAGCTATTTTAAAAAATTGTTTGTAGGGACAGGGTCTTGCTCTATTGCCCAGGCTAGTCTCAAACCCCTTGGCTCAAGCAATCCTCCCACCTCAGCCTCCCAAAGTCCTGGGATTAGGGGCATGAGCCACAGCACCCAGCCAACATTTCTATTTTTTCTACTAAAATGCTCTTCGTGCAGAATGTTTTTAGCAATGATAGCTCATATCCTCCAAGAACAGAGCATACGAAGTCTACAGATGAGATCAGAAATACGCCGTTTTTTGATATCTCCTATCTCCTGTGTTCACAAACTTCACGAGGCTTTTTAAGACAGTTTTACAAACCCCACTTATGGGAAGGTTGGTGTGCTCACATATCTCCAAATCCACCTCCAGATTTGATGATCTACTAGAATAACTCAAAAGACTGAGCAGATAATCATACTCTAAGCTATGATTTATGTAAGCAAAATATAGCAAGAAAAATTAGCAAAAGGAAATAGCAAATGAGGTGAATGCCACAGGAAACCAGGTGCAAGCTTCCAAGGAAATTCTCTCTCACTGGAGTCACAGAGGATGTGATTAATTCCTCCAGTGATGAATTTTGACAAAGCGTTTGAAATGCTCTCTACCAGGGAATGCCCTTGGAGACTCAGTACCCAGGATTTTTATGGGGGGGATCTTCACAAAGACATCTACCGAAATTTCAGCCATCTGGAAAGAAAGCAGGTGTTCTCCCCAAATTACATTTTTGGGGTGTAGTGTAGACATCATGAGCCATGCTTATCAGTTAGGGTAGCGGGAAGTTCCCTAAGTCCAAGTTCTTAAATGGCAGTCTTGGGCCAACCTAATAAGTATGACTTTCTCAGGATAGTCTTTCTCAGGATAGAGCTCAGGTCCTTAGCTCAACTCTTTTTAGTAGGCTTTTTATTTTTTATTTTGTTTTATAGCACAGTATGAAGGAATATCCAGGTTCATAGGAAGTTTTCAACCAATGTCTGCAATGATGTCTCTATGACAAAAGATGGTTTTCAGAGAAAATCCCTTATATATTGCTAAATAGAACTAATCTCCCCCACTATTGGGTATATTAACCATGGCAGCATATTCTTCTTATTTTTAAGCTGGATATATAAACTCGTTTTTCTTTTGTATTTGTATAAATTTAAGGGGTCCAAGTGCACTTTTATTACATCTGTATATTGCCTAGTGGTGAACTCTTGGCTTTTAGTGTATCCATCACCTGAATAATGTACATCATACCCAATAAGTAATTTCTCATCGCTTATCCCTCCCTGACCCTCCCACCCTTCTGAGTCTCCAGTGTCTATTATTCCACTCTCTATATCCAAGTGTACACATTATTTACCTCCCACTTATGAGTAAGAACATGCAGTATTTGACTTTCTGTTTCTGAGCTGTTTCACTTAAGGTAATGTCCTTCAGCTCCATCCATGTTGCTGCGTATAGTAGAAAATTCTAATGGCAACCACACCTGATGTGGAATTATCTTTGTGTGTGTGAAATAAAATTATATACCATAATAGTCACCCTTTTAAAGAGCACAACTCCGTGGCTTTTAGTATATTCGTAATTGTGCAATGTCACCACTATCCAATTGCAAAATACTTTTATAACAGCACAAAGAAGCCTCATATCTATTAAAAGTTACAACTTCAAAGTTAGTAATATGGACTGGGTGCGATGGCTCGTGCCTATAATCCTGACACTTTGAGAGGCCAAGGTGGGCGGATGGCTTGATTCCAGGAGTTTGAGACCAGCCTGGGTAACACAGTGAGACACTGTCTCTACAAAAAGTACGGCCGGACGCGGTGGCTCACGCCTGTAATCCCAGCACTTTGGGAGGCTGAGGCGGGCAGATCACGAGGTCAGGAGATCAAGACCATCCTGGCGAACACGGTGAAACCCCGTCTCTACCAAAAATACAAAAAAATTAGCTGGGCATGGTGGCGGGAGCCTGTAGTCCCAGCTACTCGGGAGGCTGAGGCAGGAGAATGGCGTGAAGACGGGAGGCAGAGCTTGCAGTGAGCCGAGATTGTACCACTGCACTCTAGCCTGGGCGACAGAGGAAGACTCTGTCTCAAAAAAAAAAAAAAAAAAAAAAATATATATATATATATATATATATATGTTAGCTGTGCATGGTGATGCACACCTGTCGTCCAGCTACTCAGGAGGCTGAGGTGGGAAGATCACCTGAGCCCGGGGAGGTGGAGGCTGCAGTGAGGTGTGATCATGCCACTGCACTCCAGCCTGGGTAATAGAGCAAGTCTCTGTCTCAAAAAAAAAAAAAAAAAAAAAAAAAAAATTCTCTCCTCTTTCTCTCACCCACCCAAGTCCCTGAAAACCATGAGTCTACTTTTTGACTCCATGAATTTGCCTCTTCTGGACATTTCTTGTAAATAGAATCATACACCATGTGTCCTTCTTTCACTCAGCATAACTTCTTCAAAGTTTATCCACATATTAGTGTGTGTCGGTACTTCATTTTTTTTTTGTTTTTTTCAAATGAGCAATTGGGTTTTCAAGTAGTGAGTTCAGGGGTCTAACACTGGATAAAGACAGGTTTTTTTGTTTGTTTTTGTTTCATCCAATTATTTTTCTTCTCTATTATTAATAGGGGAAACAGTTAACATTTAAAATTATAAATTTGCCTTCTGAGTAAGGCATTGGCTACATCCCATAACTTTAGTATTGCCATGTTTTCTAGTAGTTTAGTAATGTACTATATTCTAATTAATGCTTATTACAATTATGATTTCCTCTTACATCCGATATTTATACCAGACAGAGTTTCTTATTACTTGTATTTGTTTGTCTCATACATTTTTTATTTTGATGTCATTCTGAATTGATGCACCAACTATAAATTAGTGATAAAATGCTGCCTGGACCACATTAGCTTTTATGAATTTATTAAGATTCTCTTTCTGGTGTGGTATATTAACAGCACTTGGGAGCATCCTGTGGACAAATGAAAAGGGGACACGGAATCTGCTTGAAAAGATATGTTCTGAAGCTTAGGGTTGATCTCTGCCACAGGGCTGTTCTTTTTGTAGTATAAAGTGATTTCCCAAAGAACTTAAAACAGAACTACCATTTGACCCAGCAATCCCATTATTGGGTACATACCCAAAGGAATATAAATCATTCTACCATAAAGACACATGCACGCATATGTTTATCTCAGCACTATTCACAATAGCAAAGACATGGAATCAACCTAGGTGCCCATTAGTGGTAGACTAGATAAAGAAAATGTGGTACGTAGGCAACATGGAATACTGCACAGCCATAAAATAGAACGAGATCATGTCCTTTGCAGCAACGTGGATGGAGTTGGAGGCCATTGCCCTAAGTGAACTAACACAGGAATAGAAAACCAAATACTATGTGTTCTCACCGATAGGTGGGAGCTAAACATTTAGTACACATGGACACAAAGAGGGGAACAATAGTCACTGGGGACTACTTGAGGGTGGAGGGTGGGATGAGGGTCAAAATAAAAATACTACCTATCGGGTACTATGCTTATTACCTGGGTGATGAAATAATCTGTACACCAACCTAAAATAAGTTTATTTAAAAAAAAAAAAAAAAAACAAGAAAACAACAACAACAGCTGTAGGCAGGTGACCTCTTAGATCTCTACAGGTGACTGTCCTAGACTTCAGATGAACCCTTTAATATTTTGTTAATGATTGTTTCACAGAGATAATTTCTCTTTCATTATGGGTCTGTAATGTGGAGCCTTATGTTGATGAAAAGAATTATTTATGGAACATTGTCAAAGTCCAGGTGCCATTGTGAGGCGTGGATTCTCAGCATCCACATGGCCTTCATCAGTGTGTACTGGCTGAAGGTGGCACTTCCTGTATTACAGATATAGTGGTGGAGAGCCTCTTCCCAGAGACACGGGGCCTGGCAGACTAGCAAGTCATCTTATTTCCAATGTGCTTATGGAGTTCCCCTCAACAGCGCCCTGTGATAGACAGCCCAGAGAATCTGAGCTATGTTCCTGCCGTGAACATAGTTGATCATTCTCTACCACTGAGTACTGGGGCTCCCAGCTCCTGGCACTCCATCAGTCAGCATTTGCCAAGCTCTCATGGTGCAGGAAAAAAAAGTGTTGCATACACAGGAAAAGTATCAACAGAAGAGGAAGATGTGGTATGTGCTCTTTAGCAATTTAATTTGATTAGATGTATTTTTTGCTGTTACAAAGAAAGCCTGTGGCTGGAATAAAAGTGTGAAGAGCTGCTGAGAACCACCAACAGTACGGCATTTAATTGCCCTGGATTTCAATTTTCTCATTTGTAAAATGGGAACCAGATGAGATTATCTGTGTGAAAGACCTCTTTGCTTATTTATTGAACATACGATTTTGCTCTGTCGCCCAGGCTAGAGGGCAGTGGTGCGATCAAAGATCACTGCAGCCTCCATCTCCTAGCTCAAGTGATCCTCCCACCTGAGCCTCCCAAGTTGCTGGAAGTACAGGAGGGCACCACCACACCCAGCTAATTTATTCTATTTTCTGCAGAGAAGGGGTCTACTATGTTGCCCCAGCTGATCTTGTGCTCCTGGGCTCAAGTGGTCCTCCTGCCTTGGGTTCCCAAAGTACTGGGATTACAGGTGCGAGCCAGCTCACTGGGCCTGCACTTTTAAAATAATATGAGATTTTGAAGGGCTTTAACCTTCCTCTATTCTTCCTCTTCACTGCCTAGTATAGGAATAAGTGTGTATGGTTATGAAATCCTAAGTTGTTTGCCAAGTAAGATACCATAAGAGAAGAGAGAAAAAAAGAGTCAGAGACAGAGAGAGAGAGGGAGGGAGGGAGAATTATTTCTCTACTACTATTGTCTTGGATATTTGTTGACAAGGTGACACAAAGAACTAGGTGAAATTAAGCGTAATGGGCACTAAACATCAATTTGGGGAAAAGACCAATTCATAGCATCTTACTCATGGTGGTATTTTGGAACATTAACGGCTGAATCACCTTAGTTTCCATTCAACCTATACTATGAAGTAGGACTTAAAAAATTAACTGGAATTTAGAGTTTTTATGAGTATTATGCATGATTCTAAATACAACCATTCTAAACAACAGAAAACATATGATTTTATTTCTTTCAGTCTTAAGGAGCTTACCATACAAGTAAATTTATGGCACTTGCTTCTGCAATATATTCTGGCCATGTGAGCTGAAGCTGTTTTTCAAAATGCATGTATACAATTTTTTTATTAAGGGAGAATATTCTTTTCTTTTCTTTTTTTTTTTTTTTTTTTTTTTTTTGAGACGGAGTCTTGCTCTGTCACCCAGGCTGGAGTGCAGTGGCACAATCTCAGCTCACTGCAAGGTCCGCCTCCCGGGTTCATGCCATTCTCCTGCCTCAGCCTCCCGAGTAGCTGGGACTACAGGCGCCCGCCACCATGCCCAGCTAATTTTTTGTAGTTTTTAGTAGAGACGGGGTTTCACTGTGTTAGCCAGGATGGTCTCCAGCTCCTGACCTTGTGATCTGCCCGCCTCAGCCTCCCAAAGTGCTGGGATTACAAGCGTAAGCCACCATGCCTGGCCCGAGAATATTCTTATACTTAGATGCAGGCTCAAGATTTGCCAACTACAAATTTCTATTTGGATTTCCTTTTAGGGGAAGATTTAGTGTCAAAATTAACATCTCTGGAGAATGTCCAGCCTTCCAAATATGATTCCTTGATCAAATACTCCCATTCCTGAAAAACCTTCCTTTGATATCAAAATTTTTAAAGAATAAAATGTTGACTAAACCATTAAATTTTAATTTAATTTTGTAAGATTGTTGGTTTCTAGAATTTAACAGCATCATATATTTTAACAATTTAATACATTAGAAATAACAGATTTAAATGTTTAAAAGTTTAGAGGCTTTTTTAAGAGTATAACTCATAGACCATAACGTTCAACCTTTCAAAGTATACAGTTCGATGGTTTTTTCTATGTTCAGAGTTTTACAACCATCACCACTATCTAACTTCAGAATATTTTCATCATCACACAGAAACCCAGTACCCATTAAGTAGTTACTTCCCATACACTCTCCCTCCAGCCCTGACAACCACTAATCTGTTTTCTGACTCAACAATCTTTCAGCTACTGTGATAGTCACTGACAAAAACATTTGAGTTCAAAGAAGATATAATCAAAGACTGGTGGCTTGCTCGGGGAACTGTCTTACTGCTCTGCAGGTGTTTTTGCCATAAGTATGTCCACTTGATCCTCAATTCATTCCTGATATGGTTTGGCTCTGTGTCCCCACCTGAATCTCATGTCAAATTGTAATTCCCAGTGTTGAGGGAGGGATCTGGTGGGAGGTGATTGGATCACGGGGGTGCACTTTCCCTTTGCTGGTCTCATGATAATGAGTGAGTTCTCACGGAACCTGATGGTTTTAAAGTATGTAGCACTTTCCCCTTTGCTCTCTCTCTCTCTCCTGCCGCCATGTGAAGAGGGTGCTTGCTTCCCCTTAGCTTTCTGCCATGATTGTAAGTTTCCTGAGGCCCCCAGTCATGCTTTCTGTTAAGCCTGTGGAACTGTGAGTCAATTAAAGTTCTTTTGTTTATAAATTACCCCGTCTCAGGTAGTTCTTTATAGCACTGTGAGAACGAACTAATACAATTTCCTTTGTTGTGCATACATCCAACATAAAGAACCCCATTCCCCATGCTCAGTTGGGGATTAAAAGCAATTGAATAACTTTTTCCATAGACATTGTCATTCTTCTCTTGTAAATTCAGGGATTGAGGTCTTGGTGGATGACTACTGTCATCTGTGTATGAGCTGGACATAAGGTTGAAGGAAGTGACTGAAGGTAAATTACAGCCTTACTCACCATCCTAAAAATCCCAGCCTTCCATTGTGGAGCTTGAGGGCCCTGATACAGCATTATTAGTGCTCTGGAAATATAACATGACTGACCAGGAGCCAGCACGGATGAAAAAATGCCCAGTTGCCCCATCAATTGCTCAAAATCTATTATTCACACTACACAAAAACACACAGCATATGAGGTCATAAATAAGTTAATTAGCTTTATTTAGTCACCCCACAATGTATACAAATATCAAAACATCATGCTGTACACAACTAATATATACATTTTTGTCAAATGGTAAATACATTTAAATTTTTAAAATCTATTTATTTTAACCTATTTTTTAAATATTTATTCATTTGTTTTTTGAGACAGAGTCTCACTCTGTCACCCAGGCTGGAGTGCAATGGCGCGAACTTGGCTCACTGCAAGCTCCGCCTCCTGGGTTCAAGCAATTCTCCCGCCTCAGCCTCCCGATACAGGCACCCACCATCATGCCTGGCTAATTTTTATATTTTTGTAGAGATGGGGTTTCACCATGTTGGCCAGGCTGGTCTTGAACCCCTGACCTCAGATGATCCACCCACCTCAGCCTCCTAAAGTGCTGGGATTACAGGCGTGAGCCACCGCACCTGTCCATCTATTTTTATTTTTAAGGGATAGAGTTTCACTATGTTTCCCAGGTTGGACTTGAACTCTTGGCCTCAAGTGATCTTCCCACCTTGGCCTAAATGCAAGTGTGGTGGTGCTTGTCTATAGTCCCAGGTGTGATTTATTTCAGATCACTCACTATCTTCATTATCCTGAAGTATGAATCTACAAGGCATGATTTTATGATTCTATGGATTAGGATCAAGAGTGTCTTTTTGAATATTTACATAGAGGGGCTGAAAAATGAATCTCCTGTAGAATGTCTTAGTAAGAAATTGCATTTAAAATGTGAAGCAAATTGAATATGTGAAGCATATTGAATACCAACAAATACATATAATTATGGTCCATATTGAAATCTCAAAGACCAATATAATTTAGGGCAAAAATAGGGATACTAAACTTAATAACAAAGAGAGGCTATTTTATCCTTCCAAAATAAAAAGACATCGCTGATTAAAGAAGAGCCCTGTAAAGAGAACTCCATTAACCATTGTTCTGCTCATTTATTTAGTGCAGGCAAAGACATTGTTCTCAATGTCCCTGGAGTGGCCTTAGAAAGCCACAGAACACAAAAATACAAGTATTAATAACAACAGATCATTAATGAATACTTGTTAACTTTTACAATACATTTGTTATACATAAAATTAATAATTTGTTACCAATTAAATTAATAATATATGAACGCATGGATAATTTAACATTAAGAACCCAGGTTTGAGTCAACCAGGAAAAGAAAAGTGGAATTCCACAGTATGGTCATGCATCTTAGTAGAATAAAAGAATCTCTATGACCTACCCATCTTTGCCTCTTTGCTAGCAGAATACCTCCTCTCTTACCTTGCCTGAAACAATGCAAAACAGCAAAGATACTTTTTTTATGACCCAAAACATTACTTTATCCACCTGGCAATTTTGTTTTCCTGTTGGAATTACTTTTTTAAACGAAATCATGAGGAGCTCCAGTTAAGAAGCAAAGTGTGTTGTTTTTCTTCCTAGATGGAATGTTTTGTTGTAACTCACAGGAACATATATGGGCAGTACAATCTTTCTCAAGGTGGTTTCTGAAATGCATCACATCTAAACAGACACTGTATTGTCTCTCCTCCACATAAACAAGCCTTTATCAGCCATGATGCAAAAAATCAATATTTTGATTATGTGAATTTTTATACTATTAAAATAATAAAAAAAAACTTTAGAAGAATTTAGCAGAGTTTATTTGAGCAAAGAGTGATTCACGAGTTGGGCAGCACTTGGGAGCAGAGGAGGTTCAGAAAGCTGTGCCAAGCAGTGTGACAAGAGAGGTTTTATAGACCAAATACAGAAGCAAAGTAGAAAAATCATCTGATCGGCCACAGCTGGCCATCTTCTTTATTTGGGCATAATGTGATGAGACATTCACCTTATTTGAGAACAATCTGATTGGTTGTATAGCTGCGATTAACTGAAGCTCAACTGTTTGTAATGAGGTGAAACCCTAAGTTTTTCTTTCCTACATATTACATTAAATCTCTGTTTGTTATGTAGAGACTCCAAGTATGGAAGCATGACCACCTCATTTAATTTAACAAGACTTACAGTCCACCATTGGAGTCAGAATAGTACCTTTGTAAAAGAAATGTGTGTGAATTTTTCAAGAGCTGTGGCTTCCTTCAGCATCAAAGTTATTTTACACTGACATGTGCTCCATCTTCGGGATTTTTGTTTTTGTTTTTCTGAGACAGGGTCTTGCTTAGTCACCCAGGCTGGAGTGCAGCAGTGTGATCTCAGCTCACTGCAACCTCCACTTCCCAGGTTCAAACGATTCTCATGCCTCAGTTTCCCGAGCAGCTGGGACTACAGGCATGCGCCACCATGCCCAGCTAATTTCTGTATTTTTAGTAGAGACGGGGTTTCGCCATGTTGGCCAGGCTGGTCTTGAACTCCTGGCCTCAAGTGATCCACCTACCTCGGCCTCCCATAGTGTTGGGATTACAGGCGTGAGCCACCGCACCTGGCCTGGATTCTTTTGATGAGGTCCTGCAAGGGAAGGAGGAAAGCTTTCAAACGCTATGGAAATAGCACTGCAACTCCTGTTAATTGCTAATCCTGCATCCCAGAGAACCCCAGTGAATTGTGTGGTTGTTACAAGTATGAGCAGTTAGGGTTATTTTGAATATACTACCCAAACTCTTTTAAATGTGTGACTCCTGTTTTGTGTGTGTGTGTGTGTGTGTCTGTGTGTATGTGTCCTAGCTTTTCTCATCCTCTAGACAGATGTTAGCTGTGCATATATGTTAGCCTAATCGGGGGGGAAAACATGAGACACACGTATTATAAGTAGAGAGTTTATTTAGTCCAAGTTTGAAGATTGTAACCCAGGACCATAGGTTCAAGTTGCCCTGAATGTGTGCTCTGATTAACAGCAGGAACAAGTGAGTTTTTAAAGGAAAAGAAGAGGCAGTTCCTAAATTGTTTATCAAGAATTTACATGAAAGTAACATAAAATATTGATTGGCTGTACATTGTTCTTTGTATCACAAATTCCAGGGACATGAAGCTACTAAGTGAGGCAGCGAGTCAGAAATAAAATGCTTTCAAACAATTGCCCCCAGGCATGGGTACGAGGGTGAGTGAGTGTGGCTGAAGTCTCACATACACTTGTTTCCCTGGGCCTCATAAGTTTTGCATACTTCACATAACTCAGAGTACTCTGAGCTATAAAAATATCTATAAATATTATGTTGCTAACATTCTCCTGGAATTTGAGTAAGACTGGAAAAATCTTACAAAATAAATCATAAACTTCTATCTCAAATTTCTTTCAAAATTTCTAAATGACATCTATGCAAACCCAATTTGGAAAATAAATTGTGAACAAAAAAAAAATCACTTTAGAACTTACCAATTTTAATGGAATTTCAAGAAAACCCCAAAACAAACAAAAACATATGGAGAAGAATCTCTCTTGTAGAAATCACTCAACTGTAATATCCCTGAAGTTTAATTTCTTTGCATGGAAAAGAAACTGATTATAAAACTTGTTTAAAATGAGTTGAATGAGATAGTTTAAGAGTAATGTTCAATACGTTTTGATTTAAATAATAGATTGCTCACAGAATAAGTGTATGTTGATTTAAGCCTTCATTTTCTCATAATAGGAAATTTTACTGCTTTCCACACAGTATGACAGCTTGAGTTATAGCACAGCGGGTCGGAGCAAGAGCAACAATTGAGAACCATGTGCGTACAATTATGCAAATCCCTTATCATCGCCCCCTCCCCTAGGTCTCATTTAATTGTCTTCTTCTATATATGCAGCACTAATATTTCTAGAATCAGGGAAAAAAAGAAATAAAAATGAATAAAGCCTTATTCAAAGCCACAAGTGAATAAACACAATCATTAAATAGGACAATATGCAGAATAAAAATAGAAGGAAACTCCCATAAGGAACTAAAACACCAAAGAGAGAGAAAATATTTTAAGACTTTGTCTCTTTCTGTTGTAAACCATATGGATGTTCCAAACCAAAGCAAAAACTTTGGTAAAGTTGGAAGGCAATTCATTTACAAGGAATAAACTTTTTTCTACCTCTGATTTAAATTTTTCACCATTTTAATCCTTTATTCTTTTCCTGATTTAATGCAATTTTTTTTTCTCTTGGAGATTTGAGAATGGGACATATGCTGAACCCTATAAGCAAATGTCATAACTACTTGTTTGAGATTTATCTTCTTTAAATTGTATGTGGTATTTTAATGGGGATTGCGTTGAATTTGTAGATTGCTTTTGGCAGTATGGTCATTTTCACAATATTGATTCTACCCGTCCATGAGCATGGGATGTGTTTCCATTTGTTTGTGTCATCTATGATTTCTTTCAGTGGTGATTTGTAGTTTTTCTTCTAGAGGTCTTTTGAATCCTTGGTTAGGTATATTCCTAAGTATTTTTTTTTTACAGCTACTGTAAAAGGGGTGAGTTCTTGATTTGATTCTCTGCTTCATCACTGTTGGTGTATAAAGAAGAGGTACTGATTTGTGTACATTAATCTTGTATCCGGAAGCTCTGCTGAATTCTTTTGTCAGTTCTAGGAGCTTTCTGGAGGAGTCCTAAGGATTTTCAAGGTAAATGATCATATACTCAGCAAACAGTGGCAGTTTGACTTCCTCTTTACCGATTTGGATGCCCTTTCTTTCTCTTGTCTAATTGCTTTGGCTAGGACTTCCAGTACTATGTTGAAGAGCAGTGGTGAGAGTGGGCTACCATTTCATCCAGCAATCCAGCTACTTGGTATCTACCCAGAGGAAAACAAGTCATTATTCGAAAAAGATACTTGCACACACATGTTTATAGTGGCAGAATTCACAATAGCAAAATCATGGAACCAACCCAGATGCCCATCAATCAATGAGTGGATAAAGAAACTGTGGTATATATATGTATACATATATATATATGTATACATATATATATATATATATGTATACATATATATATATGTATACATATATATATATATGTATACATATATATATATGTATACATATATATATATATGTATACATATATATATATATGTATATATACGATGGGATCGTATATATGTATATATATGATGGGATACTATGCAGCCATAAAAAGGAGTGAATTAACAGCATTTGCAGTGACCTGGATGAGACTGGAGACTGTTATTCTAAGTGAAGTAACTCAGGAATGGAAAACCAAACATTGTATGTTCTCACTGATATGCTGGAGCTAAGCTATGAGGATGCAAAGGCAGGAGAATGATACAATGGACTTTGGGGACTTGGGGGGAAGAGAGGGAGGGGGGTGAAGGATAAAATACTACATATATGGTGCAATGTATACTGCTCAGGTAATGGATGCACCAAAATCTCACAAATCACCACTAAAGAACTTATTCATGTAACCAAATACCACCTGTACCACAATAATTTATGGAAAAAATTGTATGTAAGAGCATGATTATATAATTATGTCATAGGTATTGTTCATGGTATTGTTTCTTTTTTCTTTTAGTTTTTCCTTCCTTCCTTCTTTCCTTTCTTCCTCCTTCCTTCCTTACTTTCTCCTTCCCTTCTCCCCTTCTCCCCTTCTTTCTTTCCTTTTCTTTTCTTTTCTTTTCTTTCTTTCTTTCTTTCTTTCTTTCTTTCTTTCTTTCTTTCTTTCTTTCTTTCTTTCTCTCTTTTTCTTTCTTTCTTTCTTTCTCTCTCTCTCTCTTTCTTTTTTCTTTTCTTTTCTTTTCTCTTCTTTCCTAGCTTTTAATGATTGCCAGTAGTTTCTGGTGTTCCTGGGTTTGCAGCTGAATAACTCCAATTGCTGGCTGCATCTTCACATGGACTTTTTCTTTATTGTTTGCCTGTATCTCCATGTTTCCTTTTTTCTTATAAGGACAGCAGCCGTTGGATTTAGAGCCAACCCTAATGCGGTATGATCTTATTTTAACTTGACTGACATTGGGATAATTTGTGTGGGTCAGAGTCCTACGCATAGGTGGGATAACTTAGATTCCAAGACTAGATTCTAAACCTCGGCTTGATCACTGTCTGATATTGGGAAAGTTTCTGATCCAAACTTCATTTTTCTTATTCATAAAAGCATTAGCACCAGCAACTCTCATTTCAACAGATTCATGTAAAAATTAAATGAATCTGTGTAACATGTGGTTGTTGGAAACCCTTGGTCAGATCCTATCTAAGGATTCAAACACCACCAGATAAGCAACATAGAGTGAACACAGCATGTCTATTTTCTAACTCACCCTGAAACCAAATTTCCAAATATTTCCCCCCAAAATTATAAGTGTCGTTCTAAAGGACAAAACAAGATAATGATAGAATTCCTAGGAAAATTACTTTCCTGAAGAATTAGCTTGCTTGTTAAAGTATAGGGAGGCTAGAAAGTGGTGTATAATTTAGTACTTCCACTAAGATGGACACATTGAACCCATGTTCAATTACATGCCATTATTAAACCAGCTCCAATTATATAAAGCAAAGGGGCCTTTCTGGGCATCCACCATCTTTTTTTGCATGGGGAACGGATTAAAAGAAACGAGGACATTTCTTGTTTGAAGCATTTTCCTGGCTGGTCTCATGGAGCTTGGCTGTGGGGTCTTAGCCCATTCTTTTGTTTTCCTCTTCTCTCTGTGTGAATGAGGCTTTCTGAAGGGCCTACGCTTGTTGAGATATTCTGAGGCTGACCAACTCATCCAAGTTTGCTCAGGAACTTTCTTGTTCTACCTCTGAAAGTCCTACATCCAGAAACTCACTCTGTCATATGCAAACTGGCCTATGACTGTCATAGCCACCACAGAGCTTGACTGACTCTATCCTTTGTCAGAGAGGTAAACACAATTGGGGTGAGATCCAAATGCTGTCCATTGTCTTGTACAGGAGAACAAAGTCACAATAAAAATCCTTTGACTTGTATGACTTTTTATATTGCCTCATGTAAGAAGAGACTCATCTCTTATTTGTCAGGTTGTAAATTAAGCATGTAGCACAGTCTCTACCTACCTATCTAGCTAATTTGCTAGCTAGCTACCTACAGAGTTATCTACTTACTTATCTACCTACCTATCCACCTACTTGTTTGTCTACTATCTACTGAATACGGCCTAAGTACCTATCTATATTCCTTTCTACCCGCTAACCTACCTACCTACCTATATATCTGCCTATCTATTTAGCTACCTACCCACCTACCTACCTCTCTACCTCTCTATTTATGTGTCTGTCTACTACTTACTAAATATGACGTAGTACCTATCTATTATATATATTATAGATCTTCCTACCTAGTAACATACCTAGTATCTACTTATCTACATATCTACGTACCTACTTAGCTACCTACCTAACCACTTACCTACTAACTGAGCTAAATATATTCTCACCTACCTATATACCTACCTGCCTGTTTACTACTTACTAAATATGACCTAAGTACCTATCTATATGCCTTCCTATCTACTAAGCTACCTACCTATGTAGCTAGTTAGCTAGCTACATACCAACCTCTACCTACATACTTATCTACTTATGTATATACCTACCTACCTACTTATAAATAAACATACCTACCTAACTATCCACCTATCTCCCCTACCTACCTATCTATCCACTGACCTGTGTACTACCTACTAAATATTACCTAAGTACCTATCTATATACCTTTCTACCTACTAAGCTACCTACTTACCTAGCTAGTTAGCTACCTACCTACCAACCTATACCTATATGATATCTACTAATTATAAACTTACCTACCTATCCACCTATCTACCTACCTACCTACCTATCCACCTATCTACCTACCTACCTATCTACCTACTAAATATGACCTAAGTACCTATGTATATACCTTTATACCTATTAAGCTACCTATCTACCTAGCTAGTTAGCTACCTACATACCAACATATACCTACATACTTATCTTCTTAACTATCTACTACTTATGAATATACTTACCTATCCACTTATCTACCCTACCTACCTATCTACCTACTTGTTTACTACCTAGTAAATATGACCTAAGTACCTATCTGTTTACCTTTCTACCTACTAACCTACCTAGCTACCTACCCACCTACCTATTTACCTACTTACTTACCTAACAATCCATCTACCTATTTGCCTACCAGTCTAAGTACCATGTTTACTACCAACTAAATATGGCCTAAGAACCTATCTATATATGTTTTTACCTACTAACCTACCTACCTACCTACTTACCCACCTACCTATATCAAACTAGCTAGCTACCTACATCCTTACTACCTATCTATCTACCTATGGGAAATCTGGATCCCAAAAAAAGTGAGTTTTGGAAACCACATCCTAGCCCCTGTTATTATATTGCCAGGTTAAGATGTAGTTCTGTTTTATTTTTGTATTAATTCCTCTGTGGCAACACTCACATCCTGTCATTCATACTTCTGGTAAAGCGTACAACTGGCTTGGGCAGTGATGATTGCAGGGAACCTTAGCCACTGCTGTTGGCCTGAATCCCCCACTCTCTGGGTCCTTGCATCTGCCCATTGTTCAGCCATTTGTGCCTAGTCTTGGCTGCCCCTGCTGGGCACCAGTCAACATTATAGGGCTCTGATGATAAACAACTTAACAGTTTCCCTGATGCCCTTTGTAAAACGCATACTCACTTACACCATGCTTCACACATTGATTTGAAAAAAGAGATTCAGTACCTTATTTAAATACACCACCAATTTAGTAAAAGACATGACACAAAGCATTGAGTTATCAAATCACATCCTCTGGAGTCAGCCAGGTCAGGCTTTACTGAGGATATTAGAGGCATGAGTAATTTTGCAGTATAGTAAACTAGAGATATTTGTTTTCCTCCATCAAGACTCCTCAAGTTTCCTCTTCTCTCATTGCATGTTTCTAGACCAGGTTGATGGATGAGGTTTCTAACAAAAACCCATGACCATTTTACCATGAAAAAGAAATATTTGGGGTCATGGAATATCTTTTTTTTTCCTCAGTTGCACAGCTTAGGTGAAGGTTTCCAGGGAGCTATGTCACATAGATCCATAGATGTCATGTTTCCTTGCCATAAAACAAACCTAAAGAACTAGGTACGTCGTGCTAAACCATTCCATAGATAAGGATTGTCTTGCTAGCCAGAACCACTTGGTTGCCTCACTATGAGGTCTGCTAGGAGTATAATTAGAATGAAATGAGCCTGAATCTCTTGTGTTAACCCCCACACTAAAGGAAATGGATGGGTAGAAAACCTATTACTTTAATTGTTGGCTTCCCAGTGAAGAAACCTAAGATTTTTACTGTTATTAACATGTACAGGCACTATCTCAACACAACACACTCTCTCTTTCTCTCTCTCTACTTAGTTAGCTTTAAGCCTTCTAAGTCTGTAAAGTATACTTTATCATGTCAGAAAAGAAGTTTGTAGTCAATTTTAACATTATTAGAATAGTGATATTTAATATCTAGGATTTAATTGTGCTAACATTAGTTTTTCAAGCAATTAGAATAATAAAGTTTTCTAAAAGAGATCTAAAGCTGTCATTAAAGGGAAAATCAACATCTTTGAATTATTAATAAAAATTGCTTAGCAACCTGTTCCAATAAATAATAATAATATCAACAATAAATAATAAAACATCCCCCCGGCAATTTTTTATTATTGATTACAAATGAAACTAATGTGTCATTTGTTGGTGAAAATAATATTAAAGTGAGCAATAAGCCATTTTTAAGCAATAATAAAAAATGTGATTTTTTATTAGCTTTGTTTTGCTTTCATTTCTTCTGCTACTGAATTATTTGATATTTTATGAATTGGTTGATGTTTGCCATTGGTAGACGTTCAAAAGAAAATAGAAATAGAAGATTATTCTCTTTCATAATGTTTGCATTAGTAATGTTGCCTCTATTTAAAGAATCTGTAAATCCTACAATATATGAAATTGTCGCCGTGATAACCAATCTTTGATTCATTGGGTTTACTCTGTTAGTAGCCACCCTCCATTTTTTGCATGATAGAAGGTGGATTGGACTTTAGTCCATTCTTCATCTTTATGTACAGAAGTGCAAAAACCATTTTAGCTAAATGGGCCCTTCTGGTTTTAGAGCTTTGACTTAACAATTCATTAGTGACCTCTACAGTAGGTTGAGGGGCTAGTTTGTAAGACAGTGAAGAGCACCATATCAACTGCCTATTTGGTAATTTAGTCTAAGCTTTGGATTTCCCACTGGTTGAGATATAATTTTGAGTGGACTTTTAGATGAGAATTTAAAGGGTTGATAAAGACATCTCTAAAGATGACCAGGGCCTGGGCGTGGTGGCTCACACCTGTAATCCCAACGCTTTGGGAGGCTGAGGCGAGTGGATCACCTAAGGTCAGGAGTTCGAGACCAGCCTGGCCAACATGGTGAAACCCCATCTCTACTAAAAATACAAAAATTAGCTGGGCGCAGTGGCAGGCACCTGTAATCTCAGCTACTCGGGAGGCTGAGGGAGGAGATTCACCTGAACCTGGGAGGAAGAATTTGCAGTGATCAGAGATGTCGCCATCGTACTCCAGCCTGGGCAACAAGAGTGAAACTCCATTTCAAAAAAAGAAAAAGGATGACCAGGAGCAAATTAATCACATGAATTCCATCTTGCTCAAAAGATATTACAATCAGGAAAAACATGAAAAAAAATCTGAGCAAAAAGACAAAAAGGATAATTACATGTCTTTGCTATTTAGTTCTACTCCTCTTTTCCTTGTATCTTTTTGTATATCCACCTCTGCAGTCTACTGGTACCTCTATGTTCAGATCCAATATCGTGACCTGCCCTTGGGATTCTCTCACTCTTGCTCTTTGTCTCACCTCTACATTCCAATGTCTTACATAGCTTTACCAAAAACAAGCAAAAATCCTTAGAGATCCTTGATGTTTTTCTTCTTATTCATGGTTCAGTAAATGTCTGTAGAATCAAACTCTTCTGCTATATTGATTCAATCATTTATTTTCTCTCATCGATTTGTTCTATAAGAGTCACAGACTTCACCTTCCTGAGTCCTAAGAATTTGTAGATACAGGATGGAATGTTTCCCAGTGGTAATTGGTTAGGAGCTGCTACATGTTACATTTATTGTTGTAATTTGAGTGGAACCTTCTGTCAGAGAAGCTCTGTCCAATGCATGAAGGGACTATCTGGGTTGCTATGTTTCATGTGCAATTACAGATGACTTTCTCTTGAATTTCCATCTGGGATGTCTTCTGTAGATCCCATGACAAATCATGTTGTCACACATGTTATTAAAGAAATTCAAGACCATCTCATCCCATGAGGTCTATAGATCCCCTTATCTGACACAAATTCTTTATCTCCCAAAGTTCTCAATTTCTGGAAGCTTCCACTTGCCTTGTGGCACTCATAAATTTTTTAACAAAATTCTTCTTACCATAAACACTTTTTGAATGTTTCCTTTACTTTCTTTTTCTCATTGAAAGCTTGGCCCTTCCTTGGCGGGGTAAAAATTTGTTGGCAGCATCCTTCAATAGAGACAGTCTCGTTTTCAATTTTCTCATCCCTAGTGCTAGAGGTGGCATGGTGTCTTTTTGCCTGCTGACACCCTTCTCCAGAATCTCCTCTTTTAAAAAGGCCAGCTTTGGAGCTCATGACATTGGCCATGAGGCCATGTCAATTTCCCTCTCCCTCCAAGGGACAGCCATTCAAGGAATCCATTGTTTGTTGAAAATTTTAGCATGGGATTCACAAACACTACTTCTGTTTTAGTAACTGAAGATTTTAAAATTCATGGGGTTTCAACCTCAGGTACATATTGACATCTTGGAGGAGCTTTACAAAATAATAAAGCCTGCTCTCTGTCCCCAGAGAGATTCAGATTCTGTGACTTGGGCTCTGCTTTCAGAAGTTTCCCAACTGAACATGATGCATAGCCAGGATTGAAAACTACACACATAAATGGTCTTTTCAATACCTTGGCATTTCCATTTATTTATCTCTTGCATAGATTTCCTTGTTCCTAACTCTGACGTGCATTCCTATATTCTCGACCTTCTCATTACTCACAACCAAAAACATAGACAATCTTTCCAATGCCTTTGTATTTCCATTTCTTTATGTCTTCTCTTGCATGTTTTTCCTTGTTCCTGACTCTGGCATGCATGCCCATACTCTCCACCTTCTCATCACTCATCACTCTGACACCAGTTTTAATGATTAACATCCTCTAATTACCATTTATCACTTTTTCATTTGTGTTCCTCACACTGACAGTCTTCAGCTCTGCTAAGACTGAAACTTACTGTTTTTTGTTTGATTTTTAGCACTGCATTGCTATCTTTTGCCCTGTTCCTGTTCTTATGGCCACTCTTACCTATCTTCAATGACAAGTACCATCATGCTACTCCTTGCTTGCCTTCACCTATGACTCCCTTTACCCTCTGGAAGGAAACCGCACTTGAAAAAAAGAAAAAAATTACAGTGACAGATTGGTATATTATTATACAAGATAGACTAGGCGATGCTGCAGTAATGAAAATCATATACTAATTTGCAGTCCCTTAAGCTAGCAAGGGTTTATTTCTAACTCTTGACAACTGTTCAGAGAAGCTATTTCCCATGCAGATGGCAGTGTTCCTAATTTGTAGCTCAACAATCTGAAACAGGTGGCCTCCTTAGTGTATACAGGAAAGGAATTAGTGAGAAATAGGTGAATGATCTCACTCAATAGCCAGGAGCCTGAGACATGCAGTCTCTATATGTCTGGAGGGGAAGACAATCCTTTATTGATGGATACTAGTAATTATCAGGGATTTTGGGGGGTTTACAGATTATATTATTAATTTTTTCAATTATCCTACTTTATTCTAGATTGGGGATAACAGGCAATAACAATATATTATTAGGTAACACAGTGAATTGACTTCTCTACTAATCCCTTAATTTTTTTTTTTTAATTTCAATAGTTTTGAGGGAAAAGGTGGTGTTTTGTTGCTTGGAAAAGTTCTTTAGCAGTGATTTCTGAGATTTTGCTACACCCATCAACAGAGCAGTGTACACTGTACCCAATATGTGGTCTTTTACCCTCACCCCGCTTCCATCCTTCTCCCCAAGTCCCCAAAGTTTAGTATATCATTCTTATGCCTTTGCATCCTCATAGCTTAGCTCCCATTTATAAGTGAGAACATATAATATTAGGTTTTCCATTCCTGAGTTACTTTACTTAAAATAATGGTCTCCAACCCCATCCAGGTTGCTGCGAATACCATTATTTTGTTCCTTCTTATGACTGAGTAGTATTCCATTATATATATATATGTGTGCGAATACCATTATTTTGTTCCTTCTTATGACTGAGTAGTATTCCATTATATATATATATGTGTGTGTGTGTGTGTGTATGTGTATATATGTATATATGTGTGTGTGTGTATATATATAACTTTTTCTTTATCCACTTGTTGGTTGATGGGCATTTAGGCTGGTTCCATATTTTTGCAATTGCAAATTTTGCTGCTGTAAACATGCATGTCCAAGTGTCTTTTTTATATATACACGGACTTATTTTCCTCTGGGTAGATACACTGTAGTGGGATTGGTGAATAAAATGGCAATTGTGAAGGTTAATATTGAATTCAACTTGATTGGATTGAAGAATGCAAGGTATTGTTCCTGGGTGTGTCTATGAGGGTGTTGCCAAAGGAGATTAACATTTGAGTTGGTGGAATGGGAGAGGCAGACCCGCGTTATTCTGGGTGGGCACCATCTAGTCAACTGTCAGTGCAGCTAGGATAGAAGCAGGCAGAGGAACGTGGAAGAACTAGACTGGCTGAGTTTTCTGGCCTCCATCTTTCTCCTGTGCTGGATGCTTCGTGCCCTCGAACACTGGCCTACAACTTTTGGACTTTTGGACTTAACACCAGTGGTTTGCCAGAGGCTTTCAGGCCATCAGCCACAGACTGAAGGCTGCACTGTTGGCTTCCCTATTTTTGAGCTTTTGGGACTCGGACTGGCTTCCTTGCTCCTAAACTCCCTTTCATATTACATCTAGCCTATTAGTCCTGTCCCTCTAGGAAACCCTGGCTAATACAGTAGTTCTTTTAGTTTTTCAAGGAATCTCCATACTGTTTTCCACAGTGGTTGTACTAGTTTACATTCCTGCCAGCAGTGAACAAGTGTCTCCTTTTCACCACTTCCATGCCAACATCTGTTATTTTTTTATTTTGACCAGAGTATGATTGAGCTCATTTTCTTGATCAGGAATTGAAGGTCAGAGTTGTTATCTAATTTATTCAAACTTCTCTACCGGTGAGAATGATGAGATATGAATAAAGGTTTGCCTTATAACCACCACGAGTTCTACTCCAATAGCAGAGGAATAATTTATCCCACAAGAGAATGCCACACCTGGTTTAGAGGTGTGATTTGAAGATCAGTTTTATGTTCCCTCTTCCTGTATTCATTGGTGATAAGCACTTCAATTTTTAGCATCTTCTGAACTGGCTTCCTTTTGGTTCCCAAAGCTCCTGGTTGTTCCATCCTGAACAGATTCGTATATTTGAGTTGTTTTCCTGACCAAGGAAGCCATCTGAGTTTGTGGTTCTGCCCTTTAACCTCTATAAAGCACAATCACCTAAGATGCAGTAACCCAAGGCAAGCTTATTTTAGTGGAATATCAGTCCTGTCTGCTAGCTAGCTTTAAAACAAAGGCCTCCACAATTAACTTTGTTTAATCTCTTGCCAACCAGCTGAAAAAGTACAATCAAAACTGATGACTTATTTTATTTTTTAAGACCTTAATCCTGCAAATATTAGACCGGCCATGGCACACAAGCCTTGAATAAATCAGTTGAAAAAAATTTTCATTTAAATGACCAGCATTTATAAAATTCATAAAAGACCAGCAGTCATAAAATGTCCTCTTTGCTTGGTCTCCTGATCTTAGTGAACTGATATTACCCTTTCCAATAAATAATGTTTCAGGATTATGAGTGCTTTATTCTGTTGATCTCTTCCCTCCAAGGAGCAGAGTGGGTGTCAGGGAGCATCTACTTAATGTCTGAACTTCACTGTGTCTGGATTTAGCTTCCAGCTTCAGATACATTTTGGTTTTAATTGTGTTTAACTTTTAATGACTACAAACAAAGCCCAGCAAAATAAAATTCATCTACCATTGCATCTGAGGGAGAGGTCCTCCAAAAATCAATTGCACTTAGTTAAAACATCATCTGTCGCATTAAATAGATCACTAACTATGGATCCAATTCTCCTCCTTGCGGTCTTGTCTCAGGAAATTGTTTGGAAAAGCATATTCAGACCTTCAAGGTCATGGTCTGGGACATTATGTAGCCCTGGATTGAATGAGCTATTTTGAAATATACCATAAATTCTTTATAACTATTGTCCCCCTACTGTGCTACTGAACACTAGAACTTCTTATTTTTTCTAGCAAATTGTATTCTTATTTTTTATTTTTTTAGAGAAGGGGTTTTCCCTGTTGTCCAGGCTGGAGTGCAGTGGTGTGATTGTAGCTCACTGCAGCCTCAGACTCCAGGGCTCAAGCGATCCTCCCACCTCATTCATCCTTCAAAGTAGCTGAGACAACACCATGCTCAGCCAAACTTAATTTTGTGTGTGTGTGTGGAGACAGAGTCTTGCTGTGTTGCTTAGTCTGATCTCAAACTCTTGACCTCAAGCAATCGCCCTGTTTCAGCCTCCTAAAGTGCTGGGTCTATAGGCACAAACCACCTCACCTGGCTCCTAACTGTATTTTTGTGCTTATTATCTCAAGGTCATTTAAAATTTCTCTAAACGATATAGTTTTGTGGAGAAGATCCTTCACATCTGTCATTATATTAGTTCCTAGGTACATGGTGTTTTTAAGATATTGGAAGCATCCCCTTATAAAATTCATTTTGCTATTTGTTCCTGACTCTGTTAATATCAGCAGGTGTGCAATGGGCTGAGCTGTTTTGCTGGAGTAGGAGGTGTAGCTGCATGACACTGATCCTGATTGAACATCTCTGGATGAACTTGTTAAAAATACACTCTTGAGTCCTACCTCCCTCCTGAATTTGGTCCCAAAATATTTCCCACCTAAACAAAAAAGTTATACTATTACTCTAACAGTTGCACAGACTAAAAATCTTTCTTCTGCCCTTTTATGAATAACCCACACTCAAATCTATCAACTTAACGCTATCTGCTCGCCTTTTAAAATATATCCAGAACAAATACTTTCCAGTGCCATAATACTGTCTTTTTCATACCCCATCGCCTTTTCCACTGCCAGTTATGATAGCCTCATATCAGTCTTCTTTCTGTTATCCTTGTCCTCCTTCAGTCTGTAGTTGGAGTGATCTTTTTAAAAACTGAATAAGGGAACACCTCTACTTTTCTCAAAACCCTCCAAGGATTCCTATCTCACCAGGGTAGAAACAAGTCCTTAGAAGGCCTACAAGATCCTCATCCATCTCTCTTCCCATTCTCTCTCATTTCTTTTTGTCAACTCCATTTTCTGTGTTCCAACCACACTTCTGCCCACATTTCCTCAAACGTCACAATCCCACTGCTATATTAGGAGTTTTGTCTTTGCCATTTCTGTTCCTTTGTTCTTGCATGCTCTTCCCAGCAGCTATCAACATCGTGTGCTTTCTCACTTCCTTCAAAATATAACATTTTCAGAGAGGTATTCCCAAACTACTTTCTACAAAAGTTCTCTGTGACTTGCCACTCTCAATATTGTGGATTTTCTTTCCAATTATTACGGTTACCTGAATAAAGACATATTCATTTGTTCATTACCATTCTTCCCCTACTAGAACGTGAATTTCATAAAAGATGAGCTTTATTTGTTCTGCATGGTGTAGTATCTCAAATGCTTAGGAGTGTGCTCCACCTATAGAATAGTATTATTGTTGGTGCAAAAGTAATTGCGGTTTTTTTGCAAAAAAAAAAAAAATATGGAACCAGCCCAAATGCCCACCAATCAATGAGTGGATAAAGCAACTGTGTTGTATATTTATACAATGAAATACTACTCAGCCATAAAAACCAATGAGTTAATGGTATTTTCAGCAACCTGGATGGAACTGGAGACTATTATTCTAAGTAACTCAGTAATGGAAAACCAAACATCATATGTTCTCACTCACAAGTAGGAGCTAAGCTATGAGGAGGCAAAGGCATAAGAATGATAGAATGAACTTTGGGGGCTTGACGGAAAGAGTGGGAGGGGGTGAGGGATTAAAAAACTACAAATTTGGTTCTGCACAGGAGAGAAACAGGAAGTGTGTCCTGCACAGGGAAGACAGGAGGTGTGTTGCACACAACGGAGGAACAGAATGTGTGTGCTGCACAGGGGAGAAACAGGAAGTGTGTCATGTACAGGGGAGGAATGGAAAGTGTGTCCTGCACAGAGGAGAAACAGGAAGTATCTTTGTCTCAGGAGAATAACAGGAAGAGTGTCCTGCACAAGGAAGACACAGGAAGTGTGTCAAGAAGAGGGGCAACAAAGGAAGTGTGTCAAGAAGAGGGGCAACAAAGGAAGCGTGTCCTGCAAAGAGGAGGAACAGAAAGTGTGGCCTACACAAGAGCAGGAGCAGAAAGTGTGTCCTGCACAGGGGAGACACAGGAAGTGTATGCTGCACAGAAGAGGAACAGAAAGTGTGTCTGTCTCAGGAGGGTAACAAGAAGTGTTTCCTGCATAGGGAAGAAACAGAGTGTGTCATGCACATGGCAGTAACAGAAAGTGTGTCATGCACAGAAGAGGAGTGGAAAGTGTGTGCTACACAAGAAAGAAGCAGGAAGTGTGTCATCTACAGGGAAGAACAGGAAGTGTGTCATGAACAGAAGAGACACAGAAAGTGTGTCCTGCACAGTAGAGAAGCAGGAAGTGTGTCATGAACAGAGGAGAAACAGAAAGTGTGTGCTACACTGAGAAACAACAGAAGGAGTGTCATTCACAGAGGAGGCACAGGAAGTGTGTCTTGCACAGGGGAGAAACAGAAAATGTGTCATGCACAGAGGAGGAATGGAAAGCATGTGCTACACAGGGGAGAAACAGGAAGGATGTCATGCACAGGAGAGACAAAGGAAGTGTGTCCTTCACAGCGGAGAAACAGGAAGTGTGTCACGCACAGAGGAGGAACAGAAAGTGTGTCCTGCACTGGAAAAAAAACAGGAAGTGTGTTCTGCACAGGGGAGAAACAGGAAGTGTGTCCTGCATACCGGAAGAACAGAAAGTGTGTACTGCACAGGGAAGAAACAGGAAGTATGTCCTCCACATGGAAAAAACAGGAAGTGTGTCATGCACATCGGAGTAAACAGAAAATGTGTCATGTACAGAAGAGGAATGGAAAGTATGTGCTACACAGAAAAGAAAGAAAAAGTCAGTCCCCCACACGGAAGAAACTGGAAATGTGTCATGCACAGGAGATACACAGGAAGTGTGTCATGCACAGAGGAGTAACAAAAAGTGTGTGCTACACTGAGAAGAAACAGGAAGGGTATCTTTCACAGGGGAGGCACAAGAAGTCTGTCTTGCACAGAGAAGAACCAGGAAGTGTGTCATGCACAGAAGTGAAACAGGAAGTGTGTCATGCACAGAGGAGGAAGAGAAAGTGTGTACTAAACAGAGGAGAAACACGAAGGGTGTAATTCACAGGGGAGGCACAGGAAGTGTGTTTTGTCCAGGAAAGAAACAGGAAGTGTGTCATGCACAGAGGAGAAACAGGAAGTGTGTCTTGCTCAGAAAAGGAACGGAATGTGTGTCTTGCGCAGGAAAAGCAGGAGGTGTGTCCTTCACAGGAAAGAAACAGGAAGTGTGTTCTGCACAGTGTAGAGACAGGAAGTGTGTCATGCACAGAGGAGAAACGGGTGAGTGCTACACTAAGAAGAAACAGGAAAGGTGTCATTCACAGGGAGGTACAGGAAGTGTGTCTTACACAGGGAAAAACAGGAAGTGTGTCATACACAGAGGAGAAACAGGAAGTGCGTCCTGCTCAGGGAAGAAACAGGAAGTTTGTCATGCATAGGAGAGACCCAGGAATTGTCAAAAGAATGCAACCATTTGTCTCTCACCTACCTGTGACCTGGAAGCCCCCTTCTGCTTTGAGTTGTCCCCACCTTTCTGGACAGAACTAATGTACTTCTTACATGCATTGATTGATATCTCCTGTCTCCCTAAAATGTATAAAACCAAGCTGTGCCCTGACCACCTTGGGCACATGTTGTCAGGACTTCCTGAGGCTGTGTCACAGGCACGCTTCCTCAACTGTGGCAAAATAAGCTTTCTAAATTAACTGAGACCTGTCTCAGATTTTCAGGGATCACATGACCATCTGATTGTTGGGTACAAGTCCAATCTGTGCTATAACCAGAACTGGCAGAAACATCCCCATTGCTAAGGCATGCACTTGGTGCCCAACATTTTAGTTAAGCTTTCAAATACCACTCATTCTGAGCCCTATCACCTCACTATGTGTCTTTCCCTCCCTGTTCTACGTTGGACTTGGTGAGGACATTGCCCTGGCATCCATGGTCATCTAAGACCATTGAGAGGGGGTTCCTCAAAGGCAAGAAGAAGGTTCCTGAGTCAGCCGAGTCAGACCCATTTTCCTAAAGGCAACTTCATTTTCCATCTTCTCTCTTCTCCCCACCCATGCCTTCTTGCTCTCTGCTTTATCCACTGGAGGGTGTATCTCTTGTGCTGTTTCTCACTACCAACACTGTTCTTTATCACTTTTTTAGTTACTCTGGCTGTCTGTTTTTAATAGTCTATGTAAGACCATGCATGGTGGCTCAGATGGGTTTCCAGAAATTACTACAAGATGTTGGGAAGCAAAAAAAAAACACTTCTACCATTAGGATGTTTGACAAATCCTGCTAAATGTGGCTATCTTAATTTGTATGCCTCTGAATTTTGTGGATTTCTTTCTCAATATCTTGTAGACCACTGAACCTTCGAAAACACTACTCAAGTTCGCTATATCTGTACCACTCTTATCTTATTTTCTTTTATATAGTCTTGCTTTGAGTTTTTGCATGTGCTTGGTTGAGGCAGAGGGGAAAAGAAAATAAAAAAATAATAATTTCTAACCCTTAGTATTAATTCTTGTATCTATTTCTTAGAAAAAAATATATCAATCAATCATCTATCTTACCTGTCTGTCATCTATCTATCATCTATCTGTCTGCCTATCTGTCTATCTATCTATGTATCTATCTATCTATCTATTTATCTATCATCTATCTATCTCCCTATCTATGTATATCAGTTACAGGCAAAATTTGTATCCCAAATAAAAGAAAATTATAAATAACAAAATTCATTAAAAGTGGTGGTGATAAAGAATGCTTACATAAGATAATATATATTTCCCATTTTCTTGCATATTTATAGATGTTTGGTGAATAAAGGTTATCACTAGTTTATGTGGAACTTTATTTTACATACATTAAGATGCAAAATAAAAATTCCAAATAGCTTGTCCAAGAAAATCTCTAGTTTATTATTACATCTGATACTCTTTATTTCCATACCTTTCCAGATACTATGAGTAGGAGACCATGGAAAGATAATATCTTAATAGCTTCTGGTGCCGTTCCTCAAACAGCAGAAAACAAATATAAAATAAAAATTTGGATGTGGACTTTCACTTTTTCCATGAAGGAGTAATGAGATGAATTTATTCCACCACCACCACCACCTCAAGGTATAACTACATAACTAAACAGATAGGATGGCAACAGTTGCACAAAGACCAGAAGGGAATAACTGAAAAACAGTTTTTGTTTTAGTATCAGAAGTTTTGAGCTTCTGATACTAAAAGTGAAGTAGTATGATATCATTTGAAACTAGACTGTGATAAGAAAAAAAAAAGTGTACCCGTAAACTCTAAAGCAGTCACAATAGTAATACAGAAAATAATTAAAACCAATAAACCAACACAATTAACCAGAATGGAATCATAAAAACACCGAATCCAAAGGAAGGCAGAAAAAGAGAGAGAAAATAAACCATGAACAGATGGGACAAATAAAAAATAAATAACAAGATGGCAGTTTGAAACACAACCATATCAATAGTCACATTAAATGTAAATGAACCAAATGCCCAAATTGAAATTCAGAGATGGTCATGTTGAATAAAATATACATGACTCAACTCTATGCTGCCTCCAAGAAACTCACTTGCAAGTAGACATTTGTAGAACATTCCATCTAGCAAAATTGATCATTAGATTTTAACAAAGTGAAAAACGTCTACTTTTTTTGTAAGACACTGTTAAGACAATGAAAGCACATGCTACAGGTTGAGAGAAAATATAGGAAAATCACATGTGATGAAAGATTTTTATACAGAATATATAAATAACTCTAGAAAAATAATAAGAAAATAAGCAACCCAATTAAAAAGTTGGTTAAAGCATTTGAGCAGACACAGGAAAGTTATGCTAATGGAAAATAAGCACAAGAAAAGATTCTGAACATCATAGTCATTAGGGAAATTCTGTTGAAACCACATGAAATACCACTATACATATATTTTACTTTTTAAGAAAAAAGTCTGATTATAGCAAGTTTGTGAAGATATGGAGGAACTTGAACACTCACGCATCCTTGATAAGAATGTAAAGCAGTGAAACAACTTTGGAAAACAATTTTAGCTTCTTTAAAACAGGGGTCCTCCATCCCCCAGCCAGTACCAGTCCTTGGCCTGTTAGGAACTCAGCCACACAGCAGGTGAGCGACTGGTGAATGAGCAGAGCTTCATCTATATTTACAGCCACTCCCCATTGCTCACATTACTTCCTGAGCTCCACCTCCTGTCAGATCAGCAGCAGCATTAGATTCTCAAAGGAGCATGAGCCCTATTGTGAACTGCACCTGTGAAGGATCTAGGTTGTGTGCTCCTTATGAGAATCTAATTCCTGATGATCTGTGACTGTCTCCCATCACCCAGAGATGGAACCATCTAGTTGCAGGAAAACAAGCTCAGGGCTCCCACTGATTCTACATTATAGTGAGTTGTAGAATTATTTCATTCTATATTACAATGTAGTAATCATAGAACTAAAGTACACAATCAATGTAATGTGCTTGAATCCTCCTGAAACCATCCCCCTCCTCTCCCTACCCTTGTCCATGGAAAAATTGTCTTCCACAAAACCAGTCCCTGGTGCCAAAAAGATTGGGGACTGTTACTTTAAAAGTTAATGATATACCTGATTTATAACTCAGACATTTTAATCATGGGTATTTATCCAAAATATATAGAAGCACTTACCCAAACAAAGGCACGTATACAAATGTAAATAACAGCTTTATTTTTATTAGCAAAAATCTGGAGACAAACTGAACCTCCATCAAGAGTTGAATGGATAAACAAATTTTCATGAGTACATACAGTGAAATACAGTCCAGAAATTAAAAAGAATAAACTATTGATACATAAAACAACACCAATGAACCTTGAAATAATTTTATTGACTAACGCAAGAAAATAAAAAAGAATGTATAACACATCATGGCATTTATGTAAAATTCTAGAAAGTAAAATCTGTAGTGACAGGAAGCACATCAGTGTTGCCTGTGTTTGAAGACGGAAAAGGGAGAGGGAAAAATTTCAAGGGAACATAAGAAAATTTGGGGAATTAATGGATATGTTTATTTTATTGATAGTGGTGAAGTGTCAAAATGTATTGAAGTGCAGACTTTAAACACCCATCCAGTTGATTGTGCCTCAGTGATATAACTGAAAAATATAGTAGGTTCTGCATGATTACTTAGAAGGTGCTTGGAAAAAAGACATTTATACCCAACTCGACAAACATAATTACTGTTTGGGACAGTAATTCGGATACATTATCCTTTTTTCATTAGAGAATTTGTGTTATCATAAATAAAAATATTTCATCATAAAATATTTAATTAGATACTATAAAGAGACACCATTGGTTTAACAATTCAATTCAAAATTAGCTGATGTTCCAGAATTCTCACTTCCTTTCTCCCAGCCAAGGTTACCCCAGTTGTAATTCCTGAAGCTGAACTTAAGTGACCATGCAAACATTCAGAAGAATGTCAGGATGGAGTTTGGGTTTTAATTAACTAAGAACCCTGAATGGAGATGGGAAACTTACTACGAGTATCTAAGAAGAGAAACTGAAAGCAGGAATGGAGAAAGCTTTCATCAGAGTTTAGAAATCTTCTTCCCTGTGTGATTCAGGAAAATGCTAAGTTGGTTTGACCCTCAACATGTGTCATCCCACATTGAGTGAAAACTCCATCTGAAAGTTGTCTGAAGCTTCTGGAGTCCAGGATTCCTGACAGAACTTGAGACCTGTAAATCCAACCATCTGGGGCTTTTGGGGAAATCTCATGAAGGTGGAAGGGGTAGCTGACTTTCCAATGTTGTTGGCAATGGAATCATATGGGCCACCAATATGGATTTCAAGGGGAAACAAAGATCAAAGAGATTTAAACCTTCTGATTGGCTTTTATCTTGGCAAAACATTAGGTTATAAATGTGCTCAGAGACCAAACCTCAGTATATTTGTACATTGAAGATGGATACAGGGAACAAAAGCTACATACTTTTAAACAACATATTTGGTGAGTTTTTAGTTATGTAATTACCATACAAATAAACAGAAGGTGATATATAATTGAAGAGAAGGCATAATACAATTTTGACAGGTGGCTGCATAAGTAACTCGTTTATGGAAGAACATTTTAATAATCAAACTCTCTGCATCAGTTTTTCCATTTTTTTTCAACTTTTGTTTTAGATTCAGGGGGTACATGAATTACCCCAGGTTTGTCACATAAATATGTTACATGATGCTGAGGTTTTGGGTACAATTGTACTGAGCAGAGTGGCCAATAGTTAGTTTTTCAGCCCTTGGCCCCCACCCTGCAGTTTCTATTGTCTCCATCTTTACGTCCATAAGTACTTAATGTTTAGCTCTCACTTATAAGTGAGAACACGTGGTATTTGATTTTCTGTTTCTGCATTAATTTGCTTAGGATAATGGCCTCTAGCTCCATCTGTGTTGCTGCAAAGGACATAATTTTATTCCTTTTTATGGCTGCATAGTATTCCATGGTGTATATGTGCCACATTTTCTTTATCCAATCCACTGTTGATGGGCACCTAGGTTGATTACATATTTTTACTATTGTGAATCAATTTCTCTAATTTTAAAATAATGCTGGTTGATGAGCTTTCAGTCATATAAAAAACAAGTCTGTGCAAGTCTGTGCAGCATGCTTTAATCTCTCAGAATCAATGACTTGTTTTACTTGAAATTGTATTTATTTTCCTTACTCCTAGAGAATTTACAAAGACTTCTATCCTTCTCTTTTTTCTTTTTTTTTCGTCATCGTCTTCTTTTTTTTTTTTTTTTTGAGATGGAGTCTGACTCTGTCACCCAGGCTGGAGTGCAGTGGCGCGATCTCGGCTCTCTGCAACCTCCACCTCCCAGGTTCAAGCGATTCTCCTGCCTCGGCCTCCTGAGTAGCTGGGACTACAGGTGCATGCCACCACGCCCAGCTAATTTTTGTATTTTTAGTAGAGAGGAGGTTTCACCATGTTGGCCAGGATGGTCTCGATCTCTTGACCTCGTGATCTGCCTGCCTCGGCCTCCCAAAGTGCTGGGATTACAGGCGTGAGCCACTGTGCCCAGCCTTTCATCCTTCTTTGACCAATCATTTTCAGGTCTATGAGGTCACAGTCAACAGTGAATTATCACAAGGTAAGTGAGCAACTTCCAGCTTCAAGAAACATATGGTTTCCAAATTTAGATGCAGAGTGAACATTTTCTAGAGTGAGCATTCTAACAAATGAAGCTTTCTATTATAAATATTATAACAATTTATAGGTAAATAAGCCTTGAAGGATAATGATGTAAACAAACATCTAAGTATTATGGGAAGTTTTTGATCTGCTTTAGTAACACACTTAGAATCTCAACTTTGCCATAACAACACGTGGCATAAGAGTAATGGTTACTTTTTATGACAACTGCTCTATTAATACCCTCTGGCTGCTTCCTTTTCTAAGTAAATAAAAAATAACTAATTCATTTGTTTGCATTTTCAAATCTCTTACTTCAGCAACTTCATGCAAAGTCTCTCAGTGAGTACCATTGAATTTTAGGTGCTAAAATATTTTCAAGAGAAAAGAAATTAAGAAAACGCGGAGGTAATTAACACAGAAAGAGAAAACCAAATACTGGGTGTTCTCACTTATGAGGGAGATGAACATTGGGTACATGGGAACATAAATACAGAAATAACACACACTGGGAACTGAAAAATTTCCTATTGGAAAGGGGGCAAGGACTGAAAAATTTTCTATGCAGTACCACGTTCATTATTTGGGTGACGGGATCAACAGAAGGCTAAATCTCAGCATTATGCAATATACTCTTGTAACACACCTGCACAGGTATCCTCTGAATCTAAAATTAAAAAATACATCAATAATAAATAAGAACAAGTCAGAAACAACAAAATTAATTATATAATTTTGTTGATAATGAATTTATGGTGAAGTCATGTAGTTAGTTTTACTTTATAATAAAATGATACTTTTTCTTCCTAAGAGTGGTAGAGATTTTCAGTTACACTCAAGGGCTTATACCATTTGGGCATACTGACTTCCTTTGAAAAGCAGCCTTATGTGTTACTATATGAAATGGATATTTCCAGATTCCTTGAGGGACTTCACCTAAGATTTTCCCCTAGGTATACAATAGTGACTAGATTTTTCCGCCTGTACAACACTTCACTTACATGGAATAAGTAGACAATTCAGATTAGTAAAGGTTTAAAATATGCATGGACTCATGAACGTGCCTGACCACATACCTAAGAAAAGAAGAAGAAAAAGAAAACACAGAAGTTTCTTAACTGAAGACAGTTGGATTGGATTTTCTTTTACTGAGATGAAGGAGGTGATGTTGGGAAGGCATGACATCTCTTGGGAGGGCAAGTGACAGCTGGGTTTTGTGAATGAAATGGCTTATCTGTCGGCATTGTTGTTTCTCTCTGTATCTACTGTCTAGAGAGCACAAATTCAGGACCTGCTAAAACGGCCTGCAGAGCAGAGACGTCTCTGAGCCTGTTTTCAGGGGGTCCTCAGAGAGAGCTCATTGAATGGCATTCTTTTTGATAGAAGGCGAGCGCTGAGGTAATAAGTGGGCAGGACATTTTGAGACGGAAGGAGAGGAAGAAAAAGTCTCTTTACCTCCCGTGCCTGCCTCCACATCTCTAGAGGTGAAGAGGAGTCTGTTTCTTGATCATAAGCAGGTCTGGGTGGGAGGTCAAAAGAAAGTTGAAATTTGGGAAAATTTCCAAAGGTAAAAGGAAACAAAGTGAACTAAAGCTCAAGCTAATGTCTCTATTGCCAAGGACTTACAGAAGGTGTTATATCTAGAGTAGATTGACTTTGAAAGGTGGCTGAGAATGGACTATAAAGAAGTGGTTTCCCCAAACAATTACCAGCAAGAAGGAAGAACAGATGTTTACACGGAGCAAGAGACAAAGACTATGAGAACAAAATATTTGGCATAGCTATTATATGTTTACAAGAAGAAAAAAAGAAACAGCCTCAGGGAAAGCGTCAACCTTTTTCTTATATCTAGAAGAGTCTGGAATATGAAAGATGGTACTTTGTAATGTTTTATTTACCTCAAAAATCAACATAAAGGTGTTTGAGAATTCCTTGTATAGCCTCACAACCTTTCTTTGCTTACTCGAGTTTTGCGTCTTTGCAGGTGATCAAAGTGCGTGCTCACATGTGGGTGCTCTGTTCCATAGAAAGTTTCCTCTCCTGTAATGCTACCCTGGCAACATCAACGTACACCCCATAGACACCTGTCACAGAAACTTGAGTCTTGCCTCTGGCCAGTCCTGAGGCACAAACAGCTTTATGAGCAACAGACACTCCACAGACAACTCACCCTTTGACATGACAAAGCAAGATATTTACTACCGCTTGGTAGACACATGTTTCCACAAGGAAGGTCTATCATTTTAAAAATATCTTGCCAGTTTTTCGTTTCCTTCCACCTGCTTTTAGAGTTTAAATCAAGTCCAGGAGCAATATAGTCTCAATGCCTGAGGTTTAAAAGGGGCAGGATTTAATCATTGAAAACAATGTCCATTGGCTTATTCCTGGGGTTTGCTTCATGGTATGTCTCCTACAGCTGGGCGTTGTTTTCTGAAACAATCTTTGCACGCTTGTCGCCATCTGTAAAGCAAATTCCGCTTTTGGACCAGAAGGGACTTATTCAAATGTAAATTGCCACCGACTTCTTCCAGCTTAAACCCTATCCTAAGAAAGAGACCCCCTATCCTAAGAAAGAGACCCCCTAGCCTGAGTAGAACACGAGAAGCCCCATGATAACTACAAGGATCTTTGTTTCTCTGCAGCTACTTTCCTTTTGCACCTGCTGTCTTTTGGGTTATCTAACATTCCTTGCACATCCCCTAGGCCTTTGCTACCCCCGGTGGCTCCCATTCATCCTTTCGGTGACTGCTCAGCCAGCCTAGACCAATTCACTCTGTTTGCCCACTCCCTCTTCTTCATCCACAGCATCTTGCATTTCAGATGCCTCTCGCCAATTTTCTTTTAATTCCATCTGCTTGCTCCATTTCAAATCCCTATCTGCTCCATCAGCCTCAAAGCTCCTTGAGTCTCGTTTTGTTTAGTTATTTGTCATTTTTTGGAGTCAGACTGCCTAGATGTATCTCTCCCACCATGAACTGTCCATGTGGCTCTGAGCCGTTACTTAATCTTTTATGCCTCAGTCTTTCATCTGTAAAATGGGGAGGGTATGCCAATTGATTTATTAACTGAGGATTCACTGGAATGATTCTGGAAAATTGCTCAACACCATGGCCTACCATGGATATTAACCAATGTAATCCCAGTTCTACAACCTGATATTGAGGGGTAGAGTGAAGAAATTAGTATGTAATTTTCATGGCTGTAATTAACAAACCACAAAAACATAAAAATGGTCTCTTAATTTCATAGGGCTGATATACATCAATAAAACTTTGAATGAATTCTGAGGCCACCATAGTTCCAAAATAATGTAAGTCCATTTTATGTGATATATTTATTTATTATGTGATAACAAATATATTATGTATAGAATATTAATAATCTTAATACTTATAAATTATACACATTAAAATTTTAATGAAGAATTAAATTAATAATTTATATTATAAACTATAATAAATTGATGTCCCTCTTTTTCCTTTTTTTTCTTTTTATTTTGAAAGAGACAGTGTCTTTCTCTGTTGTCCAGGCTGGAGTGCAGTGGTGCAATCATAGCTCACTGCAGGTGCATGGCACCACACCCGGATAGTTTTTGTGTGTGTAAAGAAGGGGTCTCACTATGTTGCTTAGGCTGATGTCTCTCTTTTCAATAGTGAATAAAAATTCAATGAATAATGATAAAACCATTTCATGATTGGCCACATTTTTAATCAGCTGTTTCTATTATCAGCACGATTGCTCCATCTTCCAAACACAGCTCTTTCAAGAAATATTATTTTCTGTAAGCTTTAATGCTTGATGTGGTTTTTTTTCAACAGGTTTTTTGAAAAGTGTGAAACAAAAGGATTATATCTAATGATTATTTTCTACATATTGGGACATAAAGTACATAGGTCATTTCCAGGTGCAGCCTGGAGTCACAAACAAAATGATGACTTTCATAATTCAACTTATGAATGTATGAAACTGACTCTGAACTGAATGTTAAAAGGGTATGTAAAGAAGTGATAGCAATCTAACAGGTTTAGCTGCCAGTAGTAGATCATAGATTTCAAAAAAGGACATCTTCCCTAAAATGAAGTAAGTGGATACTTAAGTTGTACTTTACAATGTATTTAGATTTTGGGGGTGTTAAATTCACATTGTTCACTTGCGTATAGTTTCATTGCAACCATTCAGTCAAGAATATTCCGAATATCCATGCAAAAACCCCCTAAATTATTTACTCATATGTGGCTGGTCTGTTTTCCTCTAATAAAGAGTATCAAAAAACTATGAGGTTCTCAATACTCTGACAATAAAGATAAATCTATAAGGATCCTGACTTTTAAGCTATGCTGAAATTTACTTTCATCCTCTTGTGAATCAATATCATAAAGATGTAGGTATATAGAAAAAAAAATTCCTACATGGAAACAGGTCCAAAGAATGACTGCATATCTCTTCAGCGATATATAGGAACATTGATTTAATGGGGCCACCAATTTTGTTTTTAGTTATTGAAATGAAGGTAATTTTCTTTGACTCACTAATTATGAATTAAGGCTTAGACTATGAGAAGTCACGCATTAACTTGTAGAAGTCTAATAAGTTGCAAATGGTTAGTGACAGGTAGGAAAATAAAATGACCTCAAAGGTTACAGCTGTGTTGCTCCTTGAAGCTTTAACTACTTTTGGATATAATTTATCCAAATGATTTCTGCATGTTTTCCCTCACATTATGTAAATATCTGTATCTCAAAGGCTTATTTAAGTCAACTGTGTCATTTTGCTATGTGCCTGGTGTGATGGTCAATTTTTGTGCTTCTTACAACATTTGCAACCGACCCACTCTCTATGAATACAAAAAAATTAGCCAGGCATGGTGGTGGGTGTCTGTAATTCCAGCTACTCGGAAGGCTGAGGCAGAGAATTGCTTGAACCCAGGAGGTGGAGACTGCAGTGAGCCAAGATCATGCCATTGTACTCCAGCCTGGGCAACAGAGCAAGATTCCATCTCAAAATAAATAAATAAAATAAATATTTGCTTTCAGTTTATTCTAAGGGATCAATAATATAGATTTCTTTGGTGTGTTTTTTTCCTTAAGAAGAACAAAATAAAGGCTGTACTTACTAGATTTTAAGGGTCATCCTGTTTAGATGCATTTTACAATAATAGTTTCCATGGACTATGGTACCATACGGTTAAGCATATTTGTATTGTTCTTCTTACCTGTAGTTGTTGAGTGAACTTTGGTGTGTTGTATAATTTTTCTAAACCACTCAGCTTCTTAGTTTCCAAAATGAAGTTCTGATGGCACAATGCAATCCTGATCACCACTTCTATCAATGCAAGTGGCCCAAGATTATAAGTCTAATCCAGCGGGAACATGAAGTCCTTAGGTTTGATATGTTGCATTTGGACTAAGAAAGATAAGAATATTTGCTATCTTTAATTTTTCTCTTACCTATCCTGCAATCAATTTATCTTATAGAATTACTGGCTTGTCTATAATAAAATACAGAAGCAATGATTACTTTTGGACTTTATTGTTCAGTATTTCATGGTGAGTTTACCGAGTGAATGTAGTTAAGTGCTGTTATGGAGATATTATACTTTAACCAAAGTGGTTTAGTTGGTTTCATATATCATGTAGTGCTATTGTTCTAAATTCTGTTTGAATTTGGAGTTTGCTTATGAAGCCAAGGGAAATTCATACCTTGTGGAACTCACTCAAGGACATGATAAAAATGAAGAATCAGTCAAGAAAGCAGTATAGCTTTGATGTACTTCATCTCTGAGTCATTCTAATTGGCTTCTGGTTTCTATCAGTGACCAACCGATGCTTAAATAAGTGGTGAAAACATTGCCTTCACCTCCAAGGCTGGCGAAATGATGGCTCATTGGTTCCATGATAATCTGTTATAGACCTTCTGCTTGAAAGTTTATTACCCTTGTGTTGGCCTTCAACAGAAACATGATTAGTTTTCAAACCCTTGTTTACTAAACTCAGTCACTCTATGCAGCTTTCTCTAGTGGAGTCAGTAATATACTTTATAAATGGATTTCAGATATCTAAATAGAGATAGCCATTTAACTCCTTGACAACAAATTCAGTAGAAGGAAGACAAAAGAATAGTCCTTAATTTACTAGTGAATGAACACATTAGCGTTGTTAGAGAAACCACTTAACTGATCTTTATTGAATAAGCCTAGGGTGTGTCCTGCAGAGGGGAGAAACAGGAAGTGTGTCAGGCACATGCGAGAAACAGAAAGTATGTCCATAACAGTGGAAGAACAGGAAGTGTGGCCTCTTCAAGGAAGAAAGAGGAAGTGTTTCCTGCACTACAGAGACACAAGAAGTGTGTCCTGCACAGGGGATAAACAGGAAGTGTGTCCAGCACAGGGGAGGAAGAGAAAATGTGTGTTGCATAGGGGAGAAACTGCAAGTGTGTTACCCACAGGGGCTACAAAGGCAGTGTGTTCTGCCTAGGGGAGAAACAAGAAGTGTGTCCTTAAAAAGGGAGAAACCCGAAGTGTGTCCTGCACATAGGAGGAACAAAAATTGTGTTCCCCTGAGGGTTCAGGGGAGACAGAGGAAATGTGTTCTTAACAGGGGAGACAGAGGAAGTGTGTCCTTAACAGGGGAGAAACGAAATATTCAGACTATTTCTATATATTTAATTTATATATCTTTGGGTTTGTTTACATATAGCTGTATATGTGTGTGTTTATACATACATATATTTATTTAAAATAGGCTTGTCTACAAAGAAAATTACCATGCTATCAATATATTATAAAATCACACATACACACATATACATATCTTTCTGAGAAAAATTAAAGACAATAATTTCACCCCTTTTTAGTAGAACTCACAATAAACTTTCAATGGAGATGCTTTTTTAAGAAAAACATTTAACAATTTTTTAAAAACTTTTTTTTACAAGAAGTTTTTTAAAAACATTTTTTAACTTTAAAGCATTCAGTCCATAAATGTGAAGTTCAAAGGGCTGTCATCACCACTGTTATTACTGTAAAAATGTGGCGGCCCCCTTCTCATTTTTTCTCATTCATCTATCTTTGATGATTGGATTTGAGGTAGGAAACACACATTTTAATGGGGGTGGACTGAGAATAACATTTAAAGTGTGATACGTGACTTAACACACACAGACTAGTTTCAAGAATATTGATGACTGTCCCAACATATGTCTTCAAATGCCTTTTCTCCCCATGCAGATGAGAGAGTTTTCCAGTTCTTGCAGTTGAAGCCCATCTGATGCTGGCTGTGGAATCTAATGTGTCTTGAGTTTCCTAGGGTTTGTCTTCTTTAGCTGTGTTAGGACAATGAAGACAAGTCTCCAGGTTGCCCATGAGTCCCTTTATACATTATTCATAAAGGTTCGATGATAGAATAAATTGCTGTAGTACTAATTCAGGTCTCTCTACAAGCCCACTATAAATCTTTTTCTATTCAAGAAACCAACCATTTATCACAATAAATAAGTAAATAAATTCTCCTTTTCTGAGAACTCCCATATATACACGTTGAATAAATTTGCATGCCTTTTCTCCTATTAAAAATAAAAATAAATAAAAAATAAATTCTCTTAAGGCATGTGTGTGTGTGTGTGTGTGTGAGTCTCTTCCGAAGGAACCTACATTTTTGCCTTCCCAAATGTGTCTGATTCTTCATTTTCCCCCTTTATTATATACGTATCAATTAAACGTTTTTCTTTCTCGTATCTGAACCATTTTGAAAAGTCGAACCCTCCTTTCCTACAGTATTTCATTAGCCATTTGCAAACTGAGCAGCTGAAAGAATAATGGACACTTAGATGAGGTTCGACATGGCTTCCCCAAGGAGATCTGACCCTCGATCAAGAGAAGTAGACCCATTTTACCATTAAGTTAAAAGATTTAGACACCTAATCAGAATAAATGAAACTACAAAAAAGAAGTCTTATTTTTTTTTTAACCAGAATTGTACATTCCATTTTGTTTATGTTAGATAGTTCATTGCATCAAAGCCTGCTGTGTTGGTTACTTTTCAGATCTGTTTTGGTGTGAACTCTGCATTACAATGAATCCAAACATCAGAAATCCAAAGGTGTTCTCATGTTAACATTTACTATTAGACACATAATGAAAGCATCTTTTAAATTACTTACTTAAGCCTTACAAAGATCTTTAAATTTTCTCATGCTAATTTTAAAGACTTGAAAGGGCCTTTTATAAACTGCTTCTAGAAATAATTGAAATAATTCCAAAAGGGCTAGTAGGCTAGCTAACTTTTGAGGATTTTGGAGGGGAGAAGTTATGAAAGGAAGAAATTTAAACAGCAGAAGTCTAGAGTGGTAATTGCAGGGAGGGACATACGCAAGGTCATATATATCGCAATCCTCAGAATGTTCTAAAACAAGACCTGGCATTTATGTTTGTGTTTTCTGTTTATTCTTAATAACACTCAGGTTAGGCAGGAATGTTAGGCTGTTTGTTACTGCATCTATGGAGCCCATATTTATGACTTCTTACCTGCGAGACATTTCAATCCATTTCATTGCTATACTCTGCACCTGAGAAAAAAGGCTTCCATGATTTTCTCTTTAGAATGTTTCATCTTTTAAACACACATACATACATCATTGTTTTGTTTCTTTGTTTTGTTTTCTGTGAACAATGATTCTGAAATAAGAGCACTTTATTTTCAGTCACATAAATCTACATTATTAAATGTTTGTTTACAGCATTTCCAGCTCACCATCCATGGATGTGAAGGGCATTTACAAACACTAGATGATTCACTGACTTTGGGAGAACATACTACCAGCCAACTTGAATAATTGTTTTAGAACTAGACTGTCCTATATGGCATCCGATAGTCACAAGTGACTATTCTACCATGAAATAAAATTAAATCAAATTTAAAACTCTAGTTTCTCAGTCACACTATCTGTATTTCAAGGGATCAATAGTCACATTTGGACAATGGGTACTATTTTGAAAAGCTAATCCCTGCTCTATTAGTTTCCTGAAACTGCCATAACAAATGACCTCAAACAGTGTGGTTTAAACAAGATTCTTTCTTTCTCTCTCACAGTTCTGTAGGCCAGAAATTCAAGATCAGTGTCACAGCATGATTGGTTCCTTTTGAAAGCTTGAAGGGAGAAACTGTTCTGTGCCTCCTTCTCAATTTATGGTGATGGCTAGTGGTTCTTGGCATTCCTTGGCTTGTGGCCGGATCTCTCCTGTATCTGCCTCCCTCATTGCATGGTGTACTTACTGAGTGTCTGTATATCCAATTTTTCCTTTTCTCATAAAGACACCAGTCATTCAATGCCTGGCCACTTTAATCCAGTATGAACTCACTTTAACTTGACTACATCTGCAAAGCCCCTATGTATTAATCCGTTTTCACATTGCTATAAAGAAATACCTGAGACTGGGTAATTTAAGCAGAAAAGAGGTTTAAGTGTCTCAGGGTTCTGCAGGCTGTACAGGAAGCATGACATCATCTCCTTCTGGGGAGGCCTCAGGGAGCTTTTATTTATGGAGGAAGGCAAAAGTGAGAGCAGGCGTCTCACATGGCACGAGCAGGACAAAGAGAGAGAGATGAGGGAGGTGCCACACGCTTCTAAATAACCAGGTCTCATGAGAACTCACTCACTATACAGTACTGGTGTGGGGGGGATTGGTGCTAAGCCATTTATGAGAAATCTGCCCCCATGATCCAATCACCTCCCACCAGGCCCTATTTCCAACAGTGGGGGTTACAATTCAACATGAGATATGGGCAGGGACACAGAGTGAAACCATACCACTCTAATTTCAAATAAGGTCATTTTCTGAATTATTGCATGTTAGTGATGGCAGCGGCAGCCCATCTGGAGAGGCCGCTATAAAGATGCTGACTGCAGCAGTGGTGGCACCGCCAGGGCTGTATGCTCCACTGAGCTGGCAGAAGCCAGGAACAAGTGGGAGCCCTTCCTCCCTCCGAGTTGGTGGGGTGGGAGAGCCACCCTCCTGGGAGCAGCTGCAGCCGCCTAGTTGCAGCTGTGGACCTGATCATCCTTGCACTCTCAGGGGCCCAGGAAGTCTCCTGTAGCCCTGCAGGCTCAGAAGTGCCTGCTCCCACTGCTTGGCCTCTCCCCACTCCTGGAATCCACTCTGATTTTGGAGCAAAGTTGAGGCCAAGCCTGGGCACTGTCACAAACCGGCCAGGTGTGTGCATGCTCAGGGCAGTGCTGACATGCCAGCCTCTTGCTGCTTCAGCCACTTCTGAACTTTGGGCACCGATGAGCATGAGAGGGAGGCCAAGGAAGGGGCTGAGGGTGGCTCAGGGTGGGCCTGCATGTGCCCTTCGGCATGAACTGCCTGGGCACCAGGGACAACATGACTGATAGTGGCTGGACACAGACAGGCTCCTGGGTGGAAAGGGGTGGGTCCTCAGTGAAGCCCCACCTTCAAGCCAGAGACAGCCTGAAGCATGGGGTCCAGGCTGTCAGTTCCAGGTGGAGTCTGTAGACCGGAGTTCCAGGTGGAGTGCTGTTTCTGGGCCCACCCATGGCCACCCATGGACCAATCAGCATGCACTTTCTCCCTTCTGAGCGCATAAAAACCCCAGACTCAGCCAGACTTGAAGAGACACCGAGACTACCAGCTGTGGGAAGGAGCTGCCCACTGTGAGTCTCCTCTCCACTGAGAGCTGGACACTCATCAGGACAACTTGCCTGTGGAAAGGAGCTATCACTTTGGGTCACCTGAGATCTGTTCTGTCACTCAATGAGGCTCCTCTCTGCTTTGCTCATGTTCATGTCCCTCATTCTTCCTGGACGCAGGACAGGAACTCAGGATGTGCCAAATGGTGGGACTGAAAGAGCTGTAACACAAACAGAATTGAAGCACGCCCCACTGCTTGCCACATTGTGGGTGACGAGAAAGAGAGAAGAACTGCAGCTCTTCAGGGAGCCCAGACCTAGGGGTTCCCTGATCCAGGGCTGTGACACTTTCTTTGGGGCTCTGTGGTTCCTGGCACCTCCAAGCTTCTGGGAACCACCAAGTTCCCCTTATCCTCATCTAGATGTGGGTGCTTACAGTGGAAGCCTCATACAGTACATCTGCTGTAGCTGCAGCCTCACATGGAGCCAGCACCTGTGCCAGCGCCTGGAACTTCCCACCCTGGCATGGCTAGCTGTGTGCAGTGGCTGGAACTCGTGCTTGCTCTCCCACACACCCCTTGCCACTGTGCTAGTGGCTCGTCCTTTGCAGGTGTGGGATCCAGGCTGGTAGTGCCAACTGAGCACACCCTGCTGGGCCAAGTGGGCAGAATGAGGCCAGTGGGTGTGAGCAATACTCAGGTAGAAGGCATCAATGGCCACAGAGGTTTCCGGCTGGTGAAGCAACACCCCAAAGATCCCGTGACATTAGGACTGGAAAATAGATTTCTGGGAAACCCAGTTCAACCCCTAACAACATTTCTGAGTCTTTTCTTTCCTGACTACTCCTGGGGAATATACAGCTTCATTTGGCCCTATGCTTTCACCCTAGGAAACGAGTCCAACACCCATTGCTTAGCATATGGGGAAAAAAAAGTGTATTTAAATTGGAGAGTAAGCATACATTTGTGATGATTGTGGAATTCAAGGAATTGGAACAAGGTGAAGCAAATATTCAGCTTCTCCCATCAGCTCTCCTTCTCTACATGAAAGCTAAAAGCATTTCATGCCTATGCTTATGCCACGAAGTAAATATCTGGCCATGTCCTCCAGAGACACAGGTATTATTGGGCTTTCCATTCAGCAACATAATTGTGGGCATTAAGATGACTTTTCCCCCAGCCAAGTCTATGCCTGATTACAATTTGAAAGAGGATGGATTCAGTTGAAACAGATATAAAATTCAAGTAACTGTTCTGAAGTACCATTTGATAGCTTTAGATGGTGATGGGACGCTTTAATCAAAGATGCCACATTGAACTGTGGGCTAAGATGCAGGGAATAACTTTTACAACAGTAATTGCAGGCTCTCTAGAGTCTGATTGAGATGCTAAAGAGAAAAGTCATGGAGAAGTGGCATTTTTATCAGCATCAATGAAATGCTAAGGAATCTATGGCTGCTTATCAGAGTTCCTGACTTATTTAGGGGAATGCAAGTGGGAAAATGACACCTTGCTGGACATGTAAGATCTATTCAGCGAAGCAACTCTAGGCTTGACCAAGAAGAAAGATGTTATTCCTAGACTACAGGATGCAGAAAGTCTGGGTGGCCAAATAGGGAGCAGATAACATCTTAGGCTTCTGAAATTCAAATTTGCAGTCAACTGAATCTGTTGACACAATATCCTTTTCATGTTCACCCTCTGTCTTAGCTTTCCACAGCTGCTATAACACAGTACCACAGACTGGGTGTCTATAAAAAATTATTATTGTATAATAAATTAGACCATTGATTGCATCAATATCTGCTGTCTTATAATAATTTATTATCTGTTTATAATAATTTATTATAATATAATAAATGTTATAATAAACATTACATTTATTGTATGTGTATAATAAGTATTATTACATTTAATATATGTGTCTTAAAATAAATTATTATATAATAATAAATAAGAGAGTTCATTGCATTAATGCTTGCTCTTATAATAATAATTTATTTATTATATGTCTATAATAATAATTTATTATGAATATAACATTTATTATAACATTTGTCATAAAAACTTAGATAATAAGTTATATAATAAATTCATATAATATATTTATAATAGTAAATTATTATATAATAAATTAGTTCATTGCATCAATGGCTGCTTCTTATAATAATAATTTACTTAGTAATATCTGTCCATAATAGTCACTTACTATTAATATAATAAATTAATATAATAATAAATATTTTAATATAAGTGTCTTAAAATAAATTATTATTATATCATAAGTTATTATATAATAAATTAGATATTAATAGTTCATTGCATCAATGCCTGCTGTCCTATAATAATAATTATTATTTATTTATTTATTATATGTCTATAATAATAATTTATTATAAATATGACATTTATTATATTTGTCTTTAAATAAATTATTAATATATAATAATAAACTATCATATAAAGATATACATTTATAATACATTACATAATAAATCAGTTCATTGCATCAATGCTTGCTTTCTCATAATAATAATTTACTTAGTATTATCTGTCTATAATAGCTTATTAATGTAATAAATTATTATAATCAATATTATATTTACTATATTTGTCTTAAAATAAATTATTATTTAATAATAAATTATTATTTAATAATAGATTATTATATAATAAATTAGTTCATTCCATCAGTGCCTGCTGTCTTATAATATTTATTATTAGGCCTATAATAATATATTAATTTGATAAATTATTATACGTATTATAAATGTATTATATTTATGTTAAGTTCTGGTTATGCAATAATAAATTGTTATATAATAAATTAGATAGTTCATTGTATCAGTGCCTGTTAATAATGGACACTTCTATTAATGGGGTGTCTTATAATAATAATTATTATTGTTTATTTATTATAATATATTTATGACAATAATTTATTATAAGATACCCAGTCTGTCCCACACTTCTGGACAGTAGACATCTGAAACCAGCATGTTAACCAGGCATATCCTCTCTGTCCAAAACTTTGCAGAGAATCCTTTCTTGCCTCTTCTGAGCAGATGTTGGTGGTCATTAGTCTTTGACATTGCTTGGCTTGTGGCTGCCTCAGTCCCATCTCTGCCTCCATCTTTATATGGTCTTCCCCTGTGTCTCTTCTTATAAGGACATCAGGAATAGTGAATTAGGGGCCCACCTGACTCCAGTATGACCAAATCTTAACTAATTACATCTGCAAAGACCCTATTTCCAAAGGAGGTCACTTTCTGAGGTTCTGGGGGATAGGACTTCAACATATCATTTTTGGGAAAATAATTTGACACATAACATTCTCTATATAAAACAATCTGACACAATCTTTATTAACTTTGAAGGTGTGAACTCCAATATGACTATTCTGGCATTCCCAAATACTGAAGCCCATATTTACTACTCTGTTCTCAGAAAAGCCCATATAACTTAATATCCAGTTAATTTCTAATCTTCTCCTGTTTGTTTGTTCTTTGATATCAAATTCAGATTTCTTTTTTGAGACGGAGTTTCACTCTTGTTGCCCTGGCTGGAGTGCAATGGCTTCATCTCGGCTCACCACAACCTCCGCCTCCCAGGTCCAAGCAATTCTCCTGCCTCAGCCTCCCAAGTAGCTAGGATTACAGGCATGTGCCACCACGCCTGGCTAATTTTGTATTTTTAGTAGAGACGGGGTTTCTCCATGTTGGTCAGGCTGGTCTCGAACTCCCGACCTCAGGTGATCTGCCCACCTCGGCCTCCCAAAGTACTGGGATTACAGGCATGAGCCACCGCACCCAGCCCAGATTTCTTTTTTGTTAACTTTTATTTTAGATTCACGGGTACTTATGCAGGTTTGTTGCATATTTCTTAAAAGAAAGAAATATTTTATAAGGGTTCCGTACTTCCCTAAATTCTACAAAATTCTTAGTCTTTAACCATATTTTAACAACCACTCATATAAGCCACTCTTCTCTCTGTTGCAGGAAATGCAGTAAAATACCCTTGGCTTAGTGATTCATTGCTCCCTGGAAAGTTTGCGTATTTGCTTTCTCTTTTCATTCACATGCGGTTTTATTTATAAAGGACCACAGCCATGTTTTTGAAGTGCAGTGAAAACTCTGCTATGGCCTGAACTTTTCTTTTCCCCCAAGATGCATATGTGATACCTAATCCCCGATGTATTAGTATTAGGAGGTGGGGCCTTTGGGAGGTGATTGGGTCATGAGGGTGGAGCCCTCATGAATGAGATTAGTTCCTGTGAGTGGAAACCGCCCCCGCCCCACCACACAAACACAAATTGTTTTTCCTCTGCTCTCACACCACAACAATCAACACAGAAGATGTCAGTGACCAAATGTGTGGGGGCTTCTCCCCACACACCAAGCAAGCAAGCAAGCCATTGTGCAGCACACACCAGCTGGCTGTCTTCCAATTCAGTTCTGACACTCTCTACATGGAGACAGCATCAGATCCCACAGACTGAGGGCTCAGTCCCACAAGACTGCTCCCTCTTCCCACGAGTTGCAAGTCTGGGCCTTCAGAACTTCTGATTGGCCAGCTTCAAGTTGGATTCTCATGACTCCCTATGTAGATTGGTTTGATTTGCTGGAGTATCTCATAGACCTCTAAAACACAAGTATACCAGTTTATTATCAAGGATATTACCAGGGACACAGGTGAAGAGATGCATAGAGGAAGATATGGGGGAAGGGGCACGGAGCTTCCATGCTCTCCTGGGTTGCACCACCCTCCTGGAAACTCCATGTGTTCAGCTATCCAGAAGCTCTCCAAACTCAGTCCTTTTGGGTTTTTATGGGGACTTCATTAGTTAGGCATGATTGACTACCATGTAGAAATGTGATTGGACAAAAGGGTTGTGATTTAACACTAATAGACTGAGTAGGGGAACCCAGCGACGTCTGTCTGTTCAAATTCTTCTTGCTGTGTCTCTACAGCATTCCCTCCTCTTGGGTATGGGGCAGGACCCCTTCTGAAATGAGGGTCTTATGCCCCACAATCACAAATCCGAGGAAAGGCCTGGTGCTGTGGCTCATGCCCTTAATCCCAGCATTTTGGGAGACCGAGGTGAGCAGATCACTTCAGCCTGGAGTTTGAGATCAGCCTGAGCAAGATGGCAAAACCCTGTCTCTACAAAAATTACAAAAATTAGCTGCGAATGGTGGTGTATGCCTGTAGCCCCAACTACTTGGGAGGCTGAGGTGGGAGGATTGCTTGAGCCCAGGAGGTGGAGGCTGCAGTGAGCCATGATTGCGCCAATGTACTCCAGCCTGGGCTACAGAGTGAGACTGTGTCTCAAAAGGAAAAAAAAAAAAAAAAGAAAAGTAAAGAAAAGAAACCCAAGGAGAAAATAGTTTCCTGCCTTGGGTTGGGGAAAGTAAGGCAGGAGAAAGTCAGGGAGAGAGATTCTGTCCTCCGAGACTTAAAGCGCCCCAACATTATAACATAGGCTATGGGAGCTGAGTCAAGAACCATCAACAAAAACTTATCATATACATGATAGCACAGTGCCCCTTGAGGAGGAAAAGAGAACACAGTTCTTTTTTTTTCAGCATGTGCGGACACAGCCGGAAAACGTCATCTAAATCAAGAAGCAAATCCTCCCCAGACGCTGAATCTGCCACGGCTTGATCTTGAACTCCAGCTTCCAGAACTGCAAGCAATAAATGTCTGTTGTTTAGAAGCAATTCAATCTGTGCTATTTTGTGATAGCAGCTTGAATGGACTAAGACATTCTTGGTGGGAAAATTCTCAAATGGGGAAGATGCTAATATCTCTTCCTGCTTCTGTTCTGTTCTATGAGTGATGAGTCCAGGCTCAACCTGGCTTCTTCAGCAGGAGTGCCGCCTAGACATTGGGTTGCCTTTAGTTGCTTCCTCAAAGCATCTGGTCATAGATCTGTGTAAAGAATCCTGGTCTTGAATCTGTGCATGATGCAATCAGCATGAGAGTGAATACATTGCCCCTCTGCAGAACTGCAGAATGTCTGAAGCTGACTCTTACCCTTAATTGTACTCTGACAAGTATTTATTGTGCAGCTGACAAATACCTAATGCTGTGATAACTACAATGAAACACACCTACATTTATGTTCTGAACTGTGCTATCAAGGAGTTTACATCTTGGGAGAGAGGAATGGAGAAGAAACAGCATTGTGTTCCAATAGAAGTCAGAAAGTTTCACATCCAGACGCTGTTATTACCTGGGGAGGGATCGCGGGCAGGTTCTTTAACCCAGAATACTCTTCTATGTATATTATGATTCTGAGGGCTTTCCTAAGCAAAACATTCTATGAATTTACAATGAAACCCATGAATAGTGAGGCCGGGATGTATAAATTGGTTTTCCGTGGAGTATAATCAAGTGTAAAAATATGTCTGCAACAGACAATAGGGATCCCTGCCTGTGCTTGAAGTACCCCCTGCTGATTGGAGGTGGCCACATGCTGCCTGTGTTGCAATCTGCATTTTCAGGAGAGAATACATCTGCTTTGATATGATGGGTTAGTTAGAACAAAACTGACGATCCTTCTGCCTACGGTTCTGTATATCATCCTGGATTTTTGAGCCCAGTCTGTAAAGGAAGTTTGCTACTGATCTCGTCTGAGCCAAGATGGGGGTAGATTTTCCCAGTAGCTCAGTTATGAATTCCTTCTATGTATTTCAGGACATGTCTGTCCTGTGTCAACATAATAAGGCCTTAATTCAAAATAGCTGCTTATCAAAAGATGAACCACAGAGGTGGGCACATTACCCTTCATCCCATATTTCAGAGTGTATTTGTAGACTGCGGGTGAAAATTGGCTTCCAGCATGTGAGTTTATTATTTAGTTCTTGGGCTCTGGTGAATTTAAACTTGGCGGGAACACCACCAGTGGTGAAAGGAGGAACAATGACAGCCTTCAAGCAGCAATTCTTGTCTTCCTTTGATCTTGTCTGCTTCATACCTGCATATTTATTCCAGTTTGGTGATTCAAGAAATATGAGTATCTATATTCCAGAAATAGATTTCTTTATAAACTCTGTTGTGTGGGACCCGTAGCCAAGTCGTGGGAATTTGAACTGGGGCAGTCCGCAAAAAAACACAATGATGTTGGAAAGTAAAAGTGAGGAAATTTCTTTACATGAAATGTGAAGACCATGAAAGGTGTTACAAATATGGATTTGATGAGCCTCAAACCTACAAATATAAGAAGAATGATCAAGGATGATACAGGAAAAATACAAAGTGGTAGCTGTATGCAATCCAAAACAATCAAAATAATATGAAGGAAAGTAGAATTAAGCATTAGGAATATAAAATAGAGGGTGGATATCAACATGAGATGGCTATAAACCTATCATTAATTAATTATGGAGAAAATGAAGTTGTTCCTTTGATATCTTATATGCAAAGCTAGTGAAATGCTACCCGGGAACATTTAAATCAGGTTTTCTCAACCTTGGCACTATTGAATTTTGGGTGGCATACTGCATCGCTGTAGGGGCTGTCCTGTGAAGTGTGTTTTTCAGCATCTCTGGCACTTATCCACTAGATGCCAGTAGCAGCCTCCAAGTTGTAACAACCAAAAGTGTCTCTACACACTGCCCTGTTTCCCTGTGGTGTAATCTCCAATACGAATGAGAATCACTGCTTTAGCTGTTTTCTGAGGTTCAGCATGTTTGAATATATGGAAAGAAAGTGAATTCGTGCCCCCAGTGATGAAGTGACCAGGGAGACCATGGGGCAGGAAGTAATTCATCAACTAATTTTTCAGTATAGGCAAAATGGGTCGATTTGGGGAAAAGGGATGCCTGCTTAAAAAACATGCATCCACAATAAAGAGAAAAATATGGTCTGTAACTTTTAAGAGATTGATTTATACTCCACTTGGGTAGATGGTAGATATATATCAGAACACTGTACGGTTAAACCTCTCTTATTCATTTTGGATTTAAAAGCACATGATTTGTAAACAGACTTCTAGAATTTAATCTGATTTCTATCCACTTCTACCTACAAATCTGAGGAGTGAGAAGACTTTTTCTGGAGATGATGTTTATCAGACCATGATAAGGAGAGCAAATAGCTGTGATTAACCAAGGGCCAACAGTTAGCTCTGGGAAGAATGGTCTTGGACGTAACTATTCCAACCACAAATAATACTTGCTTCATTGTCATAATATTGGGATATTAATTTTCTCTTCTTTGAGCACGCTTTTTTTTTTTTTTTAGGCAGGCATCCCTTTTCCCCAAATTGATTCATTTTCTCTACACTGAAACATTCGTTGATGAATTACTTCCTGCCCCCGTGGTCTCACAATTCAAATTTCTGCGCTTTGGCCTATGATGAGAAGTAAGAGTTTTCACTTGTCCATCTGAGAAGCCACATCTCTTCTTGCCATTCTGATTTATGAAAATCCCCAACATGAAGAAGACTAAACTGGCTGGGAGACTTCTTACTACGTGCTGTTTATAAACTGAGGCTGCAGGCATTTGAGCATAAGGCCACTCTGTTCATTTTATTGAATTTATCGGACTTCCCGAGCTCCTACTTTTCATGGTGGAAGCCCAGTCGTCATATCGCAGGTGGAAGGAAAACATTTTATGGACAGGAATAATGACTTAAAATCTGAACCCAGTGACCTGCTTGACTCAAGACTGGAGGAAGGTCAGACACACTTTCTTCTTATTTAGCTTCTCTGATCAGCAAGGCTGACAGGTCACTTGTGAACTGTGGCTCTTACCTAGTTGTTACGGCCTGGCCACGTCAGGAGGTTATGGGGGAAGTTAACTATAATCAGCATCACTTGTCTTCGATAACCACTTAAGAGACTTTGAGTTTTACTTTCTGGTACACAGCCGGAAACTTAATTAGTCTTTTATTTGAAAACATTATAATAAAATTAAGCAATAAATGTGTCACAAATGACTTTGTAAGTTAAAAACTAAGAGGTTCTTGAAAACTTTATGAGAAGGAAGATGGACAAAAGTGGGAAATGCAGATATGTATCTGAATCCTTAAATGTAGGTGATGAGGGCAGAGTGATGAGGGCAGGTAGGTTTGAGTAAAATATAAGAGATTGTAATAATATAAGTATATTATAGTCAAATGTAATACTGCAAAATAGTATAACATAATACCATATATAATAATATAGTATAATATAATATAATGTAAATTCAACTATATTGTTAAAAGCTGATATCTTGGCAGGCAATTATCTAGGTACTAAAGGTAAAAGAATAAACTAGAAAGACAAAAATCTCATCGCACATCATTAGTATAATACATACTATATACTATCATTAGTATAATACATACAACATACTATATTATTATAATACAGTATATAGTACATATTTTATATAATATTATATAATTATATATTATTATTATATAATATATATAAATAATATAATAATATATAGTATAATGTAGCATAATATATAGTATATATAGCATATACTCTACCATATTATTATAGTATATGCTATATATACTATACTATATATACTATACTATGGCAAAACCCTGTCTTTACAAAAACTATATACTATATTGTAATATATATTATATATTATATATTATGCTATATATGCCATACAGTGTACATAGCATATACTACATAATATTTAGCAATAATATGATCACCTTTGTAATCCCAGCACTTTGGGAGGCAGAGGCTAGAGATAGATATACATTATATTATATATATATTATATATTATATAGTATATAGTATATATAATATAATAGCATATATGATATATAATATATTATATATTATATATAATATATAACATAATAGTATATATAATATATAAATTTATAAATAATATATTATTATTTAGTATATGCTATGTATACTATATTATAATAATATAGTATAATATATAGGCTTATAATAATATAGTATAATATATAGTATATTATAATAATATAGTATAATATATAGTATATTATAATAATATAGTATAATATATAGTATATTATAATAATATAGTATAATATATAGTATATTATAATAATATAGTATAATATATAGTATATTATAATAATATAGTATAATATATAGTATATTATAATAATATAGTATAATATATAGTATATTATAATAATATAGTATAATATATAGTATATTATAATAATATAGCATAATATATAGTATATTATAATAATATAGTATAATATAGTATAAATTTGGCTATATTGTTAAATGCTGATATTTTGACAGGCAATTATACAGGCACTAAAGATAAAAGAATAAAGTAAGAAGACAAAAATCTCATCACTCAACATTAACTTCTGGATTTCATAAGAAACAATAAAAGTAGATATATTAAATGATTGACTGCCATATGCTAGAAAGTGATAAATGCACAAAAGAGAAAAAGCAAAGAAGGATAAAAGGATTTTGAGTGCAGAAGAGCATAGAATTTTGTAATATGAAATAATGTCCTCTGCAATTCTTTATGTCTCTAGGAGATTTTTTGAATTGTTTGCTTGAAACGCGTTTGTTTGTGAGCAGTTCTTGTTGATGTTTGCATGTACTAGATCTGCACTATATACAAGAAATGCAGAGATGAACGGACATCTATACTTTTGGCTTTTACAGATGCACAGTGTATTTTAGCTGTTCTATTAGGAGACATCCTGCTACTTTTTTTTTTTTGAGTCAGGGTCTTGCTCTGTTGCTCAGGCTAGAGTGCAGTGTCATGATAGCTCACTGTACCCTCAAACTTCCAGGCTCAAGCAATCCTCCCACTTCAGCCTCCCAAGTAGCTGGGACTATAGATGCACACAACCATGCCCAGTTAATTTTTTATATATATAGATATATATATATTTTTTTTTGTAGAGATGGGAGCTCACTTTGTAGTCCAGGCTGGTCTCGAACTTCTGGCTTCAAGCAATTCTCTAGCCTCTGCTTCCCAAAGTGCTGGGATTGCAAGCATAAGCCACTGCGCCCAGCCCTCTGGCTGCTTTTAATGCTAATAATGATATACAAGAGAGCATTCCGGACAAGATGGCACAGCAGTATAAGCACTGACTTACTCCCCACCACCACACAAGACACAAAGCAAGACTAATAAAATGCAGAAGATTCCATTCCAGAAAAAATACACTCCAAAAAGAAAGAAAGAAAGGAAGAAAGGCATTTTAGAGAGTTGGTTGGATGCCCTGGGCTTTCTTGACTTTGGATCAGAAGACAGGTAGAGGGTGCTGGAGGTCTGTTGATGTCGTGGCTAAGTTCTAAATGTCTTTCAGGACAAATAGGGAAAAAAGCCAGGATGCAGTGTAAAACCAATATCTGTGATGAAAACGGTTCTCACAACCCTGAGAAAGGGGGCAAAAAATCAAAATAGAGTTTGATTTGAAAATAGCATGAAAACATTGTTTCATTCTAAGTGAAAGAAGCCAGACAGAAAAGGTCAGATATTACATGATTCCTTTTATAAAAACTCTCCAGAATAGGTAAATTCATACAGTCAGGAAGAGGTTTGGTGGTTGCCTGGATAATTGCCTGTCAAAATATCAGCATTAAACAATATAGTCAAATTTATATTATATCATATTATTATAATATAGTATACAGGGGCTGAGGGAGAGGTTATTGGGAAGTGGCTACTTAATGGGCTCAGGGTTTTCTTTTGGGGTGATAAAAATATTTTGGAACTAGACAGAGGTGATTGTGCAACATTGTAAATGTTCTAAATGTCACTGAACTATACACTTTAAAATATTTAATTTTATGACAGTGAGTTTCACCTCAAAAATAATTTTGAAAAAGGAGGCAAACACATCTTTTTTGAGCTGCACAGGTGCTACGATTTTAAGCATGACGTGATGCTACAGAGAGAGGAAAATCAAAAACCAGCTTCACAATGAGGACTCAAAGAAAAGTGTGCTGTGTGGAAGGCTGAAAGTGAGACACTGCAACTGCGATGTCATTACAAGACGTGGTTTTTGCTCTTTTTTATGGCTGTGTAGTATTCCATGGTGTATGTGCACCACATTTTCTTTATCCAATCCGCCTTTGATGGGCATCTAGGTTGATTCCATGTCTTTGCTATCCTGTCCTTTGCAGCACCATGGATGGAGCTGGAGGCCAGGGTGCGTCTCCATGTGCAGGTTTCTTAGACCCCTGAAACTGAAATAAAATTACAAAAAAAGACCTGGTTTTCGACCTGGAGTGGGTGGGCAGGGGCAACCACATTAGGCAAGCATGGAGATGGGGAATACAAATTGAGCTGTCCATGTTCTCACTTATAAGTGGGAGCTAAACATTGAGTACATATGGAAAAAAAGAGGGGAACAACAGATGCTGGGGACTAGTTGAGGGTGGAGGGAGGAAGAAGGGTAAGAATAAAAAAATGCCTATTGAGTACTATACTTATTACCTGGGTCATGAAATAATCTGTACATCAAGCCCCTGTGACACTCAATTTACCTATCTAAGAAATTCTTACCCTTCTTCCTCTCCTCAACTAGTCTGGCAACTTCACATGGGAAGTGGTTTGGGGCTCAGCTGAAGGAACATGAAAGAGGCTTTTATAGGATGAAGGCAGGAGCGGAGCATTAAAAAAAATGTGATTGGTTAAAGCTGAAGCATTGACCTTATTTGGACTATCTCTGTAGAAAGTTTGAGACAATATAACCAGTGCTCAGCTGGCCATTTATGACTGGCTGAGCTAAAGTTTTGTTTTCCTATAAATTAGCCACTTAGAGGAAATGAACAATTACAACAAATATATAAATCTACATCTGACAAATTATGAAAAGAAATGTCTAAATCCACGTCTGACCTAGAAAATTTCCAAATGAAGGATGAAAGCTTTTGGTTTGCTTCCATAGAACCTAGTGCATCAGAACCATTTCAGTTTAATAACCTCTCATTTAGCTGTTTTAATACTCCCCATCAACACAAAACAGTGAATAAGAAATGCAAAGTCTATAAATAAATATAATTCTAGGAATGACAGCATCAAAAATCAGTGTTGAGACCTAAAATAACTCAAGGCAAAGAGATCTTCTTATTAAAAATATTGAAGAAGTCCTTAAGTATATTTATAATAGTCAAAATAATAAAGACCAGCACTTTGGGAGGTGGAGGGGAGCAGATCACCTGAGGTCAGGAGTTCGAGGCCAGCCTGGCCAACACGGTGAAACCCCGTCTCTACTAAAAGTACAAAAATTAGTTGGGTGTGGTGGCAGATGCCTGCAATCCCAGGTACTCGGGAGGTTGAGGCATGAGAATTGCTTGAACCTGGGAGGTGGAGGTTGCAGTGAGCCGAGATTACACCACTGCACTCCAGCCTGGGTGACACAGCGAGACTCCATCTCAAAAAAATAAAAACAAAATAATAATAATAATAATAATAATAATAGAGAAATGTTATCCACTAAAAAGATATATATGAAATCAAAACTTGATTAAATTAAGCAGAACTGATGGTTATGGAAATTCTTGTGAAGTAAAAATGCAGTCATTTATATAAAACCATATATATATTCAAAACAAATTCTACATCAGATATAACTGAAGCAAAAACTAGTGAATTAGAAGATATTCCTAAGAAAGAGACTCAAGGGATACCACAAAAAAGACACAGAAGTTAAAATATGAAACAGTGAATTCAAGAAATGGTGAGGAAATTGAGTTTCCATGATCTATATAAATATTTGAAATTTCCAAAATGATGAAATGAATGTGACAAGGCAATGTTTAGAAATATAATTACTAATAATCTTCTAGAATTGAAGAAAGGTCCAAAATTCAGATTAAAAGTGAAATGAGTCAGGAACAAAGTTTAAACGCTGCATGTTCGCACTCATATGTGGAAGCTAAAAAAAGTTGCTCTCATAGAAGTGGAAAGTAGAAGAGATGATAGTGAGGCCAGGAGGGTAGGGGGACGAAGGGAATTGGGAGAGATTTGTTGAAGAATACAAAACTACATCCAGATAGGAGGAATAAGTTCTAGTGTTCTATACCACAGCAGGGTGACTATAGTTAACAATCATATATTATGTAGTTCCAAATAGTTACAAGGATGTTTTCAACACAAAGAATAATCAATAAATTTTGAGATGATGGATTTGCTAATTATCCTAGACTAATCACTAGACGTTGTATGTATCAAAACATCACTGTGTGCCCCAGAAACATGTACAATTATTATATGTCAATTTTTAAAAGTATTCAGCAGTTTTCAAATAGGTAAATTCACATGTAGAGATTATGTGGTGAAACTGTAGATTAAGACAAAATAAAGACTCATTTATGTATATATATATAATATATGTATATATGTTATATATATGTATATATAGGAATTTAACATGATCTTTAATAAAAGACTAAATTATTTGAATATATAACTTATAGAAAAGATAAATTTCTGTAATTTCATATAATTGTGGAATTCTCCATATGGAGAGAAGAATATGAGAAACAATGACATGTCTATAAGTTTATAAAATATATCTTAGAATTTAATAAAGTTTCAAATACAGAATGGGCCACCTTTTGAGTTGTAAGAACAATGGAGAGTTCCATCATTCGTTAGTTATCGTAAGAGATCCATAATAGTCAAGAGTATTCTAGAAATAACTTATTTACATGATATTAAAATCATATCCATTTCAATATTTACAATAAAATGTAATGGTACCTGCCAAAAGAATAAAAATAAAACATATAGATTCCAAAGAAGCAGGAAAGAAAAAAAGCAACAACAAAAAATTAATCCAAAAGAAAGAAGAGTAGTAGGAAGAAAAGGAGAAGCAAAAAGAGAGTAAAAAACACAAAATAAAAATAATCGTTAGAAATTATTCAAAGTAATGAATAATTAGCACATGGCTGTATGTGTGTGTCTGTGTGTTTGCATGTGGTGTGTGTTTGCATGTATGTGTGTGTTCATATGTATTATATTCACCTATTCGAAAGTAAAGATTGACAAGTTGAATTCAAATTCTTCAGAAATATGTTGCACACAGGAGGAGCACACACAGAAATGCCACCTAGAAAATATCCAACTGAAGGATGAAAAAACCTCTGTGTTGCGTGAACTATAAAATGCTGGTTAAGATTTGAAGAAAATTCTCTCTCTTACACTGCTGAGAGAAGCAAAAATTCGTATGACCCATTGGGGAATAATTGAGCAATGTCTAGTGAATTTTCTATGCCTATGCCTTAAGCCTTTTGAATGTTTACATAAAGTGCTATATAAAAGGAAAGTCAGTGTAGCGCTGTCTGTAATAGTAAACGATTGGAAGTAATCCAAGTGCAGGGTGGCACAACAAAATTATACCAGTTATATTTACTTTAAAACCTGCTAAATAGTGCTATTGATTACTACCAGATACATGCATAAGTAACAGTATTTAAAAAAAATTCTGTGTTCAAGATGAACAACAAAATTACAGTAAGCTGTACTTTTAAAAATAAAAACAAAGCAGAATTGGATCAGATGATTGTTTACAGAGAACTTTACCTTTTTACACACACACACACACACACACACACACACACACAATCAACAAGGGGAAAATAAAAAGGATTGAGAAGGAAAGAAAAGCAAGACAGTCTGACTAAGAAATGAATAAATATAATCTTGGGTGATGGTCATACACCTTGGCAGGTTTCCTATGTCTGGTTTGAAAGCAAAGCCAATTCAGAGTGCATGACTTTACTATGATATAGTCCAATGTAGAACAGAGGTAAGCTCTTTTGGACATTTCTTGGATCTCTGTAAGCCTGGGCATGCACCTTGCTAAGGCAAGCCAGGAATGTGGAATTTTTGGATGTTTCTCTTTTCAGTCATTAAAATCCTAAGGAAACAGAATTAACTATGAAGTGTGGCTGATTGGTTTTTGTTTGAAGATACTGATTCTAAATATCTTCCTTTATGGATGTAATAAGCCCTGATCTAATTTAATTGGTGAAAGAGAACAGATTTCTTAAGCTTGTTAGGTAATTATGGCCATAATATATCTAAAATATACAAAGAAAATAAAATTCAAGAGGAAATTGGTTTGGAAAGGCTGTTGGAAAAAATGTGACTGGTACATATGGATAATACCTTTTACAGGAAGATCACCTGGAAAAAACACAAACAAAAGTGCAATGTGGGCCAGGTGTGGTGACTCATGCCTGTAATCTCAGCACTTTGGGAGGCCGAGGCAGGCGGATCACCTGAGGTCAGGAGTTCGAGACCAGCCTGACCAACATGGTGAAACCCCATCTCTACTAAAGAATACAAAAATTTGCCGGGCATGGTGGTGGGCGCCTGTAATCCCAGCTACTCAGGAGGCTAAGGCAGAAGAATCGTTTGAACCTGGGAGGTGGAGGTTGCAGTGAGCCGAGATCACGCCACCACACTCCAGCCTGGGTGACAAGAGTGAAACTCTGTCTCAAAAAAAAAAAAAAAAAAAGCTCAATGTGACAAGGGAGAAAAAATTATTTTACAGTAAAGGAAATAAAATTAATTTAAAACTGGAAACACTGCAACTCTACAGTGATCGCAAAAACGAAAACAAAACTTGCTCTCTATGAGCTGGGGAGTAAAGTGAGACATTCCAATCATTGCTGGTAGGAGGGGTAAAATGCTATTATTATTTTTGAAAAAAATGGTATGGCAAGGAATAAGCATTAATTGCTGTAAAAAGTGCTATGAAATATAGCCTAAAGGAAGCATACAGAATGCAAAATAAATTTCATTATTCACAAATATATTTATTGCTGATTAAAATAATAATAATAAAAACCCACATTGAAAATAATATGAGTGAGAGAACTGTGATCCATCATTACTGAATGTGATTTTTTTCCAACTTTATTCTGAGTTTCTGGCCAGGTTGGCTAGAGTGTTTTTCTGCAAGAAAGAGATAATTTAAATTCTTTTTATTTTTAAATTATAGACTATTGAATATACATGAAATTAGAGATAATAATATGATGAGATCCCATGAATCACTCAGTTTTAGTGATTAACCTTTTCTTGGACATCTTATTATTATCATTATTTTTACCCCAGACTCTCTCACTTCTGACAATTTCCGGCATTGTAGTATTTGAAACAAAGCCCAGGCATAACATCATTTCATCTGTAAACGGTTCATCTGCTAATATGTCAGTATAGCTTTTTTTTCTCTTTTTTTTAAATTTCAATTTTTGTTGGAGTACAGGTGGTGTTTGGTTACATGGATACCTTCTTTGGTGGTAATTTCTGAGATTTTTGGTGCACCTGTCACCTGAGCAGTGTACACTGTACCCAATATGTAGTCTTTTATCCCTCGCCCCCTCCCACTCTTCCCCCGAGTCCCTGAAGTTCATTGTATCGTTCTTATGCCCTTATATCATCATAGCTTAGCTCCCACTTATAAGTGAGAACATATCAATGTTTGGTTTTCCTATTCCTGAGCTACTTTACTTAGAATAACGGCCTCTAGCTCCATCCAAATTGCTGCAAAAGACATTATTTCATCCCTTTTTATGGCTGAGTAGTATTCCATGGTGTATATGTACCACATTTTGTCTACCCACTCATTGGTTGATGGGCACTTAGGTTGGTTCCCTATTGCAAATTTTGCTGCTATAAACACGTGTGTTCAAGTGTCTTTTTCATATAATGACTTATTTTCCACTGGGTAAATACCCAGGAGTGGGATTGATGGATCTAATGGTAGATCTACTTTTAGTTCTTTAAGGAATGTTCATCCTATTTTCCATAGCGGTTGTAACAGTTTACATTCCCACTTGCAGTGTAAAAGTGTTCCCTTTTCCCATCAGTGTTATTTCTAATGAATAGCTCTGTATATAACACAACCTCTGTACCATGGTCCCAGCTGAAATAAGTCTTACCCCTCCATAGTTATAGTTTTCAGAGAGGACAGAGACTTAGAAGGTGGTGAATCTGCTATGAAGACTTGACCACACAGGATCTGGGGCCAATGAATCTCCTGGATTCTTTGCTAAGCTCTATCTGGGGTGGAGGCAGCTCTGTTCATTCCCTGTTCCTCTCTCTAAGACTGTGGACTTTCTCAAAGACAATTCCTTTCCAGAGTCTGAGTGCCAGAGGTAAAACCATTTGGCAAAGCCTGCCCTTCTAGAAATTGCCCTCCTTGAAGCTTGGCATGGTGGTGTACACCTGTGATCCCAGATACTCAGGAAGCTGAGGTGGGAGAATCACCTGAACCTAGGAGGTCAAGGCTGCAGTGAGACATGAACACACCACTGCACTCCAGCCTGGGTGACAAAGTGAGATCTTGTCTCAAAAAAAAAAAAAAAAATAGATTGCTTTCCTTGTATTATTGTTCAACACATAACAGTTTAAAAACTTAAATCAAAGCACAATAGAATGAGAATAATGTAAATGGTGCACACAGCTTAAGAAAGCCATCAATTCCTAGACGCACTGTCCACAGTTTGGGTTTAATTTGGTAAAACAACAACAACAAATAAAAACAAAAAACAAAAAAAACCCTCAAGAATGTCTTGTTGTTGATGCTCAGGCTGGCAGGAGACATTCTGCTTGAGGTTTTAAAGAAAATGGGCATCAGTGATGTTTGCCCAAGCAGCTACCTAAAGAAATATAGGGAGAGATTGGATAAAGGATACAAAACTACAGTTAGATAGAATGAATAAGTTCTGGTGTTCTATACCAGGAGTCAGGAACAGGCCACACAGCAGCCAGTAAAACTTTATCTGTCTTTACGGCCACTCCCCATTGCTCACATTACTGCCTGAGATCCGCCTCCTGTCAGATCAGTAACCACATTAGAGTCTCATAGGAGTGCGAACCATATTGTGAACTGCACATGCAAGGGATCTAGTTTGCACACTCCTTATGAGAATCTAATGCCTGATGATCTGTCACTGTCTCCCATCACCCTCCAGATGGGACCATCTAGTTGCAGGAAAACAAGCTCAGGGCTCCCACTGATTCCACATGATGGTGAGTTGTACAATTATTTTATTATACATTACAATATAATAATAAAAATAAAGTGCACAGCAAATGTAATGTGCTTGAATCCCCAAACTATCAATCCCCAAACTCTCTCTCCCATCCCCACTGTCCACCCCAACCCCTCAACACCCTGGTCTGTGGAAAAATTGTCTTCCATGAAACCAGTCCCTGTGCCAAAAAGGTTGTGAACTGCTGTTCTATACCACTGTGGGATGACTATGGTTAACAATAATATGTTATATAGTTTGAAATAACTAGAAGGAATTTTCCCAATACAAAGAAATGATAAATGAGATGATGGATATGCCAATTACCTGATATGATCACTGTACAACATAGGTATCAAAACATCACTATTACCCCATAAACACATCCAATTTTTATATGTCAATTTTAGAAATTTAAAAGTTTAAAAAAAGAGAGAGAAAAAGACACTACTTTGTTTTTCTTGCAGTTCCATGTCTAATTCCCATTTTATTCCAACCAGTTTGGCAGTCTTCTTCTGTCACAGTTTATATAGGGATGTCAGCAGATTCTTAGAATAACTACTTAAAATTGTTTAATCATCCCTTTTAAAATACAAGCAATTCAATTGCTATTTTTATTTAGATCTGTAATTGCTACAAGGCATTTAGAGTTCTGATGTGTAGATGTAGTTACACGTTTTGCCTTCTCCAGCTAGAACACTAGAGGGCATAAGACCAGGAAGATTGACTGGCGCCAACATGTGAGGGAGATGGCTACTTGGCCTTGGCTGAGAGCTATGAAAGGGAGAGAGACAGAGAAAGTTGGTAAGAATAAATTATCCGAGGCTTTGAGCTGGGAGGTGACGTTGTCAAGATAGTATTTTAGAATCATACAGGGCAAAGGTCTGCCTGTTTCTTTTCCTAGTCTCAGGAAAAGGTTAACAAGATATCCATCAAAGAAAGAAATAGAACATTAACACAATTGCCTTTTGTTTTGTATTTAAAATCTTAGCCTTCTTGTTTTAGACTAAAGTAATGATCAGGTTTAAACAAATAAATCATGACCATTGTATTGAAAGAGGATCTTCCTTCCTTCCTTCCTTCCTTCCTTCCTTCCTTCCTTCTTTCTTTCTTTCTTTCTTTCTTTCTTTCTTTCTTTCTTTCTTTCTTTCTTTCTTTCTTTCTTTCTCTTTCTTTCCTTCTTTCTTTCCTTCCTTCCTACCTTCCTCCCTCCCTTCTCCTTCCTTCCTTTCCTCATTTTTCCTTCCTTCCTCCTTTTTTCCTCCTTCCTTTCTTTCTTTCTCTCTCTCTCTCTTTTTCTTTATCAACAGAGGATAAGGATAAGGGATAAAGAGAATAGAGAATTCAAGTAAATCTAAAAATTGCACAGTGAAGGGGTTGAAAGCCCCTTGATACAAAGTTCTCATTACCATCACAGGTACTTCAAAGTTAAAAAAAGAAAAAAGAAAAGAAGTCCAGACACAATGCCTCCCAGAAGATTCAATTTAGGTGCATTAATATTTCAAGGTATGTCTTTTAAGGAGTAAGATGTGAGCATGAGTATGGTCGTGTCGCCTGTTGTTTGTTAATACACAATGGATTGCTTACCTTGCGTCTTTGAAAAATGCTGACTGCTTTTTCAAAACTCACTGCCCCTCTATGGGATTTTAAAATCTTCCGGTAGAATATCAAAGCATTCACGATCTCATTTCTTTTTTTAAAAAAATCATAATAATGAACATTCATATAACACTCTGCATGGCATATTACTTTATTGTAAGCATTTTGTGAAATAAGTCATAAAATGTGAGAATTTTAGATTAGGAAATAAATGTATCTTAAATTTATTCTACTCACTTAAATTTTTGTAAACATTAAGTGGCCACATAGAGATCAACAAGCAGGGATTTTTCATCACACCAGGGAGGGTATTGATCATCCCTTCAAATAAAGGAATTCTTAGTGCTTTTTTGTGGTTTTCTTTTGGATTGTATGGAATTGCCCTTCTCAACCTGGAGAAGTGTTGAAAATGATCATCTGGTCTTCGTTTTTTCTCCTCTATCTGTAAAACTCGACTTAAAAAGAACTTAGTTAAAGACTTTCTGCTACTGTGGACAAATTGCAAATTAATTAGCCAAAAGGAGACTTCTAGTATCAAGTGAGATGAGAACACAACAGTTTTTATTACTTGGGACAGCATTTAGAATGGCTGATAGCAGCCGACACTGGCGGGACCACCATCCCTGGGATGTCCTTGACTTATTGGCAACTGCCAAAACACAGCAGATATTGCATAGACATTGTCCTTACCAAGCTGGGAGTCTCCACTTAATTTTACAGCATTTACAGAGAACCACCTGAGTTTACAGCCTAAGAAAATTGGAGTTCATTCAGTCCACAGAGTCTTTCACTTGAATGTGCACAAAGCTCACATAGTGGTTTTGTTAAAATGCACATTCCGACTCAGCAGAGGTTGTGAGTTTCTTACAAGGTTTTTGGGCTGCTGATATTGACTTGTCTGACGACCACACATGGAGTCATGAGATTCCATGCTAGAGCCTTTTCACTGTACACTGGAAGGATCTCATCTGCAGAGCAGATGGTCCATGGAAGGCAGCCAGTGCTTGCTTCATTGGGCAGCAGTCGTCCCCATGTCTGACAATTGTCCCTATGTCTCTGACCATTGAACTTGCTACTCTGACTTTCAAATATGAATGAGCCTGCTCACTGTGATCATGGTGAAGATATAGGTGGTAAAGATTATAGAGGGTAAAGATATAAACATATACATATATGCACATATATGTGTGCATATATATCACAATATATTATAAGAAATATATGTATTACAGTTGATCCTTGAACACAACATGGGTTAGAACTGTGTACATCAACTTAGGCTGATGGGTTGTCTTCAGCCTCTGCCACCCCTGAAGACAGCAAAACAAACCCCTCCTCTTCTTCCTTCTCAATTTGGAGATGATGAAGAGGAAGACCTTTACGATAATCCAGTTCCTCTTAATGAACAGTAAAGATATTTTCTCTTCCTCATGATTTTCTTAATGACATTTTCTTTTCTCTAGCTTACTTTGGTGTAAGAACACAGTAGACTGTACATGTAACACATAAAATATGTGTGAATCCACTGTTTATGTTACTGGTAAGGCTTCCAGTCAACAAAAGACTATCAGTATTTAAGTTTTGGGGAAGTTAAAAGTTATATTCAGGGCCTGGCACAGTAGCTCACACTTGTAATCCCAGCACTTTGGGAGGCCAAGGCAGGTGGATAACCTGAGGTCAGGAGGTCAGGACCAGCCTGGCCAACATGGTGAATCCCTGTCTCTACTAAAAATACAAAATTAGCCAGGTATGGTGGCACATACCTATAATCCCAGCTACTTGGGAGGCTGAGGCAGGAGAATTGCATGAACCCGGGAGGTGGACTTTGCGGTGAGCCAAGATTGCGCCACTGTACTCCAGCCTGGGCAACAGAGCAAGACCCGGTCTCAAAAAAAAGTTATATTCAGATTTTTGACTACATGAGGGGTTGGTGTCCCTAGCCTACATGTTCAAAGGTCAACTGTATATCTATTATATTTTATATGCACACATGTAGACGTGCATTCATATATGTACATATAAATAATATATCACAATATGTTAATAGAAATGGGTATGTAGTATATTGATTATATATATGTTATGTATACTCTATCATGCATCTACCTATGCAACAAGGAATAAGTGATTACAGCTGCTATCTGACTTAGTTTTTAACTTCTCTCTTTCTTGTCTGCGTGGCTTGAGGAATTTTCTTATAAGCTACTTTTCATTCTCCAATTACACTAATTCCCTTTACGGCCCAAAAGAGCAAAAAGAAAATAGATTTTTAAACCCTTTGTTTCGTTTTGCTAAAGGTTGTGGCTGCCTTTTATTTTTATAGTGAGATTATCTGTAGTCATTTTCAGTCAACTTCAGCATAGTCAGTAAGTGAGAAACTAGTAGTTCTCAAACATGTCATTTCATGTAATCATACGGAACATGAATATAGAAGAATTTTATTTTGGAGAAAGATGTTTCTGGCAAGGTCTGTCTCTTTCAGGTAGCTTGTATACTGAATGTGAATTGTTACCTTTTTCTTCATTTTGTTTGTTTGTTTGTTTGGTTTTTTTTTTTTGACATGGAGTCTTGCTCTGTCACCCAGGCTGGAGTGCAGTGGTGTGATCTTGCCTGTCTGCAGCCTCCGCCTCCCAACTTCAAGTGATTCTCCTGCCTCAACCTTCTGAGTAGCTGGGATTACAGGCGCCTGCCACCACACCCAACTAAATTTTGTATTTTCAGTAGAGGCAGGGTTTCACTGTGTTGGCCAGGCTGTTTTTGAATTCCTGAACTCAAGTGATCTGCCTGCCTCAGTCTCCCAAAGTGCTGGGATTACAGGTGCAAGCCAACACGCCCCGCCTACCTTTTCATATGTCTGTGAACACACTTGGAATGCAGATGCCAAATCAACCCTTTTGCATCAAGAAAATGCAGTTTAACCTCGACTGTTTTGAAAACTGGGAAGCTACTGTTAATATCTTTGCTAACCTTATATCCCAGCTTCTTGCTTTGAGAAATTATAAGGATCTATTTTTATTAAGTATTAAATGTTAGAAATCTAGGAACCATGTGCTTTGAAATAAAGTTTACTATAGTGATGGTGATTTTCTCCCCATCTAATATTTGATCCTACAGGTTGACTTCATGTTACTAATCACTTTCCTCTTAGGTGTTGCTAGTCACACTCTGACACCACTGTCCCCCTAAAAGGGGAAAGTGATTTTAATTATGATCAAACTTCCTTACAAATTGGAAAGACGTGTATCGTCCCCAAACAGACACCAACCTGGTCATCTGAATCATGTGGATCTAACCAGCACATCTGTTCTTAAAAGGAAGATGGTATGATTTGATATTCTTTTTTTTTTTTTTTTTCTCATTTTGATCTATGGCCTTGCAGAGCAATTCTGTCCAGGGGACCCTTCCACCACAGTGTGGATGCTTTTCACCTGTGCCATCAAATATGGCATTGCTAGATGTCTGTGGTTATTAAGCATTTAAGTGTGACTACTGCAGATGTGTGGGTTTTAATTTAATCATTTAATAGTGACTAAATATTCATAACAAAATATACCCTCTTAACCATTTTAAAAATTTTGCATAAATTTAAAAGGTACATGTATTAGTCCATTTTCATACTGCTGTGAAGAAATACCTGAAGACTAGGAAATTTATAAAGAAAAAGAGGTTTAATGGACTCACAGTTCCACATTGCAGGGGAGGCCTCACAATCATGGTGGAAAGCAAAGGAGGAACATAGGCATGGCGGCAGGCAAGAGAGCTTGTGCAGGGGAACTCCCCTTTATAAAACCATCAGGTCTAGTGAGACTTACTCATTAACATGAGAACAGCATGGGAAAACCCGCCCCCACAATGAGGTCCCTCCCATGACTCATGGGGATTATTGGAGCTACAGTTCATGAGATTTGGGTGGGGACAGAGCCAAACCATGTCAGTACAAGTGCAGCTTTTTTACATGGATATATTGCATGGGGTAAAGTTGGGACTTTGAGTGAATTCATCACCTGAATAGTTTACCTTGTACCCAATAGCTAACTTCTCATCCCTCACCCTTCTCCACCCTCCCAGCCTTCCAAGTCTCCAATGTCTACTATTCCACTCTCCGTGTCCACATGGATACATTATTTAGCTCCCACTTATGTGGGTGAACATGCAGTATTAGTATATGACTTTCTGTTTCTGAGTTATTTTCCTTAAGATAATGGCCTCCAGTTCCATCCATGTTGCTGCAAAAGACATGATTTCATTCTTTTTTATGGTTGCATAGTATTCCATGGTGTACATGTACCACAGTTTCTTCATCCAGTCATCCACTGATGGACACTTAGGTCTTTGCTACTGTGAATAGAGCTGTGATGCACGTAAAACTGCAACCATTAAGTACATTCACATTGTTATGCAACTATCACCACCCTTCATCTCCAGAACTTTTTTTGTCTTCTCAAACTGAAACTCTGTCCCCATTAAACACTAACTCCCCAGACTCCTCTTTCTTCTGCCCCTGGCAACCACCTTTCTACTTTCTATCTCTATGAATTTGACTGCTTTATGTGCCTCATATAAGTGAAATCATATGGTACAGTCATCCATTTAACAATAAGAATACTTCCTGAGAAATGTACCATTAGGCAATTTTGTCTTTGCGGGAACATCAGAGAGTGCACTTACACAAACCTAGGTGGTACAGCCTGCTACACACCTACATTATATGGTAGAGCCTGTTGCTCCTGGGCTACAAACCTGTGTGGAATCTTACTATACTGGATACAGTAGGCAATTGTAACACAATGGTAAAGTGATTATGTATCAACACATACCTAAGCATAGAAAAGGTACAGTAAAAGTATGACATAATCTTATGAGACCACCATTGTATATGCAATCTGTCATTGACTGAAATATATTTTTGTGGTGCAAAGTGGTGTTTTTCTTTCATTGTGACTGGTTTCTTGAGCACAATGTTTTCTTTTCTTTCTTTTCTTTTCTTTTTTTCTTTTCTTTGAGACAGGGTCTCACTCTGCTACGCATGCTGGAGTGCAGTGGTGCCATCATGGGCCACTGCAGCCTTAATCTCCTGGGCTCAATTAATCCTTTTGCCTCAGCCTCCCAAGTAGCTGAGACCACAGACATGCACCCACATGCCCGGCTAATTTTTGTATTTCTTATAGAGACAGAGTTTTGCCATGTTGCCCAGGCTGGTCTAGAACTCTTGAGCTCAAGCAATCCTCCTGCCTTAGCCTTCCAAATTGCTAGGATTATAGGCATGAGCCATCATGCCAGGATGAGCACAATGTTTTCAAGGTTAATCCATGTTGTAGCATGTGTTAGAATTTCTTTTTTCTTTTTAAGGCTGAATAATATTCCATTGAATGGATATACCACATTTTGTTTATCCATTCATCTGTCAATGGTTGTTTCTACACTTTGACTATTATGAACAATGTTGCCATGAACATGTTTGAATCCCTGCTTTCAATTCTTTTGGGTATATATTCCAGAAGTGAAATTGCTGGATCATACACTAATTCTATGTTTAATTTTTTGAGGAAAAAGTTATTTTTTTCTATTTTACTATTTTCCATAGCAGCTGCACCATTTTATATTCTCAGAAGGAACTGAATTGTTCATTGCAATTTAAATTTAAATAGCCACATTGGCTGATGGCCTTGGTATTGGACACCATTGTCATAGATGACCAAAGTGAAACTTAAAAATTTATTTGCCCTGATGATTGGTAGATGAAACAGATTGGAATCTTCAGCAATAGCAGTCATAATCATGGGATATTTTGCTCCAAAAGTATTAGAATTCATTGGTCAATCTTCTATTTTGCATTTACCAAATATAAAAGCCTTTCTTGAAGTTTAAGGTGTCTAGGTATAAAAACATTTTAATTTGAGTAAGCTAATATTGATTGCTTGTCTAAAATTTGCACTCACACCATATCAAATTGAATGTAGGAATAAATGAGTGTGTTGCACATAAGTCTTTGTGATACCACTATATATGGGGACTTCCTGCAGGGGTACATTTGAAAATTTAAAGGATGCATGTTGTGTAAATGACTCAAAGCTCCATAGGCCCTGGGGAAGGTAGGGAGAGAACCCCATTGTGTCTCTTGCTTCTGTTTTGTGATAGGTTTAGCCCATGCTGGTTTGCCTCCCTCTCAGACATTTTAATAAACTCAACATACACAATTATTTCTCTCCATATCAATGGGAGGAAAACACCAGCTATGATTGCAATGAGCTTTAGAAGAACATCCTCCTCAGAGCACTAGAGCATTTGAGTTTGCTAAACTGAAGAATAACCAACATGGATTAGAGTGTATAGAACTCCAGAGGACAAAAAACTTGCTCATATAGCCAGCACTTGGATCAAAACATGGGCATTTTAACGACTCTATAATGCTCCCTCTTAACCACCCATTTTTGTTCAATGATCCATGCCCAATATGGTAATAATAATGTCTATTCTGATGCCTGTCACACATTAACCTCTCCTCTGATATCTACTACTGTGGATTTATTCAACTTCTTTCTTTGTAGCAGTAACTATTGCTGTGTAACAAAATCCCCCATCCTTGGTGGTTTAAAATAACCATTTGGTTATGCACACAAATTCTGTGGGGTGGGAATCTGGACAGAGTATGGGGAGGATGGCATGTCTCTGCTCCACGAAGTCTGAGGCTGTCAGTTCTCAGCTAGGAAAACTCAAAGACTGAGGTTGACTTTACAAGTAGGAGTAGTGCGATCAGAGAGTTTCATTTACTTCTATTTCTAACCCTTGTGTTGAGATGACTTGTGATTTGGACAACTCATCAGAGAGCTTACACAAGGTCTCTCGAGGGATGGATGCTTCCCAGCAGAATGGACTTAGGATGTTTCATGTGGTGGCTCAGGGCTCCAGGTACAAATATTCCAGGGGCAAGGAGAGCATCACTATATTCATTTCTTAGGACTGCTGTAATAAATTGCCACCCATTGAATGACTTTTAACAACAGAATTTTATTTTCTCAGAGTTCTGGTGGCAAGAAGTCTGAAATCAAGAGGTTTCAAGGCCACACTCCTTCCATGGGCTCTAGGGGAGGATCTTTCTGTCTCTCCCAGCTCCTGCGGGGTCCAGGAATCCCTGGGCTTGTGGCCGCATCTCTCCAGTCTCTGCTTCCATCTCCTCGTGGCCTCTGTGTCTGTGTCTTCTTCTCTTTTGTCTCTTAGAAGGACATCTGTCATTGAATGTAGGGTTCTCACAGATAATCCAGGATAATTTCATCTTGAGATTCTTAGTTACATCTGCAAAGACCCTATTTCCAAATAAGCACACATTTACAGGTTCTTTGTAGATGTTAGCACATGGACACACCTATTTGGAAGACACAAACACAATTCTACTCACTTCCACCATCTTCCCTTGGCTGGATCTGCTACATGCCAGTCCAGATTCCAGCAGAGGAGAATTATACGCCACCCTGTGATGGGGTTGGCGAAGTCACATTGGAGAAGACATTATAGGACAGAAGAGAATGTGTGGCCCATTTCTAAAACACAACCTGCTGTAGCTGTGATCATCTCAACATTTGACCTTGATCAACATCAACTGTGCTAGCACGATCTGCGAATGAATGGCATGGTGCTTGCTATGGCCTCAATGTTTAAATCCCTTAAAATTCCTAAGTTGAAATCCTAACCCCAAAGGTGACTGTGTTCAGAGGTGGGGCTTTTTGGAGGTGGAGAGGCCATGAAGGTAAAGCCTTTTATAGTTCTCTTATAAAAGGGACCCCAGAGAGCTCCCTTGCCCCTTCCTCCATGTGAGGACACAGTACGAAGGTGCTGTCTATGAATCAGGAAGCGGGTCCCCACTAGACACTGAATCTGCCATGTCTTGATCTTAGACTCCCAGCCTCTAAGACTGTAAGCAATAAATTTCTCTTGTTCATAAGCCTACCAGTCTATGATATTTTCTTATAGCATCCTGAACAGACTAAGACTGAATTACCTCTGCTTTTTCTTAAGGTTGGCATTTCCTGACTACTTTTAAAGCAAACAAAAATTGTGATTGCTTGCATTCCTTGGTCACTTCTTTGCTTGGAGGTAAAAATATTCTATTAGCTTTTCAACAGGCTGCGTTTTCTAATGGAGGTGTTTCATTGTGGCTATTCGTGTATGCTTCTGATTCCTCGTTATAATATTGCTTCTTTCACACTGAGATACTCAGCAACTTGAAAGGTGAAATATAATCTCACACACACACACACACACACACACACACCCATCCGGTCTTTATTTATACATACAAATACGTTTACATATACACACAGAGAGAGACAGACTTTTTAACCTATTCATAGTTAACAAATATTTTAACACACACACACAGAGACAGAGAGAGATCTTCATCTATTTATAGCTACAAATATATTTACACAAACAGAGAGACAGAGAAAAAGAGAGATCTTCATCTATTTATACTTACAAGTGTTTACACATACACACACAGAGATTTATATCTATTGATACTTACAGATATGTTTACACACAGAGAGAGACACAGAGAGAGAGAGATAGGGAGATCATCATTTATTTATACTCACAAATATGTTTACAAACACAGAGAGAGACAGAGAGAGAACTATTTTAATCTATTTATACTTACAGATATGTTACACACAGAGAAAATGAGGCAGAGACATTTTCATGTATTCATACTTACAAATATGTTTACCCCCCCCCACACACACAGAGACAGAGAGAGAGATCTTCATCTATTTATACTTAAAAATGTTTACACACACAGAAAGACACACAGAGAGAGATTTTCATCTATTTATACTTACAGATGTTTACACAGAGAGACAGAGAGAGATTATTATCTATTTATACTCACAAATATGTTTACATAGAAAGAGAGAGACAGAGAGATTTTCATCTATTTATACTTACAGATATGTTTACACACAGAGAGAAAGAGACAGAGAGATTTTCATATATTCATGCTTACAGATATGTTTACACAGAGAGAGAGAAAAAGAGAGATTCTCATCTATTTATACTGACAAATATGTTTACACAGGGAGAGAGATGGAGAGGGAGAGAGATCTAGATTTATACTTACAAATGTGTTTATACACACAGAGACAGAGAGAGACAGAGAAATAGTCATCTATTTATACTTACAAATATGTTTGCATACACACACGTGCGCGCGCGTGCACACACACACACACACACACACATATATATATAGAGAGAGAGAGAGAAAAGAGAGACAGAGATTGACAATGCTCTATCCTGAGAAGTTTGCCTTGAGAGTACCCCTTCTGCATTTTGTCAATGTTCATTTCAGTGTTAGTGTGGAGAATTCGACAGAGCATAACTGACTTGAAGACCATTGCCACATTTTAATAATATGGTGAAGAGAACTCATCCAGCTGATCAAATAGTAGGAACACCCATTTAAGAGGCAGAAGAATCCCCTGAGTCAACAAATCCGTATGGAGAAAGCTGTCTTTTGAGAGCCCTCTGCATTAAAATTTTGTGTGAGTGAAGATAAATACAGCCAGCCTTTCACTAACTTACAGGTTACCCTCTCCAGTGCTTTCCAGTCCTGGCCCTTGTCTTAAATGACCCAACAAATATCAGAACCAAAGATGATTTGCTCTCCACATGCAAACTTCTCTAGAGGATGCTGGCTCTAAGAGCGCTTTATTTTCATACTTGCTCCTATTTTGTCAGAGAGTGGGAATCTGGGAGTTGCCTTTTCCATTCCACCCCACTCAAGTTCAGCAGTTGCCCTTTTGTTCTTTGTAGGAAGAGAAAATTAAATCAATTGCTGGTGCAGGTGTGTAGAAATCGTCTCTGGTTTGCACAGACTGTGGGAGAGAGGAGAGGAACATCAGCCATGGCTTTCAAGTTAATTCTTGATATGTTGGTGAAGGGTTGGTCGTAACTTTTTGAATTCATTTTTCAGAATTATGAAGTACCACAGACTGGGTGTCAGGAATAACAAAAATGCATTCTCTCATAATTCTGGGGTCTAGAAGTCTGAAATCAAAGTGCTAGCATGGTTGGCTTCTTCTGTAAACTCCAGGAGAATCCATTTCATGCCCCTATCCTATTTTTATGTGGTTGGTGGCAGTTGGTGTTCTTTACCTGGTAGACACACTATGCCTATCTCTGCCTCCGTCTTATGGTGTTTTTCCCGCGTGCATGCAAGTGTTTACATTCTTATAGGGACACCAGTCATATTGGATCAGGGAGCCACCCTACTCCAATGGAACCTCATCTTTAACTAAAGATATCTGCACAGACCCTATTTCCAAGTAAGTTCACATTCACAGGTATTGTGGGTTAGGACTTGGACATATCTGTTGGAGTTGCACAACTCAAGCTGCAACACTTTCTTAATAGGTTCTTGCAAACACCAAGGAAGTTACGCATTTATCTAATACATTTTAGCAGTACTTCCAGGGATTCTTAGATGTGTAGTAGAGAAGATAGCCTCACTAGGGGCCCTGCTTGGGGAAGTTGGACTTTCAGAGGCTGAGAAAAGCTGGAGGAAGAACTGTCCCTCACTTGGTGATGTGGTTTGGCTCTGTGTCCCCACCCAAATCTCTTCTTGAATTGTAATTCCCACGTGTTGAAAAAGGGACCTATGATACCCACGTGTCAAGGGAGGAAGGTGATTGGATCGTGGGGATGGTTTTCCCCATGCTGTTTTTGTGATAGTGAGTGAGTTCTCATGGGGTCTGATGGTTTTATAAGCATCTGGCATTTCTCCTGCTTGCACATCTCTCTCCTTCTGCCATGCGAAGAAGGTCCTTGCTTCTTCTTCACCTTCCTCCATGATTGTAAGTTTCCTGAGGCCTCCCCAGCCAGGCAGATCTGTGAGTCAATTAAACCTCTTTCCTTTATAAATTACACAGTCTCAGGTATTTCTTTATAGCAATGTGAGAACAAACTAATCCACTTGGAAAACACACACATCTCAGAATTCAGGGTGCACATTTAATATTTAAACATTGGTCTACTTTTGTTCCTTCCCTTTGTCTACCCAGGGCCTTTGTCTCATTGAGCAGATTTCTTCTCTCCAGGTGCATTTTGCTTTCTCCGTATTTACATTTCATCAAAGTTAGCAGATCATTACTCAGTTTCTCTCAAGATCTGCCATCTGAGCTACCTGCCTCCTGGCAGCATAAATTCTTCTTTAGAGGGCAATCAGCTCGGTTTTCTTTCTATTGGTACTGCACACCCTTGAGTTTCTACCATGAGTTTCCTTTTATGCTAGATACTGCCTTGGATTTGGCATTTTTTTTTTCATATGAAGAAGAAGAGCACATCCTAGAGCAAATACATTTTGGAAATAATTAGACAGCAAAATTGTCATCGTGGTAAAACCAATTTAATTTTTTTTCTAAAGAGTAGAGTACATCACACCAGTGAGTTATCTGTCAAAGGGTTTATTTATTCAACTCTACCCTCAGTGACCTTGAAACACTTAGAGAACATACAGGCATGAAATCATAAGTGTCTCCACTGTCAAAAGATTTCTAACAGATGCTAACTAGGACTGTTAACTGCTTACTTATAGGAACTTGTAGGTGATGTCGTCGTCCTAAATTTAAATAATTAGCAACACTGATTCTTCCACAAAGCTGTGATCAAATCCACCTACTCCTAACTTCTCCCTGCTACTGTTCCCCAGAACACTACATTCTTCAACTGTGAAGTGTGTGTGTGTGTGTGTGTGTGTGTCTTTGGGTGTGTGTGTGTTGAGTTGAATTGTGTCCTGCAAATAGATATATTGAAGTCTTAACCCCTGGTGCCTCCGAATGTGACAGTTTTTGAAAAAAGAGTCTTTATGGATGTATTCAAGTTAAGATGAGGTCACTTAAAAAAGCACGTTTTTGTAGAAACAGTCTAGGCAGGCTAATACAACTTTTTCGCTTAGTAATTTAGTAACTATTCTGAACATTAAAATTCCAGATGCCAGCCTAGAGTCAGTCCCAGAAGCAAGTCATTCTAAAGATAATAACCTTAAACTTATTTCTTTAATGATTTCTTCAACAAACCTGGGTTTGAGGCACTACTCTACTTTCTCTCATCATCTTTTATTTATTATTCTTAGCGAGGCATGTGAGAGAGTGAATAAAATCATAGATCACTGAAATATCAATGGGCATGAGGAAGACTTGAGTCCCTTTCAGCTGCCAGGCTCAGAAACTCCAATTCCAATTACCATCAATAATTTAAAATCTGAATGCTCACATGCATGGAAGCAGCTCAGGCTCAACGATGCCTGTAATGTTGGCAGTTCTTTCTAACCTTTCTCTCTGACCTCTTGGATGTTGGTTTCCAGATGTGTCTTACCAAGATGGTAGCCACAAATGGAATAGCACAAACTTTCTCTGTCATACTCCAGACAGAAATGATAAAGGTGTCTCTTCCTTAGGAGTGTGGATATATTTCATAGCATCACTCCAGCAGCCCTTTTGTCTCATATTTTTGGATAGAATTTAATCCCAATCCCATTTTTAAATCAAACAATGGCAGCATCGCCATAATTGGCTTGGACAAATCCTAATCTCTCTTCCCCTCCATCCTTCCTCGGGATAGGAATGGATTTCATTTATATGAAGCACTTGTGCTTAATCAATGTATAAAATTGGGGTTCTGTTAGGAAGGAGAAACGAGAGGAGGATGCTTTGTAAGACACCAAAATGTCAACAACAATAAGTCTGTAGGGGAACTCATCTTTGCATTACTCTTGAGACGAGCCCTGGGATAGATTTATTGATCATGCACTCAATAATTTGCTTAAATCAGAAACAGATTCAAGGTTATTTGCATTTTTAAATCAGCTCTCTACTGAGTTCTTTAAGGAATTCCTCACACCTCTTGGATATAACAAGAGACTCACATAATTGGGGAACTCCTTTTAAGGCACCAGAATTATACACCTGTGTCTTTTATATGTAACCAATTTCTCTTTTGAGGAGTAGACTTAAGTAATGATGCCACTTCAGTAAGCCCTCAAAACTTTTCTTTAATCAATATCCTCTATGCCCTAGGAGCAAGCATTCCTTTTCAGAGCTTTTTCTTATTTTTGAGTCTCACATTATATTGATTTATATAGGCTTTCAAATTCCATTATTTTATCCTCCAACTGTAAAGAGTTTGTGCTAAGGCCAATGTTTCTTTGTAAGAATGTTATGGAGGCAAATATATCATTTCAGCTTATTCACTTCATTCCACTGTCTTTAAGAAAATATCATTTCTCCTTACCTTCTTAGTGTCAAGAAAAGAAAGTCAAGCTCTTTCACTGAAACAAGTTTTGACGTGTGCAAAGAGGGCCAATTAAAATTTTACTTAAGAATTAATATTTTTTTCCAAAAAATTAACACTTATGTATTTGTTATTTTTGTAAGTAACATTATATATTTCAAACGGAACTGACTTCTTGCCTAAACATTTTTAAAGGAAAACAGGAGATTATAAAAACCACAAATCACTTATAATTACATCAACATAGAATGAAAGGTGTGAACCATTTGGCATGTATATTTTTGTTGTTTCATTTTTCTCTCTTCTCCATTTTTACCTGGTATACAGAAAGAACTCTAGGGAAGTATTAATTTACAATACAACTCATCAATTATAATGCAATAGATAGATAGATATGTAGGTAGATAGATAGTTGACCGTTGAACAACATGAATTTGAAGAGCATGGGCTCACTTATGCATAGATTTCCTTCTGCCTCTGCCACCCCTTAGACAGCAAGACTAACGCCTCCTCTTCCTCCTCCTCCTCAGCCTCCTCAACGTGAAGACAACAGAGATGAAGACCTTTATGAGGATCCACTTCCACTCAATAAATAGTAAATATATTTTGTCTTCCTTATAATTTTCTTTAACGTTTTATTTTTGCTAGCTTACTTTATTGTAAGAATACAGTATATATAGTATATAATGCATATCACATACAAAATATGAGTTAATCTGCTGTATATGTCATTAGTAAGGCTTTGAGTCAACAGTAGTCCATTAATAGTTAAGTTTTGGGGAGTTGAATGTTGTACATGGATTTTTGAGTGCACAAGAGGTCAATGTCTCTAACAACGATGTTGGCCAACTGTCTTTTATTTACAATATAATTATATATATTAATACATATATAATTATATATATACACACAATACATATAATGTGTGGGTATACACACACACACACACACACACACACACACACACACACACAATGCATCTCCAGAAATAATATATATTGGTGGAGTGAGAATTTTAGATCATAATTCAGAGGGTGTTGATTCTCCACATAGACGTTTCTTTCCAGATTCCAGGTGCACATGAATTTTGGGGTGAGATCACACAACCCATAACGCCTCTGAGCTGTTTATTGTGTAGAGAACACAGCAAAAACATAATCTCATTAATTCCTCAAGCCGCTCACTCTTGGGTTTTTGTTATGTGTAGATCAAACTAGTCCTGATACACAGCATATTATGTCTTTTTAAAAAAATCCATTCAATCCTCCTGCCAAAATTTTCTAGTTTGTCTCTCAATGTAGCTATCAATCCATCCATACATCTATTCCATCTATCTCTCCATCTAACTAATCTATCATCTATCTATCCATCATTTATCTGTCTGTCTTTCTGCTAAACTACCTACCTATCTATTATCTAGCTATCTACCTATCTTCTGTCTGTCATCTCTCTACCTACCTACCTATCATCTAGTTATCTCCCTATCATTTATCTGTCATCTACCTACCTATTATCTATCTATCTATCTATCTATCTATCTATCAATCTATCTATCATCTATCTATATATCATCTCTCTATCTAATCTATCATCTATTATAGCTAGCTAGGAACCATCTATCTATTCTATCATCCATGTATCTATATTTGTATCTATCTATCATCTGTCTATCTACCTATCATCTATCTACCTATCTATAATATATCTATTTATCTCTATTTTATCTATCATCTAGCTATCTAGCTATCATCTATCTATTCTATCTCTATCGATCTACCTATCACCAATCTATTGTCTATTTATCATCTATCAATCGATCAATATATCTATCCATCTATATCTATCTATCATCTATCTATCCATCCATCTACCTATCATCTGTCTACTACCTATCATTCATCTATCTATTATCTATCATCTGTCATCTATCTACCTATCATCCATCTATTATATATTCATCTATCATCTCTCAATCTATCCATATTTATCTATCTACCTATTATCTATCTATCTATCTATCTATCATCCATTTATCTGTTATCTATCATCTCCTTATCATCCATCTATCTATCTGTCTGTCTGTCTATCTATCTATCTATCTATCTATCTATCTATCTATCTATCTATCATGTATTAATCTATATCTATCATCTATCTATCTATCTATCTATCTATCTATCTATCTATCTATCTATCATCTATTTATCCATCCATCTACCTACCTATCATTTATCTATCTATCTACCTATTATCTATCTATCTATCTATCTGAGTAGCACCATCCTAGGAGCTTTTCTAACTGTATCTGTGGGGAAATCACAAAAATCGGAGTGATTTTGTTTTTCTTTCTGCCATAAGAAGTCATCATGTGAAAGTATGCTAGGGTCATAGACTAGACTTGCACAATTTCATTTTGTCTTCTTTTAATTTTTCCTCTAGAGAGCAACCAATAATGCTCTTTACATCAAAAACTTGGCCTTGCCATTCCCCACGTCTCATTGTATTTGAAGTTCTAAAGACGGTGAATATGACTGACAATGTCCCATCTAACCTGGCTCCCATGGCAGCTCCCTCCTCCTCTTCCTTGCTTCCCTAGACTTTCTTGAATTCAGACATATCAGTCTTTAAATTTCTGGGCAAAGCCAAGTTTGTTCCCTCCTTAGGATGTTGGTCTAGAGCCCTTCACTTCTTTCTTGGGGTTCCCTTGGTGGTGTCTCCCTCTGATGTCTCAGATTCATATAACTTCTGCAGATAAGTTTCCATTATTCCTGTATTCTCTCACCCTGTATGTTACCTTTAGAGCACTTAGCACAAGATATAGGTATATAATATATATAATAATTTTGTATGTTTTCTCTCCTCTTCTACTGATCCATAGTCTCTATGACAGCAGGGACTCTGTTTCTTCATTGGTATTATTCAGTAATTTGTACCGATTCATAGCTCCTAATACAGTTAACCATGTGTATTTGTTGAAGGAATGCATGTGCAATCTCTTAACAATCTTCATATGCTTTATGCAAAGAATATGAAGATGCAAAGAATATTCATATTCTTTGACTCATTTCCAATTTTAACAAGATCATGTAAGGAAATAACAAACACACATACAAATAAGATGATGTTTTTGCATCTTAAAGAATAATAAAGTTGGTCTGTAAAGGATATTGTACATAATTACTCATTCAGCCATTATTTTTATTAGTGAAATGAAAATAAATATGATCACTCACACTATATGTATTTTATCTCATCATTTCAGTAATAAGCAAGTTATTGTATCTTGGGAGACTCTTGTTTTATAAATTACTAACCGTCTCCTCCTGGGAGCCCTAGTGCTAAAGTTAAGTAAAATAATTATTTTTAAAAATGGGGCCAGGTGTGGTGGCGCATGGCTGTGATCCCAGAGTTTTGGGAAGTTGAGGTGGGAGCATCACTTGAAGTCAGGAGTTTGAGACCAGCCTGGACAACATAATGAGACATTGTCTCTATAAAAAACAAAAAAAATTACAGATGTGGTAGCATGCACCTCTAGTCTCATCTACTAAGGAGGTTGAGGTAGGAGAATCACTTGATCTCAGAAGTTTGAGGCTGCAGTGAGCTCCACTGCACTCCAGCCTGGGCGACGGAGTGAGATTGTGTCTTAAAAACAAGCAAACAAAAAAAGGTTGAATTGTCTATCCTTTCTTAAATTAAAAAAAGTAAAGACCTTGATGCTTTTGAAGACATGAATCTTCAGAATTTACTTTTTAATTGATGCTAAATTTCCACACCTCTCAAGTACTGTGACTTAAGAAAGAAAAGCACACCTTATAAGACACAGGGACTCACTCTAGCCATCTCTGTTACACAGACTGATTTCAGGGTCCGGCCAAGCAAACCACAACTGCCTTCTGTGGAAGCTTACATGATCAATCCAGGGGCATGAATCCTGTTTCTCCAATACCAAGCTTGTCCTGTTTATCCAATGCCGATAGTTTTTTTTCTTAAAAGCTCACAGCACAGCATTCAAACCGCAGTTCAGGTTCTTCTACTTAGCAAGACATTGAACAACTTAGTGAGTCTCTCTCACCCTCAGTTTCCTCATCAGTGAGCTGGAAGTAATAGATTCCTCACACAGCCCTGTCAGTGACTATTGTGGTGATGTGGATGAAACCAATGTTAAGCCCAACATCTGGGCTATATCAGAGACTCCAGCAGTGCTAGTTTGTCAGTATTATTCTTTTCCTCATCTTTGTCTTTACCTTTCTTTCTTATCTTGCTTCTCATGCTTTTTCTTCTCTTATTCCTCTTTCTCCTCAATGCTATTTTACTCACTTGGCTTCTCCTTACCATAGAAAATTTCCAGACAACTGGCGAAGTGATAAAAAGCACTCAGTGCACTGCAGGACATTTTGTCTCAGTTTCATTGAGTCTTTCTCATTTGTAAACTGGACTGTTAGTGCCCTGAGGAGCTAAATAGTCTATTGGATGCTTTCAGTTCTCTTGCCTAGAACAGGTTCCACAGAAATTAAAGAACAGTTAAATAATTGGAGGTTTGAACAGGCTAATAGATGAAGGGAAGAGTGCCTACTTGTCTTTCTTTCAAATAAGAAACCAAGGCTGAATAGGATAGATAGGATAGAAAGACAGGAAGGTAGATAGATAGACAGATACTAGGTAGATAGATAGATAGATAGATAGATAGATAGATAGATAGATAATAGATAGATATGATTGATAGATGAATGATATGATAAAGAGATAGATATGATAGATTGATAGATGATATATATGATAGATATGTAGAGATGAGAGATGATAGATAATAGATATGATAGATACGATAGTTAGATGATAGATATGATAGATAAATTGATATGCTAGATAAATAGATGATAGATAATAGATGATTGATAGATGATAGATAGATAGATGATGGATACATATAGAAATAGATGATAGATGAAAGATAGACATGGTAGCTATTGAGACAGATAGGTAGTAGATGATAGATATATAATAGATGTTGAGATAGACAGATAACAGATAGATGATGGATGGATAGGTAGGTAGAGAGATGATAGATATATGGATAGTTAAACAGATGATGATCAAGATAGATAATAAGTAGATAATAGAGGTATATAATAGATAGATAGATTGATTGATTGATAGATAAAATGGATAGATAGATAAATAGAGAGAAATAGATAGATGTGATGGATAGATAAATGGTTCAGGATTATCACTGAGGCCAGGAGTTTGACACCAACCTGTACGACATAATGAAACTACATCTCTAAAAAGAAAATTTGTCAATCAAGATGGCAATGAGTCCCATCATTTCTATTATTTATCGTGTTTGTTGCTTATATAATAATTGTCTATCATTTTCAATCCATTTTAGCACTGTGGATCCAAGAACATAGGGCGTGGCATTTTGTAAATGCCTTATAAATCCTTGTTGAATAAATAAAGTATTTCCCACTCTATTTCCTTGAAGTTTCTTAACATGTTAAATTTTATACTCATGCACTTATTTGTGAATCACCTCGTGAATGAATTCCTGATTAGTTTGAGATATAAATACTACAATTGAATCAAGTCCTTGGTACATCTAGGTAGATATTTTCCTGAGATCAAGCACATGGGCCTCTGCTAATGTTACCCTCAATTTTCCCTAATCCTTTTGACTACCCATTATGAATCTATTTTAAAAAATCTTTTTTAATCTGGAACTTAATAATCTTTGCATTCTTATCTTCAACCAGTTCTTGGACTAACAATTCTCTGAAGTGTAAATTCCATAGTATTTTTATGGATACCAAGTCAGGTCCTTGAAGACTTCAAGGAGCTCTTTGCAGTACTCCTAGCATTTGTTTAGTAAGTTTACTATTTATGGGCTTTGCTGCTCTTCTCTGGAACCTCAGCCATTGAGGGTGAGGAGTCTCTCTACTGGCTTCAAAGGGGACTTTTATTTCTGGACCAAATCTCAGTGTAGTTTTCCCTAAGGTAGAAAAAGTAACATTTTGAAAACCAATGCATGTACTCAGAACATCAGGAGGAACTTGGGGGTCCATCTGGAAACTAATTTGTTAATTAGATTAATTAATGAGATCAATTAATCCATTAATCAGTTATGCCCCCTTATACATGTATTTGAATTTAAAAATTTCCTATTGCATATGGTAACACAGACTCATGTGCCTACATATACATAACACTTGCACACATGTGTTCCCTACATACATGCACATGCATGCATGCACTCACACACAACAGGTTTGCTTTCGTATTACCTCAGCAAGGCAGAGACTCTTATGAACGTGATTCTTGTTTCATCACAAGAAAATGCTCTCTTTTTAGGAGGAGGCAGAGATGTGCAGAATAAAGTCTCAATCATCGAGCATTTCTTCCAGCAAGATGTGGTCATATGGTTAAGTTCTTGCCCAAAAGATGTGCATGTAGTCTGTGTTGTGTCCTGCTTTGAACAGGCAGAACTCACTTCTCCTGTTCCTTTTTCCCTTCATTCTTTCTGCATAGTGAGCATTGTGATAAGCCCACTTGGACCTACTGGTGAAGGCAACATCCAGGAACAGAAAAACAACAGGGTCAAAAAACTCTGGGTTCTTCAAATCCCGGAGCCATCACCAACCTGGACTGTTTATGCTGGGACAACTCCATGATGGTGTAATTCACACTCTTTTGACAAAATTCTCATATTCACAGCAATGTCATTTTGAATCTGCTACAGGAGCCAGAACCAGATCCTAACTCACTTTCTTAGTCTCTGTTAAAAAAGTAGACTTTATTGTGAAATCATGTATTAAATTTTAGACTCTTCTAAATTCAATTTTCGTGACCAATTTCCCCTTAGAGAATTTTGTTTTCCCTGAATCTCCTTCCTGCTGCCTTCTCCTAAAAGCATGTCTTTATCTTGTACTGATTTACAGTACATTTTTTGAAATGCTGTTTGGTTTCTTTGAGAGAAAAAAATCACAACTGCTATTGTTTCCCCTTTTCTATATGAAGATTGGGAACTTGAAAGTACTTATTGGTATCATATAGATAATGCTTTGTACCTAACAGGAATGTGCAAACTTTTTGCTACTCCATGGCTTCAAGGTGATTTCCCTTATCTATCCACCTAAGCTATGATATCATTAAGACCCTCCCTAAATACTCAAGATGTCCGCTCTCCACACCCCCCCACCCCCTAACAAAAGCTACGAATAGATTTACCATACGATCCAGCAATTCCACTGCTGGGTATACCTAGAAAAGAAATGAAATCAATATTGGAGAGATGACTGCACTCTCATGTATATTACAACACTGTTCATAGTAGTTAAGATATAGAACAACCTAAGAGTCCATCAGTGGATGGATGGATAAAGAAAATGTGCATATCCACAACGGAACATTACTCAGCCATGAAAAAGAATGAGATCCTATCATGTGTTATTTTGTAGTTGTATGGGACAACTACCCATGTTATCCCCAGTTAGAAATAATCATACGCTCTTTTTTGTGGCTTCCCTAGAAACTTATCTACAGTTCTAGCACAGGTCTTCAATCTCTCTTACAACATTGGTACATGCTTATGGCTCTATTCCATTAATTAAAGCATTCTCAGTGGCATAATTAAGGTTTTACTCATCCTATTAATACCTCTCAAGTGCTTAGCATGGTGCTTATAGCTGGACTTTTACTTCTGAGCTAGATAGTTTTCCAGGAGCTCTAATCCACCTTCAAGGATTATGAACAAAAGTTCATGTGTATTGTATTTTTCCAGGAAGAACTTGTGGTTTTTATGAGATTTTGACAATGTTGCTTGAGATTAAAGAGAGAAAGAGAGAGAGAGAGAGAGACATGGACCTTTTCACATAGTAGACATTCAGTAAACATTTGCTGAATGTGAGTGAATTATAGAGGAAGAAGTGAGGGCATACATGTATTTATGAACAGCTTTAGGGTCTCTCCACAGACTTTGCCCATTTTTTTACTGCAGCTTCTGCTGAGATGGTTCATCCATGTAGGTTTTTACTCATTTTATGCAGCTGTGCCTTACAGTATCTGACCTTTAACTTCTTACTTCCTTCTAGGAAGATTTTCCTCTGAAAGGTAACTCCTGATGAATGAGAGGCAGAGACCAATGGATAAATGGATACCAAATCCTCCATGTATACTGGGAGTAGACAGTTCTGATATATATTTCACAAGATGCCTCAAAACGCCTCATAGATGCTAACATCATTTGACCATTGAGTGGTGAACTCCATCCATAAGGCATCTTTGTGTGTGTGGGGTGGGGAGAGGTTGTTTTTGCTTTTTTCTTTGAAATAAATACTTTTTGGGTAGTAAATTATCATGTTTTCAATTGATGCAGAATAGTTGTACATGTTTATGGGATACATATGAAATTTTGATACATGCTGATATGGTTTGGCTCTGTGTCCCCACCCAAATCTCATCTTGAATTGAAATCCCAGGTGTTGGGAGAGTGACCTGATGGGAGATGATTTGATCTGGGGGTGAATTTCCCCCTTGCTGTTCTTGTGATAGTGAGTTCTCACGATATCTGTTTGTTTGATAAGTGTTTGGCACTTTATCCTTCTCTCTCTCTCTCCTGCCACCTTGTGAAGAAGGTGCCTGCTTCCACTTTGCTTTCCACCATGATTGTAAGTTTCCTGAGGCCTCCCCAGCCATGCAGAACTGTGAGTCAATTAAATGTCTTCCCTTTATAAATTACCCAGTCTCAGGTAGTATCTTTATAGCAGTGTGAAAATGAACTAATACTCATGCTTTCACTGTGTCATGGTTAAATCAGGGTAATTCATATATCCATCATCTGAAACATTTATCTTTTATGTTGAAAACCTTCCAATTCTTCTCTTCTAGTTATTTTAAAATATACAATACATTATTAACTATAGTCACCCTACTGTGCTATTGAACACTAGAACTTATTCTTTCTATCTAAGTGCATCTTTGTAGGCATTAGCCAATCTTTCTTCATCTGCCTACACAAAAACCCTTCTCATCCTCTGGTACCTGTTATTCTACTCTCTACCTCCATGAGATCCACCTGTTTAGCTCCTACAGCTGAATGAGGTCATGCAGTATTTGTCACTCTGTGCCTGGCTTATTTCATGCATGATCTCCAATTCCATCCATGTTGCTGAACATGACAAGATCTCATTTTTTACATGGCTGAATAATATTCCATGGTGGATATGCACATTTTCTTTATCTATTCATCCATTGACAGACACTTAGGTGGTTCTATATCTTGACTATTATGGATAGTGTGATATACATGAGAATGCAGTCATCTCTCCAATATTGGCTTCATTTCTTTTGTAGGTATACCCAGCAGTGGAATTGCGGGATTGTGTGATAGCTCTACGTGTAGCTTTTGGGGGAACCTTTATACTAATAGTGTACTAACTTACATTCCCACCAACTGTGTAGGAGGGTTCCACTTTCTCTTCATCCTTTCGTAAGGCATCTTTGAATAGACTTTCATTTTCTCTTTCAGTACCTCTTCTTTCATTGTTTCTTGAAATCGTGTAATTAACCTACTTGCACTAAAGCCAGAATACCTGGGATGCATGGTTGTAAACATTTCAAAGAACATCTACACAGCCCATAAGTTATATATAATATGCTTATCTGATCTGTTCCTCAGTAGAATATGCAATTGCAAATCACATGCACATTGTAACTGGATGGGTACATTTCTCTGTCTAATATAGTTTCTTAGGATGGACTTGTGCATGGTAAAGTCAGTAAATGTGCAGGCAAAGAAAACTCAGAAATCCAATGGATTTGTTTAAAGAGCCTCTGTAATCCACAAATTCATTTCCGTGCCGTAATCATCCCAACCTGCCATTTACAAAACAAATTAACTTCCTTATTTAAACGAAAGAGATAGTATTGTGCTACAAGTTATCAGTGTTCTTTTCTGTCCCTCCCCCAACATAATTTTTTCTCCAAACAGGTATTTTGGGACAAAATATCTAGAAAAATATTTCAAATTTAAATATTTATTTGTTTAAATTTTAGTGATAAGATAAAGAAACTGTCCACAAAATACTCTTGGATATTAGTCCCAACTTTTCAAAACAATGCATAATAGAGGTGCCTGGAAAAATTATGTTGTAATTGATTCATCAGTTAAAAATAAGATTAATTCCATCTACACAAAGGGCTCAGCTCCATGCTTTTGGATAAGTAATAAATCTCTTATATCTTCACATCCTTATAAACAGGGAAGGTCTGCAGTTTAAATATTTGGTGATCTGAGAAACTGAATATATTACAACTCATAGAACAAGGCTTTGCTGTATAAGTCATAAGCACTTTAAAGAAAAGAAAAAGAGAGGCAGCCACAGGTATTCCACCGTATTACTGTGTATTTGAGTGAAAAACTATTTCTATGTTTACTCTAGAATATTGAAGACTGGATACAACTGTGTTTCTGGAAATTCAATAGAAACAGGTTGCTACTTAGCAATAATGACATAAGGACATTCATATATCACTGCTCCTATAAGTGTCCATTCAAAACATTGATCCCTGTTTTTGAGTTGGTCTCTTCATTACTGGTGCTTTCAATGAAAATTTTCATATGTGTAAACACAAATATGAAATTATTATTTTTAAAATATGACCTGAATTTATGTATGTAAATAAAAGTGCATGTTGGTCCCCTCTGCTATTCCCTTGGATGGATAATTATCTGCTGTCTTTGAACTGAAATGGGTCTTTGTGTCTTTGGACCACATGTCCCAATTGACATCCACCTTCCCTGGCACCATATTTACTCTAACTGAGAAGACCAGTGGATGAGTCTGGAAACTGTAACATAGAATGTGGTAGTTTCTTCCCATGTGCAAAACTTATTTATAAACTGCTATGCCAAAAAAAATACATATATAAATAAACTTTAACGCAATGTAACTGACTCAGAGCTTTAAATTAGCTACTACATTAGATAGAACTTTTAAAAATATGCTCGTTTCAGGAATCACACATTTGTTAAAATCTCTGAACAACAGTTAGAAAAGGCAGCATTTGTGTTAAATGTCTTCATGTTAGAAAACACTAGATTTTTTTGAGAGCTTCATATATTGCTAGAAACATGAGTGATGGGTAATATTTTAAGGAGTCTACACATCTGTAGATATTTCAGGTACCTAACTTCCCTTAAATATTTTATTTTATTAACAATATGGGGCCTTGACATTTCTAGTTTTGTGTCTTTTTTTTTTTTTTGCTTTACATGATGGATGGATAGTGATACCTAGTTTGAGATTTAACATACGCATTATATAGGATGATGTACCTTTCACCATAGCAGGTCAATAATCTATTTTTATTTTTGTTTCCTTTCCTATCTTTTAAAATCATTTTTAATATTTAATTTTTGTGGGTACATAGTAGGTATATATATTTATGGGATTCAGAAGATGTTTTGATGCAGGGATGCAATGTGTAATAAACACGTCATGCAGAATGGGGTGTCCATCCCCTCAAGCGTTTATCCTTTGAGTTACAATCCAGTTAAACTCTTTAAGCTATTTAAAAATGTACAATTAAGCTATTATTGACTATAATCACCCTGTTGTGCTGTCAAATAGTAGTCTTATTTATTCTTTTTTTTTCTACCCATTAATCATTCCCACCTCCCTACCATCAGCCCCCAATTACCCTTCCCAGCCTCTGGTAAACATCCTTCTACTCTCTATGTCTATGAGTTCAATTGCTTTGATTTTTAGCTCCCAATGAATAAGTGAGAACATGCATTGTTTGTCTTTCTGTGCCTGGCTTATTTCACCTAGGAAATCAGTATATCAGAGAGATACCTGCACTCCTATGTTTGTTACATCCCTGTTTATAATATTATAGCTAAGATTTGGAAGTAACCTAAGTGTCCATCAACAGATGAATGGATGAAGAAAATGATCTCTGTTTAGATCTTCATGTTGAAATAAAGCTTACGCATGAATGAGTTGCCTTGTTTTAAGTTCGGATTCTAGGAATAATTAAGGAGGCAGGAGAACATGTAGACAATAGTTTTTATTACTTAGATAATTCCCAGTTACTTCTCTAAGCCATGTATTCTTTCTGTACAAAGGTCAGGCAAGTAATCATCAGGTAGTTTCCAGATCTGGAACCAATGTTGCCAAAGTCATTCTGAGAATCCATTCTTGAAATAATCAATGTTCGGTGCATAACTTATTTTAGATTCTTACCTAAGCCTTCCTCACTTAAGTTTGGAAAATAAGTTTCATAAATTGCATTCATCTCAGCATGACTTTACTTGAACATAGAAGCTGATGTTTTAAAAAACAAGTATCTAATGAGGAGTTCACTACACAACATTGTGTGTGTGCGTGTGTGGGTGTGTGTAGACATAATGTATTTTCTTTCATTTTCCATTTCAGATTCTTATCGATTGATTGTTTTAATTTTTCAGATTCTTATTAAGCAAGGAGAAGGACATCAATTATCTTATTACTGCAACCTATTCAGAAGGGAATTTTAGGGCAGTGAGTAAAATAGAAATCTCTATAAAATAGAAATCTTTATGGATTATATGATAAAAGTCATCTTCTGGTAATGACTTAACCAGCCAAGTAAACTAAAGCTGCCTCTAAATATGTAGAGACAGAATTGTCTCTGAAATGTATGTTTATAACTAATAAAGACAGTTTCAGTTATCCACACAATGGTCTGAATAGTGGCAGATTAAACCATGTTTTTAGGCTGGCGTGCTGGCTCCCACATGTAATCATAGCACTTTGGGAGGCCAAGGCAGGAGGATCCCTTGAGCCCACCAGTTCAAAACCAGCCTGGGCAATATAGGGAGAGCCCTCTCTTCAAAAAATAAAAATAAAAAAAATAACTGGACCTGGTGGCACACCTGTAGCCTCAGATACTCGGGAGGCTGAGGTGGGAGAATCACTTGAGCCCAGGAGGTTGAGGCTGCAGGGAACTATGATCTCATCTTGTCACTGCACTCCAGTCTGGGCCACAGACTAATACCCTGTCTCAAAAGAAAAAAAGCGTTTTTATATCCTTATTGTTCTATCAACCAAAATATTTACACAGGCACCTATGAAGAAATGTCTCTCTTTGTATCCATAAATATGTATTTATAGCATATATACACACAAAAGGACATATACATGTGAACACATATCAAGATACATCCTTCCTATGTTACCTCGAAAGCTGTTGATCATCTTTAAGTAAACTGCTACTCTTTTCACCTTCCTACTGCATACAGAAAACTGAGCTGGAGCTTGACTGAAAACAGTGGTAGCGTTTGGAGTTTTTGTGTTTACGATATTCGATCTAGGATTTGTGCATTTTATTGGAGTAAAATTATATACAGTAAGTATATACATTGAAGTTTGCTGAACTTCAATGTATAGTCCAATGAGTTTATAAATGTAGATGTTTCTATTCATGTGAAAACATTACTCAAATGAAGTCTTTAGTGAATGTGTTGTTTTTTGCATAAAAGTGTATTGATGGGAATTGTGGATTGTTGGTCATAAAAGAAACTGCCCGATTTACATAGTTATTGCACAGTTTTACACCCTTACCAGTAAGAACTGCAGTAGTTCATGTCTTTTCCAAATCTTGGTGTTGACAGTTGGCTAATTTCAGCTATTTTATTGGGTGCATGGTGGCGTACCATGGTTGTTTTAATTTTCACTTTGTTAATAAGTAATGATAATGAGAATCATTTTATGAGTGTGTTGTACAGTCCTTTATCTTTGTTCCTATATGTGTCTATTTAAAACTTTTGTTCTTTTTTTGAATTGTTTATGCCTTTATTATTGATATATATTAAGTTTGTGTAAAATATGACTATGAGTTCATTGCCAGGCATTTATATTACAAATACATTTGCTCACTTTATGCCTTCCCTTTTTATTTATTTAATGTTTCTTTGGATGAAAAGTTTTAAACTTTGATGTCTCCAGTTTATATTATTATTATAAGATTAGTATTCTGCTCAGAAAATCTTTGTCTGTTCCCAAGTTGCAAAGACATTCTCCCATGTCATCTTCTAGTTTTATTTACTTTTTATTATCATTTTAGTCTTTTATATTTCAGTCTACAAATCATTCTCAGTTTATTTTAGGGGACAGTGTGAAATATAGATGAAGACGTACATTTCCTTTACTAGTGAATCCAGTCCCAGTCATTAAAACCTCTTATCTTTCCCCATTGATTTGTGTGATGCAATTGTCAAAATTGTTTGTGAGTATGAGTGGGTCTATTTCTGAACTACCGACTCTATTCTATCAGTCTCTGTCTATCCTTATACCAGTAACACATTGTCTTCATTACCGTAGTTTCATAACACATTTAAAATCAGGTCAAATAATTTTTTCCTTTATTTTCAAGGTTTCTTTTTGGCAACTCTAGATCCTTTACACTTACATTAAATTGTAGTCTCAGCTTGCCAATATCTGCAAAACTCTGGGTGTTTCATTTGATTTGTTTGGAATTTATAGATCAATTTAGGGATAACTAGCAATTTCACAATATTAAGTTTTCCAACCCATGAGCAGGGTAAATTTCTTTGTCTACTTAGGGCTTCTATAATTCAACCTGACACTGTTTTGCAGTTTTCAGAGTAGATGTTTTTGACTACTTTTCTTAAATATATTTTAGATACATTGTGTTTTTTGATGCCATTGTACACAAAAGTGATTTACAATCAATTGTAAATAGAATGGAGTCACATACGGTGATTGTTTATTACTAGTGTATAGAAAATTTGCAGTCTGGGAACTTGTAGAACTTATTTATAGGATCCAGTGGTTTATTTATAGATTTCTTTGAATTTTCTACATGCATAATGCCACCTGTGAATAATTGTATTTCTTCTTTCTCAGACGTTGTTTCTTCATCTATCTCTATCTGTCCATCTGTCTATGTATTTATTATCTAGCATGTCTACCTATCCATGTTATCTAGCATATCTATTTATCTATATCTATCATATCTATTATCATATCCCTCTGTCTATCCATCAGTATACTATTATTATCTCTTTCTTTTATCTGTCTATAATATCCATCTATCATCTATCTATGTATCCATCCTTCCTATCTGTCCATCCATCTCGGTGTCTATAAATTATCATTTGCATGTCTGTTATCAATCTACCCACCCATTATCTATCTACGTATCTTCCTTTTTGTCTGTTTTGTACTATAAGATCAGCTAGAACATCTATAAATTTCATTTGAAGTGTTAAGAGGGACATCCTTCCTGGCATTCTCTCCAATTTTAGGATAGAATGTGTTCAATATTTAACCTTAAAGTATTATGTTAGCTGAAGGTTTCTTAAAGGTATTCTTTATCCAATGGAAGAACTGGCTCTTCCATTTCTACTCTGTTATCATTGAATGTGTGTGTTAAATCGTGAATATATGTTGGATATTGTGAATGGCTTTCTCTGCATTCATTGAGATGATCATAGTGTTTTTCTCTTTTAATTTGCTAGTGATGTGGTTAATTACACTCTTCTTAAAATGTTAAACCTACTTTGCATTCCTGGTATCAACCTCACAATGTAATGAAGCATTCTTTCTTTTATATTTAGCTAGATTCCATCTGCTAAAATTTTGAGGAGAGTTCCTGCATCATCTATTGTCATGAGTGATATTAGTCTATAAATTGCTCCTTTGGTTTTAGTATTGGGATTATGCTGGCTTCATTATTTTAAAAGTCTGGAAGTATTACTTCCTCCTTTTAAATACATTAATCTAAGATTGTTTTAAAAATATATACATTCAGTAGAATTCACCAGATAATCCGAGTCAAGACAAAGTGGTTGATTTTGGAGCAGGTTGGGGAGGGGGCAGTGGCGGCAGCTAGCTGTTAACTATAAATTCAATTTCTTTAACAGATACAGTGCTATTTGGGATGTCTATTTTTTTGTGGCAGTGTTGGCAAGTCGTGTTTTTAATAAAATCATCCATTTTATCTATGCTATCAAAATTCTAAGAATAAAGTCATTCATAATATTCCCTTACTATCTCTATGGAATTTAAGGCAATATCCTCTCTTGCATTTTTTATTTTGGTAATCCATGTTTTCTCTTTTTTTTTCCTTGATCAGTCTAATAGCTTATCAATTGTATTGCTCTTTTCAAATAAATATTCTTAAGGTTTTGCTTTTCTAAGGTTTTGGTTCTTTCTATGTTATTTATTTTTCCTTTTTTATTGACCTGTGTTTTCTTTTTGACTTTAGCCAATGTTCCTTTCCTACATTCTAAAGTTTAAAGCCCAGATCGCTGATTTTAGATAGTTTGTCTTTTTTTTAACTGTAAGTATTTAAAGCCATGAATTTCTCTCTTCACATGATTTTAGCTGTATTGCATAAATCTTGAAATACTGCACACTGCGAGGAACGCGCACTGAGGTAGAGACTCAGGAAGTTCACACCATTTACAGGGAGAAGGAGCCTGGCCCCTTCTCTTCCTGTGCGGAACTAGGGATTTGAATGGCCAGGCAGAAAGTGCTCTAGCAGGGACTCCGGCCTTGCGAAGAGTCCCTGGTTCCTCCTTTTCTTCCTTTTCACCCAATAAAACCCTGTCTTACTCACACTTCAAATAGTCTGCGAGCCTGAATTTTCCTGGCCATGGGATGGACAAGGACCCCGCCTTTAGCTGAACAACGGAAAAGTCCTGCAACACTTGCAAAGTGCATAAGTTGTGGGACATCGTGTTTCATAAATATCTATTAAGTTGACATGATTGATAGTGTGGTTCAAATACTCTGTATTTTCCAACCTGAATCTATGTACTTATGTTTTTTGGGATTTTTTTTTTTGTCAACTTGTTTTGAAATAGGATTGTCCCCATCTCCAACTTTATGGATTTGTCTGTATGTCCCTTTATTTCTGTCAATTTTTGCTTTATTTTCTTTGAAGATCTGTTTTTAGAGACATACGTATTTAGGATGTTTATATCCTCTTGGTGAGTTGACCCTGCTATCTTTGTGAAATTTGCAATTTATATCTGGTTATCCTTTCTTTTGAAGACTATTTTATAAGATATTACTTTGGCTAATCTGACTTGGCAGGTTCTTTGCTAAAACTGGCAATTACAAGGAAATGCACCCTTGTAAGGTACTGGACCTAGGAGAAGGATCAGAGGCCTAAACAAAATTTGGTCAAACAGAGAATCTTTGTCGCTACCTCTCCTTGACAGTGAAACTGACCCAAAAATCCCATAGACTGTTCTTTTGGATTAACGTGCATATGCAAAGGTGTTCAACGTAATTGATCAGAGAAATGCAAATCAAAACTACAATGTGATATCATGTCACTCCAGTTAAAATGGCTTCTATCTAAAAGGCAGGCAATAACAGATGCTGTCGAAGATGTGGAGAAAAGGGAACCCTTGTACACTCTTTGTGGGAATGTAAATTAGTACAAGCACTGTGGAGGACAGTTTGGAGGTTCCTCAAAAAACTAAAAATAGAGCTGCTATATGATCCAGCAATCCCACTGCTGGGTATATACTCCTACCAAAGGGAATTAGTATATTGAAGAGATATCTGCACTCTCATGTTTACTGCAGCACTACTCAATATAGCCAAAATTTGGAAGCAACCTAGGTATCCATTAACAGATGAATGGATAAAGAAAACATGGTACATATATACAAGGGAGTACTATTCAGCCATAAAAAAGAATGAGTTTCTATTATTTGCAACAACCTGGAGGAAATTGCAGATCATGATGTTACGTGAAATAAGCCAGGCACAGAAAGACAAACATCACATGTTTTTACTTATTTGTGGAAGCTAAAAATTAAAACAATTGAACTCATGGAGACAGAGAGTAGAAGGATGGTTACCAGAGGCTAGAAATGTTAGTTGGGGGTGGAGGAGGTGGTGGGAATGGTTAATGCGTACAAAAAACACAGTTGTAATGACTGAATAAGACCTAGTATTTGGTAGCACTGCAGGTTGACCACAGTCAACAATACTTTATACATTTAAAAATAACATTTGTACATTTAAAAATAAGAAGTATAGTTGGACTGTTTTTAAGACAAAGAATAAATGCTTGACGTGATGGAAACCCCATGCACCCTGATGTGATTATTATGCATTGCATGCCTGTATCAAAATATCTCATGTACCCCATAAATATATACACCTATTATGTACCTACAAAAATTAAAATTAAAATTTAAAAAAATTAAAAGCAACGTTAACTTGATCATACCATGTTAATTTGAGTGACAAAGAGAAACTGATAGAATAGTAAGAAAATAAATGCACTTTCAACATTCGTAGCAGTGGTGAACTTGTTCCTGTAATAATAGCACCAAAGTTGCATATACTTTTTAATACTTCATAACAAACAACTGCTGAGTTACAAAGTAAATATTTGACAACCATGTTGATCTTAAGACCAAAACTGCCAACAGCTTGCAAAAAATATTGCAGTTCATAGTTATCATGTATCTATTTAACTGCTGAAAATGCCACTTGTTTATGCTTCCCGGCTATTTTTCTTTTCTTTCTGTATGTCAGTCATGTGTTACCCATCCTGTACATTTTCCACTCCATGCTTAATGTATAAAAAAAGAGTGGATTTTATCTGAATCATGAAAGCATACACTTTTGAAGTGTGTTACAATTTTTTTGATATCCTATTTTTATATTTGCCATTTACATGTGAGTAAATGTATGATGTGGCAATCATAATCAAGCTTCAATAGGAGCACACTGATAATAATGGAAGACAAATTTAAATTGGGATTTCTCTACATTTCACGTCCTTGGAGATGATGCTTTCTAGTTGAGGTCATGTTTGTTCATTTCTGTGTTTATCTCTGACCCACTAATACAATGCATTGCTCATTATCAATCCTATTTTAGTTTTAAAACTTAAATTTTTATCTATTTATACACACTAGGAATTACACACTTCTTCACTTTTCTTAATTTACTTGGTCTCATTATCCTCACAATATATAAATTAAAAATGACATGATTGATGAGCTAGAAAATTTCCACACAGAATGCAAATTATAAGTAACTGTTCACCATGCATTTCTTTTATTTTCAATGGAATGGCGTTTTCACATAAATAAAAAGAAAAATAAATCAGCATCTAAGCATATAATACTCCCAAGAATTCTCTTCACGGAGCAGAGATGAAAATGACTCTGGTCAATTGGTGAAAGAAATACAGATTACGAGAAAAAGCATGGGACTCAAAATCAAGAAAATGGAGTATTTAGATCTGCTCTGTATTTGAAAGACTCACCATTTGACCAGCATTAATTGAGTATCTACTACGTGCAATGCACTGTGCCAAGATTTAGTTCTATGCCTTACCCTAAGCCTTTGCCTAGAACTTTCAAAAACACCTTTCACCAACTTTTAGGTTGCTGGCTTCCAGAAGACAAATACCTGTAAAACCACAAGTAGAAATTAGAAAATATTGTTAGTTTTCTTTCTATATGCCTTCTCACCTCAGTCTTTTAAATAACTTTCCAATCATCAAATTTCCAACAATTTCAATGTTTAAATTTCTCAGTGTTAATATGCAAACTTCAAACACTGTTTCAATAATCCACACTTATGAAAACAGCAATGCTTGAAGGAAGCTTCTTTTTGTGTTGCCAAGTGGAAACCTCCCAAATCTGCTCAAGGATTGGGGAGAGTAGGTGAGGCTGGTGGTTTAGTCTCTACTTCACCAAATTTACTGTGTCCTACTTTTTTTTTTTTTTTCTGAGACAGGGTCTCACTATGCTGCCCAGGCTGGTCTCAAACCCCTGAGCTCAAGTGATGCCCCAACCCCAGCCTCCTGAGTAGGTGGTGTGTCCTACTTTTGAAAGCACCTTCATCTTTTGTTACATACTTTGTAAATCTATATTGAAACTATATATACATGTGAGAGAATAAGGCAAAATGTAATTATGACTTCCCTTTCTAAACTAAGCAGGGATACCCGAAAGAGGCACCAATGAAAACAAAAATGTAACTCTGTCTCATTATTTGCAACTACTTCTCTCCTACAGGAGCTGCGTCCTATTTATTTTACATCCTCCGTATGTAGCATCACACCTGGCAATTCATGCATTTTTAAAGAAAAAAAAAAGAATCCTGAAATATAGTACAATAGGTAGGCACATTGTGGTTGGGTATTTGAAACAAAAATCAATACCTGGATTTTTATCTCATAGTACAATCTATTATGGAAACCTTTTTGAAATATAAAATGCTTATATTTGAAAATGAACTCCTCTGCTATACAAAGACTTCCGTTTATACTCTATTTGAAGGTGGTTACGATCTGAGCACTTCCTGGGCAACCAACTTTTCATTTAAAAAGGGAGTTCTGAGTACCCACAGAACTCTAAACATCAGTGGTTCCATTTCTCTGCAATTTAGGGAATGCCAAATAGAAATAGCTAGGTCAATAAATTTTTTATTGTGGCTGATTACTGATGAGAACTTTCAGCACCCTATTTAGAATTTTCAAGTTTTTGCATTAAAAAATACTGGTGGAACCCAGTGTTCAATGTCCCTTCTACCCACACATATGCATCCTGTGTCAGTGAACTTTGAGGTGGTCTATGCATCCTTTATTGTGGCTGGTGATTAATGAGTACTTTCAGCACCCTATTTTAGAGTTTCTGTGAACTTTATATTTTTTGCATTTAAAAACATGCTGGTGGAACCCAGTGGTCAATGTCCCTTCTACCCACACGTAGACATCCTGTGTCAATGAACTTCGAGGTGCTCTATACATTCTTTATTGTGGCTGGTTACTAAAGAGCACTTTCTGCACCCTATTTTAGAATTCATATTCTCTAGTTTTTGCATTTAAAAATATGCGGGTAGAACCCAGTGTTCAACGTCCCTTCTACCCACACATAGACATCTTGTGTCAGTTAACTTTGAGGTGCTCTATACATTCGTTATTGTGGCTGGTAATTAATGAGTACTTTCAGCACCCTATTTTAGAATTTGTGTGTACTTTCCAGTTTTTGCATTTAAAAACATGCTGGTGGAACTCACTGGTCAATATTCCTTTTACCCATATATAGACATCCTGTGTCAGTGAACTTCAAAGCTGCTGATTAGTTTTTTCCTCCATAATATTTGACCTCCATAACTGCTACTGAAACCCCAATTTTCCAACTTCCTTGACTAATTGAAGAATAAAGTATTATGAGAATTTTGAAGCTGACATTTCTATAAGGCTAAATTTATGTTGCTGTGCCCTTTAGGGAATGCTTTGGAAGAAAATTCCAGCATGGGATCATAGGATTCAAGGACTAAGGGTAATAATTATGCCTTCCTCGAACTTTTGCTAAACTCAGATCCATCTCTATGCATCACTTACATTAAATCAAGTTTAGCCTAAAGCTGCCTCCTTATGTATTTTAAGTTCAGCCTAAAGACTTCTCTGTACATCTTGAACTATAACATCTAAAGAAAGTTGTAAGCAGACTGTAGCCTACTCTTGTGCCAATCACTGAGTTTTGGCCAATCAAAGGCGGCCAACTGTTCAAATTGTGTTCAAATAAGACAGACACCGAGTTGTAACCAATCCGGCTGTTTCTGTACCTCACTTCCATTTCTGTACAACACTTTCCTTTGTTCTGTCCATAATTCTTCTACCACGTGGCTGCACTGGAGTCTCCAAGCCTACTCTGGCTCAGCAACAGCAATTAAACTCTGTTCGATTTAATCCAGCTAAGGTTTTTCTTTTAACACTTGATATACACTAATATTGATTACTGAGTGAGCATCCTATGTATTTCATCAGAGAATATTCCCAATCATTTCTGTCTAACAGGAGCATACTAACCATCTCTGTCTATTCCCTAATATATCTCATTTTTGTAAAAACAACAAACAAGCAGAAATGCTTTAATATTTCTCATAGCAAATATTGTATTAAAAAGAAATTATATCAAGATTATGAACAAATTACGACAATGATGAGATGTTCTCTTCATCAGCATGACACCCTTTAAAATTCATTGGCAAGACTGGCTGTAATAGTTGTAGAGCCTTGTATACCCAATGGTATGCAGAGTAGTATAATGGTCATTGGAGACTCATGGTGGAGGATGGGAGCCAAAAGGGATAAAAAACTACATGTTGGGTACAATGCACACTACTTGAGTGACAGGTGCACTAAAATCTCAGACTTCAGTGCTATACAATTCATCCATGTAACCAAAACCCACTTGTGCCCCAAAAGCTCTTAAATTTTTTTTTAAATTAAAAATATTTACCTTGAGTGTTGTACTAATCAGTTCAAACTGCTATAACAGAATACCATAGACTGGTTGACTTAAACAACAGAAATTTATTTTCTCAAGGTTTACAAAGCTGAAATGCCCACAATCAGGGTGTCCATTGATTTGCTTCCTGGTGAGGAATATCTTCCTGACTTGCAGATGGCTGACTTCTTGCTGTATTTTCCCACGGCAAAGGAAGAGAGAGAAAGAGAGGGTGGGTGGGAAAGACAGAGACAGAGAGAAGAGAGAGACAGAGACACAGAGAGAAGAGAGAAAGACAGGGAGACAGAGAGGAGAGAGAGACAGAGACAAAGATAACAGAGAGAGATAGAGAGAGAAGAGAGAGGAGAGAAAGGAGAGCGACAGAAACACAGACAGAAGAGAGAGGGCCGGGCGCGGTGGCTCACGCCTGTAATCCCAACACTTTGGGAGGCCGAGGCTGGCGGATCATGAGGTCAGGAGATCGAGACCACGGTGAAACCCTGTCTCTACTGAAAATACAAAAAAAAAAAAAAAAAAAATTAGCCAGGCGTGGTGGCTGGCGCCTGTAGTCCAAGCTACTAGGGAGGCTGAGGCAGGAAAATGGCATGAACCCAGGAGGCGGAGCTTGCCGTGAGCCGAGATTGCGCCACTGCACTCCAGCCTGGGCGACAGAGCGAGACGCCGTATGAAAAAAAAAAAAAAAACAGAGAGAAGAGAGAGACAGGGAGACAGAGAAGAGAGACAGAGACAAAGATAACAGAGAGACAGACAGAGAGAGAAGAGAGACAGAGACACAGAAGAGACAGATAGGGAGACAGAGAAGAGAGACAGAGACAAAGATAACACAGAGACAGAGAAGAGAGAGGAGAGAGAGAAGAGAAACAGAGACACAGAGAGAAGAGAGAGAGACAGGGAGACATAGAAAAGAGAGACAGAGAGAAAGAAAACAGAGAGAGACAGAGAGAAGAGAGAGGAGAGAGAAGAGAGAGACAGAGAAAAGAGCGAGAGAAGAGAGAGAGAAGAGAGAGGAGAGAGAGAAGAGAAAGAGAGAAGACAGAGAGGAGAGAAAGAGACAGAGGAGAGAGAGGAGACAGAGGAGAGAGAGAAGAGAGAGGAGAGAGAAGAGAGAGAGAAAAAGACAGAAAGAAGAGAGAGAGAGAAGAGAGGGAATGGAGAGAGAAAGAGGAGAGAGGAGATAGAGAGAATGCTCATATGTTTATTCCTCTTCTTATAAGGACATATCCCATCATGGGGGCCCCATCCTCGTGACCTCATGCAAACTTAATCACCTTCCAAAGGTTCCACTTCCAAACAGCATCCTATCAAGGGTTAGAGTTTCAACATAGGAATTTGGGGTTGGGGGAGCACAAACATTCAGTCTATAACGCGAGTTCAGGTGGGAATCACAGTACTTTTCAAAAGAGAGAAGCAAGATAATAACGATCATTGGATAAAACAAGATCGTTAACAGAACAAATGGCTTAGAAAAGAAAGTCCCAAGCCCTGTGTCCCTCTCCGTGATTCAGGAGCTATGTGTACTCCCAGTGGATTAACACACAGCAGAATCTCTGGTCAGTTTCTCTTCAGAAAAGGAAGAAATTGTGTTTTTTTCCTTACGTTTCTCTGAGAGGAACATAGAATTGTAGACACTCAGGTTGAGGTGAGCATGCAATGGGCACATCCCTCCTGCTATAAATCTCTTCTTGGCATCTCCCCAGCCCCCCAGCACAAGCTGATGTTCCTACCTCAGAAAATGTTCGCACACAAGACAACGCACACCTTCATTTAGGCAGCCACGTGCCTGGGGCAGGAACTTGTCGCTCTCTGAGAAGCAAAAAAGGGGTTGGGGCCATAGAATTGTGGACCAAACTATCTGAGATAGGTCTCAATCAATTTAGAAAGTTAATTTTGCCCAGGTTAAGGACACACCCAAGACCCAGCCTCAGGAGGTCCTGTCTACATGTGCCCAGGGTGACTGGGACACTGCTTGGTTTTATGCATTTTAGAGAGACATGAGACATGAATCAATATGTGTAAGATATACATTGTTTCAGTCCAGAAAGACGGGACCACTCAAAGTGGGGGCAGGAAATGGGGGCCTTCCAGGTCATGGGTAGATAACAGACAAAAGGTTGCATTCTTTTGAGTCTTTGCTCAGCCTTTCACTGAATATAAAATTTACATATGAGAGTGGAATAGAGCAATAGTCACTTATACTATAGACTGGCTCAGTGACTCTGCATTTTTGCGTAAACAATTGGGCAGGGGAAGCAACCAGATATGCATTTTTCTCAGGTGAGCAGAAAGATGACCTGTCCTGCACCTATGAAGATAAGCTATCCGCTTACATTGCTAGGGTGAAATTCAAAAGAACTCTGTTTTTAGGGTAAACATCTTGAGGTCCACAAGGAATTTCTTTGTGAGCAAACTGTGAGGGAGGTATGTAACTTTTTTTTTTTTTTTTAATCTTTGTAGCTTTCTTACTTAGGAATAAAATGGGAGACAGGTTTGCCTGATGCAGTTCCCAGACTGACTTTTCCCTTTGGCTTAGTGATTTGGGAGTCCCAAATCACTATTTTATTTTTATTTATTTATTTTTATAATTTTTATTTTTTATTTTTTAAATTTATTTTTCCTACACAGAAGTCTTTGTCAAAGCTGCGTTTATTGGTGGAAGAAATGAATTTTTGAGGTGTCTCTTTGTTTTGCAAAGTGATGACAGGGAAACAAAGATCAACCAAAGCACTTTTGAAAAATTTGGCAACCCCACTTCTAAGAATGAGGCCAGGTTGGGCTGAGAACCCTCATTCCAGGGAAACTAGTGGGTGACCGAGTTGAGTGGCTATAATCACTTCAGTCCAGGAAAAGCAGTCAATGAGAGAGATGTTCTGCCATGATCACCTCTATCCAGGGAAACTAATCCATGGTGGAGATGGTGGTCCCTGATCACTTCAGCCCTGGAAAAGCAGTCCATAATCACTAAGGCAGGCTGTGCTTGCTTCGGCCCAGGGGACACAATGATGAGGGACCTAGAATGTTTATTCCTAGTTGATGATAAGTGCACATAGTTACTTGAGTTACTCATTTTCAGAAAGGTTTATGCCTGCTTAGAAAAAATTCTCATGTTTAAGAAAACGTGTAGGATCAGTAGTATGTGAGTGGGCTTTCTGTTGTTGGATCTCTATAATTTTGAACTTTTGCATTCAATCAGGGAGGGTTACTGTAGGCCAAACCTCCAGTGAAGGCTGGTTCTGTGTTTTTCCATGGTATTGATTGTGATCTTATTTTTCTTGCTATTTAGAAGAATTTATTCTCTGGGGTTAATTGAGGATCTGCTGACATTCCTCGTTCATTCTTGTCACGAAAATTGTTTGATAACCATAGTTTTTTATGATATTTTAAATCCGAGACTTTGTATTTAGCTGTATGCAGAGAAAACTTTTTTTTAAATTTTTAAAGAGAAACTTGTTAATGCCCTGTTTTTATATTTACTGCAATCTCCTTTAAATGGACTACAAGCACAGGTGCAACTTTTTGTGTTTTTTTTTTTTAAGAGATGGGGTCTCACTCTGTTGCCCAGGCTGGAGTGCAGTGGTGTGATCATAGCTCACTGCAGCCTCAATCTCCTGGGTTCAAGTGAGTCTCCCTTCTTGACCTCCTGAGTCACTGAGATTATGGAATTGAGACACTGTTCGGCACACAGGTGTGATTTTTAAGGAATTCTCACCCACTTGCTCAAGACATGCTATCAGGATCTAGATGTCGTCTAGATAATGGTATTCTTCTGGAATCATGGTTGCAGTTGCACAGGCATTCTCAGGGGCTTGCTTCTGTGTTCATAATCAGAGGCACGGGACATAATAGAGGATCCAATTTAGAATGGCTCAGCTTTAAGCAGTAATGGAAAAATTTATGGGTGACAGGAAGAGCAACAAAGGGTCAGTTTGCTATTGGAATACTTACTTCCAGTTGGGTAAGTGAAAAGGAAAGAAAAAAGGAAAAAAATCGAATCATTTCTGTTGAAAAAATTCGAAGCATTTCTTTGAAAAGAAATGTTAGAAATTTAAATTCTAAGATATCTGTTTCTTATTTGGTTTAGATATGAACCACTCTCTAAACACAGCCCAAAATGAAATAACAAAAACAACAATGGCAGCTACACCAGTAACAACTTCTACTGGGCTCTGAGCCACCCACCCCAGACCCCATCTCTTACATAAATAGGAAGATATTTTTGCATATAATTTTCCTCAATTAAACATAATATTTCCTGGAAGTTTCCAAAGAGAGCTTTGGCAGCATAAGCTGGACAGCGATTAGGAATCCTCCAGTGATCCATGAAAATGTCTTTGAGGACTATGTGTGGTCATGGATTAACCTGCAGGAATAGCTTGCTTGCACGTCAGAATGTAAATTCTAACTTTCCACCCACTAACAAGCCTGTTTCCTTCCAACAGGAGCATGTCGCAGGGTTTTCCTACTACTAAGTACCATCTTTAATAAAAGAAATCCCTTCTCATTATCAGAAACCACCAGTTTCCCTCAGTTGTCTTGTTTACCTGCTGAACAACCCCAGAAGACATGCCTAAAGCACGTACTTGGCACTGAATAAATATATGTTGGGCAAATGAGATGCATTTCTCTATGAGACAACTAATCCAGAAAATATATTTTTTTCCTGTTGCAGAAGTCTTCATTAAATCACCTAGAAAGTTTCTTACTACCTATGTTCATTTTAGCTCAAAAATTTCAAGGTATGTTTTCTTCCTAAATAGGCTTTCCTATAGGACAGTGCTTCTAAACGTGTGTTTGGTATGTAGAACCCAGGGTGTCATGGAGACCCACTCAGGGAAACAGGCAGGCCAGAAGTATTTTCATAATAATATGAAGACATTATTTTCCTTTCTCACTGGGTTGACATTTACCTTATGCTGCAAAAGCTAGTGACTTAGCATGGATGAAGGCAGTGGTACTAAGCCTTATTGGTTTGTTATTTCATTCTTTCTGACTGGCACTAACAGTAGAACAAACAAACAAAAAAGAAAGAAAACAAAATTTACCTAAGGAAGTCCTTTATGAAACAAATTCATTCACTTATTACATATATATTGACCAACCCCTGAGTACACATCTTTTTACGGTGGAACATGGGTTTTACTAGAATAGGGGAATGATAAACTATGTTTCTTCTGACTTCCAGTCTAGGGCAGACATTTCTTCCAAAATGAATGAAGTGAATTAGTCATTTCATGGAAAACAACTAACAGCATTTGTTGACAGTGATGCATTTGGACTTGCAAAAGAACCATAGAATTTTGGGAAACTTGCATCCAATACTATAAGCTAGACAATTTTCCAATACATAAGGTGTTTCATAAAGAATACATCGGTGGTGACTAACATGTGATTTTTTAAATATTGCATAATAAAAATTTGTCAAAATCTGTAAGATCAGCAAAACTTAGGGAAGCGATATTTTCCAAGTGCATATTGTATGATGCTACACAATCATGCATGGTTAAAAGAGCCCCTCAAAAATGCAATAGATAATTAATGTAGTTAATTATTGATATTAATCTAACAAAATAAGAAAATTTCATTGATAATGATTTCAGATTCCATATGGCAATCTAAAATTTCTTTAAAAAACTGCCATTCCTTGGGTTTTGGTGTAGTATCAAACCCCAGCTACCTGCAAACACTATTAGAATATTTCTCCCTTTTCCAATTACCATCTGTGAAAGGCCAGATTTTCTACATATATCAGACAAAACAATATATTGCAGGCCAGGCGCAGTGGCTCATGCCTGCAATCCCAGCACTTTGGGAGGCCAAGGTGGGTGGATCGCTTAAGCTGAGGAGTTTGAGACCAGTCTGGGTGAAACCTCATCTCTAAAAAAAATAACCCATCTCTAAAAAAAAAAAAAAAAAAAAAAAATAGCTTGGTGTGGTGGCATGCGCCTATAGTTCCAGCTACTTGGAAGGCTGAGGTGGGAGGATCACTTGAGCCTGGGAGGATCATTTGAGCCCAGGAGGTAGAGGCTGCAGTGAGCTATGATGGCATCACTGCACTCCAGCCTGGGTGACAGAGTGAGACCCTGTCCCAAAGCAAACAAACAAAAACAAAAAACAAAAGAAATCATTGCAACAGATTGGATACAGAAGATAAGAGAGTTCATCTGTCCTTTATTAAACTAGACATTTAAAAAATTTGCAAACATGTAAAAGAATGCCATACCTCTCATTAATTTTTTTTGCCTTAGAACATAGAGTTATTTTAAGCAAAATATGGTATTTATTAATTTGTAATATTTATTATTGCCATTTTAAAATAAGTTAATAAATTTATATATATTTTTAATTCTAAGTACACAGTGGTAAATATTGGACAGGTAAAACTCACATCAACAAAGCTTTCTCAAGAAGTTTGAAGAATATAAAGAGATTTTAGGGAGTTTGAGAAACGCTACTTGGCGTTTCTTGACCTATTAGAATAGCCTTTATAAGCTGTAATCTACTGCTCTGCTTGAGTCTTAGATGTGTCTTGGTAGGGTCAGATTCCTTTTAAAGGTCACTCCAATCTTAAAACTCACACGGGACTCCTACTATCTGATGGCTTAACCTCCTCTTTCATTCAGTAACTTCCAATTGATACCAATAACTACAGCGAACCAGTTTCTGCTGTTGCTGTGATTCCACTGATCCTTCTTCTTGTTTCTGTGTTTGATCTTCACAACAGCCCACTGCGGTATCAAGATTTTGATAAAAATCCAAATCAGGCTAAGAAACTGTGAAAGCTGATCCTACGAAGTGAGTCATTCTTGTCATACCCGACGAAAACAAGAGTCGACCAGGAGGAAAAAGCACTTGGGCACAGAGGATTGCTCCAAAAATGGAATTCTCTGCAAGCCCAGCAGCTAAAACTGCCTGCTGTGACCTGAAACTGGTTTTATCTACCGGCTGCTGAAACAACCAGCTGTGGTTGCCTTCACTGATGGATCGAAACTTGCCCTCTCCCCAAAACCTTATTAGTGCCAATGAACTTTCACAAAGAGCAATACATAACATTTCTCCTTCTCCTAAAACCTCTTTCTCTTTGTTCTTCAGGTCTGTGTATATGCCCCGAATTGCAATTCTTTCTTCCTAAATAAATGTTTTCATTTCAGAGATTTGCCTCTGTATTTTATTTGGCTTTGACAAAACCAAGGTTTAGGGGTCCGATAGCCTGTCCGTGGCCACTTACCCCAGAAGAGGTTTGCTTTTTCCAAAGTCAGAATTCTGAATCTCTGTAGCAGAATCCCTTCTCAGCAAAAGGGTCATTGCTTTCCAATTAATTACAGGTGTTTTTAGGCTATGAAAATTACACATGTAGATGTACAATTCATTTATACCCCATGCTGTTTCAAATCAAGCCATGTAAATTATTCAAACCCACTGGGAAGTTCATTAAAATGCTCTTATATTTAAAAAATCCAAAAAAGTATCTCGCTCTCCGATGTCAAACTTAATTAATTAAACATTTTAAATGTAGTTTTTATAATTTATAGTGAACATTTCCACTTTAATAACCTTCAATATTTCAGAGGCATCCAAGTTAGTTTCTGATGTATTTGTTTTTTCTAAAATTTCAGAAAATTGGTACATCTCTTCTTTCTTCCAACTTTTATCTTTATAGTAACACTTTTACATTTCCAAGTTTCTATAATGTGAGAAAGTCTTTTGGGCTTTATTGTTGGTTGAATTCCAAAATAGTTCTAACTCAATAAGAGAAAGTATTCCAATATTATGTAAATATTATTCATTTACAAATTTTAATTGGATTCAAATGGATGAAAATGTATTTCTGCATTATTTAAACTTCACTGCTAAACAAAGATACTTTCAAGGATCGAGGTTTATTGGATCCTGAATTAATCACCTATCCTTTCGATTTGGTGCTATTTCCTGGTGATCTGTCCTGATATGTCTTCTGTTTCTTTCCATTCAGTTGGAAGTTTTCTTTAAGAATAACCATTTAAAAAAAAAAAAAATTAAAAAGCGTGAATGGGGAGATAAATATAAAAAATCTGAATTCTTATATTTAATAAAATTTTGTTCTAACCCTTGAAGGTTTGGCTTCTTCTCAGATTCCTGGGTTAAAATAATATATATATATATATTTTCCCTCTTTGGCTGTTGAGAGACCTTGACTTCATTGTGAGGAAAAGTATGACATCAAACTTATCATGATAAATTCTTGGATTATTTATTTCTTGACTTTTTTCTTTTCAGAATTTTTCATCAGGGAGTAGGACTTTTGTTTTCATTCTACTTTGCATTTGTTGAGCCACTCATTTCTAAATTTCAAAATTTTTTTGAGGGAAATTTATTTAATTACATATAAATAAATGTAATATCTATTTATACATATGTTTATTTATGTAACTGTATATTAGACTCGATGTATATATGTTATGCTGCACACACACACATTCACACATACATATGTGTGCACACACGTAAACACATCTTACCCTCCTGCTTTTTATAGGAACCTTTTCTTGTTTTCTGCCTGGACCATCCTCTAGAAACACTTTGAGAGTATTAAATTGACACAAAAATTAGAACATTCCCTTTTTGTTCTTGAGTGATCTGTTTGTTCTGAAGTTAGGCATCTGGTTTGCCCAGGTGTTTTATTGCTCTAAATGTTCGCTGAGAGTGGGGTGTCTCTTCACATTAGGGTGTGTAGCATGTGTGGTGTAGCATAGATGGCTGGTGAGTGCTACTAACACGGTTTTGTTGGTTCATTTTGTACCCATGCCCCTCTCCAGCTTCCCAGGACCCTCCCCCAGTCTAGCATCCCTAGTCCTCATTGTGGTCCAGGAATACAATGTTGCGATCCAACAGCATTGCAATATGCTTTGGTGCTACAGCTTGTCTCTCTATGATTTTTCCACTGCCAGGACGTAGCAGGGGTTGCTCCTTTTGGTAATCCCTCAAATAAATGCAATGAATTGCTGGGCCAGGTGTCAGAGCCCCAGCAATGGAAAATCACGAGCTCGCGGGTAGCAAGAATTTACCGACAACAGCATATGTTTGAAAAGGAAGGTGTTATCCCATAGAAAGAATGCTGCAGAAGAATGCAGCAGGTGCCTCAGTGAGAGAGGACTGAGCGCACCTGGTGGGCTTTTCCTTAGGGGTATTTATGGACCCTAAAGTGGAGCTGAAGGGTAACTTGGACCACATTAGCCACATAGGTCATGATAAATGATTACATTTGTAGACATTTAGATGCCTTAATGCCAGCAAGGATTGCACAATGAATTTCGACATGTATGCATTCCAGAGATGTGTAGAAATTCTAGTTACTCACAAATTTGGGGAAAGAAGCCTGGTACTGGATGACAGCTTTAGATAATAGAGAAGTCTAAATACTTCTAAATTCCTTAGATAAGGAGTTTTGGTTCCGGATGGTCGGTTTGATAGTCACCAGGTGGTCTTTGCTCTCCTCGCAAATGAGAAACATTTAAATAGCTGAGCAATGATGAAGGTAGATTTATTTTATGTCCTTCCTTTTGATATCATTCTACTTAAAATAATTTCAGCCTTATTGAAATTTATGGAGTACCAAAAAAGTCCGCACACATTCACCAAATTCGCTCAAATTTGCTAAATGTTAACACGTTGCCACATTTGCTTTTATCACTTCTTGTGTGCACCCATGGGTACATATAAGAAAAATGAATTCTTAGTGACTTTTTTATTTGCTTGCTATTTTGTTTTATTTTGTCTTTTTGTCTGTCTTTTTCTGTAAGTGTGACTGTGTGTCTAATTTTATAACTGTTGCATCATAAGTTGCAAATGTAATTCTCATTTACCCCTAACTACTTCAGTGGGTATTTCTTAAAATACATGGACATTCTTTTGTATATCATCAGAACAATGATGAAAGTCAGCAAATCAACAATTCTTCAAGACTATAATCTTTAGACCTGCAGAACTGCTAACTATACCAGTATAAAACAAACCTACCAAGTAGAGTTCTAGACGCTCAAAACATTCTTTTGTTTTTAGCTTGAGGTATATAGGCACAATACTTCATCTGAGAGTTACTTTTCCCCCACCATCCTTCAATGTGGTTATGCTATTTATTTAGGCTCATTTGTTTTGGTTTGTATGAACTTTTGCTTTTCTTTTCCCTCCCTGTCTTTTTGATTATATGTCTATTTTTGAGTATGTGAACATATGTAATACTAAAAATGAAAATAATACAAAAAGTACTCAGAACAGTGTCACTCCTCATTCCTTATTATTCATCCTCACCTCCCCGATCTTTCCATCCTATTTGCATTCAGCCCTGCAGGTTTTGAACTTCATTAGTTTCTGTTTTATTTGACCATGCTTCTTTTTACACAAATGAGCCTTCTTATTTCTCATTTCACCTTTTAGCTTCTTTCTTGCACAAAAGTTTCATTAACACAGGCACTGTTTTGCTTTTTATTGTTTCACTTAATATTTTTTAAAATCTCTATATAGGTTTGAAATAATGTTTTTATTTTCTCTTTTCTATAGTCTCAGAATATACAATTGCATGTATGCACCATAGATTATTAGAACATTCACCTATGGAAGAGCATTTAGTTTTATTCCCAATAGGCAATTTCAGACAACACTGCAATAGATAATTTTACACATGTGGATTTTCATATTATTGGACATGCATCCTTTGCATAAATTCTGAGAAGTGGCATTGAAGGCTGAAATGGAAAATGAAGTCTTAGTGATTTTTTTTTTTTGGTTATTTTTATTTATTTATTTTTCTAAGATATCTCCAAATTATCTTCCAAAAAATAATGCAAATTTGTTTTCAACTAAAAAATGATGAAGGTTTTCTCACAGGCACACCAAAATTTTATAAAATTGGAATTGGAGAACTGGTATCTCATAAAGTTTGTTTTATTTTCATTTTTTTCTGAGTTTGGCTTAACATTCTTTTCCTGTGTTTATGAGTTGCATTTTACATGCATCGTTTATTACTGCTTTCTACCTGATTTTAATCTTTTTCTCTGTTTAAAGAAAAAGTTTTATCTATTAGGTTTATTCAGCATTTAATGTACAATGTATGTTGTGAATATTTTCTCTATTTTTATCAGTTGCTTTTTGACTTTGTTTATTGTCCATTTTGGCCATTTAAAAGTTTTCTTTTTCACTGTAGTCAAAATATTTTTATATTTGTGTGGCATTTGGATTTTGAGTTATGAATATGAATCTGCTTATGTCACGTTAATACTGGTATAGATTTTTTAAAACATTTAATTTCCTTATTGAGAGTTTATCTTTTCCTTCCTTGTGAAGGACATGTCTAATGTCATTTTTTCCAAATGTCTGACAAGTTGTCTCAATACCATTTGGCAAAAAGCTAATCTGTGCCCAGCAATTTGAGATGGCATATTTTTATGCATATTTCCTTATGTATTTAAATCTAATTATGAACTTCCTCTTCTGCTCCACTTGCTTGTCTTTTATAAATAAGACTACACTTCTCTTCAAAATAGAGACACTGTGTTGCTTTTTAATGTTTAATAGGGCTAGTCACTCCTCATGGCTATTTTGTATTTCCAATGTATTTTTTATTATATTTACACATTTGTGACCCAGGCTGCAGTGCAGTGCCACAATCTCCTTCACTGCACCCTTGAACCCCTGGGCTTAAGGATTCCTCCCACCTCAACCTCCTGAAGAGCTAGGACCACAGGCGTGCACCATTAAACCTGGCTAATTTTTTGTATTTTTAGTAAAGATGGGGTTTCACCATGTTGCCCAGGCTGGTCTCGACCTCCTGAGCTCAAGTGATCCGCCTGCCTTGGCCTCCCAAAGTGCTGGGATTATAGGTGTGAGCCACTGCGCCCGGTCCATATACTTTGAAAACATCCTTCTGTGTTTCGTTAACATCATCTGTGCACCTTTTTATGGAACTGTGTTAAATGTGTTTATTATCCTAGGGAGAACCTACATCTTAAAATGTCTATTATTCATCTTGTGGCAAATATCTAATTTTTCAAGATCCAGCCCTTTTGCCCTTTTTGGGAACTCTATTCAAATGTTTGGATGCTGGTGTCTTTCTCTATTCCATCATTAATCGTAGTTAAAAATCACCAGTGATGTTTCAGAAAGAGTAATCCTTCAGTATAGCTGGTGATATGAGCAATATATTCATCATAATTCAAGAAACAGTTACCATTTTACAGATAGTTCACATCAATTCCAAAATACTCTGGATCAACCCAGAGAAATGTGAGAGATAGCAAATTTATTATTTTTATTCCATAGACAATATGTCAGAGTTTTTTCCTGTCTGTCCCTTTTGCCAGAAAAATGAAATAGTTTTATAATTCACTCCAGAGAAGCCTTTATTTAATCATCCATGTTAGGACGACTAATTAGAGTTTTCAATACCTGCTCCCAACCCTCTGAAAAGAATTATCTACAAGTATTATTGGTGGCGGGGTATTAGTATGCCAAAGCTGTTGTGTAATTTCTGCCAAACTCCTGAGATTTTATAGCTATAATGTCTTTTAACTGACTTACACTTTCTTTCAATAATGCAACTGAAGTAGTATTTTCTTTGAGATGTCTAAACCTATCCAAATTGATAATATCTGAATAACAAAGTTCTAAGATGAATAAAATCCGGTGGCTGTGTTATCAAATGCCTGCCAAACATATTTATCTTCAGAGCCCATTATTTCCCATAAAAAACCCAGCAGTGACTTTCATAACTGTTATGCATATGGGCTGGGCTCATTAAGACAGTACCTTCTTATCCTTATTCATAGATGCTCTTCTGATTCAAAGTTAACATGTAATATTATCATTAAGGAGCACAGAAAGAACCTTCATTTTCTAAGAAGTCATTAGCCATAGGTCTTTTTCTAATTTTTCTGTAGCATCAATTTTGTATATTAATGAAAACCATTATTTTGAAATACTTAACTGGTAAGGAAGAGAATGATCAAAGAATTGAGATAATTTAGCCTAAAGAAGTAAAACCTAAGAAATGATTGAGCTTCAAAAAATTGTGCAGACGGCAACTGTTTCTTTAAAGATACCAAATACCTTTAAAGATACCAAAATAGGAAACCAGCCCAAGTTTGGGGGAAAATTATGTATTTTTGAAATTTTAGTAGTATATATTGTATTTTTTTTACAGGATACACTTGCATGGTGGTTAATGGAGTCTTCCGTCAAAAACAGGTGTGAGAACTTCAGCTCCTGAATACATTGTTTGCCAACCCAGTTGGCCAACAAACATTTTAATAAGTGACCCTTATGATTGTCAGTTTTCACAAGCGGAAGTACAAGGTGACCAGTTTAATTTAAATTTCAGATAAACTGAATATTTGTAGTATTAGTATATACAGGCAATATCTGGGAAATATTAGGTTGGTACAAAAGTAAGTGAATATTTATGTGAAAAAAAGTGAGTTTTATCTAAGATTTAAATTCCACTGAGCAGCCTGTATTTTCTTCGGCAACTTCAATTCTATTTCTGTGATGTTCCAGGTAGCTAAACAAACCAATTTGCCATAATCACCGTATTAAATAATGTCCTGGTCTTTGATAATGGGTGCAGACACATTTTCATGGATACGACCATGTTTTTTCAAACAAATAATACTCAAACCCTGACTATACAAGGTAGATAAACAGCAAACTTTGGTTTGGCCACGTTAGAGGGTGAAGGCCTTATAGTGGCTGTGGATTTGACATCATCTAGGTCTTCTCTTTCTCTCTAAGAGGGTAGAGTGTGTGGGGTATAGTGTGTGGGGGCACCCTCAAAATAAGGGGGAATTCTTATTGAGTGGAATAACAATTTTGGGGCCATACCTATTTGTAATAGGCACAACCATTCACATTAGTGATCAGTGATGGCTGGGCTAATTCAAAATATATTAAAAAACACTAATTGTAATTGAAGCATACTCACATGTATTATTCTTACGTGGTATAAGAGTGCAAGACTTTCCTGAAGTATGAATATCAAATATATAAGAGAAGGAACATATGTTTTATATGTAGTTTAAATACTTTCTCAGATAAGGGAATGTTTGATTTTAAAAAAAGAAAATTCAATGCAACATGCATTAAGTACCTACAACCTACTCTGAATTATCTAAAAACTGTGAGAAATAAAACGATGAGTAAAAATAGTCATTGTTCTCTGGAATTCATTGTCAGGTAGGGGAGAATGATGTGCCCATTATATTGAGATAAATGCCATTTTTCATTTTGCTGGCTTAAAAGATAACAGGTATAATGTGTTAGACAGGAATAATTTTATCAAAATGGATAAGGCAGCTTTACCTAGTTCTTTGTATTTATAACTAATAGTCTTTCTAGATAGAGTTTAATGTTAAAAGAAAAAGGAGTAAGAAAGGATGACTTTTAGCTAGGGAATGGGGAAAGAAAGCAATATACTCCATGAAAGAAATAGTATTTCAGTGTTCACTTGAAGATGGCTAGAATGTTGAAAGCTGTAGATGGAGAAAGATATTCCAGGAAGGTGGAACAATATCAACAGTTATTTGCTGTTCATTGAGTTTGAAAATTAAGTGATCAGAGAGCTTAGCAAATGCAATTTCTATGCCTTGACCGTACAGATTAAATTGGGTGAAGGAATGACTTTGGAGTGAGTAAATAGCAACAGAGTAAAGAAAGAGAATAGCCGTAACAAGATAGAGCCATAGGGTTGAGAGATTATTAATGTTATTATGGTTTTTGGACAAAACTCGAGGACTTCAACTCCTTCTCATAGCAGTAAAGACTGAAAGCCTGGCCTGATTTTCAATATACATGATTTAGGATGTGTATTTAATATAAGATTTCAGGGATGTAATGACAGGTGGCAAAAATACTTGAACAAAAAAGAAAGATGTCTGATGCCTCTGGTTCTTGAAACTATATTTCTTACACACCTTCTTCAACAGGTAAGAAGGGTTAAACATTTTTATTTTCATAAGCACTCAGAAATATTAAAATCCTGATTTCATTTCAACATGTCAGACTGAAAAGTGGTTTGTAAACATTTTTTGAAGTTATTTGTCATACTTAACAGAAAGTGGGGGTTAACTCCTCTAATCTTGTTTAGACATTAAATCTGGGGGTTGAAATGTTGCAAACCAAAGATGATAATGTCTTTGGTATATTTATAATAACTCAATATGGTGTATGTCTCTAATTTCTAATTTCAGACAGACATACACAGATTTTAGACATATATCATATATAGTGTGTATGTGTACATATATATGTGCATATATATGTACACACACACCCTTACATATATGCAATCTATGTATATATAGATATATGAATGGTTATGAAAATTTATTTGAATAGATACAGATAAATGCATTCTATATATCCCAGGGAAGTAAACTTGTATTTATATACAATAAGTCTTCACTCAATGTTGTAGACAGATTGGAAACTGCAACTTTAAGGGAAATGACATAATGAAACCAATCTTTTTCTCTCATCACCGTTGTAACAACTTTGAATGAAAATAATATTACTCAAGAACTTGCTATGTGTTGTTTTTCTTAAAGTTGCAATTTCCAAGAACCTATTGATAACATTGAGGACTTACTGTGTGTATATATATACATATATATATGTATATATGTATGTATATTTGTATGTATATACACATGATGTTACTGAGGACTTACTATGTATATGTGTGTGTGCACATGTATACTCCCACATTATATGTTTTAATAAATCAACTAGTTATGTAAATTGTGTAGTATATTCCCTGTGGAGTAAAAGTATTCCAGGAGATTGATCTAGAATCCCTGTAAAAAACAAGAGTATAATTAGCTACAAAAATACGTTTAATGCATTTGTAAATTTACAAAAGTCAATTCTTTACTATTTTTGTATTTTTGAGCAATAAAATGCTTGCCATTAGCCACATTAAAAAATGCAAAGCTAGACAGCCTGCAAAGATAGAGGGAAGAAAAGTGAGAGAAATTCACCCATTTTTATGGAAATGACATCATGCCCAGGTCTACTAAATGCTAGTTTTAATGCATGGCACATTTTACAAGCCCCAAAACTCACTTATATTTTGGAGGCACAGTTACATTTTAGGGGAAGGGCATTACTGAATACAAAATGTTCTTTTCCTCCTGCTGAACGGAATATAGAGTGCTAACACGCTTTCCAGACCTGCTGCACTGGATGTAGTCCATTAACAAAGGACTGGTTTTGAATTCATCAAGTCCTCCTGATTTTTAAGCCATCGTGCATTTTCCTGTCAAAAAGATTTGGCCTAAGATATCTATGCTGAAATTTGCACTCTGACAACTTTACATATCATGTTGGCTTTTATGTCATTTGAGTGAATTAATCAATCCTTAAGAACTGAATGACTCATTAAAAGCATTTCATCAAGAAAATGCTAATATTATTCCCCTTCCATTTCAAAGATCTTACTATAAAATGCTTTTACACAGCATTAGTTGAATAATGCAAAATGTGATGCAAAATGTGCAAATGCAGCAACATGGAAATGCAGCCCTGGAAAATGTATACGCCGCCAACCAAGATTTACATTAGTAAGGATGGAATGTTAAACATAAACTACCATAAAATGAAAATAAAAACTTAGAATTGATCGTTGCTGTTCTTGTTCATTTAATGCTGACTATATCAAAGAAAGAGGGAAGGAGATCCTAAGTTTATTTTTGGGTGGATTTCCTGATTATTAATCAAAACGATATTTATCAAAGTATATCTTAAGGTGATTGTATAAATATGGTAACTTCTAAAAATTAGCTGGTGCACTGTATTAGGACTATTTTCGGTTGTTTTTTACGAATATGTGCCATAAATGTAAAATGAGTCAAACCTCAAGCCCTTAAGATCATACCAAAGAATACTGCAGAATTACAGAGATTAGAAAATAAATTTTTTTAAACCAGAAATTTATTCATAATTTCTGAACACCAATTCTCCTTATTGCTTTCAAATGGCATTTGGTTAACATGATAAATAGGTGTACTCTGTGTGTGCATGTAAACATGCATCCACACACATGCACATATGTGTATGTAGAGTGTTAAGTGAACTCAACAGTCTTATGTTAATTTAATAAAACACTTATACTCTTTCACACACACATATATAAAATTTGTGCACTTAATTAGACAACCACAATTCAACTTTCTGTTTGCAGACCTAAATGTCAAGTAAACAAAGCATGAAGATAGCATATTCACATTCTCCAAATCCCTCTGCATTTTTCAATACCTCTTCAAGTTCTGTTCTTAATGTTCCTCCTAGAATTTTGCAGGCTAGGTAAGCGACATAATAATTATCATAGAAACCTCTGAAACTGCATGGGTCCCAGGCCCCATTCCAGTTTCTCTGATTTGAGACATTCTCAAAGCCTTGCTTGCTTATATGAGGTAGACCAGATACCTCACTGAGCTCTGGGGATCAATCCTATTTTGTCCTTCTGGGATCCTCAGCTGAAAAATGGAATGTCCTACTGGCCAGATTAATATTTTCTACAAGGGATGCCTTGTGACTGGGCTCCTCTCTGAAAAATAAAATGTTTAAACTACAAAATCCCTAATAATACCTTTCTACCTAAAGTAAATTAAGTGTATTCTACTGTCAGCCAATGAAAAACCGTTGTCTATTGGTTCCTGTAACAGATGCAGGTAAAAAACCACCAAGAAGAATTTTGGGTGGGTCATTATTATTTGAACTGACACTTGGATGTTATGGTACAAAGTCACTTAAGTTACTAATTTCAATGCAGTGCTTAGTGAAAGGACTGGTTTGGCTGTCCATGTGACTGTTGCAATGAACCGTTTTAATAGGCTTTAGGAATACAAGGATGGTGGAGTATGCTGGCTGCTTCTTACTGTGCACTAGAGTCTTAAAGAACAAAAGTCACTCGTTCAAAATATTAATTTCTTAGCTCATGGAATAGTGAGAAAATTAAGAACTTTATTATCACCCACTTTAAAGAAAAGCTCTAATTTCTGTTGCCCAGGCTGGAGTGCAGTGGCGCCATCTGAGCTCACTGCAACCTTGGCCCCCCTGGGTTCAAGCAATTCTCCTGCCTCAGCCTCCTGTGTAGCTGGAATTACAGGCGGGTGCCACCACACCTAGCTAATTTTTTATATTTTTAGTAGATGGGTTTTCACCATCTTGGCCAACCTGGTCTCAAACTCCTGAGCTCAGGTAATCTGCTCTCCTCAGCCTCCCAAAGCACTGGGATTACTGGCATGAGTCACTGTGCCCGGCCAAAAGATCTAATTTCTTACGGGCCCAGGGTTGGTGTATCTGAAATTCCAGAGAGGAGTATTTAACTGTGATTTCAATGAAAGATTAATTACAGCTTTTCTAAGTCTCTTGTGAAGTTGATGAGGAGAGTATGTGACTCCAGGAATTGTAATGCAAACCTTTCAGACTACCCTGATGTATCCTTGCTCATGAAAACTCAGGATACTTTGATGAGGCTGTCCCTGCCTTGTTTGAAGACCTTGTAATATCCTTACCTGATATATTACCTTACCTGAAGTATGTTACCTGAGATGTTACCTGATACGGAAGTGCAAATTTTCTTCATGCCCCACCCTTGTGACTTCTTGTGGTCTCCAGACCTATAATGAGAGTCAGATCCTAGCAGGCTCTGTGATTACTTGTATAGATGAATCCAGGAAGAAGAGAAGTCTATATCATAGATGAATCTAGGAGGAAGAGAAGTCTACACCATAGATGAATCCAGGGAGAAGAGAAGTTTACATCATAGATTAATCCACAAGGAAGAGAAGTCTACACCATAGATGAATCCAGAAGGAAGAGAAGCCTACACCATAGATGAATCCAAGAAGAAGAGAAGTACACCAAAATAGGGCACTATTTTGCAGTTTTGTTTTTTTTGTTGTTGTTGCTGCTTTTTCTGTTGTTGTTGTTTCTGCGGTTTTTTTTTTTTATAATCTGCAAACCTGGGGAATATGTATGGAAATAGGAATAGATTCTAATCATGCTAGTCAAGGAAGACAGAAAATAGTTATAAATTGGTTAGAATTTATTTTCACAGTTGCATCTATGAGAGTAGCTGAGAGGGTTTTTAACTGTTTGATCTGTTGGTGATGGAATCTTAAATAAACAGATGTCAGAAAGCCCCTGCAGCAATAGGAAAGAAGGAATCGGAAGACTTTTGGTGAAAGTTTGGGTAGATCTAGCATGTGGGATCCACATATCTGCCATCTTTGTTCCCCAGGGGGGGCTCAGCACTTTCTCCCTTTATCAAAGCATCAAGAAATTTATGACGAAGGGAAAATCCTGCTCCTTGCAAATATGTTCCCTTATCTGCCTTTCTTAATGCAGGAAATGAAGGTTGTGTTTGTGAGACATTGGAAACGGGATCACTAAGTCACGGGAAACAGGAAATGGGCAAGATCAAGGGAGATTGTTTAACCACTAAACATTATTAGATGTGGTTGCTGAAGAGGCATCAGGCAGTCTGTGGACCAGAATGTTTCATTTGCAGAGATCTTTGTTGCAGGTTAATTTATCATGGCATCTCTAGGGACCCAAAAGGGAAAGAGCACATGTTGTTGTACACCATGGAGATATCAAATAGGGTGAGCGGGTGTTTCTCTTGGGCCACCATGATCCTGAGTTGTGGACCCATAACCATATCCAGACTACAGTTATTTCCAGACTAAGAATCTTTTGAATAGTGTCCTTAAAGACCAAGCCCTTGATAACATCCAAAGCACTGTATCCAAGTGATCGGAAGCCATTAACGGAAGTTTATATGAGAAAAAAAAACTATTCAGCTCTTTCAGGATTTATAGGTCATTGGCTCAGAGTTAAGCAAATGTCTCTGGTGACTTGGAATGTTTCTAGGGTAGCTGAGTCAGAATAGGGGCTCACTGGCCTGGGTGGGGGGGTCACTTAAATAGAATTGTGATGTGACTCTATCTCACAATGAGCAAAATAGTTTCAAGACATCCTGCCATTGTATCTCATGTTTCTGAATATATATTAGGAGTGTATATACTTATTACCTGCCAGGGACCCCCAACATTGGCTTTCTGATCTTCAAGTGAGGATTATGGCAGAGGACATTCCAGGTGTTCTCCTCTTACCAAAATGACAAACCCAACCAAGAAGACATCCCTGAAAAATTAAATATTGGGGCCACCATCAGAGTTCTAACATAGAAATCTTTGATCTAAGCCTGTTGTATAAAATTGTATCCTCCCCAAAATTCATATGCTGAAATTCTAACCCATAGAACTTCAGAATTTGACTGTATTTGGAGATGGTTTCTTTAAGGAGGTAATTAAAGTGTGATGAGGTCATCTGGGTGAGCCCTTATTGAATAGGATTGGTGTCCTTAGAAATGAGAGAAATAGGCAGATGTTGGTTAAGGAGTACAAGCTTTTAGTTAGTTATAAGATGAATAAGTTCTGGAGGTCTAATGCATGGCATGGTAACTATAGTTAATAATGCTGTATTATCTAATTGAAATTTGATAAGAGGGCAGATTTTAAGTATTCTAACCACACACATACACACACACACAAATGTTACCTATGGTTGGTGATAGATGTGTTCATTAACTTGACTGAGTTAATCATTACCCAATGTATATCTATATCAAATCATCCCATTGCACACCTTGGATATGTAGAATTTTTATTGATTCAGTATTTTAAGATTTATAAAAGGAGATGAGGACACAGACATGCACAGAGGCATGACCCTGTGAGGATACAGGGAGAAGATGGCATCTCCAAGCCAAAGAGAGAGGCCTCAGGAGGAACCAGCCCTGCCCACACCTTGATCTCAGACTTCCAGCCTCCAGGACCATGGGAGAATAGATGTCTGTTGTTTATAAGCCCCCCAGTCTATGGTATTCAGTTATAGCAGCCTGAAATGGACTAAGACACCTCGTAAGAAGAGGAGATGAGGACACAGATACACACAGAGGGAAAACCGTGTGAGGACACAGGGAGAAGATGGCATCTACAAGCCAAGGAGAGAGGCCTCAGGAAGAACCAACCCTGTGGACACCTTGATCTTGCACTTCCAGCCTCCAGAATTGTAAGAAGTGAATTTATGTTTTTTAAGCCACTCATACTTTGTTATGGCAGCCAGAGCATACTTTTCCAATGGCCATTTAATAAACCTCTTGGGATATGCAGAAGATAGATAGATTTTAAAGGTTTCCTGACTAGCGGTGTGCTTACTCATGTGCTGATCCCAATATTGTTTCTATTCCAGATGTGGTTAATAGAGACACTGGGACTTGGGAAGCATCTATGGATCTAAGGAATGCTTTTGATATTTTCTCGCCATTCTAATCAATAGAGAGAAACTGTTTGAGTGGGCTAGTTCAATAAACATAGCAGCATGCATGCTTATTGATTATCCCTCTGCATGTGTCTGTGTCCTAATCTCTTTTAAAATTTTAAAATACTTAATTGACACATTAAAACTGCATCTATTCAAGGTGTACAATGGGATGACTTGATATAGATATACATTGAGTAATGATTAACTCAAATTAATTGACACACTTTCTTACTCCAAAGGGGATTTGATTTCTACACTATCTCAGGAAAATCATACTTGCCTTTAGCAGGGCGTGGTGGTGTATGGCTGTAGTCCTACTTACCTAGGAGGCTGAGGTGGGAGGATCACATGAGCCCAGCAAGGTGGGGGCTGCAGTGAGCCATGATTGCACCACTGCACTCCAGCTTGGGCAACAGAGACCCTCTCTCTCTTCTCTCAATCTCTTTCTCTCTCTCTCTCTCTCTCTCTCTCTCTCTCTCTCTCTATATATATATATATATATATATATATATATATATGCCCACATTTATATATATATATTTATATATTTGCCCACATTTAAGATTACATTGTACCAAGAGGACCTGTTGAGCCAGAAGAAGCAAGTACTTTAAAAGACTTAGAGAGAAATGTTTACTAAGAGTAGAAAATGAATACTGCAAAAATTAAGGGATATTCCACTTTGGTAAAATTTTTTTGGAGTCCACTGGTTGTAATTTGTTCACTTCATCTTAAGTAAAAGAAAAGATGCTGCATTTTCACCCTGCAGGAGGACACTTTCCCAAATGACTTTGGCTGACCTAGCTCTTATCCTTTTTGCTTGCAACTTTTGGGCAGAATGTAGCAAGAATGCAACATCCTGAGATAAGAATAAACTATTCAGAACAGCCCAGGCTTTTTTCATCTCTCCTAGAAAAAGATGTCCTGCAATGCTTGATCTCAATGACCCAGGTGTTTCCTAGTATATAAAACTCAGAATTGAGTTCTCTCGGGATCTCTCAGCTGTGGTGCAAAGTGAAGTATTCACGCACTCACAACCACATTAGCCCTGGATGGCTTTCTTGAGTCTTAGGATACCCACTTGCCATGAATCCTAGGGTTCTGTTGGTTCTTGCTGCCCATCTGTGAGTAATAAATTGTTTTACCTGACCTGTGCTAGAAATTAGTGTAGCAAACTTGGGATTGGTAACTGATGTGTGGTGACCTGCCTCTCGCATGCCTTGTTTGAATTCTTGAGACATTTATTTCATTTGAGAGTACTGGTCCTATCCATTTGTCTTAGCCCATTCTCCCTAAATCTACACCTGTGACCTCATGAGGGGCTTCCTATAATTATTTGATTGTGGAGACCAAATTCTCTTCTAGTTAATTGATGTTCCTGCAGGATGTGTTGGCATCAGCTGGAAGCAGACAGTTGCAGATTTATTTCTCCTTTGGTGATAGCTTTTGGGTACTCTGGAGAAAGGTAATCTTGCCTGTGGATTTAATTTCAAGGAGTACCACTTGGGGCTCATTTGCTAAGAAAGAGCATTGACTATCATGATGGATCTACTAATTTCACTTAATATTTTGCTTAAGTTTGCATAGGATGTTGGTAGGGTAGCCTCACCATTTAGTTCTTAGCTCATAAGATGTCAATGTGAGATTATGATTTACCTACAAGAGGAACAAGCAAAATCCAGGGGAACAAGGGTATGCAAAGAAGTAGAGTAGCTAAAGAAAGGTTCTGAGACAGATGTTGAGGACCAGCTCATTTTTCACCAGTCTTAGTCTCTTTCTAGAGGCCTTTCTTCAACTTCTATATGGTATGGAAATCTTGATTCCCTTGTGGCCAGATTTTCTTATTTTTCCCATATTGCACTCTGTAGATGTACCCACATGACACTTGGAAAGTGGAATTGAGGAATGTGAGATAGAGGAAGGATTGAGGAATGTGAGATGTTGGGGTTGAGGTGTTCGTTTCCTCTTGGGAAGTTAAAACGGAGGTTCTTTGTGGTTAAAAAATATCTTAGTGTGAATTTTTCAAAGGTCAATTTCCTTGGACTGGTTATTTTCTAGAGGACCTTATAGTTGGTTCTTCTACCATGTCAGATATTCAGATACTTATTTCTATGTGAGTGTCATTCTTGAAATGCATCATAGGACAAAGAAGAATGTGGATACACTCATTTGTAGTGGCTTGTCCAACACTTTTTATTAGAGTGCAACTCTGGTGTTCATGGGTCCATAAGGCTATATTCATGAAACCAATTCACTTAAAATGCTGCTCGTGTGATATGTCAAAGGGAAAAGAGAGTCCAAGACAAATGCATACTCATTTCTACTGATTTTATAAAATGCACTGGAGTGCAAGAAACATCTAAATGAGCAGTCTACCCTTGCCCTTACCTGAGAAATGTCTCGAAGAAGAATAAAGAAGATAAGAGGAGAGGGAAGATGTCGAACCAACGGGGATCATATTGCATAATGCTGCAAAGAAGTATCCGATAAGGGGAAATCTGCTTGAATCATAGGTGCTTCCATTGAGAGTCTCAATGATTAGTATGTAAACCTGAGTTCAAAAAGAATCAGTAAAGAAGTGTAAAATAGTACTAAGGTCTGTTGCAGCATTGAAGGAGGAAAGTTGGACATAATCCCCCTGCAGGAACTCAGACGATATACATTAAGGTTTAGAGAGAACTGAAGTTAATGCTTCAGAACACCTGGGTTTGTGCAACAGAAAAGATAAGCAAAATAAACCTCTGTGCACAAAGCAAAGTGTCATGAGGCTTTTTGTAAGAAAGGAGATAAGCGCTTCTTCCTTCTCCATAGATATCAAAGGCCAGAGTTTGCTTTATGAGAACAGGGAAGAGGCAAGTCAAGTAAACAATCTCTTGTATGAAACACATACGTTGGAAAAAGGAGTGAGTCCGTGGAAAGAGAACTAAGGTCTAAATGGACCCTCATGTTTACAGAGATGATAAGGGAAGATACTCAAACCAAAAAAGAGCCATCCCTAAAGAAATTATTGAAGTAGAACATATTGATAGAAAAGAGTTTACATTCTATGTATCCGGGTCAGTGAATCGTGGTTGAAAGCCAAAGCTAATCTCTGCAAGGATAGACACTCGGTTTGTGTAGCGGCTTATGCTGAACTTGAAGGTGACCGTGTGACAGGGAAGTCCCAGGGATAGAAGATGGCAGAGCCAGTGGGCAGGTGTAATTTCCTTGGTCTACCAGCTGGGCACTGAACTTTCTGCTATCCTCCCTTCCTTGAGCCCAAATGTGCCTGGCAGGATCTGAGCACCAAGGGGAATACTTGGCATTCAGAAAGAAATTTGGCCTTGGTGGCCTCCCAAGGGATTGGTTAGAATACCTGTAGCTCAGGTAGTCTGTTCAAATCTAGTTTTGGCCCCAAATTCAGGGACACACTCCTAGTCATTGAGGTGCATGTAGAATAGATATTGTTCTTTCATCACTGGTTTTTTGCAAGTAGTTTCTGGCACTGGGTAATTTCCTTTCTGGTAATTGATAATCAAAGAGTGTCAGTAGCAGGACTGGAATAGACAAAGACATGCCGTGAGATGAACTGGTTACACGATAACCCTTGGGACCAATCACTGATGGCAGAAAAAGCAACAGAACACTACGACCCTTAAATCCAGGTTAGAAGAGCTCCTGTACTGAGCCTTGCTTTCAAGGACTAAATTCTGACCTTCCTCCAGCCACATTCATCTGTGGAAGGACTCCAAGATGTCAAAGCTCTATACCTCAGTTTAGAACCCACTCTGGGTATCTAGGGCCCTGGACTTCCCAACCCAAATGACTCTACACACACTTCCAGAATTAGCGTGGCTTGTTCCCTAAGCTGTGCCTGTAAAGGACACTTCTATTCAGAGGAGTGGCCATGTGGTGGTTGCTGGAAAGTTAGAATAAGGACTTGTGTTGTGGGTGGGTGAGCAGAATCTAGATGCCCTTGTGGGAGGAAAGATGGAATATGGACACACATTGGAGAGGCAGATTGAATATGGGTTCATATTGGGGAGGTGGATCAAATATGAATGTGCATGCGGGGATGGATGGAGCACAAATACCCATGAAGAATGAATGGAATATAATGCCCATTGTGGGGAGGGATGGATGAAAAATAGACATGCATTGGGAGAGTGGATGGATACAGATATGCATTAGGGGTTGAATGCATACAGACGTGTTTTAGGAGGCAGATGAAATAATACAGACATACAGGCTGGGGTCTCTACTCATGAGTGCTGGAGGAGCTTAGGAGATAGCCTGGGCACTGGAAGAGAAGGGGATGGGTCTCAGGCATGGCCAGTTCCTCAGGCCCTCTCTCCAGTTCACCTCCCCCATTCCCCACCCAGTCTGTACCTGTGCTTCCAGGTTGTTATAAAGGTGTGTTTTGTTAAAATCGAAATACAAAATATACATCATTTTACCCATTTGCTTGGTTATAACTTTAAAATATGCAGACATAGATTAGGTGAATTGCCTTAGGACTATTGCCCTGGGTTTGCAAAATAAAAAGCCAAGTTTGGTCAGGATCCAAGTCTAGGACCTCCAAATCCAAGTTCTCTGCGTGCTCACTCAACTGCCTCTCAGAAAGAAAGGAGAAGATATTGGACTTAAAAAGGAAGGAGAATGATGTCTTCATTATGTATTATTATGGGATGGCATGTCACATGTTTTCTGTTATGGTATTGCATGCTGTCATATTTGCTGTGCTATGCTGTGTCACGTCAGATTATGCTATATGCTGAGCTGTGCTGTGCTATGGTAGGTTCTGTGTTATTCTGTGCTATGTGATGACTTATGCTATGCTCTTCTATGCTATGCTATGTTAGGTTATACGTTATGCTATGTTACGTTATATTTTATGCTATGCTGTGCTATGTTATGCTGTGTTATATGCTGTTATATGTTACGTTATGCTGTATTATGTTTTGTTGTTATGCTGTGTTATATGTCATGCTATGCTGTGCTATGTTATGTTGTGTTATATTCTGTATTATATGTTATGCTGTTATACTGTGTTATAGGCTATGTTATACTGTTATATGTCATGTTATGCTATGCTATGATTTATGCTATGCTTTCCTATGCTATAACATGTTAGATAATTTGTTACACTATATTATGCTGTGTTACATGTTATGCTGTGCTATACCGTGCTTAGTCTATGATATGTTTTATGCTATGATGTCATATGATACATTCTGGTATATTATACTATTATTTGCTATGTTTTATGCTATGCTATGGTATGCTATGCTATGCTATCCTATGTTTTATACCATGATGTATGTGTTAGTGAAATGGGAAAGGTTCCCTTGTCCCCCTCACAGGGTGTGCAATGGGGGTGTGGCTCATTTCTTCAGTGCTCCACTGCTCAAATCTCTAGGGGAGCATAAAGACAGGCAGGCTGTGGGGCTCCGACCCCATGGTAGTGTCTGTGCCCCAGTGGGTATGTGTTACAGGGTGCTCTTTTAGTTTGCCTATAGGCAGCTTGTGTTAACCAGCTTAATTAGACCCTCTACCTTGTTGCAAGGACAGGGCTTTCTCTATCCCAGGTTCTTGTCTTTGTGTACCGGAAGAATCAGATCACACGTGGGCTTGGAGAATGAGTGCGGTTTTATTGAGTGGAAGTAGCTCTCAGCCAATGGGGGAGCCAGCAGGGAGATGGTTTTCCCCTGGATTTGGGCCGCTCAGCAGCCCTGGCTCTCCTCCGACTGCCCCAGCCAATCGTCACCTTGTCCTGCCGGTCAATGGCCTGCCCGTGTGCTGGTGCCTGTCAGTGTGCTCTTCTGCGGGTATGCTCCTCTCGAGGTCCTCTTGATGACCAGCCACTTGCATCTTCTTCTGCCGGTGTGCTCCTCTCGACATCTGGTCACTTGTGTGCTCGCTAGGATCTCGGGTTTTTATAGGCCCAGGATGAGGGTGTGGCGGGCCAGGCTGGTCTTGGAAAATGCAACATTTGGGTGGGAAAGCAGGAGTGCCTGTCCTCACCTAGGTCCGTGGAGGTGGAGCCCTAGCCAGGGACCCGCCTTTCTATACCCAGCACTTCCCTTCCCCCACTCTGTGTCATTTAAAGTGACCACGCTCTTCCCTTCCCAGCACTCCCATATCATTTGCTTTATGTTTAATGCTATGTTACATGTTATGGTAGGCTATGCTATAATATGTTATATGTTAGTTATGCTGTGCTATCTATCATTCTGTTTTGTGTTTTTCTATGCTATGCTACATTGTTTTATGCCATGCCATGCACTCTTATGTTATATGTCACGCTGTGCTAGGTTATGTTGTGCTATATGTTATGCCAAGCTAGGCTATGTTATTTTATATGCTATGTGATGTTATGTTATACATTATGTTATGCTATCCTATGCTCTGTTAGGTGTTGTGCTAGGTTATGCTATGTCGTATTACGTAATGCTTGTTATATATGTTATGTGATGCATGTCAGGTTATGCATATTATGTTTTCATATGCAATGTATGTTATATGATCCACATTATATAATGCATATTATATAAAGACAGTATTTAAAGGACTTTGAGGTAATCAAGGGCAAGTAAAAATGGTTCCAGAGAAGGAACAACGAGACTTACAACCAATACAGATTCAGGGATTCCTATAGATTCTAGGCCAAGAAGTAGAGCAGCTGGAAAAGTTTTATTTATGATATTACAGGAAAACCAGTTATTTTCTCACAATGGATGAGGAAATCTAAGGCTGCATGCAAGAGATAACTTTATATCTAACAGGAGACAGAATCAGGGAAAGATGTCAAGGTTATGAAGAATAAAAACGAACAAGTTCAGAACAGACCATAGCAAATTAACAATAATGGAAGAGTTTTTCCCTTCAATGTATTCAGAGAAAAGAGAAAATTGACACTGTAAAGGAAGGCTCAGAAAAATGAAATATGAAGTGACATCTATTAAGTAAAGAGATAACCTTTCCTGCAACATTATGTGAAATCATATTGGGATCAGATAAACTGGCAAGGGTAGTCAAGGATATATTTTGCCAAATTTTTATTCTACAATAGGAATAATAATGTCTAAAAAAGCAGATAATCCGCTGAGATCAATGAGGAGGGAACACAGTGAATGCAAGACGGTAATAGGAAGGCCCAGTTATACTTAAATAGTTTAAAGACTGTGTTAAAATTATGATGTAAAAAATAAAGTTGTGGCTAGGCACAGTGGCTCCTGCCTGTAATCCCAGCACTTTAGGAGGCTGAGGCAGGAGGATCTCTTGAGGCCAGGAGTTCAAGACCAGCCTGGGCAACATAGTGAGACCCCATCTCTAAAGCAAAAATAAAAATAAATCAGCCAGGCATGGTGGTGTGCACCTGTAGTCCCAGCTACTTGGAAGGCTGAGGCAGTAGGATCGCTTGAAGCCAGGAGTTTGAGACCAGCCTGGACAGCATGGCAAAAACCTGTATCTACAAAAAATAAAAATAGCTGGGCGTGCTGACGCATGCCTGTACTTGGAAGGCTGAGGGTGGGAGGATTGCTTGAACCCTGAGATGTCGAGGTTGCAGTGAGCTATGATTGCACCACTGCACCACTGCACCCTAGCTTAGGTGGCAGAGTGAGACCTTGTTTCAAAAAAAAAAAAAAAGAAAGAAAGAAAGAAAGGAAAGTTGTGAATATAAGTTCTTTTGCTAGGTTCTTGGGAAAATAAAATACAATATCCAGCATAGCAGAGATAGCTAAATGAATTACGTGATACTCCAAATACAGAAACACATGCACTAGGTTGATTACATTGTTTTTGCCAATTTGATACAATGGATCCCTTTTTATTAGTGAATGGCATAATAAATAGCATGGATCAGTTTTCTTTTGATTTTCATGATATTTCCTGAAATCATTGGCTGTAACTCCTTTAGAAAAAGTAGTCATTAACAGACTCAGAGAAAGTTCTTTTTCAACCTCTAATAAAGAATATCAAGCATTGGATACAGAATTATAAATGTTGGTGATGCTTGTTTAAATCACAATGCTTGCTGCATTTCTGTTTATCAGAAAGGCAAACCATTCTGGTCGCCTTTGTATATTTTGAAGATAAAGGAGTGAAAAACATGAACACACCAGAGTTGAGACTATATTAAAATCACAGTATTGAATATTATCCTTTCTTTCTCCGCCAAAGAAAATGATTCTTTGAAGCCATCCAGCCTTATAAGCAAATGGCACTAATGTGCTAGGGTTTAACGGAGAAGGGACATCATTAAATGGTTTGTTATGACCTAAATGAATGTCAAGGAAAGCTCCGACTTCTTTCGTGGCTCAGTGATTTCTCATCCAATTTCTTTCTTTTTACCTTGGCAGAATGACAGCTCGGTACATTGTTTTCCCTCTCATCACCTTCATCTCTTGATAGGCAAAGGAATTTATTTTTAAACAAAGGTCAAACAAATGACAAGCTTTGGATGTCTGGTCAGGCAGAAAATATATGTAGATAAATAGACGAGTTGCACGACAATTCTTAGGCAAAATATTTCGGGAATCTGAAAATGGCAACGGTAATGGAAAGGGTAACAAGCTTCTAACACTTGCTGAATAGTCTTTAAATGCTGACAGTCTGTGGTGTCCTAAAGCCCAAATATGCAAATAGGGCCAACATCTGACGTTGTTTTTCCACTAATGAGCATATCTTCCCTAGTAAGGATGCCTGTGTCAGCACGGGGCATCTTATTACTTCTTGATTCTGGGCAAAGCCTGGTTTTCCAAGGCTCCAAGAATTCCACATCTTTTCTGGGGAAATTGAGGGTGGAGGAACCTCCAGGGTGATTCAATCACACATGGCATCCTTGTCTCCAGAGGAAAGAATTGTGTGGTCCATTTATCTTTCATCTACACAACAACTTGGGAACAAATGGGTGTCCACAATCAGCTGCTCCTCTTAAAATACATAATGGAAAATATCAGCAAACTTGCTTATCAGCCCCTAAAACCCGAACAAGCCAAGCCACCAACTGCACATTGGAAGACCCAATGCTGACTTTGCTTTTTTTTCTTTTTGCTTGCTGTTGACAAATTTGATATATTTTCAGCTTTCTAAGGAATACTGGATATTGCATCTTTTTCTTCACTAGCACACAATATTGCTTTTTCCTCTATCTACATCATTTTGAAAGGCAGTGTCAAATATATGTTTGTGATCTATTTATTATTTTTAAAGTTGAGGGGAAGTGGAAGTTTTAAAATATATTAAAATATATTTTCACTGTTTTTAATAACACTTTAATTATTTTTAAAATTAAATTTTACAAGATAAAGGGAAATATCTTCCCAAATTACTATCCAGGGAGAATCATATGGTGATGATATACAATATGCATTGCAAACTAAATTTAAAATTAAATATATTATGCAATTCATTTTGTTGAATAAATGCACTATGATTTAGTTAATTCTTCTCTGTTGTCATATGTTTAGCATGTTTTTTCTTTCTTTCGGCTTCCCTCCCTCCCTCTCTCTCATTCTTTCTCTCTCTCTCTTTTTGGGGGGTGGGATGAAAACGAGGTCTTGCTCTGTCTCTCAGGTCTCTCAGGCTAGAGTGCAGGGGTGCAATCATAGCTCACTGCAACCTCAAACTTGTGGACTCAAGTGATTCCCCTGCCTCAGCCTCTGGAGCAGCTGGGACCACAGGAATTCACCACTACATCCAACTAATTTTTTGTAGAGACAGGGTCTTGCTACCTTGCCCAGTCTGGTCAGGAACTCCTGGGCTCAAGCAGTTCTCTCACCTCAGTCTCCCAAAGTACTGGGATTACTTTTTTCTCTAAGTCTTGCTATAACAAATAAAAAACAAGTATATTTGTACATGAATATTCTAAATGTTGTTCAGAGATTTTCTTAAAATAAATTTCTAGGAGTACTTTTACTGGATAAAATGCATGATATTTAATTTGTTGTGGTATGACTCATTTAAGTATTTTGCTTTCTAGAATTCTTCCATTTATTAAGACCTGACTTGCCATTATAATTTACTTTAACTGTATCTGCATGATGGGAGTAAACTTTTCTTTTGAAAATAATTTTAATATGAAATATGTTTGAAACATACAGTACTATCTAGTGTCTAGTACAATATTTCATATGTTAACACCTTATGAATACTCCACATAGCTCTGAAATGTCTGAATATTTTGAAGTGGTTTTGTAATCATCTTCTTCATTCATTTCTTAATTTTAAAATTGCTTTATCTCCATTTTTGAGATAGCTTTTGTCAGGTTAAGGGAATTTTTTTAGTTTGCTAAAAGTTTCTATATTAATCATGAATTATCATTAACATTTGTTGAATGCTTTATTAAATTATGACTTTTGTCATTTATTCTGTGGATGTGACAGTTCATACTCATATATTTTTTAATGATCAACATTCTTGGGTTTCTAGGATAAATCCAAATTGATTGTGATGGATTTTTTTTTGACCTAGCTGAATTCACTTTCCTGTTTTCATTTAGGATATTTACAGTCATGTTCATAAGTACGTTGTTATAGGTTTCTTATAAGACCCTGGCTTCACTTTATGTATTCTATTTTATTAAAAAAATATTTTCAGTGCAGGTTATAATGTTCTCATAAACGTAGATGAGGAAATTTACCACTGGGGACCCTGATGGGAAACAGATGGTGTACTTAAAAGGTAATGGGATGGAGTTGATTGAGAGGAATGTTTATCAGGGTGTGAGGGACCCAGGTTCAAGCATCACCAAGACATTGATATTTTGTTGCTTCAGCCTGAAGCAACACAATGAGGAAAAATCAACTGGAGCCTACTAATGATGGAGTAGAGTTTCATAGGTTGATGTCCTCACAACCAGGACCTCAGAATGTGGCTGTATTTGGAGATGAGGTCTCTAAAGAGGCAATTAAGGTAAAATGAGGTCAGTAGGGTAGGCTTTGATCCAATAGGACTGGTGTCCTTATAAGAAGAGGAGAAGAGGACATAGACACAGACAGAGGGACGACCCTGTGAGGACACAGGAAGAAGATGGCATCTCTATGCCAGGGAGAGAGGCTTCAAGAGTTTCTTCCTATAAGGGCACCAGTCTTATTAGATTAGGGCACCACCTTAATCCAGTATAACCTCTATTTAACCTAACTAATTTCCTCTGCAACTGACCTATTTCCAAATCAGGTCATATTCTAAATTACCAGGGCTTAGGATTTCAACATCTCTTTGTCTTTTGGGGTTGAAGGAGACACAATTCAACTCATAATATTGCTGTAGAGAGATGTGGAAAAAGTGTTTTTCCTATTGGCTGGTCGAATGTAATTTCAGGTTCCTGAGAGGTGGAACTGGGGCTGAGGAAGTAGAGAGCATAGATTTCTTTGGGAAAGACCTAAATGTTGCCTTCTGTCTCTATCTTGCCTCCAGCTGTCCAGAAATGAGTGTTGAGGTCACATCTAGAGCCAAGTGGGACTCAGGAAGTGTCTCAGTTGGACAGCCTTGTGCCCTGAGAGAACTTCTAAAAGGCAGAAAAAGAAGTGGATAAATGAATACACAGCACTCTCCACCTCATCCCTCTCCAATAAATGTGGGGGAAAAAAAACCCCAAAAACTTGCTTTTTAAGCTATTTAGTTATAGCTTAGAGCTAGCAATATGGGCCATGTTGAATAGTAGAAGAAAACTGTTTTTATGTTCTTGATAAAGTCAGCAGAGTTGTACATGCTGTCTGTTCACTTTTGCTTAGTCAGATGGGGAACTTTCCAGAATTTTCTAGAACTTTCCAGAACCTTCCAGAAGAGTATGCTAAAGACAATGGTGTGTGTCTGACTTCATTGGCCATTTTTCTCAGAATAAAGCCAGTGAAAGCAAATTAAATGTATACAGCACACACCCTGGTTTTCTTTGGATTCCAAAATATTAACTTCATTTGTATGGTATAGCTAAAAAATAGTGTTTACAGTCATAACACGATTATGTTTTGAAAGGGGAATATGAGCCTTAGAATATTTAATGTAAAGTGTTATAGATTGTGTTTTTTTATTAATGACTTTTCTCATTAAAAAAAATTTCCAAAGAAAGGGTCACAATCCTCTCAGAAGGGATGTTGGTAATACATTTGTAATTATCTTACCCATACTAATTACTTTGAAATCAATGAGGCAGTTCCTCTTCATTTTATAGTGTATTTAAACATTCTAGATCATTATACATTTTATGAAATTTCATATCCCATGCTGAAATTTTTTAATACTAACTTACATTTATACAACACTTTAAAATTTTTATTACTTTGTCTCTTACGCTCATTTGATTGTCACAGTAAACCTATTAAATATTGAGACCCTTTACTTCTCATTCTTCTTTAAGAAGCAAGAAACTCAGGGCCATGTTTTTTTCGAGGTTAAATGGTCACTAAAACAACTAGCTTTGTCTCTTTAATTCCAAAAGGGTGTACGTTGTACTGCTGGGTTTTTTCCTCTAACATTTCAAGCGATCTGTATGTTTCAGAAAATGCACATCCAGATCCCCTTTTGAGAGTGAGAGATATCGCCATCTCTCCCTCGTTGATGATTTTCTTGGTGTTGTCCAAGGTCAAATCCTCAACAGATATTTCTGAGCAGAAAAAGCTATATGAGATTCTGGAACACATCCCAGAGGTCAGAGTTTAATTTCTGCTTTGGACTTTGGCTTGGAGACTGGGAAAGGGGATGGGTGTGGAATTTTCTAAGCAGTCTCGTGTAGGGGCTGAAGGTGGTGGAGAGTTCAGGAGGATAAAACCCCGCAAGGAAACATGGCATCTCAATGGAATGAATGCATAGAATGAAGCAGCGTGCTGGCTCTCTGGAAGGCAGATGGGCATCTGGCTCAGGAATCCAGATGGAATTATTGGTCCGGGGTGCAGAGGTGGCATGTTTGTAAATTTAGCTGGAAGAGGCTCAAAGCAAAATTGAAACAGCCAGACATTGTCCCCATAAGTAGGAAACAGCAGAATGTGGATGCATCTATGGTGATCTCTATAGAATTAGTGCAAGAAAGTTCTTTGAATACCATGTATAAGAAAATGTGAAAGTGTATGTGTGTGTGTGTGTTTGTGTGTGTGTGTGTGTTTGCATGAAATTCTGATTTCAGTATGCGTTCTCTGAAATAAAACTCAGCACCCTTCTTGGTTGAGTGATTGGGAATAAAATAGAAAAGTATTAGTGAGCATCAACGAATGTAAGGAAATTGAGTGAGGGTGAGGCTGAAGGGTGTGAAGAGTAAGGGAAGCTTTTCAAGATTTATCAAGAGGTTATATCAATGCCTGATTTTTGTGTTGAAAATGAAGACCTGCTTATGAACATGTAGTGTTGTTCCTTCCCCCGAGACATTCTTATTTTTCCTTTTGAGTTAACGCGTAATACCTATACATATTTATGGGATACAGAGTGACTTTTCCATACTTGTGTACCAGGTGTAATGATCATTTCAGGGTAATTAGCATATTCATCACCTTAAACATTTTTTTTGTGTTGAGAACATTCACAATCCTTTCTTCTAGCTTTTTGAAAATATATGATAAATTATTGTTAACCATACTCATCTTCAGTGCTTTAGAGCACTAGAATTTATTCCTCTTATCTAGCTATAATTTTGTATCCATTAACCAACCTGTCCCCACCTCCCTTCTCTTTTCCCTTCCCAGCCTCTAATAACCAAAATTCTCTCTACTTCTATGACATGATTGTTATTATTAGTGTATGTATACATGTTATTATAAAGAATACTCATGTTTTCTTCAGTTCCAAAGTCTTCCCTCATTTCTTCTTATTTGTAGGAACTGTTGTTGTAATAATACAATATGATGTCACAAGTGCTATGGGCTAAATTGCATGCCCTCAAAATGCATATATTGAAGTCCTAACAAGTCCTAATCCCCAAAACTTCAGAACATGACTGTATTTGAAGATGTGGTCTTTGAAGAGGTCATTAAGGTAAAATGAGGTCACTAGGGTGGACCTTGATCCAATAGGATTGGTGTCCTTATAAGAAGAGGAGATTCGGATACAGACACACACAGAGGGATGACCCTGTGTGGACACAGGGAGAAGACAGCCTCTACAAGCCAAGAAGAGAGGACTCAGGAGGAAGCAGCCCTGCCCACACTTTGATCTCGGACTTCCAGCCTGCAGAACCATGAGAAAATGAAATCATATTATTTAAGCCTCCTAGTCTCTGGTATTTTGTTGTTGGCAGCCTTGGGACACTAATACAAGACATTTCATAATATACTGAAGAGAACATAGACTATATTTTAACTATTAATTCTCATTTTTAAAGAGCTTATCTATTGATGCAAACATTAACTATAGTCACCAATATATACAATTTTTGTCATAATCTCATTTAAGTATTAAGTTAATTAAAAACATATTCCACTACTAGCCCTACTCATTTGATAAAAATGAATGTTAAGGGAAAAATAAGACATTTTATATATTACAAATGTATTTTTTTGTGTGTGTGTTTTTACCAGCTCAGTGTCCAGGAAAGACTTCAGCTCCATTTCTGAGTCTAATTCCAACTGTGGTGAGCTGTGTGGTTTCTATTTAGCTACAGTTGAACTTTCTGAACTCAACTGGTCTACTTAAAATGTCACATTTTCCATAGATTTGCTGTGATCTTGGGCTGACCACAGGGTTAAAGTTGGCCCTTGGATATATGGAATCCTCATTCTAGAAAGTTACTAATGGAAACAACGAACTAGTATCACCACTGAAATATTGTTTTGTGAGTTTCAGGATTTTAACTATCCTCTTAAAACGTTAGGATAGCTTAAAAAAAAGTGGCATTCTTTCTATACAGTAGCCATTGGATCATCACTGTCAAAATTCATCTAAGATGATAACACCTGATTTTGAGGACATATACACAGCAAAGTTAAACATCATATGAAATGTTGTGGATCCAAAATTGGCACCCAGGTATTTTGTTTTATTTATCGTAAGTCACTCATTATTTATTCTAAGCATACTCATTATTCTAAGTCACTATAGTAGTATAAATATATACTATAAACTGGATAGTACATATCCAATATTATATATATATTAGTATATATTATGTATACTAAGTACACTATACTTATATATACATAGTATACACAGTTTATATGTGTATTGTATATATAATATATATGCAATTTTCATATTTTACATTCTTACATTCATTTTACATACATATTCACATTCATACTGTAATGTGTATGTGTGTGTGCATGTGTGTGTAGGGAAGGGTGTGTATGTACACACACATTATATATAGCATATGCAATATATTATATATAGTATATAGAGTATACCATATATGATAATATATAGTATTATGTATATATAACATACATATTATGTATGTTACGTACATATTATGTATAATATAACATATATTATTATATATTATATAATATATATTATCATGTATGGTATACTCTATATACTATATATAATATATTGCATATACTATATATAATGTGTGTGTACATACACACCCTTCCCACACACACACGCACACACACATGCACATTACAGTAAACCCCCATTTAACATTGTTGATACGTTCTTGGAAGCTGTGACTTTAACTGAAACATTGTACTCTACTGTATTGAAAAAAATAAATTTGGCCCAGCGCTGTGGCTCACGCCTGTAATCCCAGCACTTTGGGAGGCTGAGGCAGGTGGATCACTTGAGGTCAGGAGCTCGAGACCAGCTTTGCCAACATGGTGAAACCCTGTAGCTACTAAAAATACGAAAATTAGTCAAGCATGGTGGCGGGCACCTGTAACCTCAGCTACTTGGGAGGCCGAGACACAAGAATTGCTTGAACCCAGGAGAACGAGGTTGCAGTGAGCTGAGATTGCACCATTGCACTCCATCCTGGATGGCAGAGCAAGACTGTCTCAAAAAAATAATGATAAAATAAAATAAAAATAGAAAAACAAATTTACCATAGGCTAATTGATATAAATAATAGTTAAGTTCCTATGTCATACAGGATGTCATTTTGCTTCAGTGCAGTTTCCAAGGACCTATCAATGATTTTAAGTGAGGATTTACTGTATATATAGTATATACATATAGATAGATATTATATTATATATGTAGTAAATATTATTTCATATATCCAGAGTGTGTTGCCTTGTAGTAACAAAATATATACTATATTTATAGTGATATATAATATCTATAGTACATGTAGCAGTATATATAATATAATGTATATGTATAGTAGATATATATTATAGCACAGTATATAAATGGTATATGTTTGTATATATCCATATATGTCCATAGATATATAGAAATATACAGTCATGCACCACTTAATGACAGGGATATGTTCTGATGAATGTATTAGGCAATTTCCCTGTTGAGCAAAAATCATAGTGTACACTTACACAAACCTAGATAGCACAGCCTACTACCCACCTAGGTTGTAAGGTCAAGCCTACTGCTCCTAGGCTACAAACCTGCACAGCATGATACTGTACTGAATACTGTAGGCAATTGTAACACAATGGTAAGTTTGTATGTATCTAAACAAAGAAGAGACACAGTACAGTATAAAAGATAAAAACTGGCACACCTGCGTAGGGCACTTACCATGAATGGAGCTTGCAGGACTGGAAGTTGCTCTGGGTGATTCAGTGAGTGAGGAGTGTGTGGATGTGATCACCTCAGTCATTACTGTGCACCACTGCAGGCTTTATAAACACTGTACACTTACCCCACACTAAATTTATTTTAAAAATAGTTTATTTTCTTCAGTAATGAATTAACCTTAGCTTACTGTAATTTTTACTTTATAAACTTTTTAATTTTTTTTACTTTTTTGACTGTTTTGTAATAACATTTATCTTAAAACACAGATACATTGTAGAGCTACACAAAAATATTTTTTTTTCTTCTGTATCAGCCTCGCAAGTAGCTGCAATTACAGGTGCCCGCCACCACACCTGGCCAATTTTTGTATTTTTAATAGAGACAGGGTTTCACTATGTTGGCCTGGCTAGTCTTGAACTCCTGACCTCAAATGATCCACCAACTTCGGCCTCCGAAAGTGCTGGGATTACAGGCATCAGCCACCATGCCTGGCCCCTCAATATTTTCTTTCTTTATATCCTTATTCTATAGCTTCTTTTTCTATTTTTAAATTTATGTATATATTTATCGATTTATGTTTTACTTTCTAAACTCTTTGGTTAAAAACTAAGACATAAACATGCCCATTAGCCTAGGCTTACACAGGGTCAGGATCATCAATATCACTGTCTTCCACCTCCACATTTTGTCCCACTGGAAGGTCTTCAGGGACAATAACATGCATAGAGCTATCATCTCCTATGATAATAATGTCTTTTTCTAGAATACCTTCTAAAGGACCTGCCTGCTGCTGTTTTACAGTTAACTGTTTTTTATAAGTAGAAGGAGTGGCCAGACAGGGTGGCTCATGCCTGTAATCCCAGCACTTTGGGAGGCCAAGGCCAGCGGATCACTTGAGCTCGGGAGTTCGAGACCAGCCTGGGCAATATGGCAAAACCCTGTCTCTGCAAAGACTACAAACAAAAATTGGCTTGGTGTGGTGACATGGGCCTGTAGTCCCAGCTACTCAATAGGCTGAGGTCGGAGGATCACTTGAGCCCAGGAAGTTGAGGTTGCAGTGAGCTAGGATTGCACCATTGCACTCTAGCCTGGGCAACAGAGTGAGATTCTGTCTCAAAACAACAACAACAAAAAAAATTAGATGTACATTCTAAAATAACAATTAAAAGTATAGAATAGTAAATGCATAAACCAGCAACGTAGTCGTTTATCATTATGAAGTATTATGTAGTGAACATAACTGTATGTGCTAGACTTTTATATGACTAGCACTGCAGTAGTTTTGTTTACACCAGCATCACCTCAGCACATGAGTAATGCAAGACTTTAGAACAATTACAAAGTCACTAAGCAACAGGAATTTTTCAGTTTTATTATAATCTCATGGGACCAGTGTAATCTATGGCCAAGATGTTGTTATGAGGTGTGTGACTGTAGATATGTTTTTATTTTTATTTTATTTATTTATTTTTTGAGACCGAGTCTTGTTCTATCACCCAGGCTGGAGTGCAGTGGCGTGATCTAGGCTCACTACAACCTCCACCTCCCAGGTTTGAGCGATTCTCCTGCCTCAGCCTCCCAAGTAGCTGGGATTACAGGTGCTTGCTACCACACCTGGCTAATTTTTGTATTTTTAGTAGAGATGAGGCTTCACCATGTTGGTCAAGCTGGTCTCTAACTCCTAACCTCAGGTGATCCACCCGCCTCAGCCTCCCAAAGTGCTGGGATTACAGGTGTGAGCCACCACACCCAGCCTGTAGATATGTTTTTAATCAAATATTGTTTTGCCCTAATTTCAGGAAGCAGTTTATTTTAATACAAAAGATATTAAAATATTTGAATATCTCCAGCATGGCATGCACCCATGGGCATTTTAGACAGGCAGCCCCTCAAGGGGGTTGAGGGCTGAACCTTGTGCCCTGGGCTGGGCGGGCTGGGAGGTTATCTGAGATGGACATCTTATCCATGGCAAAAGACATAACTTACTGGGTCTCAATATCTTCATCTATAAAGTGGGGATGGAATTATTTCTTGTCTCCAGAGGGTGTTGCTTTGAAGTAATTAAATAATACTCCTCTATAATTAGAGTGTGCTAGCATGTAGTAAAAGTTCAGCGCACGTTTACTGTATTATTTTCATCAATAATTTGAACAAAACCATACAGTTCTACTCAGCCATCCCTCAAAAATAACTTCAATGCCATTCAATATTTTAAATCTTCAATTGTTAGCTGTATGCTAGAAAGTGTGATAACATCGGGTACATAATTGTAAACTGTGGTAGCTTTTTTTTTTTTTCTTTCAGGAAATTTTAAGGGAGGGTTTCTGAACTGCAGAACTGCTGATATTTGGGGCTGGATTCTTTCTTGTGGAGGGCCATGATATCTATTGCAGGGGTGATATGATTGGAATCTGTGTCCCTGCCCAAATCTCATGTCAAATTCAGCAAGTTATCATCACCTCTTTTCTTTTTTGTCTGCATACTTTCCATGCATTAAGGCAAAAAGGTCATCAACATATCCCTAACCACACTCTAAAAAAATAATAATTAAATGTCACTAATCACAATGCAATAAAATTATATATTTTCAACATAGGACAAACAATTAAAAATATAAACCCTCTGTATTGAGAATTAAATAGCATTCCTCCAGATAAATGATTAGGCTAATAATTAAAGCAAAACTTTAATTAGAATTTTAATCAATTAGAAACAAGCATTAAAGACAAATTCATATAGGAACCTCTAAGGAATGGCTAAAGTAGTGTTCTGAGTAAAAGCTCCATACTAGAAACATTTATTTGGCATCAAGAAAGAATACAAATCCAATGAATTATGCATTGAACTTGGGAAACTAGAAATAAGTAAAGCAAAAAGAAAGCCAAAGAAAGTAAAAGGAGGGACTAATAAAAACACAAAAAGAAAATGAGAACATGGTTGTTAAAAGATTTGGCAAAAGGATTTAATTTCTCCCTCAAAGCAACACTAATTAATCCTGCTAGAATTGCATTTTCATTCTGCCATAATAGCTGGATCTGCATGAGTTACAGTGAAAATGTTTTTGTTGTTGATGTAGGATAGAAATCAAGATCAAATCCAGGGCTGGAAGGGGTGGCTCGTGCCTGTTATCCTAGCATTTGGGGAGGCTGAGGTGGGAGGATTGCCTGAGCCCAAGTGGTTGAGGCTTCAGTGAGCTGTGAGTACACCACTGCACTCCAGCCTGAGCAACAGAGCGAGACTGTGTCTCAAAAACAAACAAAAACTCAAATCCTGGAGGGGCCAGTGCTTAGTTAGGGTTAGAGTCAGGGAAGGCTTTTTTGGGCTTAAATTTTGGCTTCACCAATCATGAGATACAGACATTATTTACTATTCCTGGGTCTTTGTTGACAAACAGAAAGTTCAGGTATATTGTGTCCATAGGTCAGCTGATGCATAAGAGAGGTTGATGAAGGTGAAATACTAGTATACCAAGATTAAGAAAATAATATTCTTTAATTATATATATATATATCACATTTTTAAGAGGTCCTCAGGGTATTAACTACCCAAATAAAGGTGATTTCCATCAAGGGCTAGAAATCTGTCTGGCTGAATGGCATGCAGTAAATCAAATATCAGAGTAGGAAAAATGGAATTTATACAGCCTGGGGAAGGAACTTAGCAGTCATTTAAAGGGGAACATAAAGTGTGTGGTGAATGCTGCTCTATGTTTTTACTGTGGGAATTCATAAAAGGAAGCAGGCTTAAAATATTACCTCCCGGAGGCTATAACCTCCAGCTCAGATGTAAAGGAAAAGAGCATTTTCTCTCCTCCCGTGAGTCCCGTAGTGGTGCCAATACACATCTCAAGCTTGTAGGTGGCCATAATATGTGAATTAAATGGTCTCTTCCTGATGTTTGCCTTTGGTGTGGTCACGTGAACATGGTATCTTGGGAAACAAGTTCCATAAATAAGCGACGTTTGGGTTTTGGTTAGGGTAGGATTTTTGTGCTTAAATTCTGGCTCAATCATTTTGTTCATATGCTTCAAATATTTCACTATTTTGTTCGTATACTTCCAAAAGGATTTGAAGTAACTTATTACAAATTGCAAATTAGAAATGGACTGATATTGTTAAATGTGAATGGAAGAATGAATACTGTCTAAATAGTTAAATAACTCTAACTAATATGTACTATGATGGTTAATTTTGTATGTCCACTTGACCAGATTAAGGGATGCTCAAATAGCTGGGGAAACATGATTTCTGTGTGTGTCTGTGAGTATGTTTCTGGAAGAGATTAGCATTTCAATCAGTAGACTAAGTGAAGGTCTGCCTTCACCAACGTGGGTAGATGGGTATTGTCCAATCAGCCAAAGGCCCAAATAGATCAAAAAGGTGGAGAAAGGAAAAATTTACTCCTAGCTTGAGCTGAGATATCCATCTTCTCCTGCCTTTGGACATCAAACCCCTCTGTTTTCAGGTCTTCAGACTTGCGCTGTAACTACACCACCTGCTTTCCTGGGTCTCTGGCTTACAGACAGCAGACTGTGGGACTTCTCAGCTTCTCAAACCACATGAGTCAATCCCTCATAACGAATATCTTTCTTTTTAAAATTATTTATTTGTATGAATTTAAGGGGTACAAATACAATTTGTTACAGGCATAGACTACACAGTGATCAAGTCAGGGCTTTTAGGATATTCATTACCCAACAAGTAATTTCTCATCCTCTACTGCCCTCCTACCATCCCACCCTTCCAAGTCTACAGTGTCTATTATTCTACTCTCTATATCCATGTGTACAAATTTTTTAGCACCCACTTGTGAGTGAGAACATGTGGTATTTATGTTTCTGTGTATGGCTTATTTTACTTAAGATAATGGCCTCCAGTGCCATCCATGTTGCTACAAAAGACACGGTTTCATTCTTTTTTATGACTAAATAGTGTTTCATTGTGTGTATGTGCCACATTTTCTTTATCCAGTTCTCTATTGATGGATACTGAGGTGGATTCCATTTCTTTGCTATTGTGAATGGTACTGCAATAAACTGTTAAGTGCAGGTATCTTTTTGATATGTTTATCTTTATATATTCTGTTGGTTCTATTGCCCTAGAGAATCCTGACTAATACATGTATCTAAGTCATTTGGGCTTATTTCTTTTTTTAAAAGAAAAAAGTTGTATTTTTATCAAAAGCAAATTTTACAAACCCAGCCTATGCTTAAAGAAAAAGATCATGAACAATGATCACAATTGGAAACCTTTTACTAGGCTTTTCCTGGGATGATGCAGCAGGCATACTGTCCACCTCAAGGCACTTGACTATAGTGAGAGCCATGGCCATTGGAAAATTGTCTTTGCAAAGTGATGTTTATGTTTGCAGATTGAAATCCACTCTGGCTTCTGCTCTCTGGTTCTCAGGCACTCTCAGCTGCAACTTGGTCTGTGGCTCACTGCTGTCTCTGAGTCCTGCAAGGCTGCTGGGCCAGTTTGATGTCTACAGGGGGTCTAGGAGGCTGCTGGGTACTAAAGACCAGGTGGGAGGGAGTCTTGGGTTCAGAGCTCACTGCCCCTTTATTGCAGGAACTGCACTGAAGAGTTCAGAAGTGTTAGGGGCTGATGCTCCTTGAGGATAATTTTGAAAATACGGGGGTTTCTGACAATAATAACTTATTCTCTGCTTTTCCCCTTGAGAGAGTCTTTGGTAGCCAGGGCTTCATGAAACCTCTATGAAGAGACTGTGCTCTCAGCTTGTCCTGAAGGTGTGGCCAGCTGGGTAATTTGCACACTGAGATTCACCTCTCTCTCCCCATTGTACTTCATTTGCCCCTCACTTTTCTTCCCTGGAATTGCATTTGCTGAAAATGTGTTCGTACACAAGTTTTATTGCCTCAAATTCTGTTTCCTATAAGCCTAGGCAAAGATGAAGTTCTTTTGTATTTTTTAATAAAAATGTAAAATTTTAATAATAAACCTATAAAACATAAGCAAATTGAAGAAAAATGCATAATTACATATATACATACGCATACATACATTATTTTATATTTATATTTATATATATGGTATGTACACTAACCTCATGTGCAATAAAACCAACTAAAATAGAAGAATCCAGGCTGGGCGCAGTGGCTCATGCCTGTAATCCTAGCACTTTGAGAGGCTGAAGCAGGAGGATTACTTGAGCCCAGTTCAAGACCATTCTGGGCAACAAAGGGAGACCCTATTTCTACAGATCATTAAAAAAAAATAAGGGCTGGGTGTGGTGGGTCACACCTGCAATCCCAGCACTTCGGGAGGCCGAGGCAGGTGGATCATCTGCAGTCAGGAGTTCAAGACCAGCCTGGCCAACATGGCGAAACCCCGTCTCTACTAAAAATACAAAAATTAGCCAGGCGTGGTGGCAGGCACCTGTAATCCCAGCTACTTGGGAGGCTGAGGCATGAGAATCGTTTGAACCCAGGAGGCAGAGCTTGCAGTGAGCCAAGATTGCGCCACTACACTCGAGCCTGGGGGAAAGAGCGAGACTCTGTCTCCAAAAAAAAAAAAAAAAAAAAAAATAGCCAAGCATGTTGTGCACACCTGTGGTCCCAGCTACTACTCAGGAGGCTGAGGCAGGAGGATTGCCTGAACTCAGGAGGCTGAGGCTGCAGTGAGCTGTGATTGCATCACTGCACTCCAGCTTCAGAGAGAGACCCTGTCCCAAAATTAAAAAACAAACAAACAAACAAACAAATAAATAAAACACAAGAATCCTTATGTCCAGATTGCTCAGGAGAAGATACAATTAAAATAACCTTTCATATTAAAATTTGGGTTCTTCCAAAAGGCAAAGATCAAGCTTTAATTTTTTTTCTTTGTATGTAGATGAATCTGTGATCCTCAGTGGGAAAAATTGAGAGTTTCAACATGAAGTGTTTTTATTTTTCCTCTGAAACTTGCTTTTTACTTAGAAAAGAAGAAGTCAAAACTTCATAACCATACGATGAGAAAAACAAAGACAACTGCTAACGATTGTTTATCTACTTTCTGTTAAGTCAGCTATTTTCCTAGCCTTATGAAGGGTAATTTTTATTTCTGAATAACATTCCCATGACTTTGTATCAAAAGCCCCCAGATTATGCAAGCACTTATGTTTCTTGGCCTCATTTTTTGTAAACTATTGGAAAGAGATGGCCACTTCTAAAACTTGTCGGGGCATATCATTTAAGGCTATTTGTTTACTGTGGTTTTAAAAAATAAAACTCAAGAAAAATGTAAAGCTTCTAAATTTGGTGTATTAAGACACAACTAGTTTTATATTAAAGTTATCAATAAAGAAATTAAAATGGATTTCAATTAAAATGTAACTACACTCATTAGAGTGACTATAATCAATGACAGAAAGTGAGTATTGACTAGAATGTGTAGAAATTGGAATACTCGTATATGGATGAAATGGTTCAACTGCTATGGAAGACAACATAGAAGTTCCTCAAGAAGTTAAACATGACATGACCATACGATCAACTCAGATAATCCTGAGCCATCTACAAGTAGCAGAAAAGTAAAAGGAAAAGCAAATGCAAGAAAGTCTCAGTGAATAATAAAGTTGCTACTTTTAAGTTAGCAAGAACTTCCTGATAGAAGTTAGTAGAGTACTATTTAGGGATAAAATCACATATAGAAAGAGTGTTTCCTAGTTCCTAGTTTCTACTCCCAGGAAGGCATGGGCTTGGCTGTCAACCATGATGAAAGAAAATCTAGACTTCACTTTCAGAGCTGGAACGTAAATGAATAGCTAGTGATGGCCGAATAAATGATTAAGCAATCCTACTCATAAGTATATACCCAGAAGAATTAAAAACAGGGACGCAGACAGCTCCCTGCGCACATACACTCATGGCATCATTGTTCATAATAGTCAAGAGATGCAATCAAGCCAACGTCCTTCAACAGATGAGTGGATAAGCAAAATGTTGCATATGCATAAAACAGAATAGTATTCAGCCCTAAATAGTCATAAAGTACTGATGCATGTCAAATGTGTATGAACCTCAAATACATCATGCCAAGTGAAAGAAGCCAGATACAAAAGACCTCATAATGTATAATTGTTTGTAGAAAGTATCCAAAATAAGTCAATCCATAGAGACAGAAAGTAGATTATAATTGTCAGGGGCTGGGAGGAGGAGAAAGGACTAGGAATTGAATGCTAACGGCTATGAAATTCATTCTGGAGTGCCACAAATGTTGTGGAACTAGAGAGAGGTGATTGTTGTATACCATTGGGAGTGTATTAAAAGATAGTTCTAAAATATGTAACGCAAAACTCCTTTCATTATTTTCTACTCTGTCTCCCTTTTCCCAATAGGGCTGTATAAGTAAAGAATATGCAAGGCAGAGCAGTAAACTCAGAAAACATTGAAACATCTATAACTAGCATGAAAATAAAATAAAAAGCAAACACAAGAAAATGTTGGTGAATAACAAAGTTGCTGCTTTTAAGTTAGTGGGATTTCCCTGATAGAGGTCAGTAAACTATTATTTGGGGATAAAATCACATACAGCTCAGAAAGAAGTGTTTCCTAGTTCTCCCAGGAAGGCGTAGGCATGGCTGTCAGCTATGATGAAAGAGAATTCCAGATTTTGCTTTCACAGCTGAAACGTAGATAAATAGCCAGTGATGGCCGTATAAATAAGAAGCCAGTACCTCCAGAGAAACACACACCCAGACAGGCCATTACGATTCACCCCATGGTTCTCATTTTGCTGTTTGGACAGAGTCTCTACATGAAAGGCTTGTGTAAAAAGCTATTGATATTGCCACCACGGCAGGGCAGCCCACCTGCCCATCTCGTCTTATGCATCACCACTGTGAGGACTCTGATGTGAATTCCAATCAAATTCATGATGGAAAATCACTCAGGGCTGGGGATTTTCCCATGCTTGATATTAACCCAATAACACCATAACCTGTCACTGCAATGAATCATTGACAAATTACCCAGCATGTGCTGTTGCTTTCTTCCAAACTTGTTTTATAAATAGCAGATGGAAATGCTTAGTGGGTTCTCACTGGATACGTTGTCTCTGTGCAGTTGACTACGTCTGAAGTCTTTACACAGAGGGTTGTGCTCTGGGAAACTGGTAACCCGACGCGATCCCAGAGGGGAAAATGAAGGTACAGCAGCCCTAAAATTACAGATACAGTTCGAAGAAAGAGATTTCTTTTCCTTTAGAAAACACTTGATTTCAGAGCATGCATCCATTTCCAGTCTAACCCAATTCATCAGAAAAAATAGCTCTCTGAATATATTTCTGACTATTTCAATGTGGATTCCTTCTATTGTTAAGAAGATATAATGGTAAGTTTGTTTAATATTCATATATTAAGTTTTTCAAGAAGGACAAAAAAGATGAATATGTTGAAACATATAAAATATCTATTTTGCTCTTCCAGAAATATTCCCTAGGAATCAGAAAAATGTCTTTTCTTTTATTCACTGTATTTTCTATTCTCACAAGTGCAGCATATGTAGAATGTGGTGGTGGTGGTGGTTTGGTTATAATCTCTAGGGAGAGACTTCACAATGTCCCATTAAGCTCCCAGAGGCTAAGGTTACCTGGTTAAGAGGCAAAATGAAAGATGAGAGTAAAATCTGCCTGTAATCCAGTTTTGTAAACAACTTAATTGAGGTAACCATGATAACACGTGAAGTTTGTTTTTCTAGGTCTGAGTTTCTGTCCACCTGAAGTTTCAAAGCTAGATGTTGTTAACATAGTAAATTAAGCAGAATCGGAAAACAGTTGCCATAGTATGGCATGGGTGGACACTTTCATGAGCTGATAACTTGATTCGAATATGTAAGCATGTTAAAAGTCTGTTTTCCACATAATAACTGAATCTTTCACATAACCTGGATGAAATGAGATATACTAAATACATCAATAAACATCAACAGCTTATTTACAAAACAGTCAGCTGCACTGCAGCAGGGATTCCTTTCCTTAAGATTAATTTTCTTCTGCTTTGTTTTCAATCTCCTTTCTTGGTGACTTATCTCTTCCATGGAGTTGCTGAAAAGATTTTTATTTACGTATGTATTTATTTTTTTTCAACTTTTACTTTAGTTTCAAGAAATGCATGTGCAGGTTTGTTACCTGAGTATATAGCATAACACTGAGGTTTGAGGTAGGGATCCAGGTAGTAAACATAGCACCAAATAGGTAGTTTTTGAGTCCTTGCCCCCATCCCTCCCACCACCCTCTAGTATTCCCCAGTATCTATTGTTCCTATCTTTATGTCCACGAGTACCCAATTTTTAGTTCCTACCTATAAACAAGAACATTCAGGTTATGTTTTTTTTTTCATAAACGAGAACATTTGGTTTTCTGTTCCTGCATTAATTCACTTGGGATAATGGCCTCCAACTCTATCCATATTGCTGCAAAAGATGTGATTTTATTCTTTTTCTTGACTGTGCAGTATTCCATGGTGTATATATACCACATTTTCTTTATCCAGTCCACCACTGATGGGCACCTACGCTTATTCCATGTCTTCGCCATTGTGAATAATGCTGTGATGGCCATGCACTTGCATGTGTCTTTTTGGAAGAATGATTTGTTTTCTTGAAAAGGTTTTGAATGATGAAAATGGACCCAGTATACCTCTGGAAATTCAGAGCCTCCTAAACCACTCCATTCATCCCACCTGCCTTACAAAACCTTCGAAGTTGCTAATAGTTAGAAATCAAAAGAGAAACTTTTGCTGCTTCTATTTTAGAATTAGGAATGGAAAAGAAAGTTTGTAAGTATCCCAGGGCACTGGATCTCAGAGTGGCAGCATGTTAATAGCCCAAAAGTCTTGTAGAGAATTAATAAATGTAATAAATATTATTGGTCTATTGCATATATTCTTGCCATTGGAAAACAAAAACCTGCAGCCAGATCCTTACAATGTATTATTTGATAATTTGAAGCCAACATTCGTTGTTACCTGCCTCATGCAGCTGGCTGTGTGGAGAAGTTTTTTAGCTTTCCAGCCACATTCAGCTGTCAGGGGCAGTGTGAGAGCCAGCAGGGAGTTCACTGTAAGCCCTGCAAGGTTTTTCCAGGTTAGTGCCACGGAGAGGGAGAAACGCGCGAGAGAGATTGAAATAAATTACTACGGAGCCTACACCAGGGATGTACAAAGTGAAAAAATGAGGCACGTGGGGGAATTATGAAAAGAAGGAGAAGGCAGTGCAGTGGCCCAGGTTGGGAATACATCATTCAAATCTTGGACTCTTGTTGCTAGAAGGGGGATGAGCAGAAAGAGAAGCAGGTGATAGCCGGAGAACTGGTGGTGAAATGGAAATGATGGATGGGGGAAAATGACTGTAAGAACAATTTTTAAAAATAAGTTGCAGAATCTTCTCTCTGTTCCTTTGACAACATCAAGCCACTTTCTGAGGAAGAGCCATTGTAGACATCCCTGACTTGTTTCCATCTGATGTCTTCCTATACTAGAAAAATTTGCCAACTATCTGCCACCTTTGGCCAGCTGTCTAGATCCAAGCAGTGATGCATGTTTTTTCCTATTTCAAGTTTCTTTGGTGGTTTTGGGGTAGACTGAAGAACACGTGTTCTAACAACCATTTTGCAGAAGTCATAATCGTCATTTCTGCAATAACTCCAGACAGACATGATGTTTCAAACATGCCGGGTATGTTTGAGGACTCTCAAATAAATCATTTTCTATAAAAACATACAGAATTGGCTTTTAAGGTGATCTTTTTATTCAGTTGGGAAATAGCTGTCTGGTCATTGAGATAAATGAATAGACAACAGGATGCTTCTTTCTTCTTCACTACATGTGTTGGTTCTCTTGGAGTGGTAGTGGGTGATCAAGTCTGAAATCCAAAAGGCAGAAATAGAAATACATACAGATAGATAGAAAGATAGATAAAAATTAATGATGAATGAGATTATAATTCTATTAATTAAAATAGTACATCTATATATTTTACATAACTATTTTTTACATATTACAAAATAATTCCATAATTGCTTTTATGTATTAAAAATATCTTGCTGCTTTTTTCTTATAGGGTACTGTGTGGTGTTTAAACATATGTATACGTGGTGGAAGGATTAAATCAAGCTAATTACTGTATCTATCACCTTATACACTTCTCATTTTTGCAGTGAGAATGTTTAAAATGTGCTCTGTTAGCAAATTTCAAGCATAAAATACATTATTATTAATTATCATAATCATACCGTGCAGTAAATCTTAAAACCTCATGATAGTAAAATACATATAACCTAAAATTTAGCATTTTAAACATTTTAGAGTATGCAATACAATGGCATTAAGTACATTTCCAATACTATGCAGCCCTTACCACTGTCTGGATTCAGAGAAATATTTTTAATTAACAGAAAAACTTATAATAAAAATTTGTAGAAGTTTTAATAAAATTATTAGAGCAATAAAATAATTTAAAAGAAATAATAAAAAAGAAAAGGTTCAATAAAAATTTGTATTCAGTAGTGATCGGATATCACCTTCACTACCTTTTTGCTGTTGAGATGTTTTCCAACATCTCAGTGGCAGCAGTGGCCAGTTTTGAAGCTGGCCTCTCCCAGCCCCTAATTTAGGAGTGGGGACAAGGACTCACTCCTATGGGTCATCTGTGACCAGGGGTCATCATGGGTGGTCAATGGCTTCGCACTATGAACAGAGTGTGATACAAAATGAGGTGGCCTGACTCACAGCTTTATACCTGAGCTGACTGATCATGAGAGCAGTTCCCACTATTCTTATTTGGGGAACCAAAAGCTATAGTTGGATTTAACCACCAATAGAAATATTAAGACATGTTGAGGTATAGACCAATGGAACAGAACAGAGCCCTCAGAAATAATGCCACATATCTACAACTATCTGATCTTTGACAAACCTGACAAAAACAAGCAATGGGGAAAGGATTCCCTATTTAATAAATGGTGCTGGGAAAACTGGCTAGCCATATATAGAAAGCTGAAACTGGATCCCTTCCTTGCACCTTATACTAAAATTAATTCAAGATGGATTAAAGATTTAAATGTTAGACCTAAAGCCATGAAAACCCTAGAAGAAAACCTAGGCAATACCATTCAGGACATAGGCATGGGCAAGTACTTCATATCTAAAACACCAAAAGCAATGGCAACAAAAGCCAAAATTGACAAATGGGATCTAATGAAACTAAAGAGCTCCTGCACAGCAAAAGAAACTACCATTGGAGTGAACAGGCAACCTACAGAATGGGAGCAAATTTTTGCAACCTACTCATCTGACAAAGGGCTAATATCCAGAATCTACAATGAACTCAAATTTACAAGAAAAAAACAAACAACCCCATCAACAAGTGGGCGAAGGATATGAACAGACACTTCTCAAAAGAAGACATTTATGCAGCCAAAAGACACATGAAAAAATGCTCATCATCACTGGCCATCAGAGAAATGCAAATCAAAACCACAATGAGATACCATCTCACACCAGTTAGAATGGCGATCATTAAAAAGTCAAGAAACAACAGGTGCTGGAGAGGATGTAGAGGAATAGGAACACTTTTACACTGTTGGTGGGACTGTAAACTAGTTCAACCACTGTGGAAGTCAGTGTGGCGATTCCTCAGGGATCTAGAACTAGAAATACCATTTGACCCAGCCATCCCATTACTGGGTATATACCCAAAGGATTATAAATCATGCTGCTATAAAGACACATGCACACGTATGTTTATTGCGGCACTATTCACAATAGCAAAGACTTGGAACCAACCCAAATGTCCAACAGTGATAGACCGGATTAAGAAAATTTGGTACATATACGCCATGGAATACTATGCAGTCATAAAAAATGATGAGTTCATGTCCTTTGTAGGGACATGGATGAAGCTGGAAACCATCATTCTCAGCAAACTATCGCAAGGACAAAAAACCAAACACCGCATGTTCTCACTCATAGATGGGAATTGAACAATGAGAACACATGGACACAGGAAGGGGAACATCACACACCAGGGCCTGTTTTGGGGTTGGGGGAGTGGGGAGGGATAGCATTAGGAGATATACCTAATGTTAAATGACGAGTTAATGGGTGCAGCACACCAACATGGCACATGTATACATATGTAACTAACCTGCACAATGTGCACATGTACCCTAAAACTTAAAGTATAATTTAAAAAAAAGAAATATTAAGACATGTTGAAATGCATAAGTTTTTAGGACCAAGATATCTGCATGCTGAAGAACATATCACACTCCCTTTGCATCCCAAGCTGCAATTTGTCAAAAATGATCTTTCAAGAATAGAATGGTTGCTGTGAAACCTGCTGGAGGGATTTCGATGCAGTGTTTGAAGCCATACATGCACAGATACATGAAGAATCACCCATGGCAAATGGCCAGGAACCCTACTGGCATGCAAGAATTCCCAAATGTCTCCTGATCTACCTGGAAAGGTTTATGTAAGCAAGAAGCAGAATGAGCAGTGAAAAAGTTTATTTAGAAAATAATGTTCCACTCAGAAAACTAGGATACTTTCAGAAAAAGAGCTTCCATGCTTCAGTTTTCATTAACAGAGATCTGTAAATGTGTTTCTCATTCTTATATTGGATACTGTTCTGTGTGTCTCATTTTGTTTTTGTGTATATTAGGAAGTCATACATAACCTGAAATTAGCAAAAAAATTAAAAAGAAGTCATATAAATGCTTAAAATTTGAATAGAGTGAATTAAACATCCTCTAAATTGTAAGGTTATTGATTTTAAGAATTAAATGCTGATTCCATAAAATTTAATATTTATTATTTGAAATTTATCAAAGCTCTTCAACATAAATAATATATTTTATTGTGAACTGAAGGCTACTTTGCAAATAGCAAAATCTGTCACCATGAAAATTGAAAAACTAATGTTTTTTTCCCTTAAAACTCTGAAAACAGATTTACGTAATATGTTGTCAATTTTTTTTTTTTCAAATTTCAATCTTCCTCTTTTCAGAAGGGCTGTTTGTTAGAAATATGAATTTGAAGAGCTTCCAGATATCCATTTATGTTTCCAAAAAAACACATATCTTCCAAATATGTATATTTGGAATAAGGAACATTTTTCATATGGCAAGTTTTAGGAATATTATCCAAAAAATGCATGAAAAATTTGTAGATTTTGATTGTAATGTTGTTTAAAAGGTCATATGAAAGACACTTTTACAGACAAAGCTATGAAAAGTACTATGCTAAAATTGGAGAAGAAATCAGAGTTTCAAGATACGTGTTCCTTTAGAAAACTAGCAAAGAGGCTCAACCTTTAGAAAAAATTCTCCTCTTCTATTCCTCATTAGTCAGGAGACCCATGGGCACTGCATCCACATTTAAGAGTTGAATAATATTTGCTGCATATCTAAACCCTTAGCAAAAATTCGCCCTCATAAGGAATCAACTCTTCTAACATTTATCTTGGACTTTCAGCCTTGAAAACTAAGAGAGAATACATTCCTGTTGTTTAACTTACTCTGTCTGTGGTGTTTTGTTACTGCAGCCATAGGGAACTCAAGGACAGGTGATATTAATCTGAATAAAATACCTTTTATTTAACCCAATGCATGCAAAATATTGTTATTTTAACATGTTATCAATATAAAATAAGAATGAGGTATTTAATGCACTTTCATTGTATGAAGAGTTAAAAGTTTGTTGTGTATTTTGAACTTACAGCACATCATGGCTGAGACTGCACACGTTTCAAGTGTGTGAGAGTCCCATGTAGCTAGGGGCTCCCATAATGGGGGGCCCACCTCTAATCAATATGGACAAGAGGCAGGGAAATACTAGGTAGAAAAGGGTGGGGTCCCTAGCAAGGGTTCCACCCTTAAGTCTGGACCCATGGCCCTAAATGGGAACTTCACATCCCTGTTTTCCCACCCGAATGTTGTCGTTTCCAAAACCACCCTGTCCTGCCCCACCCTTAACCCTGTACTCATAAAAACCCCAAGCTCCACTGGCAGGGGAACAGAGGCGAGTGACAGAGAAGGAGAGCAGAGAAGAAGCAGCCGGACATCGGAGAGAAGCAGCTTGACTTCAGAGGGACAGCTTGACGGTGGAACTTTGGAGAGGAGTTCAGCTGGTGATGGGCGAACTCCAGGGGAAGATTATCTTCCTGCTTAATTACCCTTCCAGCTCCTTTTCCCGTTGAGAGCCACTTTCATCGCTCAATAAAATCCTCCATGTTCACCACCCCCCAATTTGTTCACGCAACCTCAGTCCTCCTGGAATTTGGACAAGAACCCAGGTGTGGGTGCAAGAGGCTGTCACGCTGACTCTCCACTGAGCTATTTAACACTTAAGCCATCAACGGACAGCAAAGCTAAGGGAGCGCACTGCAACACATGCTCTCTGGGGCTCCAGGGGTCACGGAGAACCCCTAGATGCTGCCACGGGGCCGGTACGGGATTTGTTTGCCCCAGAACCTGCACCCACTCACCTGTGTACTCCCACTCCTGCAAGGGGTTTGAGAGCTGTAGGCTGAGTAAGCGAGCCACCCCTTCATAAGTCCCAGGAACGGATCAAGGGAACTATCTTGTCTCATAATGAGGGTTTGTACTCAACACAGTTTCTCCCACACAATAGGCAATCCATAAAGCATGCTTGTTATAACACACAAAGCAAAATAAACCTACCAGGCAGCCGCAGGAATCATACACAGGGGTCATATGAGAAAACAAAAAACATGTATTTCACTTTTTTCCCTTTTCTTGTTTTTTTAAAAAAGTGCACCCCACTTCCAGCACTCATTTAATTTTACATAAACATTCTCTTTGAGACTGAAGCAAATCTGAATGATTTTCAATGTGAAAATAAAATATAAAACCTGTTCTCGGAGTTATTTCTCAAGAGAAGTCACATCAGAACAGTCTGAATCATCAGAATTGTCATTTCAGAAAAATCGGATTCATCAAATGAGTCTTTGTCTAACAACTGTTGGAGAACGATGTTAATATCACATATAGTAATGCTACATTTTCTAGGATTCGACATTTTCAGTGATTGAGAATTACTGTATTTTGTAAATGGAAAATCACTACTACAAACAGAATGCTATAAATAGAATGATGTCTTTTGTTTCCAAAGTCGATATAACAAGGTGATGCAAAAATAATAACAAAAGCGAGATATTTCATGGCAAAGTTATCTCAGGGCAAACGCAGCAACCGCCAGCACCACTGGCAAGTATTTTCAGGGCAACTGGGAAAAAGGTTAAGGAGAGAATAATCTTTGAACAATCACAACTCAATCACAAGAAAAGCTTTCCACAAGCCAACTTGGCTTCTCCGGGAATTCTTTTATAGTTCTTTTTGGTGTGGGTGACTCTCCTTCAATTGGTGGATTTTTGTCGCCTTTTGTGGGGAATACCATACAAATACCTACCCTGGCTGATGCCATCTGAGGTCAACCTTCATGCCTACAATTTTATGCCACTGTTCAAAACATGCCAATTGGAATTCAAGGAAGAATATGGTAACTGGCTGACTGCAGAACCTAGATTCCTCTTCTCACCAGTTTTCTTTGCAAGAGTTATTGTGACCCAGAGGAGGTTAGAGAGGAAGAAATTAGAGGATGGTGACTATTTGCTTTTAAAATTTGATATTTGTTTTGTTGCAGTTTCTACAGTTTTAGCATCCCTTTGGATGAATTTTTTTGGTAAGTCACTAACAAATTATATAAATGATTACAAGTTAATTGATTTGATGTCAGTTTCTGTCCATTGTAAACATCCAATTGGATGTCTCCAATAAATCTTGCCAATATTTCATTATTGAAAGCACCGAGCAATTGCTTTTACCTTGTGAGAGAAGCTACAGGCAGTATGCAAAAAAAAAAAAAAAAAAAAAAAAAAAAGCATGTCTGTGTTCCAATAACACTTTATTTAAAAAAAATTAAAAACAGCAGGTTTGATTTGGTGCTGTTTTGAATGATTAAAAACTAAATGTAATTGTAAAAAAATTAAAAACACTTATGTAAATTAAAACACATAAAAATCACATTACAAGTAAATGTTTCATGTTTCCAAAAGTTGGGTTTTGCTTAAATATATAAAAAGGCAATAAAAAGCAAAATATAAAATTGTAGTGAATAAATATTAAATTTTATAAATTGAATGATTTAAGTAATATTGGAGCTTTCAATTTATGTTTTAAACATGAACTTTAGTCTAAAATTTAATATTTTAACATTCATTTGGTAGCTAAAGGAATGATGACCACAATTTCCATGTAATATCCATGTAATATATTGAACTCCATATATACATGTATACCTGTGTTCTATATATGTGAAATACATACAACACATATACATATACTCGTACGTATTATACACGAATATCCACATATGTTTATACATGCAATATAATTTTTTTATATTGCAACTTGTTGTCAGTGACCTTGTGCAGCTTTTGGAGACACCATGCTAATTTGTAAGTACATCTAGAACCACAATATAGAAAATGAAGAAAGGGAGTAAACATTTACTGGGCAGTGCTAGGAAATTATCTTTTTTTTTTTTTTTTCTTGAAACAGAGTCTTGCTCAGTCGCCCAGGCTAGAGTGCAGTGGTGTGATCTTGGCTCACTGCAACCTCCACCTCCCAAGTTCAAGTGATTCTCCTGCCTCAGCCTCTAGAGTAGCTGGGATTACAGGCGTGCACCACTATACTTGGTGAATTTTTGTACTTTTGGTAGAGACAAAGTTTCATAATGTTGGCCAGGCTGGTCTCGAACTCCTGACTTCAAGTGATCTGCCCGCCTTGGCCTCCCAAAGTGCTGAGATTATAGGCATGAGTCACCACATCCGGCTGGAAATGATCCTTTTTATTCAACCATCCTCTGCATCTGAGGATCCTAGGTATTTTCTGGAAAGAGGATGATGGCTTCACAGTCTAGGTGGTCAAGCCTACGATATTACGTAGATGCTTATAGAACCATTTACGATGCAACTACTTGTAAAGAGAAAAGTCATTCTTAGCCAGAGCTTACACTTTAGGTGTCTATTCTGCATTTTCACTCTGAGAACAAGTGTTTGACAAAGTAACATTTATTTTATTTATTTAATTAATTAATTAATTAATTTTTTGGCCATTCACCTAAACACTTCTGCGACTCAGACCCTTCCACATACCAAAGCAGTAAAGCAATGTCCATCTCAGAAATGTCTAAGCTATAACTCACAGACCTTAGGGGCATTGAAACAAGTCACCTCTGGTTTCAGGAACATTCATTGGTCAAACTTGGGAAGGTTTTTGGAGGCATAAAAGGTGTTAGTCATGAGAACAGATGCTCAGGGAGGCAGTTACACCATGTTTGAGTTGAGCCCTGGATCCCAAGTGACAGGTTCCTGTTGTCCATCCTTAATCTCATATGCATTTAATTGTTGACTTCTGTTTGTGATGCACAGTGCCTTCTAAGGCATAGGTTCCAGGCTAAGGATGTTTTCTGTCCAGGTGTGGGAACTGTATTGTATTATGGGATTTGGGATTTAGAAGAATAATTAACAGTTTAAAATATTATTTTAAAAAATGTATTGATACATAATATTTGTACACATTTATGGGGTAAATGTGATATTTTGTTACATGCATAGAATTGTGTAATGATCAAGTCAGGGTATTTAGAGTATCACTATTCTTTAAGCTTTGTAATTGGGTCTGATTTTCATAATTACTCATTTAAAAAAATAATATCTAAAATAAGGTAGACCTTCCCTCCTAGAATTGCTCTGAGGAATAGGATAAGCACATTTTCCCAGTCTCTGAGGAATGAAAGATGACTTCACAGGGAAGATGTGATTTAGACTAAATCCTAGAGATTAAGATTATCAGGGGTTTCAAGCAAAGGAAATAGCACAAATGAAGTAGTGAGAAAAGTAGAACTTTAAGTTCTAAAATGACATTCAAGGAAATATCCTGAGATGGGGAGAGGTATTTCTTGGCTAACTTGAGGGCAGGAAGTCATATGCAATTCCTTACATCTACTAAGCATTCAGCGAATGCTTCCTGCAATCAATTATTCAATCAATCAATCGATCAATCAATCATCAGTCAGGTAATCAATGATTGAATAGATGACAGGCTTCAACTTAATCTCCCCGGTAAACCTGTGGTCATATGAGCAACTCAAGGAAGGAAATAACTGCACATGCATATTTTAGGTGCCTAATTTTGTTGGCATGAATTGGTATCTGGGAGGAGATTCTGCATTAATGAAAGCTCTGAATTTTAGCTGTGCTTGGGAGCTGGAGAGAAAGAGCAAATTATAAAGAGATTTAGGGAAATCTAATATCCTAAGACTTCCATTACAAAGAACAACAAATTGGGCAGTTTAAAACAACAGAAATGTATTGTGTCACAATTCTGGAAGCCATAATTCCAAAATTCTAGAGACAGGTGCCTTTCTGGATTTAGCATCCAGCAGTGCAAGGTAATAAAGACGGTGAAGATAAAAACATATCAGGAAGTAATGTTGCTTGTGCAGGCAACAATGGGTACAAGCCAGTAGTTCTTTATTTAATGGTCCAAGTTGCCCTGGACATGCATGAATAAAAGGAAATTACCATGCCCCGTTGGGAAGCAGAGATCCCTTCCCTTCCAATTTTATGAAAAGATGTTGCCAGGGTTTGTTCCATCTGGAGGTTCTGAGGAAGGACTCCTTCTTAGCTTCTCTCCTAGCTTTGGTGGTAGCCAGCAATTTTTGGCATTCCTGCCTTGAGGATGCATCACTCCAATCTCTAACTCTTCATCATACGGTGCTCTGTCTGTGCATCTCTGTCTTCACATGGCAGTCTACTCACTGGAACGTTAGTCATATTGGATTTAGAATCTACCCCACTCCAATATGACCTCATCCTAAACTAATTGCGTCTGCAATGACCCTATTTTCAAATAAGGTCACATAATGAAGTACTAGGGGTTAGTACTTCAACATATTTTGGGAATAAGGGAGGATACAATTTGATCCTTGAAAAGGAGGGTACAGCTCACATATCTTGGTATATAACATGGCATGAAAAATGTGAATTTAGGGAAATCATAACAAAGTCTCTAAGTGGGCATGTAGATGAACTTGATATTAATGAAAACAGAGATCATCAGAGAAATCGTATGTGTGGCATCAACTGGGTTTATAATGCCTAGAATTCTTTAGGAATCATTGGCAAAAGGGAGTTGAACTTAGAAGAATGCCAAACTCTTTGTGATCCACTCAATACAGTTGTCTTATTTCTTCCATCAAGTGATTATTGCACTGTGCAAGTACACAAAGAGAAGGTGGTTTTGCTTTATGTATAAAAAAGTCTCCAAGATTTATTGATGTATGACAAATGCATTGTACATAATACATTGTACATAAAGTGCATTGTACGTACAAATGCATTGTACACAATGGATTGTACATACAAGTGCATTCTACATAAAAATGCATTGTGCATCATGCATCATACATATATATAATGATACATATGGTATATCAATATATATGCAAAATAATGATGTAAATGAATTTGAATATATACTTTTGCTTTTATATTTATACAATATCCTGGGGTGGGAAAAATAGGTGTTGGAAATTTTGAAAGGAGAAGTGGAAGGAGTACTGAATATCATTTTGAGCCTCAGAACTTCATACTGTTTTATGGCTTCCATTATGCTTAATTAACAGTTGGCTTGAATATGACTATCAACCCTGTATGCACTTTTGTTGATATACTACTGAATCATCACCCTGAGTCTATGTGCATATCATCCTACGGTGATTTGTAGAAAGATGCTGAGATTGAATAATTCAGTGGCTGCGTGGATGGAGAACACCTTCCCTATCCTGACATATACTCTTTAAGCCCATGAAGCTAATTTAAAGTCTAACCTTACAGCGCCATAATGTCTCAAATAAAAGGAGAGGTGACAGGTGCATTTTTTGGATTTAGCATCCAGCAGTGCAAAGTAATGAAGGCGGTAAAGATGAAAATACATTGGGAAGTAATGTTGTTTGTGCAGGCAACAACAGGCGAACTGCCAGTAATTCTTTCCTAACTTCTTTATTTAATGATCCAAGTTGCCCTCGACATGCAAGAGGGAAAGGAGATTACCATGCCCCGTTGGGAAGCAGAGATCCCTTGCCTTCCAATTTTACAGTACATTGGTTTACAGCCAGGACTGTCTGTGTAATACTGGACTTTAAACAAACCATTTATCTCTGCAGTTCTTCTCTTGGCACTGGTCCATCGCTAGACAGAGTAAGTTTTACCGTGCTGCCAAGGCTCTGCCGTCTCGCCTCCCTCTGGAAGGCCACTTTACGTTAAATGCAGTGGAAGATGTTTGCTAAATTCCCAAGCAAATGCACAGTGAAAATGTGGAGGTGAAACCAGCAAAATAGGACCTTAAAGATGAACTCTGCATCTTCACTCTCATGAGTTGGGGAGGATGGGAGAAATCATTTGAATTCAGTTTAGTGAATTAGTGCTACATCAAATTATAATTCTGTAAAGTGCCTACATTTTAAAATACTGTTATCTTCAACAATGTTTTTCCACCATCAGAGACTTATGCTCCTACAGTTAGGGTTTCTCATTGTGCTTTTAATATAAATGTGTACTTAAAATATGCAGTCTTACATAGTAGAAAAATAAGGCATATTAAAGATTTATACCACATCAATAGGAGGATAGCCAATTTCCCCCACTCGTTCATTGATATGAAATACAGCTTCATATGAAGTTTCAGAGGTATACACACTATAAATTAAACTTCTTCAAAATGGTGACTATTACTCCAATCGGAAGGGAAGTGGGTGAGAGGAGATTGCAAAGATGTGAAAAAAGTGGGGTGCATTTCAAATACAGGTTAAAATTAACGTTATATGCGTTCACAAGATTCCACTGGAATTTAGAGACTACTCCTTGGCTCTCCAAAACACGAATTAGATAATGCCAGTTCTCTTGGCATTCATATCATGATCTAGTTTGTAAGTCATTATTTTAAATCCATTTCGACCATGTTTTATTGCTTTCATTGGGTAAATCTGAAAATTAATCCAAAGTGCAAACTAATAAAACAAACACTCACGAGCCCACCATTCAGAATAAACAAGCGTGAGTAGATTTATCCTCTTTTCTTCACATTTGTGTGTGTTTTATGGTTGCTGTGGTCATTGTTAATTCATAAGACTTTGTGAACATCATTGAAGCCCCCTTAGTTTTCAGTCCTGGTTTTCCATTTCCTTCATATTCAAAGACAACTACTTTGATGAGATTGGTATTCATTATTCCCACCATTGTCTATTTATAATTTTAATTTAAAAATGTACATCAATTTGAACAATGTTACAATTAGCTCTATAAGCATTTGTTTATTTAATTTTTTTTAAGTTCTAACCACATTGATAAGTATTGTAAGAGGTGATTAATGGATAAGATTATTATGTCTGGCCGAGTAGCATTGCTCATATCTGTAGTCCCAGTACTTTGGGAGGCCAAGGCGGGAGAATTGCTTGAGCTCGGGAGTTTGAGACCAGCTAGGGCAGCATAACAAGACCCTGTCTCTACAAAAAGTCAAAAAAATTATCCAGGCATGGTGGCACAAGCCTGTTGTCCCAGCTACTTGAGAGGCTGAGGTGGGAGGACCACTTGAGTCCAGGAGGTTGGGGCTGCAGTGAGCCATAATTGCACCATTGTACTCCAGGCTGGGCAACACAGTGAGACTCTGCTTCAAAAAAAAGTTAAAGATCCCCCCAAAAATAATTTTTAAAATATTAATAAATTAAAAATTAAAAAGATTATTATATCTAAGTCTATTTGTTCTTAAATGACTGGATATTATTTAAATAGGTGGAGCATTAAAAAAGATGCTGATAATAGGGTGGTGTTAAGGGCTGAATTGTGTCACTCCCCAAAAGACATGTTGATGTCCCAACCTCTGGTACTGCTGAATGTGAGTTTATTTGGAAATAGAGTCTTTGTAGATGGGGTCAAACTAAGACTAGGTCACTAGGATGCACCCTAATCCACATGACTTGTAAAAGAGGGTTTTTGAGACAGAGACACATATGCACATAAAGAGGGGGTTATATGAAGAGACACAGGGAGAACGCTATATAAAGACTGTGCAACAGGGCCACAAGCCAAGGAACATCTAGGGCTACCAGAATCTAGAAAGGCAAAGAAAAAGGCAAAGAAAAATCTTTCCCTAGAGGCTCAGTGGAAAGCGTGGTTCTGGTAACACCTTGATTTTGTGCTTCTGGTCTTCAGAACCATGAAAAAATAAATTTGTGTTGTTCTAAATCACCCAGTTTGGACCAGGCACAGTGGCTCATGGCTGCAGTTTCAGTACTTTGGGAGGCTGAGGTGGCAGGATCGCTTGAGCCCAGGAGTTCAAGACCAGCCTGGGCAACACAGAAAACCCAATCTCTACAAAACGTTAAAAAATTGGCCAGGCATGATGGTATGTACCTGTAGTCCCAGCTACTTGGGAGGCTGAAGCAGGAGAATAGCTGAAGCTTGGGAGGTCAAGGCTGCAGTGAGCCATGATCGCACCACTGCACTTTAGCCTGTGTAACAAGGCAAGATCCTGTCTCTAAAATAACCAAACAAATAAACCTAAAAACCTCACTCAGTTTGTGGTAGTTTGCTGTAGCAGCCCTAGCAACTAATACAGGTGGTCTACATGTCTTCTTGTGCATCAGGTAGGAACACTTCTAAGGGGGGAAGCTAGCAGTCCAACTTCTGAGCCAGAGTGTGTAACTCATTGTTTTTCAATTTTACTAAATAATTGTATATATCTCTCCCTACTGGTTGTAGCAATGTTTATTAAAAAAAAAAAAAAAAAGGATGAGAATCACTATTCTCTTGTAATCTTACACGTCATAGAGTTAGACTTTACATTTTTTATTCCTTTATGTATTTTTAATTGACAAATAACGATAGTATATATTTATGAGAACTTTGTGTGTTTTGTTTTGTTTTGTTTTTTTGAGACAGGATCTTGCTCTGTCCCCTAGGTTGGAGTGCAGTGACATGTTCATAGCTTGCTGCAGCTTTGACCTCCAGGGCTCAAGAGATCCTCCCACCTCAGCCTCGTGAGTAGCTGGGACTACAGGCACACACCACCACACCTGGTTAATTTTGTTTATTTTTTGTAGAGATGGGGTCTTGTTATGCTGCCCAGACTCGTCTCAAACTTCTGAGCTCAAGTAATCCTGCCACCTCAGCCTCCCAACAGGCATGAGCTATCATCCCAGCCTGAGACATTTAAAATCGATTATCTTAGCAATTTTCCAGTAGACAATACATTGTTGTTAACTATAGTCACCATGACTACAATAGGTCTCTTGAAATTATTCCTCCCATTTAACTAAACTTTTGTATCTTTTGACCAACCACTATTCTACTCTCTGCTTCTATGAGTTCAACTGTTGTAGATTTCACATATAAGTGAGATCATGCAGTATTTATCTCTCTGTGCCTGTCTTATTTCACTTAGCATAACATCCTCCAGGTTCATCCATGTTGTAGTGAATGACAGAATTTCATTTTTTAAGGCTGAATAGTATTCCATTGTGTGTAGGTATCACTTTTTCTTTTCCAAAGATGCTTAGGTTGATTCCCTGTCTTATCTGTTGTATGCAGTGCTGTGATGCATATGGGAGTGCTGATTTAATTTTCTTTGGCTGTATAGTGAGTAGTGAGATTGCTGGATCATATGGTAATTCTCTTTTTATAGACTTTACATTTTGTTAATTACATGTGTATAAGTAAATGTTATTTTCTATCATTAGAGAGATGCATAACATCTTTCCATATGTTTACTGGATGTTTCAATGTCATTGTAAGTAATGTGCTTATTCTCCTTTATGTTCTATTATCATTTTGTCTAATGTTTTAAATTGACTTTTAAGAACTATTTACATATAATTGGTTTTATTCTTTCGCCATTTATATCCCTTGCAAATTTATTTGCACATTTCTTGTTTTCCAGATGTGTTTAGGTAGTCTTTGACCACAAGATTTTTTTATTTTTTTGAGATGGAGTCTCATTCTGTTGCCCAGGCTGGAGTGCAGTGGTGCCATCTCGGCTCTCTGCAACCTCTGCCTGTCCAATTCAACTGATTCTTGTGCCTCTGCCTCCCAAGTAGCTGGGATTACAGACATATGTCAACACACCTGGCTAATTTTTGTATTTTTAGTAGAGATGGGGTTTCACCATGTTGGCCAGGCTGGCCTCGAACTCCTGACCTCAGATGATCCACCCGCCTAGGCCTCCCAAAGTACTCGAATTACAGGTGTGAGCCACCGTGCTGGCTTGACCACAAGATTTTATTTCAAAATCCATTTTATCATTCTTTCATTTAATATTTGCACTTTTTTCATCTTCTATTATAAAAATTATTCAATTCATAAATTAATTTTTTTGAAGTTTTAGTTAGTTAATGTATATTTAATTTATTGTGAGTAGCTATTTTGTTTTCTTTTCCATATGATAACCAATTGCCTCACATTTGTGGAAATTGCAAAATTTCATCTTTTATTTATAATACCATGTGTCTATATTTATGACACATATGTCTTTCAATGACAATCTGTGCATACATCTCATTCTATGCTCTCAAATTTTTAATTTTCTTTATATTCTTAAAACAGTTTGCACTGTATTAATTTGCTAGAGCTTCATAATAAGTCTATTTATGATTACGTAGTCAAGTCCCATGAAAAATGTGCATGGTGAATTCTGTTTCCAAAGATGTCCCATTCTCCCACCTCATAAATTCTTTAGCAATGTTGTCTTGACATTAAATACTGCAGTTCTTTCTTGAAACTGGGCTGACCCTAGGCTCTGCTTTGATCAGTAAAATGTGGTGAAAGTGAAACTATGTCATTTCCTAAGATGGGATTCCAGACATCTGCAGACCTCACCTTTGCTGCTGTGAACACTCTTTGGAACTCAACCACCATGCTGTAAGGAAGCTCAAGCCATCATGAGGAGAGATTCACATGGAGAAGAACCATAGACTCTGGCCAGCAGCCTCAGCTTTGCTCTCCACTAACAATCTCTCAGCTGGACACATGAGTGAAACCTTATTAAACCTTGTACCCCAGACAAGCCATCATTTGAAGCAGCTAAATAAATGCCCCAATGTAACCACCCAACAGGCTCACCTTGCCCTCTTGCTAGACAGAGCCAATTTATCAAGACAGAGGAATTGCAATGGAGAAAGAGTAATTCATTCAGAGCTGGTTGTGTGGGAGACTGGAGTTTTATTGTTACTCAAATTGGTCTATGTGAGCATTCAGGGATTGGAGTTTTTAGGGATAATTTGGTGGGTAGGGGCTCAGGAAGTGGGGAGTGCTGATTGGTTGGGTTGGAGATATAATCAAAGTGGGTCAAAGTGAGGTTTTCTTGCTGTCTTGTTCCTGGGTGGGATCGCAGAACTGGTTGAGCCACATTACTGGTCTGGGTGGTGTAAGCTGGTGCATCCAGTGCAGGGCCTGCAAAATACCTGAAGCATGAATCTTAGATTTTACAATAGTGATGTCATGCCCAGGAGCAATTTGGGGAGGTTCAGACTCTGGCAGCCAGAGACTGCCTGGCCCCTAAACAGTAATTTCTAATTTTGTAGCTAATTTGTAAGTACTGCAAAGGCAGATTGGTTCCCAGGCAAGAAAGGTTTTTTGTGGGGGAGGGGCGGGGAAGAGCTGTTATCAATTTTGTGTCAGAGTTAAATTATGAACTAAATTCTTTCTCAAAGTTAGTTCTGTCTATGCCCAGAAATAATCAAGGACAGGTTAAACGTTAGAAGCAAGATGGAGTCAGTTAGGTCTGATCTCTTTCACTGTCATAATTTCCTCAGTTACAATTTTTGCAAAGGCAGTTCAGCAACCATCACCATGAATAGTAGAAGAACCTCTTCCCCCATTCTAGCTAATCTCAAACCCCTGATCTATATAAATTTATGAACAAATAGTGTGGTTGTCTTCAGTCACTAACTTTTGGGCTCATGTATTATACAACTATTGATAACTGAAACTATTCTATTTGATTTTTTTTTTTTATAGTCTCACTCTTTTGCCCAGGCTGGAGTGCAGTGGCATGATCTCGGTTCACTGCAACCTCTGCCTGCAAAGTTCAAGCAATTCTCCTGCCTCAGCCTCCAGAGCATCTGGGATTACAGGCACCCACAACCACACCTGGCTAATTTTTGTATTTTTAGTAGAGACGAGGTTTCACCATATTGGCCAGGCTAGTCTCGAACTCCTGACTTCAAGTGACCCACGTGCCTCGGCCTCCCAAAGTGCTGGGATTACAGGTGTGAGCCACCACACCTGGCCTCTATTTGAAATTTAATTGAATGTGCACCTCACAAATAGATGTAAGATCAAGAGAGATTTGCCTCTAAAATATTGACTATCTCCATCTGTGCTTATGATACCAGTTTCCAAAAAGGAAAATTAGTTTTCTGTGCCTTGTCTTGGTTTACAGACTTATTTACTCATCAGCAAACTTCATGGACCCTTTTATTATTCTAATGATAAAATTCTTTATTCTAATTCCTTGTACATTATTTTGTATTATTATCCAGCTATCCCTGTTATATATAATGACAACATTTTCTTTACCTTTATAAGCAAATAACCCTTCATATTTCTTCTTACATTTTGAATGTTTTGAAGGACTCCTGAAGATCCAAGGATCCAGCACAAATGAAACTTATTGAACAAAAAGATGCATAGGATACCAGTTTCAATAGAGAACCGAGAGTAAGGCTTGGGGTGATGCTGAAAATCACGCGTGGTCAAACTTCTTATGGGTCTATCATTCCCACGCCTGCTGCTTAAAGAAAATGCATTGTACTTTAAACCAGCAATAAGTTTATGGATTAATTAATCCAATTAGAACATTTTTCTTTGCCTAGCATACAGTTTTTGCAATTTTCCCTATTACATTCAATCAAATAAGTAATAACTAAGTGCATCTGTAGTCTGGAAAAGAAAATGGAACAGAAAGAGAAGGGGTAAAGGTAAAAATTCCAACAGTCCCTTTCCCCACAAGAATAACCCCATGCCTGATACTTGTCTTAGGAACTTGAAGAATCTCTCTGAGTCCTGCTACATCAGCACTTTTGGGATTAATCCATGGGTGTTTGAAAGGAATGCATTGTAAGTTTGGGGAAATGTTTCAGATTATCTTTGTTAATTGTGTCTTTGAAATCCTGCATATTTCAAATATGTTCAAATTAACTTGAATTACCAGTTTCTGAGAAAAGATGATGAATGTCTCCAACTACAAAAGGACTTTGACAATTTGCTCTTTAATTTCTACATTGACTGCTACATGGCTATTGAAGTTTCTTAAAGAATCATACTACATATAATTATAAAATAATCCTCTTTTCTCAGTTACGTTTTCATCCTGGGTTTTATATTAATTTAATAGTTACACTTGTTTTTTTATTTGCCACTATTTACCTGGCATTATGTTTCTATTGCTTTACTTTCAACTTTTTATTTGTTATTTATGTTTTAAGTATTTTTAAATTAAATCATATAGCTGGATTGTGCTTGTCTTATCCAACATAAGAATGTTTTAATTTTAATGGGGTATCTTCTTTAATATGCATTTGTTAATGTATCCATTTGATCTCATGCTTTCTCTTATATACTAAGTGGCATATGAGAGTTTATTTTGTCATTCCTGTTATTATTTTTCCATCCTTTATTTTTGCTGAACTGTGTGAGTGAAGTGGTCTCTTTGTGCCAGATTGCCATATGCAAAGTCATTTACATTTACATCTGTTGTAGACCTAACATCAATAAAGACGTGGATATTTTCTTTTAAAATATCGTTAGGGCTTAGGTCAATATTAGGAGTAAATTATCATGTATTCTTTAACTAATGGACTTATTGGAATATGCCAGAATCCACTAACACCTAAAAAAGGGTAGCACACTGAAGTATTGATAATTAAGACTCAGAGTCAAATTTCTAAGTAATTTTCCATTTCTGTCAGTATTCATTAGAATTAAATTTTAATATGTGCATAAGCCTTAATCTAATTAGAACATCCAGAAAAAAATGTTTCTCCAGTCAGTCATGGGAAGAAAAAGATTGGCATCATTACCCAAAAGACAGCAAACTATGAAATCTAAGAGATTGTTTACACTAAACTTATTTTCACATTTCCTGGCACTGCATAATTCAAACCCACTCTGTGCTTACTGGGATACTTTCATCTCTAACATGAAGAGGAAAAATATAACTTTTTAAAAGCAAATCTTCAGGTTGGAAGGTTAGGTGTTTGCCTGAAAAGCCATTCATTTTTGCTTCAGCAAAGCAATTTGCAGTAGAGAATGATTTCCATCTCAGCTAGAAGATTGGAAAATGAAACTGTAAGTGGGAGTGTTTTACTGGGCATTCTAGCCTTGGACCCTGGTCATGGCGGGGAATGTGATGATATTTTAGCAGCTTTTGTAATCCTACACTGATTTTCAGAGGATATGTTTGGGTTTTCTGCCATTTAACTCTCTGGTTGGAATCTGAATCGGGATGAATCTTTAGTCAAATTTAAATTTTGGCTCATGAATGGAGGGCAGACATTTTTGTAATGGTTCCCAAATTACGCAAAACTCTTCAAATATAAATGGTAATTGGCTGATTTCAATCTGAAAGGAGTTGGTATTCACAGGCAACCATTCCCGACTTTCTTGGGGTGTCAGTAGAATACAAACATTAGCCAAGCAGTGGCCTCAAAGGCCTGTGTATTTCTACAGTCACAGTGAATTCAATGAAATTGAATTCTGCAAGTTCTTTCTTAAAAGTGTCCATTAGCATAGGTGTAAATAGAATAACTACTTTCCCTTGGAGGTGAAAGTAATTTGCTGTAGGAAAAAAATATTTTCTCTAACTTCAATTAGAAATCTCTTCTCTCTCTTTGATTAAAACTATCTGCCTTACTAATTAATAATTTGAAAGATGTTGAGAAGCATTGAGCTTTGAGTAACAATAAAAGAGCACTCTAGTATTGAAAGAAGATAGCTTTCAGAGTTTGAAGGAGCAACATTCTTTGAACTTGCATACATATACCTAGGAAAATTAAAAATGACCATCTGTGCAAATGGTTATAAACTCAGCTGGCAGTGGAATCCTGGCACAGGGGTGTGAAGAATTTACTCTGAATCTCTGGGCTCTTTTTCCTTTGCTAACTCACTTACATCTCTAAGATTCAACTTTTTTTTTTTTTTTTTTTTTTTTTTTTTTTTTGCGACAGGTTGTCACTCTGTCGACCAGGCTGGTGTCCAGCAGCATGATCTCAGCTCACTGCAATCTCCATCTCCCGGGTTCAAGCTATTCTCCTGCCTCAGCCTCCTGAGTAACTGGGATTACAGGCACCACCACCACGCCTGGCTAATTTTTGTAGTTTTAGCAGAGACGGGGTTTCACCATGTTGGCCAGGCTGGTCTTGAACTCCTGACCTCAAGTGATCCACCCACCTCGGCCTGCCAAAGTGCTGGGATTACAGGCTTGAGTCACAGTGCCTGGACTCAACTTTCTTTCTTTAAATTTTATTTTATGTTCTGAGGTATATGTGCAGGATGTGCAGGTTTACTACATAGGCACACATTTACCTAGGTTCAACTTTCTCAGTTGTAAAAAGCAAATAAATTATAGGAGAGTGTTTATGCACTTTAGATAGTTACTGAATTATTCACTATTTTGAATGTTGTTCTAAATTTGTAGAGGAACTAGATTTGGATTAGTAAAAGTTACTGGTGAGAATTTTTACTCAAGAGTAGCATTTTGGAAACTCATTGTCCAACAAGACTGAAGTGAAGGTTCAAGTGCAGCAACAGCAGAGAGGTAATGAAACCACTTTTGCAAAATTCATGACAGTAAGAGAATTATGACTGTGAAAGAGATCTGACCTAACTCCATGTTGCCTTTAATCTCCAAACTGCCCTTGGTCATTCCTGGGCATGGGCCAAGCTAACTTTGAGAGAACTTTAGTTTATGGTTTAAATGATAATAGCCCTTCCCAAAATTAAACTGCCTTTGTAAAACTAATGAAAGGCAACCAGGTTAGGAGAATGAGAGGTGCCTGAAGTCTGCTAATATATAGGTGATATGGTTTGGCTGTGTCCCCACCCAAATCTCATTTTGAATTGTAGCTCCCATAATTCCCACGTGTCATGGGAGGGACCTGGTGGGAGGTAATTGAATCATGGTGGCAGATTTTTCCCATGGTATTGTCATGACAGTAAATAAGTCTCACAGGTCTGATGGTTTTATAAAGGGGAGTTCCCCTGCACATACTCTCTCTCTCTTGCCTGCAGCCATGTAAAATGCACCTTTGCTTCTCCTTTGCCTTCTGCCATGATTGTGAGGCCTCCCCAGCCATGTGGAACTGTGAGTCCATTAAACCTCTTTCCTTTATAAATTACCCAGTCTCAGGTATGTCTTTATTAGTAGCATGAAAACAGACTAATACAATAGATGGAGTTAAAACATTACCAGCCATTATTATGAAGGTCACAAGATTTGCAAATTCCCCAAATACTCCTGTAAATAACATTGCCAGGCCAGCTGTCAGAGCCCCAGCATCAGGAATTGGTCAACTTGCAGGTTGGTAAGAAGAATTTACCGACAACAGTATAGGTTTGAAAAGGAAAGTTCTATTAGATAGAGAGAACACTGTAGCAGAGTGCAGGGGAGGGGCACCTTAGTGAGAGAGGACTGAGAGTGCTGCTGCAGTTCATAAGGTATTTATGAACCTTAAAGGGGGAGCTGAAGGGTAATTTTCATGATAAATGATTACATTTGTAGACATGTTGGTGCCTTAATGTGGGCAAAGGTTGCACAATAAGTTTTGATATGCATGCATTTAGAGACGTATAGAAATTCTAGTAACTTATAAAAGTTGAAAGAGGCCTGGAACCAGATGCTGACTTTAGATACCAGGGAAGTTTAATTACTTCTAAATCATCTAGATGAGTTTTGCCTCTGGATGGCCTGTTTGATGGTCACCAAGTGGTGTTTGCTCCCTTCTAAATTCCTCAGAGAGGGAGTTTTTGTCTCCAGGACCAGTTCAATGGACCCCAGGTGATTTTTGCTCTCCTAAAACATCACTATTGTGTAACCTAAGATTGGCCTTTTGCGAAGTCTTTTCAGACTTTTGCATTTGTGATGACCAGATGGCTCCATCCAGACTCAAGATTCATGACTCAGTGGTCCTGTGGCCCCACCCAGAAGGGGACTCAGCACACAAGGACCGTTTTCCACACCCCTCTGATTTTATCCACAACCAATCAGCAGCATCCATTCTCTAGCCCGCTGGCTGCCAAACTATCTCCAAATTTTTGATGAGGTTGATTCGAATAATAATAAAACTCTGGTCTCCCATTTAGCTGGCTATATGTGAATTAAACTTTCTCTATTGCAATTCCCCTGTCTTGATAAATCAGCTCTATCTGGGCAGCAGGAAAAATGAACCCATAGGGTAGTTATAGGAAGGTAGCAGGAACCTCCAGATTAAGACCTGATGCCAGGGCTACATCACCATGACATCAGGCATGAAAAAAAAGCAGTCAGTCTCTTTTGACCCTGAATAATTTGCCAGGGCCAAATGGACTTGAGTCAACTGGCAGTGCATAGGACTATGGATTCTGCAAAATGGATATGGCTTAGAGAGAAATGGGATGGCTATGCACTGATCAGCAATTCCTAGATAAGTTTGCAATCATAGTAGATTCATTGTGCAATGCACACAGCTAGTCAATATGGAGGGACACTGGATTGCAGCACAGAACGACAGCCTCCAAACAAACAGACAACAGAAAGCCTCAAATTCATCTCTCTGTGGAATTTGGTGCTAGGGATTTTAAGGGTTTTAGAGTGGGCTGAAGTGTGGAGATGGTTGATTGGTGGGAGACTGCAGCATAGAGTCATGGGACAGAGAGAGGAAGAAGCTGTGTTCTCATGCTGATCCCGTTCCTCTGTGGGCATCTTCAAATGGTTGCTGAAATTCAGGGCCTGGAAAACACTTTAAGCAATTCTTAAACAACAGCCTTATGATTCTAATGTCAGAGATTCTGTCTATAGGAGCAATGAAGATGTAAATCAATTCTTAAACAGTCTTATGATGCTAATATCGGAAATCCTATCTATAGGAGCTTTGTGGATGCAGATGGTAAGTGTCTAGTGCTGCAGGGCTTTTAGCAACAAGGAAGTGGGCCAAAGTGCAGCCTGATTCATGCTTAATTATAAGTGTATTTATGTCCAGAACCTGGGATGCAATTCTTGTTAACCCTGTGGGGATGGTTTCTGCAGTGCAGAGGACCATGTATCCTGTAACATGGATACAGATTAGAGAAAAATGGGATGACTATGCAATGATCAGAGATTCCCTGATACATTTAGAAATTGTTGCATCATAAGCTGGGAGCAAGCTAGCCATGATGAATGAACAGCCCCCAAACACAGTATCAGTGTCTGTTTCATTGCTCCTGCAAAGTTCCACATTTAGATTGCACTTATGGCCTTGACCCCAGGAGGAACAACAGGTAAATAATGCACCTGGATAGCCCCAGAGTGACATCCCCTGCATCGGTGTCAGCTCATTCTAAGGGCAGTTTCTGACCTTGAGGCTACCCTGCATCCTAGCAGTTGGCTTGCTCTGTAAGCCTGTTTTTGAAACTGCCTTTTGCAAGATATATGACAGTGAGAGAAATCTAACATAGCTGACTACGTCTTGCTTTTAACCTTACAAGTGAACTAACTTTGTTAACTTTAAAGAAGATTACAATAATCCCTTCCAAAACTAACCCCTTCCTTGCTTAGGAACAGAAGACTAATGGAAGGCCACAAGGTTAGAATTATGGGGACGGGGTACCTGAATTCAGCTAAGATGTAGGTATATTTAAATGATAACCAGCCATTGCTCCCTAGTTTGCCTTTCTGTAATCTCTTACTGCCCAAGAGTCATTTAGCTGGAGGTCAAAAGATTTTTAACTTCCCCAATTGCTTCTATAGATAGCATCATTATTGTGAAAACCTAAGATTTGTCTTTGAGATATTTTTCAGACTTTTGCACTGTGGCTAAACTAGTGACCTGACATCAGCCAAACCTACCCAGGCCCATGATTCATGACTCATCACTCAACTAGTCTTGTGGTCCTCACCCGGAGGTGGAATCGGCAGACAAGAACCGTTTTCCACACTCCTGTGATTTCATCCCCAACCAATCAGCAGCACCTTTTCCCTAGCCCTTTGCCCACCAAATTATCCTTAACCTTTTTCCAGTTTAGAAAAAAATAGTACAGCTTTCTGCCACCACTCATTTAATTTTACACAAACATGCTCTTTGAGGCTGAAGCAAATCTGACTGATTTTCAATGTGAAAATAAAATATAAAAGCTGTTCTTGGAGTTATTTCTAAAGAGAAATAACATCAAAGTTGTCTGAATTATCAAAATTGTCTATTTTTAAAAAATTGGATTCATCAGATTAAACTCCAGCCAATAACTGTTGGAGAACAATGTTAACATCACACATAGGAATGCTATGTCTTCTAGGATTTGACGTTTTCAGCGATCAAGAATTACTATATTTAGTAAATGGAAATACCATTACTACAAACGAATGCTAAAAATAGAATGATGTCTTTTGTTTCCAAAGTTGATACACTAGAGCAATGCAAAAAAAAAAAAAATAATAAAAGCAAGATACTTCATAGCAAAGTTATCTCAGGGTAAATGCTGCAAGCACCGCCAGTGAGTATTCTCAGCGCAAACAGGAAAAGGTTAAAAACCCTAGTTTCTGAGCTCTCAGGGAGGCAGATTTGAGAAATGTGTCCCATCCTTCCACTGGGCTTCCTTGCAATAATTAAACTCTCTCTACTACAACACCACTGTTTCAGCGAATTGGCTTTATCTGTGCAGCAGACAAGAAGAACCCACTGGGTAGTTACACTTTCTTACAGAATCCTTCTCAGCCTGTGAGTGAGAGCCTGGCATATGTCTCGCGCTTTTGCAAGAATGGTGTCCTGCTTTTTGACTTCTAATCCAGCCATTGGCTGTTCCTTCTCCTGAGATTATATGTGACTCAAATCCTTTCTGCATATCATTCGCCTTCTGGAATCCCTGGCTACTGACCCCAGCTCACTGTTTAAGCTTCTAGACACTGGCGCTTCCCTTACCTGGTGTGAGCTTGGGACACCTGGTTGGACAAGCTAGAAATGACAGCTAGCTGGTTTATTCCAGCCTGCGTTCTGTATCATAGTGGGGCTTCTTCTTGCTTTCGTTTTTTTTCTCTCTTTTTGCTGGTGTTCCTGTTGGTCTGAGCATATAACTACTACTACTGTAAAAGAAGAGCTATACTAAAGGGGAAGCACTGAACCCTAGAGAGATCAACGCACCGAGATGACTTTCACATCACCTGCAACATACATCTTATTTATTGGCTCCAATAGTAGCCTTCTTACTACCTTACAGACTCAAAGTGGAAGTAAGATGATGGAAGTAAGACATCAAAGTGGCTCCTTTGATGCCAAAAGAGTTCTGTTCCTGGACTGAGTTCAGATGGCGAGTTTAAGCTCCCTCTATGAAGGTCATATAACTTGTGTTAGAATAACTAACTTGTGTCCATCCCATACACTGATTAAAATTTTCAATATGTTTAATGAGGGAGAGCTACCAGTGTACCTGCGAAACATGCGTTTTGTCATGTGTTTGTCCTTTTTCTGAGACAGCCAACAATTGTGATGGCTTTCAGTTATATTTTGGGGGAGCTCAGCCAATCACTGGGGGCTACACATAATTCAGACATAGAATGCATATGTTTGTGAGACTCTTATTTGATCTCATTGGATGCCCTCATTTCCTGTCGTAACTCAACTGATTCTACTCCAGGGAGGTCCAATTTGAATATTGAGAACATATTTCAGGGAAAAAAAAAAGGACAATGTTGCTACCAGATCATTGGCCAATGTATGCTGCCATACAAAGAGAAGGGTTTAAAAAATTATTTATTCATTTATTTTTGGAAGAGACTCTTGCTCTGTTGCCAAGGCTGGAATACACTGGTGCGATCCCAGTTCACTGCAGCTTTGACCTCCCAAGCTCAAGTGATCCTACCACCTCAGCCTCCTCATTAGCTGACACTGCAGGCCACCACACCCAGCTAATTTTTTCTTTTATTTATAGTGGAGATGGGGGTCTCACTATGTTGCCTAGGGTGGTCTTGAACTCCTGGGCTCAAGCGATCCTCCTTCCTCAGCCTCTCAAAGTGTTGGAATTACAGAGGTGAGCCATTGCACCCAGTCAGAGATGGTTGTTTATAAATATAAAGGAAGAAGCATTCCTGAGAGAATGCTTAATGAAGACTTGCTTTTTGACTATCTTTCTGTGGATGGTCAAATCTATATAAGCAATGTGGTGTACATCTGAAGGTGTCTTATTATGCATATTATTGATTCTAGAAAAAGTATCAATTTTGTTTATTTCAATAGGTTTTTGGGGACTAGGTGGTGATTGGTTACATGAATGAGTTATTTAGTGGTGATTTCTGAGATTTTGGTGTACCCATCACCCAAGCAGTGTACACTCTACTCAATGTGCAGTCTTTTATCCCTCACCCCCCTCCCACCCATTCACCCAAGTCCCCAAAGTCCATTGTATCATTCTTATGCCTTTGCATCCTCATAACTTAGCTCTCACTTATGAGTGAGAACATATGATGTTTGAGTTTCCTTTCCTGAGTTACTTCATTTAGAATAATGGCCTCCAGTTCCATCCAGATTGCTGCAAATGCTATTATTTCATTCCTTTTTTATCACTGAGTAGTATTCCATGGTGCGTATGTGTGTGTATTTATTTCCCTCTCTGTCTATATGTGTGTGTGTGTGTGTGTGTGTGTGTGTGTGTGTGTGTATATCTCACAATTTCTTTATCCACTTGTTGATTGATGAGCATGTTCCATATTTTTGCAGTTGTGAATTGTGCTGTATAAACATGGGTAAGGATCTGAAAAATTTTCTGTTGTGAGAAGAGATGTAAATATTCTTAGGCAATAATAAATTGATTTAAAATATCAGGGGATAAATTTCTTATTCCTTTTTATAAATAAAGGGATAAGAAAAATAGCAAATAAAGACTCTATCCATGTTATTCAAATGGCCTCACCAATCTCAACTTATCTTTTAAATTAGATTTTTAAAAATTTCCAGTGTTCCAAAAATGTTTATTTTAATTGATATAAATTGCACACATACTATTCAATAACCTGCTTTGTTAATTCATTGTGGTAGAAAAAAATCACAACACAAAATTTACCATCTTAACCATGTTTTTAAGTATATAGTTCAGTAGTGTTCAGTAAATTTACACTGCTGTTCAAAAGATCTCCAGAACTTTTCATCTTGCAGAACTGAAACTCTGTATCCAATAAACACAACTGCTCTGGGTCCTCTTACCACATCACCTAGTAAATACCATTCTGTTTTCTGTATCTATGACTACTATTTTTTTCTTTCTATACACATATGATTTTAAGATACTTTCATATTGCTATGGGGATTTTTCATGCTTTGCAACTTCTCTCAGTTTCTTCACACATGAGGTAAAGCCGATATTAGCTACTTAATGTACTGTTGCTACAAAATTATGGTCTGGGCCACATTAAATAATATACGTGAAAGTACTTTGGATACTGGGGAGTTACCGAGACATATAACTAGACATTAATTCTATAGAGAAAATGAAATATGTTTTGCCTGTCCCAAATGTGTCAAATTGATTAGAAATTGCAAAAAATTAGTTAGTAGAGCCTTGGGAATTTATTAATTGATTCTTACTTATGGTATTTATACTTCTGTTTGCCCCATACTGATGTCATTAAATGACTACATGCAGATTTTCTGTTGCATAAATGTACTCTTGATTCTTCAGAGTTTCTGACACTGTAAAACAAGTACATATACTTTGTTTTACAAAAAGATATATATATATATATATATATATATATATATATATATATATACACACACACACACAGGCATTTCTCTTTTGTTGCTGGGGATATACATACACACATATACATATGTGTGTGTGTATGTATATCATCAGCAACAAAAGAGAAATGTCTTTTTAATATGGTTGCAAATGCTGCTATGTTTAAAAATATTTAAATATTTTCAGGTTGAAAAATAGAGTTGAAATCTTTGGCAGAATAATCACCATATTCTCTCACACTGTAAAATCGGTTAATGATACAGTTCCAAATGCTGCCTGTATCATGAATCCATTCCTCTGTGTCTGCCTTCAGCTATTTTAATCATCCTAACATGAAATAACTTGTAAAAAGATGCAGTCCCATTCCTGTCACCTTGCTTTGAATGCTTCTGTAATGGTTTTCTAAATTATTTTTCTAACCAGTTTTGTGCTAAAATCTGCTACAGAGATGAGGCCTTGGAGCAGGGATGCTGGCCACCCATGGAGAAAAATGAGACCTGTGTTCCAGGCTGTCAGCAGAGTCCCGGAGGCTTTGCCCATGGCTGTGGTTCAAACTGTGTTCCACAAATACTTGCAACTGTCTGCAGGGCCTCGGAGACATGGGCCAAATGGGTTTCCCTCCCAAATACCCAGGCATGACACAACTTCAGCTTTCATCTAATTATACACTGGACATCCACACCGTTTCACCTGCAAAGGGTTCTACTGTTAAAATAAATAAACAAAATAAACCCTCTCTTTTATAATATGTGAACTTTAAATTAAAATAAAAAAACAGATTAGCAACGCAAAGTGTCCCTTGCACTTTTTGCAGCCATTGATACATTGCATACACATCAATTCAAGGTACCTTGTATTATCACCCTTGGAGAGGGTGAAAATCCCCGACTACGGTAGTCTCAATTTATTCTGCCAACAAATATGGATTGATGAATTTCTTCTGTTGTGGGTATTAGAAATGGAGCAGCAGGTAACCGCACAGGGGCCCCTACCCTTATGTTCCCCAATTACCTCATTTCTCTGTTACAGTCCAAGTAAGATTTTAATTCCTTTCCCTTAAAATCAAAACCTCTTCCTAGTATTTGTGATACATCACAAGCAAATTATTTATTAAGAGTCGCTGTCATTTTTTTTTTTTTTTTTGAGATGGAGTCTCATTCTGTTGCCCAGGCTGGAGTGCAGTGGTGCGATCTTGGCTCACTGCAATCTCCACCTCCCGGGTTCAAGCAATTCTCCTGCCTCAGCTTCCTAAGTAGCTGGGATTACAGGCGTGCGCCAACACGCCTGGCTCATTTTTGTATTTTTAGTAGAGACAGGGTTTCAACATATTGGTCAGGCTGGTCTCGAACTCCTGACCTCAAGTGATCCACCCACCTCGGCCTGCCAAAGTGCTGGGATTACAGGCTTGAGCCACCATGCCCGGCCTGAGTTGCTTTCATTTCTTATTCTGTCTTTTACAAAATTTATACAAAAAACTTGTCTTTTGATACTCCTAATTTAAAAAGAGAGAAGGCCAGCCTTGTAAGCCCAACACTTTGGGAAGCCAAGGTGGGAGGGTCACTTGAGCCCAGGAGTTTGAGACTAGCCTGGGCAACATGGTGAAACCCCGTCTGTACAAAAAATAAAAACAAAAATATTAGCCAGCCATGGTGGTGCACACCTGTAGTCCCAGCTGCTTGGGAGGCTGAGGTAGGAAAATTGCTTGAGCCCGGGAGGCACAGGTTGCAGTGAACTGTGATCACGTCACTGCACTCCAGCCTGCATGACAGAGCGAGACCCTGTCTCAAAAAAAAAAAAAAAAAAAAAAAGAAAGAGAGAGAGAGAAGAATGAAATAACCAGATAGGACCAGTAAATGCCTGAGGCCAGGCATTTTTAAAAGTATGTATCTATGTCTGCAGTGCCTAGTGCAATGTCTGGCATATTTAAGATGTGTAACAGAGATGCTTCTTCACTTACAATGGAGTTACATCCCAACAAACTCATCATAAGTTGAAAATATTGTAAGTCAAAAATGTCGTAAGTTAAAAATGCATTGAATACAGCTAACCTACTGTATCTGGCCTACTTTAAATGTGCTGAGAAGACTCAGATTACCCTATAGTTTGGGAAAATCACCTAACACAAAGCCTATTTTACAGTAAAGTGTTGCATATCTCATGTAATTTATTGCATATTACACTGTAAGTGAAAAAACACTGTGTTGGTATTCAAACTATGGTTTCTACTAAATGCATATTGCATTTCCATCATCATAAAGTCTAAAAATGTATGTCAAACTATCATAAACTGATGACTGTCTGTATCTGCATATGAATGATAAATATTTATACAACTAAGTGGTATGTGAATTGGAAGACATTCCAAAATTTTATACATTTACAAAAAAGTATATAATATTACAGCAGATCTATCCAACCTGTTTCAACAGAATATCTGTTCTTTTTGAGATGAAAAATCAAATATTTTGGAACAGGTCACTAAAATGCATTAGAGGATATCCTTTTGCCATGGGCTGTCCAACGTGAGTTTCTCATTTGTTGTATCACTTCTCTCCTGATCATCATGGATACTATACTTTTTTTTTGTATTTGAGAAATTTTAATTATTAGAGAGATTTTTCATACAACATTTATTCTGTAAGCAAATTTCAAGGAGTGCAGAATGAATCAAATTAATGAAGCTGATTAGAACTTCCTCTGAAGGTATCATTGTAAACATTAATTTCTGAATCAGTGTTGTAAGTATTTTGGAACATAGACACCAGATCACATTTTAACTGTACTTTTATCTCTATTAAAAAAATGACAAAAAAAATCCCATTTTGTGCATGTAGCATTTTCAATTCCCACCATCAATGCATGATAGTTCTTGGTTTTCCACATTCATATTGTTATTTATCCTTATGAGAATTGTGTGCTTTAACCATTCTAGTAGGTGAGTAATGGTATCTAATTGTTATTTAAATGCACATGTCCCTAATATAAATTTCATATTTAACAATTTTTATATAATTTTTGGTGATATGCCTTTCCTGATATTTGGTTCATTTTTAACTGCATTGTTTTGTTTTGATTAGTTGTAAGTTTACTTGCATATTGTTTATAAAAGTCATTTAACGAATTAAAAGAATTCTTTTAACAAATTTGTGACTTGGAAGCATTTTCTCCAAGTCTGTGGTTGTCTTTTACTCCCCTATCAGTGTGTACTGCAGAAAAATATCTGCCTGTGTGTGTGTGTGTGTTTGTACAAATTTTGATTTAAAAACATGTAAAATTTTCTTCATCCATAGATCATGTCTTTGGCGTTATATCTGAATTCTCATTATAAAATACACTAATAGTGATTATTTTTCTCCAAGTCTCTAATCTCAGGCCACAATCAACTCATGAGTGTTTAAACTTCACCTACTGGATTGTAGGACTATCCACCTGAGATATTTGGAATACTTCTGTAAGAAGATGTGTTCTTCCCATTATTTCTTTATTTCATTATCTGTTAATGTTCATATTGGTTTATGGATGTCTATTTCATTCCCTGAAGAAGATCCATGCTACTTTATTCATTTTATTGGTCAAATCACTACAGCTTTATTCGGTGCCGGGAGCTCATTTATTTTGGATCCTGCATTCTTGCAGCACACCCCATCCTTTTATCTTGGAACACTTCCCTGTTTCCTGATATTACAATAAATTCTAAGCTCATTTTCTTTTCTTTTTTTTTTCTATTATACTTTAAGTTCTAGGGTACATGTGCACAACGTGCAAGTTTGTTACATAGATATACATGTGCCATGTTGGTTTGCTGCACCCATCAACTTGTCATTTACATTAGGTATTTCTCCTAATGCTATCCCTCCCCCAGCCCCCCAACCCCTGACAGGCCGCGGTGTGTGATGTTCTCCGCCCTGTGTCCAAGTGATCTCATCATTCAATTCCCACCTATGAGTGAGAACATGTGGTGTTTGGTTTCCTGTCCTTGTGATAGTTTGCTGAGAATGATGGTTTCCAGCTTCACCCATGTCCCTGCAAAGGACATTAACTCATCCATTTTTATGGCTGCATAGTATTCCATGGTGTATATGTGCCACATTTTCTTAATCCAGTCTATCATTGATGGACATTTGGGTTGGTTCCAAGATACTGTCCATTTTATTAGCCTTTTTGTAAAGATGTATCCACTAATGCATAAGTTACCTTAAGTCACAAAGAATAACCTGAAGTGGATGACTTAATCCTTGATCATTCTCCTCTGGAATGAGCATTTGATCATGGGTTTTCACAGGCACCTCTGCCTCTTTTAAAACCACATTATATTTTAGAGCTATCTCCTCCCTGACTGTTGCCTTACTGCCAAGGACTCAGGATTTCAATCTAAGTTACTACAAAGTCAGCAGGGACTTCTGATTGATCAGTAAATATTTATACACAACTCCATCCTAGGAAACAATTACACATCCTTGAGCTTAATCAGGTCATCATTCTTCCAAGTTATGGTTTTAGACTTTTCTCTAAACTCCAAAAATAAAAGTAAAAATGATATTTAATTAGACATTGTATTAGTCTGTTGTCATGCTGCCAATAAAGACATACCCAAGAATGGGTAATTTATAAATGAAAATGATTTAATTCACACAGTTCCACATGGCTGGGGAGGCCTCACAATCATGGCAGAAGACCGAGGGATGTCTTACCTGGTGGCAGGGAAGAGAGAGCTTGTGCAGGTGAACTCTCCTTTATAAAACCATCAGATCCTGTGAGACTTACTATCATGAGAACAGCACAGGAAAGACACCCCCTGCCCCGCCCTCACCCATGATTCAATTACCTCCCACCGGGTCCCGCCCATGACATGTGGGAATTATGGGAGCTACAATTGACATCTAAACATTCAATGTTACAGGTAAAAGCCATTCAATTCTTTTAACCAATAGCCAATAACCTCTGTTCAATTCTTTTAAGCAATAACCTTGAATGTTTATTTTCTTATTTTATACTCAAAAATACATGTACTACAATAATCCAAACACATTTACCAACATGGGATGATACCATAGCTGAATTGACAAGCAACAGAGACGTCTCATAATCACCCTAAAATTGCTATTGGAACTTGGCTCCCAGCCACATTTATTTTGTCTTTAGAGAAAAGCTCAATAAAACAGAGGCTGCAAACTGAACCCTAAAATAGCACTGGCCTCTCAGGCCAGGACTTTCCCCAATCAACAACATTATGCAAAGGATGTTCCAGATTGCAGCAGCACATCCAAAATTAAATGTCAACTTGTCTGTGAAAATGGCTCAGGCCTCTCGACCTAATGCAATGCATGTAAAATGAGTGGCCTCTGCACTCAGAGCCCCTCAACCAAAGGGCTGTCCATCAAAGTCACTCTTCAAATTGCATTTGAGGAAGAAGCAACAGCAGAGCATGCAGAGATTGTCAAGTGCCACACACTGCCTGTCTGTATCTCTCTTCTTCAGAAACGGCCAGAGCCCAGTGGGAACTGGAACACTGAGCCCTGCAAGCATTCTCTGTGAGAGAGAAGCCCCAATCTCAAAAACCAACAAGAAGCAGAAAAAGCACAATTTCCACTTAAGTGGCCAAATGCACAGACAAGTCCAAGGGTTGTACGCACCACGAAAGTAAAAATGGCCCATGTGCTTGCGTTAGTCTTGCTGTATTGAGCATCCCTTCATTGAAAGAGGCAGATTTTACACCATTCTCCCATCTGTATTTTGTTTTCTTGCACATAAATTTCGCTGCTTTTTATCTATTTACCAGACTCTGAAACTTCCATCTTTGTAGTTAGCGCTTCCTCCATTTTTATTCTCTGATAACTCATACTCATTCTGCAAGATTCACTTACATGTATGACCTTCTCAGGTAAGCCTTTTATAAAATTCTCTCCCCTAGAGGCAGTAAAATGGCCTTCCCAAATCATGATTTTGTAGCTTGCTATTTTATTTGCATTATAGACTTTACAACTGTATGATCATTGGGTTGTGGCTTATGTCCTGACAGCTACACAATAGGTTACTATGTGCCTTCATCTTTTCATTCATGTTTTATCTCTTGGTACTTTTGTTTCATGGGATGGTTTTGTAAAATGGGACCTGAGAACACTTCTACTTGGAGATTTTCCTGGGTTAAATGGTGTCCCTCTGAAAGTTTATATGTTGAAGTCCTAAGCCTAGTCCTTCAGAATGTGACCACATTTGGAAATAGGGTGATTGTAGATGAAATTAGTTAAGATGAAGTCATATAGGAGTAGAGTGGGTCACTATATCCCAATATGACTGGCATTCTTATAAAAGAGAGAAATTTAGTCACAGACATGCACATAAGAATATCATGTGAAGATGAAGGCAGAGATCAGAATGATGCATTTACAAGTCAACAGACACAAAAGACTTGCAGCCAACTACCAAAATCTAAGGGAGTGGCATGGAATAGATGTGTCTCTAATAGCCTTGAGAAAGAATCAACCCTGCAGACACCTTGACCTCAGATTTCTCCAGAACAGTGAGGGAAGAAATTTCAATTGACCATGCCACCTAGTTTGTAATTTGTAGTACTTTGTTTCAGCAGCCCCAGGGAGCTAATACGGAGACTTACAGTTATATTGGAAAATTGAAGTCAAGGGGAATGTCCATGTCATACTCCTTATCTTTGAAAGAAAATCACTACATTCTTTCTTCTTTCTTCTTGTGATTTTGCTGGTTTAATATCAGAAGGGCAAACAGTTCCTTAGGGTCTAAAATCAGGAAGCTAAGCACAGGTCTCCAGTCTATCTCTGGTTCTGAAGCATGAGAAACTTCTTCTAACCAAGTAGGAGATGACAGGAGGTTAAACGGCCATGCCAAGTCATGACTTGGGATGAATCACTGAAAAGGAAGAACATCTGATGTGGTTTCCCAGACTGGTGATTCAAGAAACATACGAGATTCCACCCACAACTCCCTTTAAAAGAGGTCACACAATTTTTTTCAGAATATTCAGCTTTTAATGCTTTATCTAAGAACAAATCCATTGACAACAGACCCTGAACTATATGGTGTTAGACTTGAAGAAAACCTTTTTCTCACCTCATTTTCAAGATTCAAGAAGTAGCAATAAAAGAACGAAGAAAGTTAAATCAAATGGGATTATCATTGAAGAGCAAAATCCCGGCTTTTGAAATATAATCTCAGAAGATTTAATGAAGATCTGAGTGGCTGTTGTTGGATCATTCAATATGGTAGGAAGGAAATACCAAAAAAGATGTTTAACTTAACTTTTAACATTTTGGGTTTTTTTTTTGACAGAGTTTTGCTCTGTTGCCCAGGCTAAACTCCCAGGCTCAAGCAGTCCTCCCACCTCAGCCTTCTGAGCAGCTGCAACCACAGGTGTGCACCACTATGCGCCAGGTAATTTTTTATTTTTTTTGCAGACATGGAGTCTTGCTATGTTGCCCAGGCTGGTCTTGAACTCCTGGGTTCAAGAAATTCTTCCACTTCAGCCTCCTAATGTGCTGGGATTACAGGAGCATGCCACTGCACCCAGCCTAAAACTTTATTAATCATGGTCTCAACAAACATCCATGCGTTGACTTTAGAGATCAGAGCAAACATCAATTTAGGAATTCGAATGTTGAAGATCCTCAAATCCATGGACTGACTGGCTGTCTGAGTTAACCCAGGGACACCCACTCTGGGCATGTCCACCATAGGCTCACTCATCCCACAAGGGCTAAGACAACCTCATTGTATCCTGTAGCATTGCTCTGTGTTGTGGTTCTCCATGAGATGCAGAGACAGGCACATCCCAGTTTCACTAGGAGTATCTCTTTCTTCCAAAGTCCAACTAACCACGGAAACATCCCTTTCTCTCGCAGCAGCTATGGGTCTTTCCAAACTTCAGATCTGTCCCCGAACTTTCTCAGTAAACCAAGAGCTTCCATGGGTGCAGGTCTTGGGCATCTTCATCTTGGAGTCATGAGCTTCTAATCTGATCCTTATACAACTGGTTGCTTCAGAACATGTGACACGGCAGCATAATTCTTTGTTATTGTAGTAAAATCCACACAACATAAAATTCACTCTTTAAAGTCTGCAACTCAGTGGGATTTAGTACATTTACAAAGGCATGCAACCATCACCTGTATCTAATGCAAGAATATTTTCATCACTCCAAAAGGAGACCTGGAACCCATGAAACAGTCACTCATTTCCCCTCTCCAGCTCTTAGCAATTGCTAACCTACTCTCTGTCTCTATGGATTTGCCTATTCTGGCTATTTTACATAGATAAAATCTTGGGTGTGTGTTTTGATATAATTCTGAAGCACCAAGAAAATAAAGCCATCATGCCTAGGACTGCATTCCACAGTGAAATCGATGGATGATACAGTTTCTACTATTGCAGATAGAAATAAAAGAAATGCCATGAGATAAATGAAAATTGCCTATGTTTTGAGATTTGTATTCATTAATTGATCATACATCATCCCTCAACTGTCCATTTATATCTTTGTCAGTCTAAATAATCCAAATACTATCATTGTCTGTACGGTCTGTCAATTATTAATCTCCCAGTGTCAGGGTAGGAAAACTGACATATCCGATTCCTCCTTTACTTTTCAATTCTCACTTTGCTAGATGCTTGTGTCATTTCTTTTTCCTGTAGACCTGTAATTCTCTCACAGATTGACATCTGCTTCCTTTGGTTTGCTTTAAACATAAATACTGAAAAAAGGACGTCATCTCTAAAGAAAGTAATTTGTTTGAAGGGAAGTTGTATTACATCTTGTCACACCAGTACCGTTCTGTTGCTCACTGACCTGATCCTCTGGGTGTCTCTTAAGTTCTGCTTGGACTTGACAGGTTTGAAAAGAGGGAAGAAACTGCACTGGTGATGTTGAAAATACAAACCACATGAAGTAAAGATTATTTAAATTGACAACAACTACGATGACACTATTTTGCAAATGTAATCCTTTCTTTAGAAACAGATAGTCTAGAATGTGATACTTTATGTGCAGGGGGAGAAAAAACCAATAACATCATGTCAGGCTTATCAGTCTTCATTTCCATTTCACCAACCACACCAAGAGAGACAAGAAAAAAGGCTAAAAGAAGAAAAAAAATCAAATTGAGAATTGGCTAAGCACTAATCTATGAAACCAAAATAAGCAAGCTCAGTTGAGTTAAACTTCATTAATTGAGATTATTCTCTCATATGTAATGGTTACCTTAAGATTCTTTTAATGTTTTTGTGGTTTTCTTGCTTTCCAAGTTTGCAAAATATCAACTGCAAGGGGAAAAGGTGTTTAAAATTTTAAAATAAAGCAAGGAATGGATAGAATCTGAGGTTGACACAGATTGTCCAAGTGCCAGGTTATATTTACAGAGGAAACCAAAATTACATTTACAAGTGAACTAATTATTTCTTAGCCATGTAAAGGTTTTTAAAGTAATGATTCTCATATCATTTTCATGGATTGCCTCCAATACTTTCCACTATATAGGTGAGAAGCTAGGTACCTTTAACTCCTTTATAAACAATAAATGAACTGAGTTTCCATGTGAGAGTGATTTGCCAAAACGCCTCAGCTATGAATATCTGGATCCAAATGTGTCAGGAGAGGCTTCTTGCTGTAGGAACAACCCCCAAATCCCAGTGGCTTCACCCAACAAAAGTTCATTTCTTGCGAAGACTGAAGTCCACTATAGGTTGTCTCCATGGTAGGGAGAGATAGGTGTCCTGTCTACTTTCTTCTTCAAAGACAAAGCACATTGAGGTCACCCTGACCATCAACATTTAGCTGCCAAATAGGATGATAGAGAGAGCGAGGTTTGGAGGAGTCTAGGTACACATAATAGGCATATGCCATACATCACTCTTGCCTCAATTCCACTGATGAGAACTAGGAATAGTTCCTAAAAGCAAGCCATAGGACCCATTGGTCATGTCTCCAACCACATCCTCAGTTTTTGCCATCCTATTGGTTTTCTCTACTCAATTTCTCTCTCCCCATATTGTAGCCCCACAATCATGGTAGTAAATATTAGTATTTCCTTGAGATACAGCCTAAATATTAGTATTTCCTTGAGATACAGATGCATATCTATGAGGCCTTCTTTTTATTCAGAAACTAATGTCTATATAATAGTAAGTGAAAGAGAAGAAGCAGGAGACAAACAAAAGAGGAAATGTTTTTAATAAAGGTGGTTTTCCAAATTGAGCAGTAAAGTGCCTTTGAGTGTCTTAAAATATCTGCGTGTTCATGTAGCAATAGAACAAGGCTCTCAAATGATAGCGTTGGCCCCCAAAAAAAGAAGCAGCTGGGATACTGGGAACCTGGAGAGACTGAAAGATGTGGAATTGAAAATTTACGCCTTCAGGGTGCTGTAACCTCAGTCCTGGGGGTCCCTGTCCCCTCCACTCCAGGCCTCTGCTCACCCTACTGATAGAGACAGGAGCCAGCCAAATGCCTAGGCAGATAGGGGCAGGTCTCCGGTAAAACCCCACCTTCAAGCCAAAAGCAGCCTGAAGGCTGAAAGACTGGACTGTTGGTCCCGGATTAAACCTGCGACCCAGAGTGAGAACTTCTGTTCCTATTTGCCCACCCTTTCCTGATTGATTCTTTCTGAATAATGCCTTTTAACCAATCGAGTGTTGCCTTTTCCAATACCACCTACAGCCGACCCCTCCCCTATTCTGAGCCCATAAAAAGCTCCAGACCCAGCCACAAGGGGAGGAGAGAACCACCTGACTGCTGGGATGGGGGACCACCCCCACATCCCCTCTCCACTGAGATCTGTTCTGTTGCTCAATAAAATTCTTCTCCACACTCCTCACCCTTTAATGTCCAGTGTATCCTCATTCTTCTTGGGTGTAGTACAGGAGCTTGGGAACCACCAAAGGCAACTACAAGCTATAATACAAGCGAGCTGGAGCATGCCCTTCCCAGCCATGGGCTGAGCCAGTGCACAAGCCAGATTCTGCTCGAGTGGCCAATTGAGTGGCTGTGTCCTGCAGCAGGTTAGTGTGGTCAAGCAAGGCCTGGGCAGAGCTTCACTGGCCAGAGATCCCCAGCTTGCAAAGTAACCAAGAAGAAAAATCCTACATCACTACATCCTTGGATGCTACTGAGATGCTACTGAATGCTACTGAAGATCACTGGGGTGAAAATGAAGACATGTCCATTATGGAATGAAAATTCATGTCCCCTCCAAATTCATATGTTGAAATCCTAACCCCCAATAGGATAGTATTGGGAAGTGGGACTTTTAAGTGGTGATTACGTTTAGATGGAGTCATGAGGGTGGGTCCCCAAAATGGGACTAGTGTCTTTATAAAAAGAAGAAGAAACACAATGGCTCTCTCCTCTACCATGTGAGGACACAGTGAGCAGGCACTAACTATGAACCAGGCAAATATCCCTCCCCAGGAACTGAACGTTCTAGCACCTTATTCTTGCACTTCCAGCCTCCAGAACTGTGAGAAATAAATGTCTGTTGTTTCTAAGCTGCCTGGTTTATGATATTTTGTCGTGGCAGTCCCAATGGACTAAGACAGTGTCCTCAGTCTCACTGACCCTCAGCTACAAAGAGTCATTGTGGGGTTTAATGCTCTTCATCTTATCACCAAGGGCAAGAATTTCCAATGTGTGTACTTTCACCTGTTAGAAAAATCAAGGACATTTCATTTATGTTGAACCCATTGTGTACTATGAAGCTGAAATAGGTTACATCATGGGTGGCATAATATCTCTTGATATATTCCCTAGTTGCATATATATGTATATATATATATATATATATATATATATATATTTTTTTTTTTTTTGAGACAGAATCTTACTCTGTCACTCATGCTGGAGTGCAGTGGTGGGATCTCAGCTCACCGCAACCTCTGTCTCCCAGGCTGAAGCGATTCTCCTGCCTCAGCCTCCCAAATAGCTGGGATTACAGGTGTGCGCCACAATGCCCAGCTAATTTTTTATATTTTTAGTAGAGACAGGGTTTAACCATGTTGGCCAGGCTGGTCTCGAACTGCTAACCTCAAGTGATCCACCCACCTCGGCCTCCCAAAGTGCTGAATTAGAGGCATGAACCACCATGCCCGACCCCTAGTAGCATATTAAATAACTGCTATTTTCATTTTCTGTTAGTATTGCAATTAAATCTTTCTGTTATTAAGTTCTATTTGGTTGTTGTTTGTATTTAAGATGGTACATGTAAAGGCAGAATTTTTTTCTTTTTTAAGAGACAGGGTCTCACTCTGTCACCCAGGCTGGAGTGCAGTGGTATGATCATACCTCACTGCAGCCTCAACTCCTGGGCTCAAACAATCCTCCCACTTCAACCTCCCAAGTTGCAGCTATTACAGGAATGAGCTGCTATGCCTGGATAATTTTTTATTTTTTATTTTTTAGAGACAAGGATCTCATTGTGTTGCCCAGGCTGGTCTCAAACTCCTGGTCTCAAGCAATCCTCCCACTTCAGCTTTCCGAGTAACTGGGATTATAGTCCTGCACCACCACACCCAGCTAATTAAATTTTTAGGGACAGAGTTTTCCTAGGTTGCCCTGGCTGGTCTCAAACTCCCAGCCTTAAGTGATCCTCCTGCTTCAGGAGAGGTAAAATATGTTTGTGCATAATAAGATATTAATTTGTAGTTTGAAACTTTATTTAGTAGTTTTACTATGTTTGAAAGATTTTTTTCCGATAGTTATAACATTTTCATTTATGCAAAATATATGTAATTATCTATTTGTCATCTGCTTTCCAATTTTCTATTTCTCATGTTTCTTGTGTCAAATTGCTTTGAGTACAACTTCCATAATACTCTTCATGGTGTGGTGGGGAACATCTTTCAAAAAGTTGTGATGTTGCAAGAATTTCTATGTTTTTACCACTAAACACAATTCTCATTTCTGTCTCTATAAACGTGCATATACAATATTAAAATGTTTTTCCAATTTGTTTTCTATTTGAAAATAACAAATCGATGTGTCTTTTCATGTTCTATGATGATATTTATAATTTTTTTCTCTATGAATTCTTTATCTGCAAAATGAAATTAATATATTTCTGTTTTATAATGAATTATTCTTTATTTCTGGTGTGAACCCCCACATAATAGGTATACATTTAAAAATGTGCTGCTATATTATACTTTCAAAATATTTTACTTAAACTTAGTCACATTTGTAAGGGGAGTTGCTTTATAGCTTTCTTTTGAAAAAGGTTCTTAAATCTCTGTGCCTGGAAGTATATAAAAATCAATGATTTTTTCTCCTTTCCCTGCATTCTAGAATAATGTTTTTTTCTTTTTTGAGACGGAGTTTCGATCTTGTTGCCCAGGCTGGAGTGCAATGGCGCGATCTCGGCTCACTGCAACCTCTGCCTCCAGGGTTCAAGTGATTCTCCTGCCTCAGCTTCCCGAGTAGCTGGGATTACAGGCATGCGCCACCACGCCCGGCTAATTTTGTATTTTTAGTAGAGATGAGGTTTATCCATGTTGGTCAGGCTGGTCTCGAACTCCCCACCTCAGGTGATCCGCCCACCTTGGCCTCCTAAAGTGCTGGGATTACAGGCGTGAGCCACACTGCACCAGGCCAGAATTCTTTCTTTCTTTATTTTTTGAGATGGAGTCTTGCTCTGTCACCTGGGCTGGAGTGCAATGGCACGATCTCAGCTCACTGCAACCTCTGCCTTCCGAGTTCAAGTGATCTCCTGCCTCAGCCTCCCGAGTAGTTGGGATTACAGGCATATGCCACCATGCCCGGCCAAGTTTTGTATTTTTTTAGTAGAGATGGGGTTTCACCATGTTGGCCAGGCTGGTCTCAAACTGCTGACCTCAGGTAATCCACCCGCCTAGGCCTCCCAAAGTGCTGGGACTGGTTACAGGCATGAGCCACCATGCCCGGCCCCAGCCAGAATAATTTTTTTAAAACACTGAAATGATCTGTCTTTCAAGGTTTTAATAGAACTTGACTCTCAATGCACTGGGCTTTGGGGTATTAGGGATCACTCCCTGATAATTTCTTATGCTTCCTGGCAATAATTACACTTGGTTTTCAAAATCCCCTTGGAGTCAGGTTAGTAATTCATATTTTTGTAGATAATTATTTTGTGGAACACAATCCATAATGCACCCCTCCCATCTGTGTAAATTTCATTGAGTTTCTGCATCCATTGTGAGTGAGTAGTGGAGTTGCTCACAAGTTCTTTCAATGATGAGGTTTCCAGTTCCGTTGCTGGATCTCCTTGTTGGTTTGTTTGTGTTCAGGGAAGAGATGCATAAGAGATGACTGTGCTCATTCATAAACCACCCATTCAGTCTTTCCTAAAATCTCACTGACTTTGCCTCTTCAATATTCACAGTCCTTGATTCTTCTACCATAGTGACTATGAGACATGTGTATACAACCTTAAAGGAAGATTCCATGATGGTGCCAGACATTTGTCTCTCAGCACTTTCTAAACGTCAGCATTCTCCAAGCTTCCGGAATGGACGCACCTCCATACTTATTCCAAATCCTTCTCTGCAACAATCTTTATCAAAACACTTGAGAGTTACCTACGACCACATTCATACATTTCTATCCTGAGTTTGTTCTTTTTGTTGCTTAAATTTGCTTATATCTCTCGCTTAAAACATGACAAAAACATACTTTTACATCTCTTTCATACTATGTTTGCTTTTCTATAGTCCCTAAAATGCTACCAACATTCGTCTAGGTCTTCTTTAACCCCTTCCTTACTTATTCCCTTGCATTTAAATAATTGCCAAGTAAACAACTGATAATCTGATAATTATGCAGCTGTTTGGGGGCTCATCCAAAATAATTATATGGTGGTTTTGTTTTATTTCTTTATATCATCACTAGGGAGGAAAATCAAAGAAATTTATAAGCCTGGTGTGTCTGGGTGAACAAAGCTTTGAAAATTCTGTGATATCTCTGTGGAATGCATGAAAGCTGAGATCCGTGTGATAGTACACTTAGAATGTATCAGGGCTTATCATAGCAACACTCCCCAGAAGTGTGGTATTATGAATAAATCTTATTTTCCAGGCAGATTCCAAGTTTATTAGGATGCAGTGCAAGGCTCTGTATTTCATGTTATCTTTCTCAAATACTAAGTTTCAAGGAAACTACTATTTAAGAGTTTGAAGGAAGATAGACACACACACACACACACACACACACACACGCACAGAGTTAATCCCTGAACAACTCCAGGGTTAGGAGTGCCACCTTCCTCTGTAGTTCTGTAGTTGAAAATGCATATATACGTTTTACTCTTTGAAAACTTAAGTACTAATAGCCTACTATTGAATGAACTCCTTACTGATAACATAAACATTCAATCAACACATATTTTTTATGTTATACGTATCATATACTGTGTTCTTAGAATAAAGTAAGCTAGAGAAAAGAAAGTTATTAAGAAAATCATAAGGAGGATAATATATCTACTATTCATTAAGTGGAAGTGAATCATTGTTATGGTCAATGAGTAGGCTGAGGAGAAGGAGGAAGAGGAGGGGCTTATCTTGCTTTCAGGGCTGGCAAAGGAGGAAGGAAATCCACGTATAAGTGGACCCATGCAGTTCAAACTTGTGTTGTTCAAGAGCCAACTGTATATGTATGGAGAGAGAGAATGAGAGAGGGAGAGAAAGAGGGACACAGATGGAGATAGATAGATGATAGATAGATAGATAGATAGATAGATAGATAGATAGATAGATAGAGTGAATAGATGAATGGATGAATGGATAGATGGATGAATGGATGGATGGATGGATGGATGGATAAATAGATACATATGATTAATGGATATATAGATAGGTATGATTTATGGATAGATAGATAGGCAACCTCAAGGATTGAAATCATTTCAAACAGTGACTAGGAAGATCATATATATTCTAGAATTAAAGAAGGAATATGATGAGTGAGTAATGTCTTGCAACTAAAATGTTTAGATCACAAGTTGGAACCTTGCCTGTGAGCCAAAACTAATAGGATGAAATTTAAATGGGATAAACATGACACGCTTGTGTAACATGAACATGCAATACGTAGAAGATTACCAGTGACATTAATATGAATATCCCAGATGTCATAGTGAGATGCAGAAAAGGTAGACTTCTGAAAAATTTAAAAGGTCTTTGCACCGGGTATTTCTTGCTCTTTTCTGTCTTTTTTGCATTCATATCAATTTTCTAAGTGTTTTTTGATTTCTTTATGAATACTACCGCTTCTCTATTGCATGTAGCCTGGGGTGATGGTAATCCACAGATCTTTTTTTGTCCCCCAGCCTAGGGTGAGCACGTGGCATACGACAGCTTGGGGAGATACCCCCTTCCACAAATTTAAATCTTGATGAGAGGACTGGAAGGCTTGGAGAGTGTTGACCCTCTGAGCCTGTTTATTATTATTATTATTATTTTTTCCTTTTTAGAGATGAGATCTTACTCTTACCCAGGCTGGTCTTGAACTTTTGGGCTCGAGCAATCCTTCTGCCTGAGCTTCCCAAAGTGTGGGGACTACAGGCGTGAGCCACCACATCCAGCCTCTCCAAAGAATTCTATCAGCTGCATCTTGCTTAACTAAACTCTTCCACATTGAGGCTTTCATTGTAGTTTCTGCTTTCTGACTCCTGAGTACCTATTCCTAAGCCCAGTTCTGTAGTCTCCTACTAATCCTGAGATGGTCAGAAGTCCTTCCAAAAATGCACTCTTTCTTTACTTACTAAACCAAAGCTCTTTCCTCCAGCCAAAGAAGCTCCACTCTTACTCATGAACATCACAGTTCATGTGAGCAATAACATCCACAGGCTGAAGTTTTCTCCTAACCCTGCAGGGATCTTCATTTATTTGTCATTCACTAAGAACTGTGAGTGCTTATTCTGTCTCAGGCATTGTTCTAGAAGCTCTGGATACTATAAGACAGTTGTCCCCAACCTTTTTGGCACCAGGGACCAGTTTCATGGAAGACGGTTTTTCCATGGACCAGGGGTTAGGGGATGGTTTCCAGATGATTCAAGCACATTACATTAATTGTGCCCTTTACCTCTATCATAATTACTTTGCAATATATAATGAAATAATTATACAACTCATCATAATGTAAAATCAGTGAGAGCCCTGAGCTTGTTTCCCTGCAACTAGACAGTCCCATTTAGGGGTTGTGAGAAACAGTGACACTAGAAACATCAGGCACTAGATTCTCATAAGGAGCACACAACCTAGACCCTCACTTGAACAGTTCACAATAGGGTTTGCGCTCCTATGAGAATCTAATGCCGTTCCTGATCTGACAGGAGGCAGAGCTCAGGTGATAATGCCAGTGATGAGGAGTGGCTGTAAATACAGATGAAGCTTCACTTGCTTGCCCACCACTCACCTCCTGCTGTATGGCCCGGTTCCTAACAGGCCACAGATCCACTGGGGACCTCTGAAAGAAGAGACACAGCAGATAAACACAGCTGCTCTCGAGGAAAAATTGGTCTTAGATGGGGAAACAAGTCATCTTATTCATTCTTTAAATTTTGATAACATCAAGGGATAAAAACTAATTTTAAAGAACTATCAAATAAATCCCTTCTAATCTTAAGTGTTCTGCTACAATCATCCTCAGTATCAGCGGGTCGGGGAGGGGACTTGTTCCAGGACCCCTATGGATACCAAAAGCCATGTGTGGGGGCCAAGGCCCTTGGATCCCTAAAAGTTTGCTGAAAATCATGGACATGAGGCAGATTGATTAATAGGATAAAAGGCATACAAATGCATTTAATGTGTATACATGGGAGCCTTCAGAGTGAAGACCCAAAGATACAGGGGAATTGTCCATTTTTATGCCTTGATTCAACAAAGTATGGACAGCCATGTAGAAATAGGATTGGATAAAAATGGCCTAATCTAATGTTAAAAACATTAAAGAATTTTTAAAAATACTAAATTTGCAGTGTTGCCTACCTTCCATCATCTCCATGGGAAAAATTACTTAAATGAGAAAAAAAGATTATTTCCCAGTAGGACGATTTTGTCACCAATCACAGAGATTCTCTGACAATAATCTGGTTGTCCCTCAAATTAAAATGTGTCAGGACTTGACCTCAACACCACAATTAATCACAGCTTATTTTAATGTAATAAATTAGAAATAGGAACACCACAGTATTTATTAATGAAACAAAGTCACAATAAAAAAAGAGTATGTCAGAAATAGTTTTAAAAAGTCCTTCTATGCTCTTCATAGCTGTGGGCTCATTTTATAGCTGCTTGTTTTTCAACACTTTTTTGGTGTTTTAGAAACATTTTCATTTACTTCAAAAAGTTCCATGTATTCCATATTCATTTTAATCTCAGGATCTTATACTTCGATAGTCATGATGCAGTAATTTCTTTTTACCAAATTAATTTCAGACAAAATAGTCTTGTTCCTTATGACAAGCAATAAAAATTGATTTTTACCTGTGTATTTTAGTGAATCCACTTAAGGTCCTTAAATAGCCTCAAGTAGGTTATGTGGGTTGTTCTAACAGACAATGACATTACCTACATCATGGTTTATTTTTACTATCTCTTGCCAACAATTTTAATTATTGGTGAGATATCACATTAGGTAGTTCATGTAGAATAAAATAGATACAAATTGGGTATTCTTGATTAAATTATAGCTATTCATAAATATAGAGTAAGTCAACTATATTACTTGTATGTTATATTAGATAGTGCTTTCACAATACATATACGTAAAATATAAAGAATGATCACATTCCTGGTTTACTAAAAAACAGCAAGTATGTATAAAAATAGCATTTTAATTTTTTTTATGATTTACTAATATACAGAGTAATTGATGATATCGATCTGCTGTGGGTTGAACATGAGTAACATCTCTTTGAACTCAGCTGCAACATCTGTGAAAATCTGTATGAGGTTATCTACTGTATAGGGCTGCAATGAGAATGGAATAAAATAATTTAAGAAAAGAGCTTTTCCAGTGTCTCATAAATATTAAGGGGTAAAGAAATGACATTTATAATACTAAGTGCTATTGTACTTAGTTAATTTTGAACACTGTTACCTCATGCCTTGACTTCTGTGGGGTTAGGCTTATATACTAAATGGATATCATTTGCTCATATGCTTAACTATATTAATGTACAATCAAATGCTCAACAAACTTTTAAACTTAGAGGAGGCTGGGCATGGTGGCCCATGCCTGTAATCCCAGTACTTTGGGAGGAAGGCGCAGAAGGATCACTTGAGCTCAGGAATTCAAGACCAGCCTGGGAAACAAAGTGAGGCCCCATCTCTACAAGAAATACAAAAGAAAATAGAAAAAAAAGAAAAATTAGCCAGGCATGGTGGCACAGGCCTGTAGTCCCAACTACTCGGGAGGCTGAGGTGGGAGGATCACTTGAGCTCAGGAGTTCAAGACCAGCGTGGGAAACAAAGTGAGGCCCCATCTCTGCAAAGAATACAAAAAGAGGAAAAGAAAAGAAAAGAAAAGAAAAGAGGCCAGGCGTGGTGGCTCACCCTTGTAATCCCAGCACTTTGGGAGGCCGAGGTGGGTGGATCACAAGGTCAGGAGATCGAGACCATCCTGGCTAACACAGTGAAACCCCGTCTCTACTAAAAATATTAAAAAATTAGCTGGGTGTGGTGGCGGGCGCCTGTAGTCCCAGCTACTCGGGAGGCTGAGGCAGGAGAATGGCGTGAACCCAGGAGGCGGAGGTTGCAGTAAGCCGAGATCTTGCCACTGCACTCCAGCCTGGGCGACAGAGTGAGACTCCATCTCAAAAAAAAAAAAAGAAAAGAAAAGAAAAGAAAAGAAAAGAAAAGAAAAGATTAGCTAGGTGTGGTGGCTCAGGCCTATAGTCCCAGCTACTCAGGAGGCTGAGGTGGTAGGATTGCTTGAGCCCTGGGAAGGTCAAGGCTGCAGTGAGCTGTGATCATCCCACTGCACTCTAGCCTGAGCAACAGAGCAAGACTCTCTTAAAAAAAAACAAAACAAAACAAAAAAAAGAAAAAGAACAAAAAACTTAGAGAATATCCCTAAAACCATGAAGCCACGCATTTTGTATTATCTTTAATATAATGTTAAAATCATTGCCTTTTAACATTTTAGTTCTCATTTTTATGCACAGTAATAATTTAGATTAACCTGTTTTCTTTTGTGCTGGTATACTTGCATATGTAAACTGAATATAATATAAATTACATTAAAAAATTGTATACATATAAGTTGTATTCATTTTAACATTATAGTTTTCATTTCTTACATATAGTCATAATTTAGGTTGATCTGTTTTATTGTGTACTACATTTATATATTATATAATATAAATTTTATGTGTTTCATATATATGAATTTTATAAATTTTAACATTTCATTTTTAACCTTATATACATTCATGATTTAGATTGATCTAAATTTTATTTTGTGCTACATTTTTATATATATTAATTGTATATAAGCTATGCACATAGTTTTGTAAAAGTTTGATTACTTTTTCATTTCATTATATCTTTTATTTCCAGAAGTATTTGATATGCATCAATTTTGACTCATTGAATATGTCTTCTTCATTGTTCATCCTAAGTTCTTCTTCATTTTTCTCTATTTCTACATATGTTCTACTAATTTTTTTAAACAATGAATATGTCATAAATTTATTCATCTGTGAAAACTTTTATATCCTAAAATAGGTGTTTGCCACATTTGCACCTGGAACCCTTACCAGATATAACACATGAGGTCACAGATATTATTCCTCAATAGCTATCTTAATATTGTGCCATCATTTTCCTGCATTTTGTGTCGCAAAAGGGAAGTTTCAGCTATATTAGGCAACCTGTCCACACCCACACCACTCTTTATACCCTTGTATAATATTTTTCATTACAAATGCAGTTTAAAAGCTATGCCTGAGAGTGCTTAGGTGAAGGTGACATCTCCCCTCTGCAAAAGGCAATGATATAATGATAGCTGTGATTTTTTTTTTTTTTTTTTTTTTTTTTGCTGGTGATAGCTGAACCTTGGTTAGGGCGAATAAAGCTGAAGATACCTATGAAGGATTCTCCTTTGCAGAATATTGTAAATGAGTGTGGCTGTGTGTTCCTTCACACACATGCATATACAGAAATGGATGAAAAGAAGACTGGCCATTCTAATATTGAAAATTCCTGTGGAAAGACTTTTTGTTTCAGGTATAAAATCCATATGAGTGATTTTGGGGCTTGTAAAAATGGTCTGATCATTGACATGTTTTAATCGTTTGCATTAGCAAATAGCATCAACATATTGAACCTGAGCTTCTACCACCACCATTTAAGAGGTAATGGCATTAAAAAGAGACACAAGGAATAAATTTTTCTTGGTCTGATGCATAAGAGCTGTGGGTGGAAAAACATTAGTAAACCTTAATGAAATGGACTAAAGGTCAGCAGACGTGCAGTAATGATAAATATGTCCTTTGTTGAGATGTTGCCTTAGGGTCAAAATCAATCCTGAAAACTATAAGATCAGGAAAAGCTATTCACAGCACATTTGAATCCAGCCTCCTTACGGAGAAAACAAGTGATTATAATTTTTTTGCATTCTAGTTTAGAAGAAGAAAATTGATTATTTCTGTATTTCCCCCTTGTGAATATAAGTTATTCTATTATAAAAACACACGCATGTGTGTATGTTCATTGCAGCACTATTCACAATAACAAGACATGGAATCAACCTACCCATCAATGATAGAGTGGATAAAGAAAATGTGGTACATATACACCATGTAATATTATGCAGCCATAAAAAAGAATGAGATCATGTGTTTTTCAGGAACATGGATGGAGCTGGAGGCCATTGTCTTTTGCAAATTAATGTAGTAACAGAAAACAAAATAATACCATATGTTCTTACTTGTAAGTGGGAGCTAAATAATGATAACACATGGACAACACCTATGTCGAGGGGAACAACACACACTGGGACCTAATGGAGGGTGGAGGGTGGGAAGAGTGAGAGGATCAAGAAAAATAATTAATGGATACTAGGCTTAATAACTGGGTGATAAAATAATCTGTACAACAAACCCCCCATGACACGTGTTTACCTATATAAAAACCTGCACATGTATCTCTAAACTTAAAACTTAAAAAATATTTCCCCCTTGTTCTAACAACCCAGTAAATAACTCATTTATTGTAATGACTGATGTTAATAAAACAGCTTCATTCCCTTGAAAGATTCAGACAGACTAAAGGGATGGGAGACAGGCCAGTTGCCCAGAACTTGATCCACAGTACCCCATCTTGAGTCTATTTTAATTATAGAAAAATCCAAACACAGCCAATGTTGCATTATTTCAAACTATTTTCTAATAGCAAAATAAGGTGGTGGGAGAGTATGATGAATGTTATAATTTAGGCAGGAACATTTTATCATCATGCAGTCATTAATTATTATCACCCAAATCTTTTCTGAACATCTGCCTCCAATTCAGTGCCCAATTTACAGCTTAAGCCAAGAATTGTATAACCAGAGTGAGCTGCCTGGCTTGGTTTGTACACATAAGCCTTCTGGAAAATATTTTAAAAACTCTTGAAAGCTTCGGCAAATTTCGTGGGGAAGAGACAGGGGCTACTAAAAACTAAATTTTACATTTTAACCAAAACAAACTTCTTCCACAATCTCATCTGCGGCTGTGGGTCAAGAGCTTTTATATGGTTTGGCTTGTTTGGGGAAGGGTGAGTTAGACTTGTTTTTTGCCTAAAAATGAGCATACTGTTTTTGTTTCATATCCATATTTTTTTTTGTTGTAAGACGAAGAACTTTTGGCTTGTACGTTATGGAAATCTGATCTCTAACGTGGTTCATAAAGGAGGTCTCCTCAATGGTCTAGTAATGTATGTCACCGTGAACACATACAGGGATTTATTTGAAAACACCCCTGTTTATTTTTAGATCCTGTATTTGTGGAGCCTGTTTGTATTTTTGGATGGAAGCATTGCAAATCGGAGGAGTATTCTATCTACCAGCGTGGCTAAAACACTGATATTCTAAAACCAGGCCGACTGAAGGCATACTTTCTCACAGCATTTTAAAAGCACACAATTTATAGTGTATACTTTTGAACCTTGGCTAGGGAAAATAAAGTTGAAGATATGTATGAAGGATTCTCTTTTTCAGAATATTATAAATGAGTGTAAAAGTTACACATTTTATAATGCATTATTTGTTTTAATGTTTTCAAATTCTCTCACATATAGCATCTTGCACTATTATCTCCCACACATGTTGACACACGTTGAAGAATTATGACATCCTAGTAGGAAGGAAAGCAATGAGCAAAGATAAACACTCACTTAGCTATCCAGATTTTTATTATCAGTTCTTATGAACAGACCATGTTAAAAGATGTCTTCGATGTCTATATATTAATCATTTTCTAAAATGATATATTTCCATATTTGCAATGGAAAACTATTGCAAAGGAATAGAGACAATCTGCACTCGCTCTAGTGCCCCATGCTTCCTGTTTCTTCTTTCTTTTCCACTCTCCCCTTTTAAATATATCAGCTCTTGGAAATGTTAATTCTTCATAATCAAAAATATTTAAGCACATAGATAATATATGTACTTATAACATTAGAGGTTTTCTAGGTGAGATTTCTAGCTGTTGAGCAAAGTATGATTTTAATCTTTTTTTTATAAGACAGAGATTGAAATGGTCAATCAGAGTGGAACAAAGTATGTCACAAAGAGATTCTCTTACATCTATGAGATGGTCCAGCTGCAGATACTCTTCGGAACATCAAAGTTTATGTATTTAGAATGTTCATCATTCCATGTAAGTCTCAAACCTGTTTCAGGAAGATGAACAGGGATCATTTTCAGCTTCAAGACTAAAACGTGTGACAGAATATCAATTAATTTCCGTAATTCATCATATTGCCGTGCTATTGTGTTTGCATTATTGATTATACTGTGAAGCCACAGTAGAATGGTTTCCAGCATTTAATGTGAACTACTGAAAAAACAGAATGCTGTCATTAAGAATGGGTTAAAAATGATCTCCAGGCAACAATAATCTTTAGGTGATTCACTAATAATTTTATTTTCTTCATTTCAAAGCCCATGCATTTTTCCCTCCATCTTTAAAAAGACTTACTTTTTTATTTTTTATGTTTATTTATTTATTTATTTATTTATTTATTTATTTATTTATTTTGAGACGGAGTCTTACTCTGTCACCAGGTTGGAGTGCAGTGGCACGATCTCTGCTCACTGCAACCTCCGCCTCCTGGGTTCAAGCGATTCTCCTGCCTCAGCCTCCCAAGTAGCTGGGACTACAGGCACACACCACCACGCCCAGCTTATTTTTGTATTTTTAGTAGAGACGGGGTTTCACCATGTTGGCCAGTCTGGTCTCAAACTCCTGACCTCATGATCTGCCCGCCTCAGCCTCCCAAAGTGTTGGGATTACAGGTGTGAGCCACCACGCCCAGCCAAAAAAAAAAAAAAAGATTTACTTTTAAATTACTTCCTAGAATTCTTTAAATTGTGGCCTAGATACCCCAAGAAAAGGAAAGTTTACATATCACCCTATAATTTTCAAGCAGTAAATGGACAAAACCATTTTATCTAACCTCTCTCCCAAGGCAGCAACCTATTTCAAAATCCTAGCAAACTCATAATTCTCAGGACAACCAATTTCATTCAAAATTGATAGACTTTTTTTTTGGTTTTCATGTGATTATTATTATTTTGAAACTTTAAAAGCAGTTTTAGCTTTACAGCAAAATTGAGTGGAAAATACAGAGATTTCACATATCTCTTTTATTTTGTTTTTGTTTTGAGACAGGATCTCACTGTCACCTAGGCTGGAGTGCAGTGGCACGATCATGGTTCACAGCAGTCTCTACCTCCCAGGCTCAGGTGATTCTCCTGCCTCAGCTTCCCAAGTAGTTGGGACTACAGGTATATGCCACCATGCTTGGCTAATTTTTTTTTTTTTTGGTATATTTTCGTAGAGACGGGGTTTTGCCTTGTTGCCCATGGCTGGTCTGGAACTCCTGGTCTCAAGCCATCGGCCCGTCTCAACCTCTCAAAGTTCTGGGATTACAGGCATGAGCCACAATGTCTGGCCAGCTATACATCTCTTAACCATACATATGTACAACCTCCCTCACTGTCAACATCCCCCACCAGAGTGGTACATTTTTTGCGACTGATGGACCTACGTGGGAACGTCATTATCATCCAAAGTCCATAGTAGTTTATAGTAGGATTCATTATTGGTGTTGTACATTCTGTGGGTTTGGATAGATGTAAAATTGCATGTACCCTTCATTATAGCATCACAAAGAATAGTTTCACCACCCTAAAAATCTTGTTCTCCACCTATTCATCCCTTCTTCTCCCCAATTCCTGGGAACCATTGATCTTTTTACTATCTTCATAGTTCTCCAGAATGTTCCTATACAATATGCAGCCTTTTCAGACTGGCTTCTTCCACTTAGTAATATGCATTTTAGTTTCCTTTGTGTCTCTCAGGGCTTTGTAGCTCATTTCTTTTGGGTGTTGTATTCCATTGCTGGATGCGCTGCAGTTTCTGCATTTACCTGTTGAATGACATTGGGGATGTGAATTCCACTTTAAGGTAGATAAAATTTGCACTAGATATATTCCCTGGAGCTTGGGTACACTTGCCTATCCCTTCTTACGTTGCTCAGCTGCTAAAAAAAATTCCAAGCTCATAAGAATCTTGTGGTTTCCTTTCCTGTGTATGAACATATAAATCTGAAGCTTACAAAAGAGGCTGCTTTCACCCATCATAATAATGAGTGTTTAATGATGCGTCAATCAACTGTGATTCAAGACCTGAGTAATTTCTCAGTTCTTATGAGGAGACTGCTGTCCAGCACATTGGAATCTCTTCAGAGAGTGAGAATTATAGTTATGAGGCTTTGAAAAGGAAATCGTTTAGGTATTACTGCCGTCATTGAATGTTTTACAGATTATCATCGATGTCCTGATTTTTGTCCATGCCTCCAAGAGTAAACTCTTAAAGAGGGACAAAACATAATCTGAATCAATGGAAACCTATGATTAGCAATTCTGAATTTTTATGCCAATTTTGGAAATGTCTGCTAGGGAAGAAAATGGAGGTAAGTTAGTGCCGGTAACACGGAAGCGGCTTTCTCAATTGCCAGTCTTTGGGAATAGAGAAATACGTAACATAGAGATGGAAATATTTCTGTATTTTCATAAAATAATGGATGAGCTGTCATCATTCACAGCCACAGGAAAATGTTGGCAGCCCAAGCAGAATAAGTGAGAAAAGAGCATTATACCCAGTCCCTGCTTAATGAAGCTGAGAGATGAAAGCTACTCAATCATAGTATTTGACCACCACACCTGGATTCTCTATATTAAAAAGGCATTTATCTAATAATCCATTGCAGGCTATTACCAGAAACCGAGAATGGTGTTACTGATGGAAAGAAGATGGAAAAGTATCTAAGAAGCAATATTTCCTCACTGTAATAAACCTCAATGAAGGATCGATCTTTCAAGGAAAATTGTTGGTTTTGCATTTTGCATCGGGCTGTCAAACTCAGTTATAGGCAGGATAATTTAGCCAAATATCCAGCACTCAAAGTTAATGAAGTCAGAATATTTTTCTTTTATCAAGTGATTTTTACACAAAATAATAGCTTGGTGATTGAAAGAAAATTTCATATTACTAAAAATGTGAGAGAATTAATCCGAGAAAAATCCATTACCCAATTTATACCTTACTCTGGAATGTATCAATATGTCTGATTAAAATAACTAGTTGCAAATGTTAAAATAATTTTGTTCATTTTCTACCACCATGGGGAGGAGATAAGAGATTCTATCAACCAAACTAATTCACAATGTCTATAGTTATTATTGGACTATTAAGTGATTCTGAGGAAAATAAGCCCAGAATGTTTTTTACAGCAGCATTCTTCAAGTAACAGAAAAATAGAGAGGGAGGTTGTAAAATACAAGGAAGGGTGAAAACTAGACATCTGGAATTAGGCTACCAATTTTGAAAAGTATTTTTGTTTGAGTATCTCTTGGTTGATGACTACATACATGTTAAACATAGCATTTGGAGGCTGTGTTTGAAACATACGGAAATCTGCAACAATGCACAGAAACAGCTATCACACTGTCAGGTCTCAGTGAGAATGCTTTTAGTGGCATCAGTTCAAAATATGAAATAGCTATTTCCATTATGCCCATGTTCTCTGTGTAAGACTGTGAACCTTACTGGACCTTATATATGTTCACACCACACACACACACATACATATATACACACACACACATAAATACATAATTACTTAATATAACAACACATATCATTACATAATATGCTAAATATTATCTAATATAATATTTACATATTACATATGTATTCTTTTATATAAATAAAATATACACATATAAATTTAATTATATATGTATATTATATTTATTTATACATAATATTTGTATATAAGTATACATATATAATTCATATACACATTGTAATATATATTTACATTGTAAGTATATAATATAAATATTATATTTATATATTATGTTAATATTATATTATTTATATATTCATATAATATTTATTTTATATAATATTTATATATTTATTTATATAAATAAAATATACATATATAAATATAATATAAATATAATATTTCTATATTAATATTATATTTATTATATAAGTATTTCTATATATAATATAATATAATATCTTTATATATAATATAATATAATATAAAATCTTTATATATAATATAATATAATATAAATAAATATAGAAATATATTTATTTATATGTCTGTATTATATTTATACATAATATATATAAGTATACATATATATTTCTATATATTATATTTATTTATGTACATATATTTTATTTATTTACATATAGTATTTATATATAAGTATACACATGTACATATACACATTATGTTATATGTAATATTTATATTATTGTATTATATGAGTATTTATAATAATATTTATGTGCAAGTATACATATAATACATATGCACATTATAGATGACAGGTGTGCCAAAATCTCACAGATCACCACTAAAGAGCTTATGTAACCAAATACCATCTGTTCCCCAATAACCTATGGAAATAAAAAATTTTAAATAAGGAAATATGTGTTAAAAAACACAATTATGGGAAAATTATTAAGAAAAAGGCTACCCAAATGACATTTAAATATGCCTTAATCCATGTTATCAGTTTTAGAAGCTGCAGAATATAGACAAGCATGCACTTAAATGGGAATAAAATAATAGTGGGACATGTTAGTGGTCTCTGTCTTGTGTTCATATGGGAATTTTGCGATGTTCAGTATCAATCAGCCTCCATTACTCAGGGTTCAGAGCTGAGATAATGCCTGTGGCCCCCCTTCATTCAAAGAGATCTTTGACAAAAAAACCACAAAACAAAAAACAAAAACAAACTAAGATGTGTAAAGACATTCCATAAATTACATCACGACCTGAAAATGGTGCCTATTGGGTTAACAAGACTACTTCATACTGAAGTTACTGTTTCTTTGTAGAAAGCCCTTTACAAGATGATGTTATGTTGAACTTTTAAATTTTCCTGCTTGTCCCACTAAGACTAGACTCTGACACGAAGTCTTATTTTGTATATTTGTTAATTTGGAGCATGAATTGCTGTCTTAAAATGTATTTTCTCAAAAGTATGTGCCCTCATTTCTCATGTTGTTGTCCTGCTATTTGTTATTTAGCTTTCTCAGATAATCTGTTGACTGGCCTTAACAAATAAGAAAAAAAAATTAAACAGAGTCAGAAAAATTCATAATGCATATAAAGTCACTACTTCTTCAACACCCTTTCTTCAATCTGGAACTATTCACTCAGTTGACTTTACCACCATGCACCCAGATTCCTTCATTCTAAGTGTTTCCTCTGCCACTATTTAATCCATGTTATTCTTAAGACCTGTTTGCAGTTTTCCAAACAGCTTTTTAAAATGAGTCTTACATACATTATTCTTATAAACTCTAATTTTTAACGAGTACCAGCTTACCTATTCCTAAATATAGTAAATGTATGTTCATTGTGCATTCAAATATTGAGAGTCCCCAGTTGCTCAGGCTGATAAGGCACTACATGCCATGTTGTCATCTCATTCATTCATGCTTTTAGAAGTACAAATTGAGAACATATCAGCTAAGATGTCTGCTCCATGCTGAGAATAGAGACATGAATATAAAAGTCATAATCTTCTTCTTTTTTGAGTCAAAGTCTCACTCCGTCACCCAGGCTGGAGTGCAGTGGCGCAATCTTGGCTCACCGTAATGCCTACCTCCCGGGTTCAAGTGATTCTCGTGCCTCAGTCTTCCAAGTAGCTGAGATTACAGGCATGCGCCAACATGCTCAGTTAATTTTTTGTATTTTTAGTAGAGATGAGGTTTCACCATGTTGGCCAGGCCGGTCTCAAACTCCTCACCTCAGGTGATCTGCCTACCTTGGCCTCCCAAAGTGCTGGGATTACAGGTGTGAGCCACCATACCCAGCTTATAAAAGGCATAATCTCTTTCACTTTTAAACATGAGTCCAGATCAAAATATCTAGAGGTCTTTTTTTGCAACATATGTTAACACGATGCTGTGATTTGCATGCTTGTGTCCTTCCAAAATTTATCTGTTAAAACTTAATGCCCAAGGTGATGGTATTAAGAAGTGAGATATCTGGAAGGTGATTATTTTGCCCTCATGAATGGTATTAGTGCCTTCACAAAAAGGCTAAAGGGACCTAGCTAGACTTTTTCTGCCTTTTCACCTTCTACCATGTGAGGACACAGAATTTCTACGGCAGGAGGGCACAGCAACAAGGCACCATTTTGGAAGCAGAGAGCAGCCCTCCCCAGACACTGAATCTGCCAGCACCTTGATTTTGGACTTCCCAGCCTCCAGAACTGTAAGAAATACATTTCCATTCTTAAAATTTGCTCAGCTTCAGGTATTTTGTTATAGCAGCCCAAATGGACTAAGACACACAATTTTAACCTATTTGTCAAAGAATCCAAATACACAGAATGTATAAAGAAAACTGTGAAAGTCTTCCAGATATATTTCTATGAATCTATAGATATCTGGTTTTGCAATATGATTTCTTCAATTAATAATCTGTCATCAATGATCTTGTATGTCAGCACATGCAGAGAGATCTTGTTTTCTTTTATGGGATCATAATCTTAAAGGTATATTTTATGCTGTAATTTGAAATATTGTGCAATTTGGTATGGGAATTGAAATTTCTGTATTGATTGACACTCATATATTTTAATTTAGCTTCTGCATGTTATGTAAAGATGACACTGGTTTTACTCACGATGGTAGAGATGATGGATGGAAGATGCAAAGTTCCCAGAACTTAAGGTAGTGAGAGAAACCAGATGTCTGAATAAAAGCCATGTTTCTCGTATATAAAACTCCATGATTTTGTTGTCATTTACCTTGAAAGAATCCTAAAAGGAAGAGAACATAAAAAAGAGGGTGTGTGGCTGGGTGCATTGGCTCACGCATGTAATCCCAGCAATTTGGGAGGCCAAGGTGGGCAGATCATGAGGTCAGGAGTTCAAGACCAGCCTGGCCAATATGGTGAAACTCCATCTCTACTAAAAAAAAAAAAAAAATTAGCCAGGCATAGTGATGCCCCCCTGTAATCCCAGCTACTTGGAAGGCTGAGGCAGGAGAATCACTTGAACCCAGGAGGCAGAGGTTGCAGTTGCAGTGAGCAAAGATCACGCCATGGCACTCCAACCTGGGTGCCAGAGCAAGACTCCTTCTTGGAAAAAAAAAAAGAAAGGAGGGTGTATGTGTTTTCCCCTCCCTGTTTGGGGGGAGGGAGAACATTAGGAAGAACAGCTAATGGATGTGGGGCTTAATACCTAGGTAATGGGTTGATCTGTGCAGCAAACCACCGTGGCACATGTTTACCTATGTCACAAACCTGCACATCCTGCACATGTGCCCCAGAACTTAAGACAAAAATAAAAATTAAAAATAAATAAATAAAAAGGAAAGAGGATGTGGATCAGGAGTCTAATTTCAGACATTCTCTGCAAGAAAAGTCATTAATTGTATGTTCTCAGAAACCAAAGAATTATGACCCTTGATTCTCTTTACACTAGGCAGAAATAAAATTTAATCTAATCATTTGGTGTGGGATAATAAGGGGAAGGTACCAACAAAAGCCAGAAACACCAAGAATTCAGGAGGCCAATTGGGGTCTGAAAACCTCTCCTGGTAAGACACCCCCTTTGTGGGGAATCTCTGATTCTCAGGGAACCAGCACTCTCTCACACATTTCTACTATAAGAGGATGATTCTTCTTTCTGTTCCATCTTCCTGGCAGTTTCCTCATTTTCTGGTCTCTAGAAATGTAGGTGTTTATTTATTGGGGTAATATATACAATATAAATTTAATCACTTTTTTTTTTTTTTGAGAAGGAGTCTCGCTCTGTCGCCCAGGCTGGAGTGCAGTGACTTGATCTCGGCTCACTGCAAGCTCTGCCTCCCGGGTTCATACCATTCTTTTGCCTCAGCCTTCCGAGTAGCTAGGACTACAGGTGCCTGCCACCACGCCCAGCTAATTTTTTGTATTTTTAGTAGAGATGGGGTTTCACCGTGTTAGCCAGGATGGTCTCAATCTCCTGAACTTGTGATCTACCCACCTCAGCCTCCCAAAGTGCTGGGATTACAGGCATGAGCCACCGTGCCTGGCCTAAATTTAATCACTTTAACCATTTTTAAGGGTACATTTCAGTGGCATGAAGTCCATTCTGGTTCTGGATCCAGCAGGCCACTTTTGCACTGGCAATGATAAACTTTATTCTCTCAAATTTGCTGGGCTCAACCCCTTATGGGAGGGAGCACGCAGGTGAGTGGGTGCCAGGGCCCGGGTGAGCACTTTCTGTCCTCATGGCAGCATCTGGGGCTGTGTTACAATTAATTCTCTTTTAGCTTTGCCATCTGTGGATGGCTTAAGTGTTAAACAACTCAATGAAGAGTCAGTTTGACCGCCTTTTTGGATTCCTGCACTCAGTGCATCCAGAATTCTTGTCTAGGGTCCAGGAAAAATCAGGTCACATGAATGGTTTGAAAGGTGATGAATGCAGAGGATTTTATTAAGTGGTGGAAGTGGCTCTCAGCAGAAGGGGAGCTGGAAGTGGGATGGTACAGGAAGAAGGTGATCTTTCCCAGAAGCCCTACCATCTCTGTTCGGGCTCCTCTCTGAAGTCATGCTGTTCTGAAGTTAAGCTGCATCTATCCATAGTCTCTGATGCTCAGTTGCTTCTTCTTCTCTTGACATTCAGCCACTTATTCCTCTGCCAGCTGAGATCTGGGGTTTATATGGGCACAAGATGCTTGGGTGGCGGGCCAAAAAGGTAACATTTTGGTAGGAAAGCAGGGATAACTGTTCTCATTTAGGGCGGCAGTTTCCAGGCTTGAGGGTGGGGCCTTTGCCAGGGAGCCGCCCTCTTCTACCCAGTATTTCCCTGCTTCTTGTCCATATCACCACCATCACCGCCATCCATCTCCAGAACTCTGTTCATCTCGCAAAGCTTTATACCCATTAAACAATAACCTCCTGTTCCCCACTTTGTCCAACCTCTGGGGACTATCATTCTACTTTCTGTCTCTATGAATTTGAGCATTCTAGGTACCTCATATTAATGAATATTCCCTTGAATGTATGTACCACAATTTCTCTAGCCATTCATTAATCAATAGACACATAAGTTGAGTGAACCTTTTGGCTATTGTAAATGATGCTGCAATGAACATGGGTGTGCAAATTCCCACTTCCAATTATTTTGGGTCTATACCTGGAAGCAGAGTTTCTGAGTCATATGGTAACTGTATGCTTCTCTTTTGAAGGAACTGTTATACTTTTTGGAATTCAAGGTTTTAAGAAAGCTTCAGGCAGGGAAGGAAAACTTCATCTTTGGAATTTCTGAGTGAGATTTGTTACCAAAACAACAACAAAATTTTCCTTAATTCTGCCTCAGGTTAAAGGGTGTTGTATTAGTCTGTTTTCACACTGCTATAGAGACATACCGAAGACTGGGTAATTTATAAATAAAAGAGGTCTAATTGACTTGCAGTTCACATGGTTAAGGAGGCCTTAGGAAACTTACAATCATGGCAGAAGGGGAAGTAGGCACATCTTACATCGCAGCAGGTGAGCAGGTGAGAGAGAGAGCACATGTGTCAGTGCAGGAAAAACTATCATTTATAAAACCATCAGATCTTGTGAGAGTTCACACAATATCATGAGAACAGCATGAGGAAAACTGCCTCCATAATCCAATCACTTCCCACAAGGTCTCTCCTCAAACACCTGAGGATTACAATTCAAGATGAGATTTGGGTGGGGACACAAAGTCTGACCATATCAGGTGTGTTTCCTGAAAAACACAGTCAAGAGATCCTTGGGTAGAGGGAGAGTGAGAATTTGAGGAACAACTCAAAGATTAGGATATTATTATAATAAAGTATTCTGCACTATAAGCCTTCCATAAACATACTAAGGGATTATTATTTGTGTACATTAAAAATGCTCTTTCATTTTAGGGATATACATACCCATTAAAATCCATTCATTCCAATCCCAGAATAAAAGCTTGGCATTATCTCCAGGATTTAAAATAAGAATGTCACTGTAGAAATTCCCAAGGATTTCAAAACCAACATCAGCTCTTTGGTATATGACTGCTCCCAGTACAATCATAATTTGACCTAAATTTTGCCCCTTTCCAAGAATTCTGGTATCACTCATGAGTGTTTGCTTGCTGTCTGGTCTTACCAGTCACATTATCTCTTGGTATAAATGGTAACTGGCTGTCTATGTCTTTGCTTCCTCTCACGGTACTTTGTTTACCAAGCTGCAGATATTCAGGGTGCATTGCCCAATGGACAATGAAGAGACAGTGGCTGGGCTGTTTTTGGAGGCAGGATCCCTAAGATTTGACATCTCATTCTTGATGCCATCCACGTCCAATCAGACTTGAACTTCAGGACATTTCTGCAGATGTCTTACAAATTAAGTCACTGGGTCTTTTTTTTGTTTCTTAATGCATCCTCCTTTGATCTCACGTTTAGAAATTCTATTTGAGATCCTGCTTTTGCTGGTTATCCTACCTTGGCCACATTTCTAATGAGCAAATTCAACAGGGCTGTGCAAGGAACATTTTTCAATGCCAACTCAAATTCTGAAATGTATTTAATATTCATACTCTGATCTCAGGTCACTTCATGTTAAACATGACAAGCTGTCTTGTGGTAGTAGCTTTTACTTATAAATGTGGATACATTGTTGAATTCTCAAGTATTCTATGCAAAAACGGATCAAGCTTCTTCCTTTTCTGTGTTCCCACTCTACTGGAGAATAGAAATCATGGAGCCAGGTTGTAATTCTCCTTTTCCTATCAGACTTTTGCAGTAAACTGTGAACTCCTCAAGGGCAAAGACCCTTTACTGCTCATTTCTGGAATTCCATTTTTAGCAGACAGCCTTGTAAGAGGAATGCCGTTAATATACATTGAAGACATGAAGCAAAGAAAACAAGAGAGGGAAACAGGGAGAGAGAAGGAGGAAGGAAGAGGTGGGGAGAAGAGATGGAGGACCTGTTTATAGACTGATGTCAAGCAAGTTAAAACACATAGTTCAAGGTTTTCATTTTTCATTTTTCCAAAGACCTGCAGTTGACCTTGTTGAAAGAAGTTTGCCATTTTTTAGCCACTGAAGCCTAAGAACATCTTCATATTGTTTATGTCCATTCATCTGATGAATCTCTTCTTTCTGCAAGCCCTTTAAAAGGAGTCACTGATTTTTAGAAAGGGCGGGTGCAGCTTGTGGAGCTGGAGGGAAGTTCCTAAACAGGAGTGGCTCTAGTTCACAGGCTTGTAGAGTCCATAATTCCCCTCAAGGCTGTGGAATTTGTGATGTATATGCCTGGTGTGAGCTCAGTGAGACCCAGATAACACACATTGTCACCCCTGGTCACACTCTACCTGGCCTTTTTTTGTTTTTTTATGGCTCTGGTGTGTTGGGAGACTAAAGTACACCTTGGAATTCTGTCTTACAACTGGTCTATCCATTGTAAGGTGAGGACATGTGACAAGAAGCTTCTCAAGTCTCAGCCAGGATGTCTTCAGACATCAGCTCCTACTGGGGTCACCAAGAAGCCAGTCAGATAGCTTTGGAGAATGATAGGTGGATGCTGAGTGTTTGCATGGCTGGTTAGCTCTGTTTGTTTATTCTTGCTCATCCAAGAAAATGCAGCCTTCCTTTTATTTCTCTTTTCTCCATTGATCCCTAGTGCTGAAATTGATGCTTTTAGTCAAACTGAATTCATAGATCTATCTAACAATGATATCTCATCATTAGGAGACTAGAATTATTATTAGTCAATATTTGCCAGAGAAACAGAACCAGTAGGAAATGGATGTATAGATAGATTGATAAATAGATAGATAGAATAGATGATAGGTAGTTAGATTTGATTGAAAGATCACTAGATGAAATAGTTGAATGGAGGGATGGTTGGATTGATGGATGGATAAGATAGAAAGACAGATGATAGATGAAAGATTATAGATAGATGATATATAATAGCTAGATAGGTAGCTAGATAGTGAGAGAGATTTCATAGATCAGTAGATGGTATGGATAGATGGATAAGATAGGAAGAAAGATAATAGATAGATAGGACAGATAATAGATGGTAGACAGATGATAGATAAATGATAAATGGATGATAGATAGATAGATAGATAGGTAGATAATTGATAGACAAAAAGATAGATTTGATATATCAACAGATGGGATGGGTGGATGTAGGGATAAGTCAGCAAGGCAGATGATATATATATATATGGGACACATGATGGATATATAATAGATTGTAGATAAATGATAGATAGATCAATGATTGATACATAGAGACATACATACACGTATACATACGTTTATTAAAAGGCCTTGGTTCATGTGATTAGGGAAGCTGTTAAGTTCAAAATCTACAGGGTGGTCTGGCAACCTGGAGACTAAGTTGAGCCAATGTTGCAGATAGAGTCCGAGGGCCACTTGTTGGCAGAATTCATTCATGGTCTGGGTAAGTCAGTCGTTTGTTCTATTCAGGCCTTCAATTGAGTTGATGAAGATCACTCACATTATGGACAGTGTGATGGTTAATATTGAGTGCCAACTTGATTGCACTGAAGGACGCAAAGTATTGTTCCTGCATGTGTCTGTGAGGGTGTTGCCAAAAGAGAATAACATTTGAGTCAGTAGACTAGGAGAGGCAGATCCACCCTCAATCTGGATGGGCACCATCTAATCAGCTTCCAGCATGGCTAGGATAAAGACAGGCAGAGGAATGTGGAAGGAATAGACTTGCCGAGTCTTCTAACCTCCATCTTTCCCCCATGTTGGATGCTTCCTGTCCTGGAACATTAGACTCCAAGTTTTTCAGCTTTTGGTCTCTTGAACCTACACCATTGGTGTGCCTAGGGCTTTCGAGCCTTCAGCCACAGATTGAAGGCTGCACTGTCAAAGTTTCCCTAATTTTGAAATTTTGGGACTTGGACTAGCTTCTTTGCTCCTCAGCTTGCAGATGGCCTATTGTGGGATTTCACCTTGTGATCATGTTAGTCAATACTTCTTAATGAACTCCCTTTCATATATACATCTATTAGTCCTGTGCTTCTACAGAACCCTGACTAATACAGAGGGCAAACTGCTTTACTCAAAATCCAAAAGTAAGTTAATAATAAAAGGATATTATCAATAACTTTATGGCAAAAATTTTGACTATGTACATGGAATGGAAAATCTCCTTGAAACACATGAACTATCAAAGCTCAAAGCTCAAGAAAAAATAGAAATTTGAAATAGCACATCTATTAAACAAATAGGATATGTGGCTAAAAAACTTCTTAACAAAAATGAGCAAAAACAATAAGACAAGCCCAAAACCAAACCAAACCTATAAACAGTGTAAGATGGATTCATTGGTAAATTCTACTAAACACTTAAGGAAAATAATGCCTATTGTATGCAAATTCTGCCAGAAATCTGAAGAGGAGGAAATGCTTCAGGATTCATTTTATGTATAAAGCACAATGAAGTGCTTTCTAAGTTTTTGCTAGTGTCCTGGTGTACAATTTTGTTCTATTTGCTGTTTAAGTTTGAATCTTGTCTATTGTACATTCTGAAATGTTAGAGTCATTTTTGAGAAAAGAAACACAAGACAGTATAGTAAAAATACAGAAAGTCAATTCCTTCATGAACACAGATACAAAAATTATAAAAAAAATTTAGTATACATATGTAAACATTTAATAAATTGTATATTATAAATACATGTAATTTGTCATGTCAATTTTATCTCAGTAAAGCTGTCCAAAATTGAAATCAAATAGAATGAAATAAAAATGCTGTTTTTATTAGCTCTGACTTTCAAAATGCAAGTCAGTTTATTTCATTTCTCATTATTCTGTTTTTTTTCTAATTCTTTTTCATTATGGTGAAATATACACAGCATACAATTTACCATCTTAGGTATTTTTAAGTGTATGGTTCAGTGGTATTGAATACATTCATAATATTGTGCAATCATCACCACCATTCATCTACATAAGTCTTTTCATCTTCTAAATCTGAAACTTTATGCTCATTAACAATGACTTCCCATTTCCCTCCACACATCACCTGGAAATCACTCCTCTATTTTCTGTCTCTATAATCTTGACTACTCTATCTAAGTAGAATCACACAGTATTTGTCTTTTTGTAACTAGCTTATATCACTTAACATAATGTTCTCAAGGTTCATTCATGTTGCAACATGTGTCATAATTTCCTTCCTATTTAAGGCTGAATAATATTACTTTGTATGTTGTATTAATCCATTCTCACACTGCTATGAAGAAACATCCGAGACTGGGTAATTTACGCTGCAAAAGAGGTTTAATAGACTCACAGTTCCGCATGACTGAGAGGCCTCTGGAAACTTATGACCATGATGGAAGGCATCTTCTTCACAGGGTGGCAGGAGAGAGAATGAGTGCCGAGCGAAGGGGAGAGCCCCTTACAAAACCATCAGATCTCGTGAGAAATCACTTACTATCATGAGAACAGCATGGGGGAAAACACCCCCATGATTCAATTATCTCCTCCTGGCCCTGACTTTGACACGTGGGGATTATTACAATTCAAGGTGAGATTTGGGTGGGGACACAGAGCAAAACCATATCATATGTATAGACCACATTTTTCTTATCCATTCATCAGATGATAAACACTTAGATGGCTTCCACAATTTAGCTATTGTGAATGATACTGTTATGAACATAAGTGCATAAATCTCTCTTCAAGGCCTTGCTTTCAACTCTATTGGGCATACATCCAGAAGCAGAATTATTGGATCATATGGTAATTCTATTTCTAAATTTTTGAGGAAGCACCATAATGTTTTCTACAGTTGCTGTACTATTTTACATTCCCACCAGCAGTTTACAAGAGTTCTAATTTCTCTATGTCCTTGCCAACATTTGTTATTTTTTGCTTTTTTTTTTATAGCAGTTATTCTAATGGGTGTGAAGTGGTATCTCATTGTGGTTTTGATTTGCATTTTCCTTTTCATGTGCCTGTTGGCCATTTGTATATATCTTCTTTGGAGAATATATGTTCAAATCCTTTGCCCATTTTTGAATAGGTTTTGCTGTTGAGTTTTAAGAGTTCTCTATATTCTGAATATTAATTTCATAACATATATAATTTGCAAATATTTTATCCATCCCATGAGTTCAGCTTTTTTACCCTGCTGATATTGTCTTTTGATGCAAAGTTTTTTGTTTGTTTGTTCGTTTGTCTGTTTTTTAAATGGAGTTTCCCTCTGCTGTCCAGGCTGGAGTTCAGTGGCACGATCTCAGCTCACTGCAACCTCCACCTCCTGGGGTCAAGCAATTCTCCTGCCTCAGCCTTCTGAGAAGGTGGGATTACAAGCCCCTGCCACCATCCCCAACTAACTTTTGTATTTTTAGTAGAGATGGGGTTTCACCATGTTGGCCAGGGTGGTCTCAAACTCCTGACCTCAAGTGATTCGTCTGCCTTGGTCTCCCAAAGTACTGAGATTACAGGCATGAGCCACTGCACTTGGCCAAAAAAATTGACTCAGAATTTAAAAAAATTTATGAAGTCCAAATTGTCTATTTTTTTTCTATTGTTACCTGTGTCTTTGGTGTCATATGTAAGAAATCCTGACCAAACTCAGTGTTGCGAAGCTTTTTCCCCTATGTTTTCTATTAAGAGTTTTATAGTTTTAGTTCTACATTTAAGTCTTTGTCTCATTATTCTTCAAGGAAAATGAGCTTAGAATTTGTTTTTATATTGACAATGTTGACACTTTTAACTGAAGGAGCTATTCCACAATCTTACGGATGCCTGACTAGTATTGTTATTTTGGGCATACCACTTAGGTTTCCAACGTTAGTCAGTTTTCTTAACATATTGAGTGCACATGGATGTTACATTTTCTAAAAGCATTTCCACAGATCCTTCACCTAAATTAGTGCACTCAATCCTAGTATCCACCCAAGCAATTCTTAAATACATACAAATGAATTAAACAACATTAGAGGTGAGAAATAAAGACTGAATGGGTCATGGAAGGCTTGTCCCAGACCACAAATCTAGTAAATATGAAACTGGAGGATAATAAGATGGGATTTGAGAATCTCTACATGCCTGCCCAGTGTTTTCCATACAATCATGCTACTCCTTCATGAGTCATTAGTACCTATGCTTTTCTATATTTTATAGATAATTAGGTCATAGGCATAAGATTTTTTGGTATAATAAAGGAAGAATCTTCATGGTTCATATGTTTGAACTTGAAACAATTTATTATCTAATTTTAAAAGAAGCTTCAAAATTTGAAAAATAGACTCACAAAATATTGTAAACTCAAGAAAAGAAAACTAAACAGAATATGAGAATTTTTGCTCAATCTCTTACAGTGCAAGTTGAAAAAAAGACCTAACATACTGTGAAAAAAGGAGCATGTTTTCAGCACTATTCTACTGATTCCCCATACTGGAAAATTTTTGTTTTGTTTCGTTTTTCTTATGTTCCATCTGTTGAAAGTCTTAAATATTAAGGGTATGAATTTTATTTATTTTTAGTTTCTTAAAATTTTTGTGGTTACAAAAATAAAATCAAAATGGATTAAAGGGTATGAAATTTGGATATTGGAATAAATTGATATACCCAATGCTAGCTATTATGACATATTTTCTTCCAAAATTATCTTTCATTCAAAGCTCTTGGGATAGTTTATGATCTAGTATATTTAGTGTAAATATTCTCATAATATGTAAATATTTATAGATGTATTCATATATTATACAAATATACTCTAGCATATTTGATGTAAGTTTCTTAGGATGTGGTTCCACATCCTGAAAAATTCCACTGATAGACTTCTGTTTTCCTATTTCAATAAAGCCATAAAGTAGTTCCGAAAAACTTTCAATAAATAAAGCTGGACACTGAAAGATTTGGTCTGAAAATGTCCTTGTCCATTAATGGTAAATATTGTATTTTCTTAGTGGCCATTTGAAAATTTACAATCAGATGATCATTATTTTCAGATGTAGTATTAACACGATCAAAATAGCATCATTAGATTTTCCTTCATGTTGTGATTTTCACAATAAAATTCTCAAACACTAACCTGGGGGTCATTCTAAAATATTTTTAATATGATCTGAAGTTCCAGGTGTAAATTACAAGCTTCCTAAAAAGTAGAACCATCTCACTCAACTAAACAACATTGCCTTTAAAAAGTTTAAGACAATTTCGATTGAAATTCCTAATGGAAGTTTTTCCAGCAGAAGTCAGTGAAATTTTATTGTCTATATTATCATTTTTATGGAAGTTGGAAAACCTCTAGAGAAGTGAATTAAAGTTGATCTTTTTGCTTGTAATAAAATAAAGACCATCCTATTTTACCTAAGGGGATGTCTTCAAAATGGCTTTTAAAGTAAAACTCATAAAAGTTAAAAAAAAAAAAAGTAAAGAAATCTAGGGAGATTGTCTACATAATTCATTCTCTCTTTCCCTCCCTGCCTCCCTCTCTTCCTCATTCTTCTCTCCCTCTCTATTTTTCTTTCCTTCACTTTTTTTTCCCTATAACTTATGTAACTAGCATGGCTTAATAAACTTTGGACCTTTTTGTTCACCTGGGCTCTTCTCTCCTGGAAAGAACAGTGTCTCGTATCCCGTTCCACCAGCCCTGGTGAGGTAATCTGCAGTTAGCAAGATGTAAGTTCACTTCCTAACATGACAATACAAATCATTCTTCAATATCATTCTTTGCAGACGATGGTCTAAACTTCACAACCTTATTCCCAAGTGAGCTCAAGTTCACCATTCACATAGCATTTTTCTAAACAGCTCAAAAACCCCAGTAATTTATGGGCTCCGCTCTGGCAGAGCTAAAATGGAAATGTGGATTATAGCTATCATTTTCAGGTTCAGAGCTGGCTGTGTCAGTACAGATTGATTTGTAAGTGTCCGTTTCCGTAGCCATAGCCAATAGGTAGTGTTTTATTTTGTCTTTCCCCAAATGGCTACTCTCACAGCCACAGAAACATATGAGCCCATTAGTGTCGCAAATGCTTTATAAAAATTGGCTTATTTGAGTCTCCCTTGAAAATGTTCCCCTGAATATGATTTTTCTCTGCAAGTCATGATTGAATATTTTTTTACCAGGTGGGCTATGTTTGGTGGTTGTCTAGATTCATCGATATCCATAAGGTAAGGGAATAAATATTAACATATTCTGGGTTATTAATAAAACATACTGATCAGTTTATATGATTCATTGTGTTACATTTTTAGTGCTTTGTGAAATTTGTGTTCTTGGCTTAAATGCTTACAGTGTAAAACAGATGCAAATTAACCTAGCATTTGCCTAAAATTCGCCTGGGGTCTACACTGCATCTCCTGCTAGTGAGGAGAGGGTGGACGGATGTGATATAGATCAATCATACAGATCTATCGTACAACTGACCAGCATACGTAATCTTTTTTCTTCCCAATTTTTCCATCTCCTTACCCTGATGATTATCTTCACGAGGTTTCATGATGCCCGATGGTTGTGTTTCTGTGTTTGTTGTCTTGTATTTCCTTTTATCAGATTTCTCCCCGAATATAAACTTTGGGTATCTGCCTTTCCATTCGTGTAACCTTTGAGTTAGCACTTGGTATGCAGTGGGTAAACAATATATGTTGATTGGATTTAAAAAAAAACTCAGTCAAAAGTACCAGAGCTTGTTCCCTCTATGTCAGACTAGACAAAATCATTTGAACTAATACCCCATAATGGAAAAAACTTCTGTAATGAAAATGGGCCACAGAGAAAAAAATGTGTTTGTGTGTACATATGTGTGTGCATGTGTGTAAAAGAGATTTAATATAAATATATATATACATATATGTACTTATACATACAAATGCAATGCACATATGTATGCATATATATACCTCTATATAGCCATATATATGTAGATTGTATTCATATTGGAGACAGATATATAGGAAATATATATATCTACAGAGATAGACAGATAGATAGATAGATAGCTTTACAGCTGGAAATCTATCTATATTTGTTTATTTGTTTGTTCATTGTTATTGCAGGGACTTGTTAGTTGTTGTCAAAACATTGACAAATTTCATGAACACAGAAAGTGGCTGGAAGGAATAAAGTAGACTAACCTCAAAGGACCAACTGTTGCTATATGCACAGACATTATAAGGAGAATATTAATAACATTAAATGACAGCTCACTGAAAAATGGAAATAGTACAAAACCTTTTTTGTCTTCAAAGGTTTGCAATCAAAGGAGAAGAACATTTTAAATAGCCTGATAAAATAATTTTTCTATTACCTATGAGGTAATTCAGCACAGTTTTAATTTCCATTTTATTTACATTAGTCTTTGGAATGTTGAAAGGCAGGCTTTATCTTAGACAGTTCCTAGAATAAAAGGTAAATTCCCATATGCCTCTCAGTCCTTAACCAGATCCACCTTTACTGGGAGGAATAGAGAATGAAAAGAAAACAGGGAATGTAGTACCAGTTTTCAAAATATTTAACTAAGCTTCTTATCTATATTTTTATATTTAAATGATTCTAGAATATCCAAGTGACCAAGCCAGAACCTTGCTGGACACAGGAACTCTGTTTTCTTGTTATAGCACCTACAGAATGTGACACCATGAAGACTAATAATAAATGCTTCACTATACACATACATGTTCTAGTGCATGGGATATATGTAGAAATCATGGGTGTGAATTCAAAGTCATTCATCTTTTAAATGAAATAAGTATTTTGAAGACATGTGTGCACCACTGATATGGCTTGGCTGTGTCCCCACTTAAATATCATCTTGAATTGTAGTTCCCATAATTCCCATGTGCCGTGGGAGGGACCCAGTAGGAGGTAATTGAATCATGGGGGCAGTTACCCCCACGCTGCTGTTCTCATGATATTGAGTGAGTTCTCACGAGATCTGATGGTTTTATAAGGGGCTATTCCCCCTTTTGCTCAGCACTTCTCCTTCCTGCCACCATGTAAGACATGCCTTTGCTCTTCCTTTGCCTTCTGCCATGATTGTGAGGCCTCCCCAGCAATGTGGAACTGTGAGTCCATTAAACCTCTTTTTCTTTATATATTACTCAGTCTTGGGTATTTCTTCATAGTAGTATGAAAATGGACTAATACAACCAGCATGTTCATGACAGCAAAGATTTGGAAACAACCTAGAAGTCCATTGACATACAGATGAATCGAGAAAATATGTATACATATTTATATATGTCATGGAATGTTATTCAACCTTGAAAAAAAGGAAATCTTGTCATTTTTTTAACAACATGGATGGACCTGAGGGATATTATGCTAAGTGAGATGGGCCAGGTGTAGAAAGACAAATTCTGTATGATCTTATTTATTCATTTATAGATGGCATCCAAAATAGTCAGACTCATAGAAGCAGAGAGCAAATGCTGGTTACCAGGTGGGTGGGGAAGGAGAAATGGGGAGGTAATAATGGTCAAAGGGTCCAAACTTTCAGTTATGCAGAGTAAATTAGTTCTAGAGACCTACTCTCTAGTATAGCGCCTAGGACAAACAATACTGCATTTTATGTATAAAATTTACTAAGAGGGTAGATATCATGTTAAATGTTCATACCAAACACATGCACACACACACACACACACACAGAGACATAAAATAATAATAATAAAGGGAGTGGGAGGAAACTTTAGGAGATAATGGATTGATTAATATATTTATAACCTTGGTGATGGTGATGGTTTCAAGAGTGTATACTTATCCCCAAACTCACCAAGCTGTATTTGTTAAATGTGTATAGCTTTCAACGTGTCCATCATAGTTCAATAAAATGGTTTTAAAAACCCACAAAGTTATTCATCTTCTAAAACGCGGCTTTTCTCCAGCTAATTTACCCCTTCCATGCAGTAGAATATGAATGTGATAGTGACAAACCATTTTCTAGCAACTAAACAAGGATGCCTCTCCTGGGAATGGGGAAACAGGGTGGAAGATGGGTATATTCTGGAAAATTCTGAGTGAATCCAGAGAACAGAACTTTTACTCTCTCAAAACACCCATCCGTTCAGACATTTATGTGCAAGAAGTAAAAGTTTCATCTTGGGCAAAGTACTGTTGTTTGGTCCATGGAGACACATGAAAGCTAATAACATTTTTTATTAGTGATAAAGAAATAAAAGCAATGTTTGTTAAGAGAACAAGAGGCTCAAAGCATCAGCAACACACACAAGGGTAGCTCAGAAAGGATTCGGTAGAGAATTAAGACCGCACAGAACCAGAGAACTATTTGAGACATAATAGTTGACTCTGTGTTTGTATATCTAGTCAACAGATACATCATTACTCAGAAATGGAAATTGATTTCAGAAGTGTCTTTTATGCTTTTGTTTTCTAAGTGTGTATTTAAAGATTTTTAGTAACGTCTATAAAAGGCCATAGTGTCGCAGGCTAGGCCTCACTAACAGCTGAGCAGGCAGACCTTTGTAACAACTGTTTCAGCACTGACCGAGTGGTGAAGTTAAGTATTAAAAGCTGAAAGAGCCAGCGCCCTTATACAAAGGCTGGAATGTAACAAAAGCCCACTGAGAGTTCTGCCCAGGCCTCTCCTAGGCCTTGAAGCATGACAAGATAATGAAGGGATTCTTAAGAGGACCCATTTAGGATCAAACAAGTTTTATTGGGGATCTGAAGGAACTCCCCAGACCTCCACAAACAAGTTTTATTAGGGGTCTAAAAGAACTCCCCAAACCTCCATGATTTAGCAGGAAACAAGATAAGGGTAATCACCCCAGGCACTTGGACTCATCTAGATTAAGTCAATTACTGAGGCCCCAGAGGAGGGTCTCCAGGACTCAGACCTTAGTTATAGATTAGAAGAAGTTAATCACCAATGTCTTTAGATGAATGCACCCTTATACGTAGACATATAGCTTAGCAGGTATATAAGCTCTGGAAAACTTTGTAATTTGAGTTTGCCTGGCGATATTTTCCAAGTCTTCTCCCTGTACGCGGTTATAGAAGTAAACTCTCTTCTTTTCCCAGTTCGTCTGCATGTCATTATTGGGCTGTGAGAATAAGCAGCCTGACCCCGTGGTTCGGTCCGGGAACAATAGCTTCTGTGATTTTTAACACACCTTTTTTTTGTCCTATTTGAGAATCCTTTCAGGTATTGTGACTTTCTTGGCAAACTTTGCATCTGGCAAAGAAATAGCTCAAGGATGTGTGTACTAAGAATACTTTTGTTATCCATAGGGGTTGTCAGCAAAACAATAATACTCATCAACTTATTTATTTTCTAACAAGAAAAGGTCTTTTTATTTCCTGGCACTTTGAAGATGTCCCTTATATATTGAAATGATCATTTTGATTTAAGGATTTTTCTTATCAAAATTTCATCATGAGTTTTCTAATGAATGTTGAATTGAAAAAGAGGCATTATGACTCCACAAACTCTTCGACTTAACATTTCCTAACGGTTGATTGACTTGTTTCCTGGTTGCCTCTTTCCTAAGATACATACCTCTCTTTCTTTACTCCCCATTAATTTGAGAAAGAATATCAATTTCTGTTCTTGTCCCACCAATTTTAAGTTATTTAACTCCTTGGGACAGGTCTGTGAAGTAGTTGAATCATTCCATGAGAACCTTCACCATCCACTAGAAATGAGGGTGCCGGTGACCTGAAAGAATCTTACTGTAAATGAATATGGTAAATTTTGAGATTATGGGTTTCTAAAATTGTACCAATCACTTAAATGTCTAACTGGAAAAAGTAATGCTCTTTCTAAAGTTCCCGATTCCATCTACAGATGATATAATTATTGGGTGTCGGGAAACCTTCACTGTTTCCCTCACAGTGACTAAGGTAGATTTGAAAACCTAAATTTACGTGTGCATTTGCCAACTAAATATCTTAATATAAATAATATCCAATCCAATTTACTTTGCTACATATCTGATGTTAATAATGAAAAAGGGAAAAGAAATTCATTCTAAAACACCTTGTGTTAATAATATTTCTGTCTGTGTTAAGTTCACTGAATAGTTTCCTTACATATGCATGCCTTCCTTTTAGAAATGGATAGGAGATGGTAATTTTGTTTAAAATAAGGGGAAGAAAGGCATCTCTTTAGCTTCACCTTTGTTTGTTAAATTCAGTGAACACACAACTGAATGTATGAGACCAGAACATACACCACAGCACGGCTGGGAGTTAATCCTCCATTGCCTTTGGGAGAATTTTATGAGAAGGAAAGATATCCTTGTACTCTGACAATGTGAAGGCCTAGGGAAATAGAATTCAAAGGACTTCTTTAATGTGTAGTCTTCATGAAAGCTTATTTTAATATAGCTCTGAGTGATTCTGTGAATATTCAAAATCTCCTCTGCACTCAAAATTAAATTAAGAAAAGAAAAACTACTGTGTTGATGTTGTGGCCTAGGTGATCCTATGTGATACAGAATTCATAAAAAAATAAACAAAAGGCAGAGATTCACTTCCTATAAAAAGAAGAGAATACCTTAAACTGCATATATATTCGAATATGACGTTTTGACTTAATTCAGTGAATCAACCAGCTACCTCATCTAATCCATAGAAAAACTGCTTCTGCATTGCTCAGCTCAGGAGAATCAAATAAAAAGTGTTCATGTTTTATTTTTTTTTAATGCCTAGTGGCTGATAGCATATTAATTTTTGCCAAAGTTAAATGTCCCCTTTTTTACTTTAGAATACATTTACATTTAGAATACTTACTGAGTTTGTTAAGACAGAAAAAGTTTTGTTCTATATAATCTAAGTTATATTTTAGAAAAGAACTATAAATTGAAATACAAAATTAACCATTTTTTTCTTTGAGCATTTTTTGTTTCTTTCCTTCTTTGGCATTTCTGTGTTCATAGTTGAAGTTGGCAGTTATCTCCTGGTACTTAGTCAATCAGAGCCCTCTGTCATATGCTTTTGAAGTCTGAGAATTACAAGTAAATACAATAACCGGTGGTAAGACCCAATATTTTACAATAAAAATTATTATGGTAAACCTTAATACAAAATGAAAAAAAAATCACAAAACCTCCTTAAAGAACATATGAAACATTACAAATATATGTATAATCTATGGAAGTAGTACATAATCATCATCATTATCTTCATCAGCTTTGAAGATAAGTTACACAAAAGTTTTGAAAATTAATCACCTCACTCCTCCTTAACCAGTGGGCCAAAGACAAGGTGATTATTAAAATGAGAAAACACAAGAATTGAATGACAATGAAAATGGTACATCTCAAAACTGAAATCAAGGATATTAACATTAAGATACCTTAAAGAAATAGAAAACAAATCACACACTCAATGAAGTTGCTTGCAAGAATTTTTATGGACAAAGCACTAGAATTCCCAAAATAGAAATTATTCCTATGAATTGATTGGGGAAAGCCAATACAAATAGAAAATTTTGTGTAGTGTGTTAGCCTGTTCTCATGCTGCTAATAAAGACACACCCAAGACTGAGTAATTTATAAAGGAAAGAGATTTAATTGACTCACAGTTCCACATGGCTGTGGAGGCCTCACAATCATGGTGGAAGGCAAAGGAGGAGCAAAGTCACATCTTACATGAGAAACATTTGTATTTAACATGTTTTCGATAAGTTGTTTAAAATGAGAAACATTTGTATTTAACATGTTTTCGATAAGTTCTATTTTGCACCATATTCATGTTATTCTTTCTGATTTCTCTCTGCCTGTATTGATACAACCCAAAACTGATCATTCCTTTACTTTGAACTTTCTGAATAATTTTCTTTATCTATGCTTGTTTAAAGGTTGCATTTAATCAATAGTGTTTTTGATGTAATTATTATCTTTCTGCTTTTATAGGTGAATTCAACATAAATTCATTTACGTAGCCATGAATGATAGATGTAGGTACACTTTCAAAAATTAAAAATTTTAATTTGTGCATAAACATGTTTTATTTATTTATTTATTTATTTTATTTTTTTTGAGATGGAGTCTCACTCTGTTGCCCAGGCTGGAATGCAGTGGTGTGATCTCGGCTCACTGCAAGCTCTGCCTCCTGGGTTCATGCCATTCTCCTGCCTCAGCCTCCGGAGTAGCTGGGACTACAGGCATCCGCCACCACGCCTGGCTAATTTTTTTTTGTATTTTCGGTAGAGACAGGGTTTCACCATTAGCCAGGATGGTCTCGATCTCCTGACCTTGTGATCCGCCCGCCTCAGCCTCCCAAAGTGCTAGGATTACAGGTGTGAGCCACTACACCTGGCTGACATGTTTTATTAATGAAAAATATGTAGTTTTTCATTACAAAGCATTACATTTATGTATATTTAATATCCTTAATTGTACATATTTATATATATACACACATACATATACATACACGTAGATATATAGATTCATGGAAATACACACACACACATTATATATATGTACACTACACAGAAATGTACAATTTAACTCTTTTTGATGTGATATGCATTTACTTTTGAAAAATGTGAACATAAACACAATTTTTTCACCCCACCTATCTTCTACTTATTTTTTAATTGGTAAAAGGTGGTGTTTCAGACATTGTAATATTAAATAATTATTTTGTATTATACATTGTATTAGTCCATTCTCACACTGCTAATAAAAATATACCCGAGACTGGGTAATTTATAAAGGAAAGAAGTTTAATTGACTCACAGTTCCACAGGGTTGGGGAGGCCTCAGAAAACTTACAATCACAGTGGAAGGGGAAGCAAACATGTCCTTCTTCACATGTTGGCAGCAAGGGGAAGTGCAGAGCAAATGCAGGGAAAGCACCTTACAAAACCATCAGCTGTCATGAGAACTCACTCAGTAACACGAGAACAGCATGGAGGTAACTGCCCCCATGATTCAATCATCTCCACCTGGTCCCTCCCACGATACGTGGGGATTATGGGAACTACAGTTCAAGATGAGATTTGGGTGAGGACACAGCCAAGCCATATCACACATCTTGTCTTTCAAAAGACATTTCCGTAATATCCTGCAACTACATAATTATTACACCACATTTCTTTAGCCCCACACTTCATACCGATGACATCAGAAATGTTCATCTTGACTTGTGTGTACATTTCTGCCTCCCTCACGCTGTTGTCTTGTTATCTTATTGTTCATTTCTTCTTTCATAGAATTTTTCCTACCTTCAACTTTATTGAACAGAACAAGTAGCCTCTAACCAGTGTTTATTATTGCTTTTGTGTGATGTATTTTTCCAATTATGCTGTCTCTTGGCAGATGGATTGCTAATCATTCCAGTTATTTAACAGCATTATTTCTATATTTTTATTTCCATAGACTCAGCTGGATCCAAAATATATTTTCATTGTTGTTTTTGTTTCTGGGTGTTAACATTTTGGAGCTTCTAACTGTCTAAGAGAATTTTGTGTTGTCATCAAAGACAAGGTTACTTGTTTATCCTGGGCATGACAGTGTGTCTTGGTTGTCAGAAGTTGCAAGTAGACAAAGGAAATCGTTTCCTAACAAATCTCTAAATGCAATTCCTGGAGGGGAATATTTGGATATAATGTTTGACATAGATGACATATGCTGCTGGATATTGCTAATGTTTTGGGTTTTGTTTGTTTTTTGTGTTTGTTTTTGTTTTTTTGAGACAGGGTCTCGCTCTGTAGTCCAGGCTGGAGTTCAAGTGGTGCAATCATAGCTCAGTGCAGCATTGACTCCCAGGCTCAAGCAATCTTCCCACCTCAGCCTTCAGAGTAGCTGGGACCACAGGTGCACAACACCATGCCCAGCTAATTGTTTTTCTTTCTTTCTGTCTGTCTGTCTTTTTTTGCTAGAGCCGAGGTCTCATTATGTTGTTTTCTCTATCTTTTCCTACCATTCCCATCTGTTTTGGGGCTTTTCTTCCTACCCTTAGCAGCTTTACAAGGGATCCTGCTGCCTTCCTGCCTTGAGTTCATTCAGGTGCCCAGTTGTGGAGAGGCTCCCGCAGCTGGCCTGGTGCCTGGCGTCTCCTTTTCCCCCACCTCCATCAAGCCATGTCCCTCCTGAATTTGATCGTTCACAGCACTGCTGGCATCTAGCCAAGACCTGGACATCCTAGATCAATTAGGCAAAATTCAGCCAGGTATACTCTTATCTACAAGCTATATGCCTTAGAATAAGAATTTTAATGCCGTGACTCATAAAATCCTGGAAACTCAAAACCCTGCCAATTTTATTGGCAAAATATCTGGTTCATGGGAGCAAATGATTTTGCCTAGAGAGACAGTCCTTAGCTATCATCTGACTTGAAAAGTAGTTCATACCCAACACAAAAACAATACAAAATCACCACCTTTAGATACAACAGATGGAGAAGAACTATTAGAACAGGACAGGGAGTTGAGTATGCTTTCACTTTGGGTGGGAACATAATATAGTCTTCATGATGGTGTAGATTTAGGGATGTAAATTAAGTTACACACAGTCTTAGTTGTATTTCAGGGTTTTTTTTAATAGTGTTGAAGCTTGCCTTTCTCTGTGTCACTTATGTTCATATTATTAAAGAATGTGAGTAGATAGAAAACATAAAACGATATATGTGCATATATATGTTCATATATAAACGTTATATATGTTCATATTTTAATAATTTATACTTATAAACATTATCCGGCATGATAGTATGCACCTGTAGTCCCAGCTATGTAGGAGGCTGAGGCAATGAGGCAAGAGGATCGCTTGTGCTCAGGAATTCGAGGCTGCAGTAAGCCGTGATCATACCAGTGCCTTCCAGCCTGGGTGACAAGAGTAAGACCCTCTCTCTAAAAATAAAAAAAAATAGATTATAAATAATGTGTATTTAAAATTTATTTTTATTTACAATATGACTGTAGCCTCAGCAATTTGCAACTGTAACTAGATTACAATAAATATAATAAAAATACATTACCAGCCTGGGCAACATAGTGAGATCCCATTTACTAAAAAAAAGGAAAAATGTAGTCAGGCATAGTGCCCAGGAATTCAAGGCTGCAGTGAGCTGTGATTGACCCACTGCACTCCAGCCAGGGAAACAGAATGAGACCCTGTCTCATAAAGGAAGAAAACACTATATATACACATACACACACACACACACACACATACATACATACATATATAAAAAAATACTATATATAAAATATTATATATATAAATATATATATACACACACACACATTTTTAATATGGATACATCTGCTATAATTACATGCAAAAATAATTACATAGGTATATACACAGTATAAACTTTTCCACATGTGCTTTATATATATATACTATATATATAGTATATATACTATATATACTATATATATAGTATATATACTATATATACTATATATATAGTATATATACTATATATACTATATATATAGTATATATACTATATATACTATGTGATATACATATAGTATATATACACATATATACTGTGATATACAGTATATATATACACATATATACTGTGATATATAGTATATATATACACATATATATACTGTGATATATATCGTATATATATACACATATATACATGTGAATATATATACTATGTGATATATACACATATATATACTATGTGATATATATACACATATATATACTATGTGTATATATATACATATATACTATGTATATATGTATGTATATGTATATGTATGTATATGCATGTATGTATATGTATGTGTGTATATGTATACATATATACATACGTATATACTATGTATATATACATATATATAGTATATGTATGTGTATATATACTATATAGTATAAATATACTATATATAGTATACGTATACTATACATATATAGTATATATATACTACATATATAGTATATGTATACTATATAGTATATATACACATATATGTATACTATATAGTATATATACTACATATATGTATATATACTATATATGTATATATGGTATATATAGTATATATGTAGTATATATACAGTAAATGAATATAATATATATACATATATACCACATATATACTATATATACTATATATATACTATATATATAGTATATATAGTATATATAGTGTATATATACTATATATACTTTATATACTATATATATAGTACATATATACTATATAGTATATATGTGTATATATAATATAGTATATATGTGTATATATACATATACTATACAGTAAATATGTGTGTATATATACTATATGGTATATATATTTGTGTATATATACCATATAGTATATATATTTGTGTATATATACTATATAGTATATATGTGTATATATAAATATAGTATATATGTGTAGATATTTACTATATAGTATATATGTGTATATATATACTATATAGTATATATGTGTATATATATACTATATAGTATATATGTGTATATATATACTATGTAGTATATATGTGTATATATATACTATGTAGTATATATGTGTATATATACTATGTAGTATATATACATATATAGTATACACACATATATACACACACAGCATATATATGTGTATATATATACTATATAGTATATATGTGTATATATACACTATACAGTATATATGTGTATATACATACTATACAGTAAATATATGTGTATATGTACATACTATACAGTATATATGTGTATATATATTATATTATATATTTGTGTATATATATACTATATAGTATATATGTGTGTATATACAATATAGTATATATGTGTGTATATATATACTATATAGTATATATGTGTATATATGCTATATGCTATATGTGTATATATACTATATAGTATATGTGTATATGTACACTATATGGTATCTATATGTGTGTATATATACACTATATGGTATCTATGTGTGTGTATATATACACTGTATGGTATCTATATGTGTGTATATATATACACTATATGGTATCTATATGTGTGTGTATGTATATACACTATATGGTATATATATGTGTGTATGTATATACACTATATAGTGTATATATATGTGTATATAGTGTATATGTATATATACATATAGATACACATACTATATAGTTACTTTTGCATGTCAGGACCAAATGCATGAGGCGTTTTCTATTATGTACTAGGCACTGGACAAAGCTCCTGAAATATAATTGTTAAAAAGCAGATTTACTCATTCATATTTGCCTAAATCGTTGCAATGCAATTTTGATTTGTTATTCATAATACAGGATTATTTTGAAGGAAACTTAAAGATAAAACTATTGTATAGAAGTATTTGGTTTTCCATATTATGTAAATTTATAATTTTAATTTTCAATCACAACTATTTGAATACAATCATAACATTAGTTACTGTCAGGAGTATATATTTTGAGCATTCAGAGGACTAGATCTGGTATTAAGTTGATTTCTTTCCTAAATAGCTGGGAAACTTTGGGAAAGTCATTTCAGCCTTTGATTCTCCTTCAGTGGTTGCTCCATAAGTGAAAATAAAAACTCAGATATCATGGAGCTGCAGAGGAATTTAATGTATTAATAAGTGACTATGCAGTTAAATTGTGTTCAGCAAGGTCTCTGTCAGTGGCCATTGTTCATTTTAAGACCCTTTTATTATAAAGTACCATAGTGAAATCAAAGTAAGGAATAAATAACAGTTTTGAGGATTGATGTGATGGCTGCAGCCTGTAATCCCAGTACTTTGGGGAGGTCAAGGCAGGAGAGTCCAGAATTTTGAGACCAGCCTGGGAAACAGTGAGATCCCATCTCTAAAAAAAAAAAGCTAAAAAAATTATTTGGGCATGGTGGTGCCTGCCTATAGTCCTAAGTACTCAGGAGGCTGAGGCAGGAGGATCTCTTAAGCCCAAGAGTTCCAGGCTGCAGTAAGCTACGATCACACCATTGCACTCCAGCCTGGGTGACAGAGCAAGACCCCATCTCTTAAAAACAAAATAAAACAAAACAAAAACAGTTGTTGAAGACAAAATATGCTATATGCTCCAGGAGTTACAAGGTGATGGAGTTCTGATCATGTGCTGGGCTCTTGACTCAGCCTCTCATATGTTTTACATACATACTCACAGCAAGCCAGTGAGATAAGAGCAAAGACTTTTAAAGTCAAAGGGAATATGTCTTAATGAGGGTAAAAGCAAAATTATAAATAATTAGATGGGTCACTCAGAAAACAAACAAGAACAGCTAAGAAGAACATCCATGCCCTTATTAAACATAACTGCCTTGCTGTGTAAAACCTTCTAAGGTTTTTAGGCAGCAAGAATAGGTATCCTCAGAACGGCAGAAACAGCAATCCGTGGGATAAAGTAATTCTTTTCAGTGGGAACATTGCTTTACCAGAAAGGGTGGGGATTTCAGTTCACTGTGAGGAACAAGTTGGATTTCAGTACATAGATATGTTGGAACCATTCCTGGTAAATAAAAGCCTATAAACCAAAAATGAAACTGTAAGCCCCCCAGCTGAATGAATGGACCCTTCCTTTCAGCCAAGGGAATTTCAAAGAAACCTGAAAAACTATTTTGGGCCATAATTGGAAAAAGGGGGGTCAGACATGCCTCATTGTATTCTCCTTTCTTGGGGAGTCAAACACAACTGATCAGCATTCACTTTAAAACAAAGATCTTAAGACTGATAGAACAGACTCTTTGTAGCAATAAGTTAGCAAATTCCAACCTGACTCTGGTATACCATCATATGACAAATAGCAGGCCCTGAAAGAAATGAAACTATTTTACCCTAAAATATATTTATTTGACATATTTTTAAATGGCCCTACAAAGCTGTCTCTTGTAGGGGAAATATACATTCTGTAGAGAATCCCATTTTCATTCCAGATTTTTTCCGATCCTGAAGAGACTAGCTGAGAGTCTGGCATGTTTTAGGTATCTGAATAGGAAACATTTGGCATCTACTGCCTCTAAGGGTAGCCACCTATGAGACTTCATCTACATAATAAGAACCTTGTTCTCCACAACCCCTTGTCTTAACCCAGACATGCCCTTCTGTTTATTCCAGGTCTTGAGATAATAACTTAGCTCTTTCAATTAAATGTCAATCAGAAAATCTTTGAATCCACCTATGACCTGGAAGTCCCCACTTTGCATTGTCTCACCTTTCTAGACTGAACCAATATACACCTCACATGGATTGATTGATGTCTTATGTCTCCATAAAATTTATAAAACAAAGCTGTAACCCAACCACCTTGGGCATGTGTTCTCAGGACCTCTTGAGACTATCCCTTGGACCATGGTAAGTCATATTTGGCTCAGAATAAGCCTTCTTAAATATTTGACAGAGTTTGGCTCTTTTCATTGATAGTCCTTATATAGGTCCTACAGATTCTAGGCTTCTTGGCAGCATGGTGAGAGTGAAAATTATATAACCAGAAAATGAACCTTAAGTGAAAGGGGTGAGTCATGTTTAGATGTAGTTAAATATAATAGAAATGAGATTTTTGTGCAGACAGGAAAGGCCTGAAGTAGCAGAATAAAATATTTTGAGTTTGATCCAGCAGAAAATAGGCAAGTTTCAGAGAAAGTGGGAAACACAATTATAATATAATACATTTCACTTAGGGAGTTTGGATTCCCCAAACGGAGAAGGACGAAGTACATCACAAGTACTAACTACTGGAGTCAGGATAGCAAAAGACCACATTTATAAAGAGTGAATTGGGGACATCTGGTGAGATACTCTAAACTGAAAAGCAGTGATTAAATTTTTCATTTGCAACCTCAAATGGAATTTTCAAACTCATTAGAGAAACTTAAATAACATGAGAAACGATAAAAAAGGATGACTGTTCTGCAGAATCTAAATTATGCAGCTACTGTTATGATCATGGAGATAAAAACTAACCATGAAAATGACAACCCATTGCATTGTGAATTGTATTAAGCTAAATAGAGAAGTTAGACTTACACAGTAAGAAATGATAAAATTCACTCTCCCTTGTACTCACTGAACAAATATTTATTAAGAGGCTTTAATATGCTAGAGATCATGAGAAATACTAAAATATATAGCTTTGGAATGACCCCCAAGGGGACAAAAAAGTCAGAGGAAAAGATAAAACATTTAAAAGACAATAAACATAAGGATGAGTACTTATATACAAACTTCTATGTGCATTAATTGCAAAGAGAAATCACATTTGTTCTGATGGAGGAAAGCACTGTCAAGAGGGAAAAATTAAATATAAGTAAGAAGAGATTAGGTGAACAGAGTGAACAGGGGCTGCTAGTGAGATTGGAAGGGGAAGCATATCAGAGTACAAGTGAAATACATGTTTTATTAGCATTGATAGAGTTCAGCTGGGTCAACTGCTGCTGATAAGGAGAATGTAGCCTGGGGAACACAGCCAGACCCCACCTGTACACAACATACAAAAATTAGCCAGACATGGTGGCACATCCTCTGGCTAATCCTCTGGGGCAGGAGGATTGCTTGAGCCCAGGAATAAGCCAATATGGCACCATGGCACTACAGCCTGGGTAACACAATGAGACCCTGTCTCATAAAAAAAGAAAAGAAAAAGAGCAAGAAAAAGAAAAGAAAAGGAGATTGTGAGGAAGATTGAGAGATGACAGACGGGTGTGGCTACAATTTGGTTGAAATTCTCAAGAATTGCTCAGTGGCATCATGGGAAACAGTCTGATAAAATTGGACTCAAGAGAAAATAGGTGAGAAAGGGAGTAGATAAGAAAGAAGAGGACGACGAAGAAGAAGAAAACACAAAAAATGGGATTAGATTTGCTATGTAATGTGCTATTCTGATTTTTATTTATTTATTTTTTTGAAACAGGGTGTCACTCTGTCATTGAGGCTGAAGTGTAGTAGTGCAATCATAGCTCACTGCAGCTTTGAACTCCTGGGCTCAAGCATTCCTCCTGCCTCAACCTCCTGTGTAGCTGGGAGCACAGGCAAGTGCTACCACCCTGAGCTAATTTTTTTTTCTTTTGAGACAGAGTCTCACTCTGTCACCCAGGAGGGAATGCAGTGACATGATCACAGCTCACTGCAGCCTTGACCTCCTGAGGTCTCACCTCAGCTCCCTAAGTAGCTGGGACCACAGCCACTTGCCACCTTGCCCAGCTAATTTTTTGTAGAGACAGGGTTTCACCATGTTGCCCAGGCTGGTCTTGAACTTGTGGTCTCAAGCAATTTGCCCACCTCAGCCTCTTAAAGCAATGAGATTACAGGCCTGAACCAAATAATGGTGAAAATTAATGTATAAATAATTGTATCAAAAATGATTGATTCAAGAAACAGAAATTCACTTGTAAAATAATTTTTTGGCAGGCCAAAACATTTTAACTTAGGTTAAATTGAAGAAGAGATAGAAAACATTAGTTAGACATCTGTTGTAGGAATAAAAATACAAGATAATGCTGAGGCACATTGTGTGAGGAAAAAGAAGGGATTTCACTTTCTCTGTGAGAACATTATTTAGCACATACTCAATGCTAGAAAAATTGCTAGAACACAAGGAAATAAGATTTTTTTTTTTTTTTTTTTTTTTGAGATGGAGTTTTGCTCCTGTTGCCCAGGCTGGAGTGCAATGGAGTGATCTTGGCTCACTGCAACCTCCGCCTCCTGGATTCAAGTGATTCTCCTGCCTCAGCCTCCTGAGTAGCTGGGATTACAGGGGCCCTCCACCACACCCAGCTAATTTTTTGTATTTTTTTAGTAGAGACGGGGTTTCACCATGTTGGTCAGGCTGGTCTTGAACTCCTGACCTCAGGTGATCCACCCGCCTTGGCCTCCCAAAGTGCTGGGATTACAGGTTTGAGCCACCACGCCTGGCCAAGACTCTATTTTTTTAAAGGAAATATCAACTGGCAAGAGACGCAATGACAACAGCATGGAAGATAGGTCAGTCAAAAACAGCTCAAAGGATTCAACCCTGCCTGTGAAAATGATGCGACCATTAAAGGAAGAGGGAAGTTGGTAAGAGGAGTTGGTATCAGGAAGATGATGATTAATTTGTTTTGAGACTTGTTGAAATTTAGGTGATTTCAGGGCAGCCGGTTGAAGATATCCGAGAGACCTTTGGAAATGTGAATCTAGAGCAAAGGAAAGAGGCCAAATTGCAAATATCTGATTAGGGAATAACTTGCATGAAGGTGCTAATTGACACCTGAGAGGATGCATTAGTCCGTGGTAAGAGAAACCAAATGCAAATAGATTTCATCAGAAGAGGCCATTTATCATCTGGGCTAGCTGAGAAGTCCACTGAGAGACTGTGGCTTCAAGCAGTGTTAAATCCGTAGACTCAGGGACAAAACCTGATAGGTACTGTGGGTCCAAGGTGCCTGCCCTCCCCCTGCAAAGCTTTGATGAAAAATCGACTCACAAAAAAAAGATTAATAGGAGAAAAAGCATACAAACTTACCTAACTGTGCACATGGGGAAAATCACAGTGATTGCTCAATATCCCAGTGGAGTGCAGAAACCTATATGCCATCTTGAGGTTACAGAAGGAAAGGGGGCTTGGATTCTAGCAAGACAGGCTATGTGAGGGGGAGAAGAGGAATTCTATTCAAGGCCAATATATGATTACTAGGGAGAATGATTGGATCAGGAAACAGAAATTAACAGATATATCTATCACCTCTACAACAAGTTACCACAAATCTAATGGCTTAAACCCACAGCTATTTGTTACCGCACAGTTGCCGTGAGTCTGGGCACAGCATGGCTCAACTAGGTCCTCTGCTTGGGTCTCACAAAGAAAAATCAATGTGTCTGCAGGGCTGTGTTTTTCACTTGAGGCTCAGGGGAGGTCCTCCTTCCAAGTTCACTGAGGTTATTGGCTGAATTCAGTACCATGCAGCTGTATAACTGAGGTCAACACTTCCTGGCTGGCTGTCAGCTAGGAGCCTGTTTTTGCTGACAAAGACCACCTATGTTCTTTCTCATGATCTCTGTATGGGTTTCTCCAGCAACAGAAGGTTGAGTTCCTCTAATGTTTTCTGTACTGATTTTTCTTCTGCCACACAATAGTCCCCACTTATCTATGGGAGATATATTTCAAGAACCCTAGTGGATGCCTGAAACCGTGGACAGTACTCAACCTATATATATGATACCTTCTCCTGGACATACACACCTGTGATAAAGTTTAATTTATAAATTGGGCACAGTAAGAAATTGACAATAATAACTTATATGGTTTGGCTGTGTCCCCACTCAAATCTCATTTTGAATTGTAGCTCCCATAATTCCTACATGTCATGGGAGAGACCTGATGGGAGGTAACTGAATCATGGGGCTGGGCTTTGCCTGTCCTGTTCTTGTGATAGTGAATGAGTCTCATGAGATCTGACGGTTTTATAAAGGGTACTTCCTCTGCACAGGCTCTCTTGCCTGCTGCCATGTGAGGTGTGCCTTTGCTTCTCCTTCATCTTCTGCCATGATTGTGAGGCCTCACCAGCTCTGCAGAACTGTGAGTCAATTAAACCTCTTTCCTTTATAAGTTACCCAGTCTCAGGTATGTCTTTATTAGCAGCGTGAGAACAGACTAATACAATAACTAATCTTATTATATAACAAATAATAACCAATTCTTCTAATAAAAGGAAGAATTATAATAATATACTGTAATAAAAGTTAAATGTATATGGTCTCTCTCTCCTTTTCTCTCTCTCTTAAAATATCTTACTGTACTATACTCACTCTTCTTGTAATGATGTCAGATGTTACAATGCCCACGCGATTAGATGAAGTGAGGTGGATAACATAGGCATTGTGAAGCAGTGTTAGGCTACTATTGACCTTCTGATGATATGTCAGAAAAAGGATCATCTGGGGGGCAGGGCCAAGACGGCTGACTAGAAACAGCCGTGATCAGAGGCTCCCATCAAAAAGAACCATAATTAGCATGTGAATCCTTCACTAGCAACCAAGGTATCCAGGTTCTTTCATCAGAACTGACTGGGCAGCTGATGTGAACCTCGGAGAGGAAGGAAGAGCAGTGTGGTACGGCAGCCCACCTGAGAGTCACATGGGGCAGGGGAGCCCCCAACCCTCAGCCAAGGGAGGCAGTGAGTGAGTGTGCTACCAAGTTAAAGGAACTGTGCTTTTTCCACAGAACTGTGCAACCTACGGATTGGAAGATCCCATTTGCGAACCCATGCCACCAGAGCCTAGGGTCCCAACCCCAAAGCCACACAGATTCTCAACAGCCTCTCAGCTGGAATCTGCCTAAGCCTGCCAAGCTCCCAAGGGGAGGGGTGACCAGCACCAGAGCTGCAGCTGCCTGCTGCGTAAGCCGTTTGAGCTCCTTGGGGGAAAGGCAGCTGCCAGCACTAGGACTCCTAACTGCCTAACACACTAAGTTCCCTGGGTAGGGGAAGGGTGGCATCCATCTCAATAGTTCCAGGCCATGCTTTTTCCCTGCTTCAGTGAGGGAGGCTGGATGGCTTGGTCCCCAAGAGGTGTCCCCCACAGCCCAACATGCCAACTGTGGCAGACTGCAGCCAGAGCACCTCTTCAGGCCTGACCCTGACATCCTTCCTCACTGGATGGGGCTCAGGAACTCTAACAACTTTGGCCAGAGACTCAGGGACAGAACCTGGATCTCCCTGGGCTTGATCCCCTAGGGGGAGGGATGGCTGCAGTCTGTGGACCAGCAGACTTAGCTTTTCCTCCTGGTAGTTCTAAGGAATCCAGGCAGCCCAGACAAGTGGGTTTCCCCCAGGGAAGCACACCCCCTGCACAAAGGGACAGTCAAAGTGCTTCGTTAAATGGGTACCATTCCCTGTGCCACCCAAATGGGTGAGACCTTCCAACAGGGGTTATCAAACACCCTGTACAGGAATGATCCTACTGGCATCAGGTTGGTGCTCCTCAAGATCAGAGATCCCAGAAGGAGCAGGCACCTATCTTTGTTGTTCTCCAGCCTCCTTGAGTGACATCTCCAGGCATGGGAGTGAACCAGATGAATAGGGCCTGAAGTGAAACCCCAACAAACTGCAGCAGTCCTACAGAACAGGAACTTGACCATTGAAAGAAAAAAACAGAAAGCAACAGCAACAGCATCAACAACAAAAAAAGTCCCCACAAAAACCCCATCCAAGGATCAGCAGCCTCAAAGATCGAAACTAGACAAACTCACAAAGATGAGAAAGAATCAACAAAAAAATGCTGAAAACTCAAAAGGCCAGAGCGCCTCTTCTCCCTCAAATGATCACAATGCCTCTCCGGCAAGTGTGCAGAACTGGACAGAGGATGAGATGGACAAAGTGACAGAAGTAGGCTTCAGAAGATGGGTAATAAAAAATCCACCGAGCTAAAGGAGCATGTTCTAACCCAATGCAAAGAAGCTAAGAATGTTGATAAAATATTAGAGGAGCTGCTAACTAGAATAACCAGTTTAGACAGGAACATAAATGACCTGATGGAGCTAAAAAACACAGCATGAGAACTTTGTGAAGCATACACAAATATCAATAGCTGAATTGACCAAGCGGAAGAAAGGATATCAGAGTTTGAAGACCTCCTTGCTGAAAAAAGGCATGCAGACAAGATTAGAGAAAAAAGAATGAAAAGGAAGAAGCAAAGCCTTCAAGAAATATGGGACTTCATAAAAAGACCAAACCTATGATTGATTGAAGTACCTGAAGGAGATGGGGAGAATGGAAACAAGCTGGAAAACACACTTCAAGATATTATCCAGGAGAACTTCCCCAGACAAGCCAACATGCAAATTCAAGAAATACAGAAAACACCACTAAGATAGTCCATAAGAAGATCAACCCCAAGACATATAATCATCAGATTCTCCAAGGTCAAAATGAAGGAAAAAAATGTCAAGGGCAGCCAGAGAGAAAGGCCAGGTTACCTACAAAGGGAAGCCCATCAGACTAACAGTGGACCTCTCAGCAGAAACTCTACAAGCCAGAAGAGATTGGGGGCCAATATTCAAAATTATTAAAGAAAAGAATTTTCAATCCAGAATATCATATCCAGCCAAACTAAGCTTCATAAGAAAAGGAGAAGTAAAATCCTTTCAAGACAAGCAAATGCTGAGGGATTTCGTTACCACCAGGCCTACCTTGCAAGAGCTCCTGAAAGAAGCACTAAATATGGAAAGGAAAAACTGGTACCAGCCACTGCAAAAACATATCAAAATACAAAAACCAATGACGCTATGAAGAAACTGCATCAACTAGCATGCAAAATAACCAGATAGTGTCATGATAACAGGATCAAATTCACACATAACAATACTACTTTAAATGTAAACGGGCTAAATGCCCCAATTAAAAGACACAGACTGGCAAATTGGATAAAGAGTCAAGACCCATCAGTGTGCTGTATTCAGGAGACCCAGCTCACATGCAAAGACATACATAGGCTCAAAATAAAGGGATGGAGAAAAATTTACCAAGCAAATGGAAAGGAAAAAAAAACAGGGGTTGCAATCCTAGTCTCTGACAAAACAAACTTTAAACCAACAAAGATAAAAAAAGACAAAGAAGATCATTACATAATGGTAAAGGGAACAATTCAACAAGAAGAGCTAACTATTATAAATATATATGTACCCAAGACAGGAGCACCATGATTCATAAAACAAGTTCTTAGAGATCTATAAAGAAACTTAGACTCCCACACAATAATAGTGGGATACTTTAACACTCCATTCTCAATATTAGACAGATCAATGAGACAGAAAATTAACAAGGATATTCAGGTCGTGAACTCAGCTCTGGATCAAGTAGACCTAACAGACATGTACAGAACTCTCCACCCCAAATCAACAGAATATACATTCTTCTCAGTGCCACATGGCACTTATTCTAAAATCGACCACATAACTGGAAGTAAAACACTCCTCAGCAAATGCAAAAGAACAGAAATCATAACAAATAATCTCTCAGACCACAGTGCAATCAAATTAGAACTCAGGATTAAGAAGCTCACTCAAAACCACACAATTACATGGAAATTGAACAACCTGCTCCTGAATGACTCCTAGGTAAATAATGAAATTAAGGTAGAAATCAAGAAGTTCTTTTAAACCAATGAAAACAAAGAGACAACATACCAGAATATCTGGAACACAGCTAAAGCACGTTAAGAGGGAAATTTGTAGCACTAAATGCCCACATTGGAAAGCTAGAAAGATCTCAAATCGACACCCTAACATCACAATTAAAAGAGGTAGAGAGGCAAGAGCAAACTAATCCAAAAGCTATCAGAAGACAAGAAATAACCAAGATTAGAGCAGAATTGAAGAAGATAGAGACACAAAAAATGCTACAAAAAATCAATTAATCCAGGAGCTAATTTTTTGAAAAAATTAACAAAATAGACCACTAGCTAGACTAATAAAGAAGAAAAGAGAAAAGAATCAAATAGACACAATAAAAAATGATAAATGGTATATTACCACTGACCCCACAGAAATACAAACTACCATCAGAGAATACCGTAAACACCTATATGCAAATAAACCAGAAAACTTAGAAGAAATGGATAAATTTCTGGACACATACACCCTCCCAAGACTAAACCAGGAAGAAGTAGAATCCCTGAATAGATCAATAGCAAGTTCTGAAATTGAGGCAGCAATTAATAGCCTACTAACCTAAAAAAGCCCAGGACCAGATAGATTCACAGCTGAATTCTACCAGAGGTAAAAAGAGGAGCTTTTTACAACAACAACAACAACAGAAATTTATTGCTTCACAGTTTTGTTTGCTGGAAGTCCCAGATCAACATATTGGCAGGGCTGGTTCCTCCCGAGGCCTCTCTTTTTGGCTTGTAGATGCAGTGTTCTCCCTGTGTCCTTATGTGATCGTTCTTCTGTCTCTGTGTCTAATCTCCTCTTATGAGGACACCACTCCAGTTGGATTAGGATATAGTTTGGCTGTGTCCCCACCCAAATCTCATCTTGAATTGTAGCTCCCATAATTGCCATGTGTTGTGGAAGGGACACAGTGGGAGGTAATTGAATCATGGGGGTGGGATTTTCCCATGCTGTTTTCACTGTAGTGAATAAGTCTTATGAGATATTATGGTTTTATAAAGGGCAGTTCCCCTGCACAGGCTCTCTTGCCTGCCACCATGTAAGATGTGACTTTGCTCCTCCTTCACCTTCTACCATGATTGTGAGGCCTTTCCAGCCATGTGGAACTGAGAGTCCATTAAAGCTCTTTTTCTTTGTAAATTACCCGGTCTCAGGTATTTCTTCATAGCAGTGTGAAATAGGACTAATACACATTAGGGCATACCCTAGTGACTTCAATTTACCTTAATCACCTCTTTAATTAAAGGCCCTGTCTCCAAACACAGTCACATTCTGGGGTCCTGGAGGCTAAGACTTCAAGATATGAATGGAGACAGGGAACCATTAAGTCCATAACACATTTACTCCAGTTAAAAAAAAAAAAAAAAAAAAAAAAAAAAAACAGGGCAAATAATTGAAAACTTTTAGAGGAATTCTGCGAGCACATGTATCTAGCTTTTATGCTTAGTTGGTTTCTATATTATTGTCTTTGGCAAGCTGATGCTAAATGAAACCACTTATATATCCCATTTCCCAATATTTATATCACGTTAGTCAATTTTGTTGTTGACTTCGTAGATAATGTTTTCATTGTATGTGTGTACCACCATTTTCCTTATCCATTCATCTGTTGATGAACACATAGCTTAATTCCATGTCTTTGCTATTGTGAATAGTGCTGTGATAAACATACTTTTCATATTCCTGTTATTCTATACAGGATTCCAAAGAGTTGGCATGGATGAGTGATATGGTTAAGCTTGTTTCCCCACCCAAATCTCATCTGGAATTGTAATCCCATAATCCCTATAATCCCCATGTGTCAAGGGAGATGCCACGTGGAAGTAATGGAATTATGGGGTCGGTTTCCCCAATGCTGTTCTCATGATAGTGAGTGAGTTCTCACAAGATATGATGGTTTTATAAGGGGTTTCCCCCTTTGCTCAGCACTCATTCCCTGTCCTATTGCCCTGTGAAGAAGGTGCCTCCTGCTATGACTGTAAGTTTCCTGAGGCCTCTGCAGCCATGCTGAACTATGAGTCAAAAAACCTGTTTCCTTTAGAAATTATCCAGTCTCAGGCAACTCTTTATAGCAGTATGAAAACAGACTAATACAATGGGGGAGTCAGGCCGACCGCCTGGAAAACCAACTGAGCCAGTGTGAAGCTGTGTAATTCCAGTCAAGGCATTTTGCATCTCTGAGCTAGAGTCCCTTCATGCAGAATGTGGCAAAATTAACATCCACAGATAAGGGTAAGGTTTCCATGGCAAGTTAGGTATTTAACAATAGTGACCATTAATACAACAGCCTCACGTAAAACACTTCATTAAACACAGTCTTAAGGAATCTATAAATTCGAAAGCAAGATCCTTTCTGTGTTGTCTTTGATAGAAGTTGAAACACTTAAGAGAACATTGGACAGCCACACCCACAGTTAAATTACTAAAACCAATGCCGCTAATTTTTCTAGGGTACTGGGTGACATCTTAACTGCTTCCTTCACTCAAGATGGCTCCATTCTCTGCTGGAACCACTGTCAATCTTCTATATATAATAAAATTTTACTGCCTTAAAGTCTTAAAGTTTTTTTAAGGCAGCTGCTTTCCTTGACATGTCTTTTTAACAAATGATTATGATCAGAGCCCATGTAATTCTGTCACTGTTTTCAAAGAAGAAAGTTTAATCTAATAACTTCCTATTAAATTTTTAGTTCTTGCAGGAGCACGTTTGAAGGATATTCAAGGTAAACCATTTCACATCAGAATTCCACTGCTGGGTACCATCATCCTTCCTAATGAAAATTTATTTCAGGCTAATAACAAATTCTGTCCTTTGTCATGGTGTTGGGGATTTTTGCCCATGAGTTTTTTGATATGCTAAGTTTATAACGGATAGTTTATGCTTGCCTAACTTATTTTCCATTTAGAAATGAATGATAAATAGATAAAGCCCTAAAGAAGAAAAATTGGATTTTAAATTACTCAGTTGTTTTATTATCTATATATAAAAATAAAAATCAACCATGGAATAATTTAGAATGGGAGCTCAACTAGACAGGCATTAGGTCTATCACAGATGAAAATTAGAAACCCACTCTTTAACTGGACATCTCTTTGCCGTCTTGCTCCGTCCTCACTGGGTAAATTTAGGCTTACCAAGTCAGTAGATGTGAGAGAGCTCAATCCTTGACAGGAGTTTGAAATTCACATTCCTTTGGGGTCAGAAATAAAAACATGGGGAGGGGTAGGGGGTGTAGGATACTAATGGGTTTGTGTTCAGCTTAGGGTATTTATAGGTTGAACATTTTAAAAAGTCCACATGCGTGACAAACAATATGGATTTGTGAACTTATACAGGTCTATATTTCTTTTTCTTTTGTCCCAGATCCAACCTCTCCTTGTATTAGTCTTCCTATGTCTCAGTTGAAAGTTTCCCTAAGATGTCAGTGATGGAACACTGAATAGCTTGTGCATGGGTTTTGCTTGAAAGAGGGGCCAGTCTCATTTTTAGTGACCATGAGAAAGGTGAAATATAGTAGTTATTTGGTACAATCAAGTCAGCAGAGGTGGGGCGGTGCATACAGTGACCAATAAATGACATTTTGGTCCATTTTCCTCCTTGCCACCCTCTGCTCTCCCTCGAGAGTTTCCAGAGCAATATTTGGGAATCTTATGCCTCCCTGTCCTTAAGGATTCTCTCTCTTCCTCCATTGAATCCCTGTTTGGGTCTCCGCTCAATGGAAATACTCTCTGGCTCATTGCATCCTATCTTGTCAACATTTCCATTTTCTTTACATAAAAACAAACATATAAAACAACAAACCCCCGTTGGTGATAGCAATGATTTAAGAGAGGGGACATTTTAAACACATTGTGTCAACTACACATGTAAAGACATTGAGCATGATGAATGAAAACTAGATTTCCCTATGGAGGAGCTAAGGATGCTCTCTCTGGTGTCTCTCTTGGCATTAGGTTTTGCCTACTGTTGCCTGCCCACATGCCCTGGTCTCATCTCCATCCCCTGTACCTTCAGGTCTGACGGCATTGATGTGAAGTCAGAGTACAATATGCCTAGCAGAGCAGGAACAAACTCAGAAACAATGGAATGCAATCATTTTTGCAAACACATGCATAGCTAGGAAGGTCATGGTTGTTCCTACAGGAATTTGCACTACCTTCTATACAATGGAGATTAGAATGAGAGGAGGGGACATTGTCCTTTCTTTTCCTGGCCTGATCACTATAGGGCCATGCCTTGGCAATATCTCACTTTTTATGCCAAGGAACTGTGCAAGATCCATTGAGCAATGGATGTGCACTCGAGCCAGAAACTCTGTGTGACAACTCTAAGTATCTATTGATGTTCTTTCTCATAGCAGGTAGTCATAGTGCCAACCCATATCTCCATGGTATATACAGACTTGGTTTCCTTGCTACCACAAGCTTATAAGGGTATGTTTTTTGCTTTTTGTTTTTGTTGCAGCTGTGCTTCTGCGAATATCTTTCTTTAAATTTCCATTGCCATGAATCTTGGCCTGATCAGTACTTATTTCAATGGATTCCTCTCTGCACCACATTGTGTAGACATTCCTAATGTGATACTGCTCGTAATGTTATTACATTTTCCCCCAAATGCTGATAAAGATAGCTTCCTATTTTCATATTTATGCGACTACATTTGAAAGAATTTGGAAGGCAGTGGGATTGAATAAAAATTAAATGATTTTAAAGTCGGCGAACACTCATTATAATAGAAAAACCACTATATAAATGCGCATTATAAGTAGTTTTGCAAACAGTAATTGTTCTGCTAATGGATATATTGGAAATTGTTCATCAATTGAACAAAATGATCATTTAATCATGTGATATAATTTGGCACCATTTTTATTTTGAAAAGGTATTTTCTTATGACTCAAGCAGCAGTTTCTATGAGTTCTAAACTATATTTCTCTGTGATCCAATAAAGCATGGTTTCTGACACATTCTTCAAAGAGAATCTTGAATTTGTGGGCACTGACAAATAGAATTCTGCTTCAATGCTGACCTAGTTTGGGTCAAAATGATTTATTTCCCTGTAGAGTTGTTTAAAGGCTATGAAAAGATAAGGTACTGAGGAAAGGAAGTTTGCCTTTAAGAAGTCATTACAAAATTTATAGATGCATATAATTATAGAACTCGAACTGACCTTAAAGTCAGTGTAGTCTCATCCCATCATTTTTAAAATAAGAAAAAATGAAAAAAGGACTTTTAGTGGTTCTTACTATTTTGAGGATCACAGAGCATTGGAGCATCTAATTAGAAGTATGAAGACTTAGAATAACTTGAGCCCAGGAGTTCGAGGCTGCAGTGAGCCAAGATCGTGCCACGGCAATCTAGCCCAGGAAAGAAAGTGAGAACTTTTCTCAAAATAACAATAATAATAATAGTAATAATAATAATAATAGGCCTCTCTCTGGAGCAATGCATGTATGCACAACTCTCCATGGGATTTTTGCGTCTTACTATAGAATTTTATCACACTGAACTTTTAGTTGAGAACCTCCGGTATCATCAGATATTCCAGACAAATTTCTTTAATTGGGCTTAAAAGCATGCATTTCAGGATGGAGAACAATGGTTTAGGCCTTCGTCCCTAGAATTCCCTTTAAAACACAACTTTCAGCTGGGCTCAGTGGCCAGAGTAATTTCAGCACTTTGGGAGGCCGAGGCTGGCAGATGGCTTGAGCCCAGGAGTTGGGCACCAGGTTAGACAATATGGGGATAACCCATCTCTACCAAAAATACAAAAATTAGCCAGACGTGGTGGCACATGCCTATGGTCCCAGCTGCTGGGGAGGCTGAGGTGGGAAGATCACTTGAGCCTGAGAGGTCGAGGCTGCAGTGAGCCATGATTGCACCCATTGCAGTCCAGCCTGGGTGACAAAGAGAGACTGTGTCACAAAATAAATAAATAAATAAAATAGAAATAAAAGCATGAAACAAAACTACCAGTCTCTATCTCAAAATATTAACACTTGTATCCCAACAGATTGTCCACTTTCAAATAACAGTTTAAAATATATAATTAGTGTTACATTGGAATTACCCATAAGTCCTGTTTTCTTCATTTCTTATTTCTTCTTTTCTCTTTCTCTCTTTTCTTTCTTTCTTTTTTCTTTCTCTCTTTCTTTCTTTCTCTTTCTTCTTTCTTTCTCTTTTCTTTTTTCTCTCTTTCTTTCTCTTCTTCTTCTTCTCCTTCTCCTTCTCCTTCCCCTTCCCCTCTCCTCCTCCTCCTCCTCCTCTCCTCCTCCTCCTTCTTCTTCCTCTTCTTCTCCTTTTCCTTCTCCTGTTTCTTCATTTTCTTTATACTCTTATGTTTCTATTATGGGTATTTGTCAACAAGAATGGGAAAATAAATGAACCCTATTTCATCCACAAGACGATCACCATCTCCTGCAGAACAGGTAGTATTAATATTTCAGTGAATAAACTCTTTCCTGTTCCATGCTGCTCTGTGTTCAGTTTCCACTTCTTAGATCTGAATACCATTAGTAGGAGTCTCAATATGCTTAAGGATATCCTCATGGTCTTCAAGAAAGTGAAAATAAAAATATTGCTAATTGATGCTTAACTTTCATCATTTTGAAATGCACATCTCATTGTGGACAAAACTCACTGTCTGCCCCTGCTGTCACTTCCCACCCAAAGCAAAGGAACTTTACAATCCAAGTGCTTAAATCCCCATAATAATATTCACATGTTGCCTAATACTATAAGAAAGAGAATATGAAGTGTTAACAGAAAGATACATTGACAGGTTTGTAGGACTTTTGTTGCCTTTAGATGTTATTTATTTATAGATGTTTATATCTTAGAAAATCAAATCTAAGTGTAAACTAGCAAAACAAAGTGAGTCACCTCTAATTTTGGAAAAAAATACATTCTCAGAATATATGGCTATACATAATGAAATATCATATAATAGTAAATATTATATTAATATCAATAATTTCCTTGCAACCTTAAAAAACTCCAACATGGTCTTCATTTCTATGAAATCTGTTTTCAAATTTTTGCTGAAAAAGTAATATACGTTGTATGGTGGTTTTAAACTTTAATTTTGGGTGCTGAATAAAGCAGTTTCATGGAATTTGTACAAACCACCTGGTAGAAAATAATTACACCCACTTAAGATGAAACCAGGAATGCTTTTCTTTTTGCATAATTTGCACCAAAGAAAGAGCCCTGCCAAGAACTGAAGGTATTTATCCCATAGATGGGCAAACACAAAAACCAAATATTCAGATTCCAAGGTGATGTTGACCAAGAGTTATGGTTGTATTAGGAGTTATGAAATGACTGAAGTCATTGTACAAGGAAAACATTCTGTATGCACTAAGATTTCCCAAAAGATAAGGCACTTACTGCTCTGTTATCTGTATCATTAAGGAATACCTGTTGGTGAAATTGGAGACAAGTGCTTCAAAAAAGTCATTTCTACTATTTTTTGGAAGAAGACAATCATAAAACAAAATATGCATGACTGTTTCAAATCCCAGCCTACATGACCTAAGCCTGACTTCCTTGAGTAGAATCACTTTCAAATATGTTGAGTCAGAAACTACTAAGGGAAATGGAAATGATTCCATAAACAGTCTAGCAAGATCTGCGAGACCGCCAAAGGGTGGCCGGTAGGAGAAAACAAGACAAAGATGTGAGAGGAATTGGACTCTCTGACGTTGTTAGTTCCAATGCATGAGAAATAAATGGAAACAAAACCAATGGGGTCTTCCTAACTCCAAATTTTTATATGTTAAGTTTTATAACATCATGACTCCTTGAATGGAGTTATCTTTAAGTTATCTTGGCATATCAGAAGTTTGAATATCTACAAAAACACTCTAGTCACCACAAAACTTAAGTGAGTACTTTTTAAAGAAATATTTAACTCAGGGCGGGGTGCGGTGGCTCACGCCTGTAATCCCAACACTTTGGGAGGTTGAGGCGGGCAGATCACCTGAGGTCAGGAGTTCAAAACCAGTCTAGCCAGCATGGTGAAACCCCATCTCTACTAAAAAAACACAAAAATTAGCTGGCATGGTGATGCACGCCTGTAGTCCCAGTTACTTGAGAGGCTAAGGCACGAGAACCACTTGAACATGGGAGGCGGAGTTTGCAGTAAGCCAAGACCTCACCACTGCACTCCAGTCTGGGCAGCAGAGTGAGACACCATCTCAAAAACAAACAAACAAACAAACAAACAAACAAATTACATCTGACAGTTCATCATTGTCAAAATAAAATTAATTTCCTTTTATGTGTTAACATTTAAGATGATTTTAAACTTTTTTTCTTACTCAATTCTAATCTATTTTATTTAGTTATGATTACAACCACATTAGATTGTAAAGCTGTCAATCAAAAGTGTTTTGTATCTTATACTTTTTGGTAAGCTTTTTGTGAACTTGCTTGGAAAACATACCATTCTTAATAATATTGTGTTGCGGAAATAAATATTTTCTTCTACGCAAATGACTCTGAGTTGGACCTCAGGGGCGTTGCACATGAACATTCATAAGCTAGTACCCTACCAGGCTCCTGAGTGATGCCTCAAGCATGCAGCCAGACTGTGAGCTATCTCAGGCTGTACATGACACCAGGGCTCCAGATCGACCTATCTATAACTACTTGACACTTTCCCCGTGCATATCCACCATATCACACATTCTTCAATAAATCAGCAGAATACACGAATCTTGCATGCAAAGTTTTGAAATCTATCTCAGAATTCACATGCTTCAGGTAATGTCTCCTTTAAACTGTAAATTACTTCAAGCTTAAATTAAAACGATTAAGAAAATGTTTTTAAATCTTTTTCTTACAACCACCAACACTCATTTTCTTTTCAATATTGATTAACGTTCTGAAGTAGGATGCTTTTAACAGACTTCCAATATTACGTTATGACAGATTTTTATGACAACCGGAGGCACCATATTTTAAAAAGATTTTGTCATGTTTTCTGATTTAGGTCTTTAGTTGTTCAGAACTCAAATGAATCAATTTGAGTATGTGTAAAATTAGGGAATTATGGCTCTCCCACAAATAATTATGGCTAAAATATACTAACACAAGTTGGTTAATTTTATATAAATGAATGAATTTTTAAATGACATGTCCTGTCATTTTTAAAAGCTGTGACGATCTAATTCTAACTAATTTCCCACATGATCACAAAGAGCTGAAGGTATTTTTATCCATAAGTACTTAATTTTGTGTGTGTGCATTTCCACAATATTGTGCATTCTTTAATAAATTATCAGAATACATGAACTTGCACAAAAAGTTTTGAAATAGCCATGTTTTTTTGTAGCACATTGCTGTAAATCAGTGCCCTTCTAGGTTATCTGTTTTTCATGTTCACAACTTTAAATTAAAGATGCTGTTCACTGCTTGCTAATACTTGGAACTACAGGAAGGAACTGCTATTCAACACTCATTATGTCTGGATAAATTTCTGCTACATTGCTTGTAGTAGATACTCATGGGTGTCTACTGAACAGACATTTCTTTCTTCTCTTTTCGTTTTTTGAAGGCTGATATTGTTTAATCAAATGCCCTGTCAAACACAGCTTTTTCTTAGCCCAGGGCATAAGGATAATGAGTCTTAGCCAAAGAAGAGAATCTCATTTCCCTTTCTTAAGTGACCAGTTTAGGAAAAGTCAGGAAAGGTTTTTATGGTTAAAGACATGTAATGAAGTCTGAAGGAAGCAGTCTCTGCAAATAATTTTGCTGTCTTTTGAATTGAAAAAAATATATATATTTGATGTAAATACCCAATGTGTATGGGTGTCCTACAAAACTAAGATTGACCACCACACTGAATTTTGTTTGGTTGTTGAGGCTGATAATTTTACATACACACTCAGACACACACACCAAGAAGGTATGAAAAATTTATTGCTTGCACAATGAGGCTTTCTAGGAAGGGCAGGGCGGGCTTCCCAAGTATCTAAAAATGGGTAACGCTTCCAGGAAAGACTGACTTGGGGCTTTTAATGTGATGAGGGGCTGGTGTTGGTACACTTCCAGCTGTCATCCAAGGAGGGAGGACCCTGGCTTGTGTACCCAATTGCCCTGATGGGAGGCGGAAGAGAAAAAGGTAGGGCTGAAGCCTGGACGCTATCTGCAGTCAAACATTAGAGAAATGGAATGCAGGCCAGGTGTGGTGGCTCACACCTATAATCCCAGCACTTTGGGAGGCTAAGGCAGGAAGACTGCTGGAGACCACGAGTTCAAGAACAGCCTGGGAAACTTAGCAAGATCCTCTCTTTACAAATAATAAATATAAAAAAATTACCTGGGCATGGTGGTGCAAGGCTGTAGTCCCACCTACTTCAGAGGCTGAGGCGGGGGGGATTGTTTGAGTCCAGGGGGTCAAGGCTACAGGGAGCTATGATTGCAGCACTGTTCTCCAGCCTGGGCAACAGAGTGAGACCCTGTCAAAACTGTCAGAAAGAAATAAAGGAAGAGAGAGAGAGAAAGAGAAAGAAAGAGAGAGAGAAAGAAAGAGAGAAAGAAAGAAAGAAAAGAAAGAAAGAAAGAAAGAAAGAAAGAAAGAAAGAAAGAAAAAGGAAGGAAGAGAGGGAAGAAAAAAAGGAGGGAAGGAAGGAAGAAAGGAAGGAAAGGAGGTATGGAGGAGTCAAAGAAAGAAAGAAAGAAGAATGGAGGGAAGAAAGGAAGGAAGGAGGCAAGGAAGGAAGGGAGGGGGAGAGAGAAAGAAAGAAAGAAGAAAAAAGAGAAGAAAGAGAGAAAAAGAGAGACAGAAAGAAAGAAAGAAGAAAAGAAAGAAAGAAAGAAAGAAAGAAAGAAAGAAAGAAAGAAAGAAAGAAAGAGAGAAAGAGAAAAGTGGATTCCAACCCTTTATTGCAGCCATGTACACAGAAGCGTGAAACCATGCTGACTGGATGTTCAGAAGCCATTAGGTGAACTGAACACCGTACATATAGAACACGTAGCCACCACAGACATAGGACAAAACATGCTGAAAGGAGCTGAGAAGTGAGATAAAGAACCCAAGATAATGTCTCTGACTACCTCTGTGGATCTATTACATGAGATAAATAAGTGCCTCTATTACTGAAGTTGTTAGTCATTGGGTAATCTCTACTTGCATCGAATCGCATCCTAGGTTTTTCACTATCATTTTTTTCACCTTGTCTTTTTCCATACTTTCTTGATTTCAACATAAAGAGTGGCCACTTTTAATTGTGATGGACCCACAGTGATGCCAGCTTAGTTCATCTCTCCCTGCATTCCCCTGCTTGAAGGATGGCCCTTTGTAAGAAGAAGTGCAATTAAAATGTCTTGCTTGTGCAAACCGTCTTCTCCATTTTTCTTCATTTTTATTTCTTTGGCTCTTTCAAGCTCACAAGAGTGTGGCTGACATCCTCCAAGTAATATTTTATTTCCCAATGCCTGTTTAACAACACAGTGAGTTATAAAAAGCAGACAAATTCAGAAAAAAATAAAGAAGAGAATTATGCAAGCAAGAAAAAGATATCAACCTATCTGGAGGTAAGATAGGTTTGTGTGTTGAAGAATCAGTCAAAGTTAATGACTAGATGCTGTTGGCACCCATACACACTGGATATTTACATCAAGTGCATGGCAAGCTTTATCTCAATATTTCAATGATATAATCTGTGATTTTAATTAAGATGTCAGTAATGAGTAATTATATGTTTTCATGATATAAATATCATGATTATTTTGCAAGACACATTGTGCAAACTCATTACTAAGGAAATGATGGTTAAAAATAGGTATGGTAATTAATGATAAAAGTAGAAGTCACAACTTACTCCCATTGCTATTACAGATGGGTATGGCTGGTGGTGAGTTTAGTGGATAGACTTTCTACTTAACTCTTAGATGGTGAGTATAACTGATCCCTCAAGTGTTTGTCCTCTTACGTCCAACTCTGCACTATGGAATACAGGGAAAGTCTCATGTGCATTTTGAAAACAAGCCAAACCTGTTATGGTTCTGCAATGTACAGACCTGTTGCATCATGCATACCATTTAAATTTAACACCTATATAGATGGAACTTGTGGCTACACGGAAAAATGGAGTGTTTATGAATTTGTGAGCACGAGACTCTTCCATCAACACACAGTTGGACGCATTGGGTTTTTAAAGTAGCTTCTTTAAAAAAGCTGCTCCTTGGCTCTTGGCAGTTTAGAGACTGGCCTGTCTGCCAATTTCATCTTTAGCTGACCACAAATATTGCATATTTTTCAAAGCATTGGAGAGGGTGGGGGGAGGTGGTCAACATAGCAGAAACATAAGTTGCAGTTTGAATTAAAGCGTAGTTAGTAGATAATGATGACAGGTAGAGGAAGAACGGTTGGTGATGATTTGTCTCTCAGAAGCACGGTTGGGTGCACTGCTGTGCTGGGCAGTGAAATCCCAATTTGATATCCTGCAAGAACTGTACCCTAACAGTAGGTGGTTAAGTCACTGAGTGCAGAATCCACATTTCCATTTGCCTTTTGACTGTGGGAGGAAGAAAACAACTAAAGGCACACTTTGGGGAGTGAGTTTTATTTTCTGATTCCTTAATTCTATTCAGTTATTATCATTATTTTTAACTTTTTTTCAATAAAATAAATCCATGGAGCTGTGAGGCTGTATAATGTTATAAGGAAACAGAATATTTCTTTGGTAACCTGTGATGATTAAATGTGAATTTATTTGTGATAAGCTTCCTGAAGGTTTAATCTGTCTCCCGGCATCTTACAGCGAAGTGCTAGAGAGAATCAGAGCTCTCATCTGAAGAGAAAAATGGAAAAGCTTACAGACATTACCTCTGTGGCAACCTGTCAGAACAGGAGTGTTTCTTGACTTTTAAATACTGTTCTTATTCCCTTCTTGCTTATTTATTCTGCACACCCATGAGATAGAGCTTTAAGATAGGAAGAAAACTCTGCCTGGAGTTTTCTATCTGATGGTTTCTCCATTTCTTCCATCTTTCAATTATACAGCTATAATATTAGCACTGATACGGTTTGTGCAAACAATAAATGAGGCATGCTTTATTCGTGCATGTATAAATAAGTGAAGGAAATTGGCCAACCTAGACTACTAGAATATTCCAGTCCTTCTCTGGCCACCACTCCCTAAATTAATGTTGGTTAATGTTGTTTTAATTAGAATTTTATCCTTCATCTTGATCTTCTTTCTGATTAAATCTGTTTCTAGTGAAATAAATGACAAAGCAAACTTTGTAAAAATATCATTTAAAGTTGTAAAAAATCAAATGAAACATCCCTAAATGCAAGAGAAGGAAAATGATATATCTTGATTGGTCCAGGTATTTGTGATATCCAGCCTGTTCCTTCACTATTTGTTGCTTTCGTCCATGTGTGCTCACAATGCTGTGAAAGTTTGGTAAGGAATTATTGTAAAGTGAGAACCCCAGTTCGTAGAGCATTTTTTATTATATAACAATAAATACAAGAACCTACAGAGCAGGTGTTAGTGCCTCGTTTTCAGGGCTGGATCTCCCTTTGAGCACACTCATCATGGAGACCAAGTCATAGTCAAGAAACAGCTGGTGAAAATACAGGAAGAGCAAGTCAGATAAATGAGTTGATCCTTATATCTTGGTAACCAATGCTGACTTATTTATCTTTCTTGATACTGAACCAGCAGATTAGGCTGCCTTCTCATGGAGAATCCACTTTCCCAAATTAAACGGCACATTCATCAAACATGGAGCCCATGTTTAGTGTGAGGTTCTGTATGATGTGTTTATCATATTATTCTTGGCATTGAATATGAGAGCTGCAATATACCTGGTGTCATGTAATTGATGAATAAAGGAAATATTTGGTGAACAGAGAAATTTACTTGAGCTGGAGGGTGACTTGGTAGAGAGAAGAATCATGGGGATTCTTATAGGCCAAGCTAAGGGGATTGATCCTGATCCTACAGCAACAGGGGGAGACTAAAGGGTTTTATACAGGGCATGATACGGATTAGCAGCATTGCCATAAGACTTCACAAAAGAAAAACAAGTATTTGTAGCGGTCAAGGCAAGAGAATCTAACATCCGTATGAGTGAAGATGAACAGAAGAAATATGTGTATATATATATATATATATATATATATATATATATATATATTTCTATAGCTTGGGGGTACAAGTTGTTTTTGGTTACATGGATAAATTGTATGGTGGTAAAGTCTGAGATTTCAGTTTTTCTATGTGGTTTAGCTGCTAAAAGGAAGAGAGATCTGGAGTCTGTAGAACAGAATGCAAGATCAAGTCGGGAGGTCCATTTTTGTCTTTGTTGCTTTTGACTTGATGGGAAATTCTTTTGGCATTTAATTAAAAGTTTAGAAAGAAAATGGATGGCATGTTTCTATGCCTCAGAGGATTTGGTTGGCCACATTAAAAGATGTGAACGATACTTTATATAAGTAAAAGAATAACCAGGGAAAAGTAGGTTACAGAGGACATTTCATGTAATTGTTGTAATACTGCTTCCACAGTTATAAGATGAGAGAAGACAGCACTTACAGTAACACAGACTAGCCTGGTGAAGTTTTACAATATTTTCAAGAAATCCAAGCCATTGATTCCCTTTCTTAGTGGCACTCATTTAAAAGCTGAGCCTGTTTTAAAAAATATAGATAAACAACTGCTGAAGTTTCAGAATAATCACTTCCTAGGGGCCCTCTCCTTGCCATATTCCATTATAGCAATGGAGCCCCAACAGACACGTTAGTGCCCACACCTGCCTCGGAGAGAAACTAACTCAGATCAAATAATCCTAGTCAATTTTGCCGAGCAAATTCAGCTCCAGACAGGCAAGTCTCTGCAGAGGCACAGCATGGTCCCTCTTCCTTATCTTTACTCAGGCAACAGCGCTCAGAATATTCTCTACCAGTTAACATGCAGAATCATCTTTTTTCTTTTTTGTGCCCTACAGGTTGCTTCTTGTATTTATAAATGTTGCATCTGAAGACTCTCTTATGCAAAAAATAAAGGCTGTTTACTCCCCTGTAGGCTAAGTCTGCAAAGACAGAACTATCAAAGGGCTCATCTGGAGACACATTCTACTAGCAATTAAGAGTTGAGGACAGAGTTCAAAGCAGACGGGTGTCAGAGCCCCATAAAAACACCTTGTACTTTCTGCTACTTTCTTTGAAAAGTTCCCCAGGATAATGGCTCCATGTCATTTGTAATTTTGATAGGCAATCCTCCTACTCCACGTTCTATCTGACACATCTCATGTATTAAATATCAAAACAGCAGGCCCTAGAGATAAAGACATTGGAGAATGCCATTTTAAAAACCATAAATTTTATAACATCAAGAGGCTTCAAAAAAAAAACAAAACCTCTTAAATCACACACGCACACAGTCCTTAAAAATATGCTTTTCCAATGCTTAAACAAGGGCTGATATGTACCTAGCAAAACCATGGACAAATTTCTGTAAAAGACATCTCTATGTGGACTCTAACCCTGGTGGGTTCATTTTGAAATTTAATATATGCGGTGAAGAGCTACAAATAAGATATGCTTGTTGACTCTGCCAAATGGAAAGTGGAACTGATTTCTGGAGGTTTGATCCTAATTCTGGTTTTTTTGGTTGTTGTTGTTTGTTTGTTTGTTTTCCAGGGCAGTATCAGATAGTTTCTATCGGGGGGGCCAAGAAAGAAGTCATTGCACAATTCTCAAAGCCCATCATTTAAACATGAGTCAATGATCATTTTTGCAGGGTGAGAATTTGGGAGATTGTTACGGCAGATTGCTCAACCAAGTCAACACCTCAGCCCATTTTCATTCTGTCATACATTTCTTGAGAAGGAAAAAACGTGTAATTGAAGTGGAGAGATATATTTTACGTCAACCCATTTTTACTGTGAGTTTATAATCTGCTAGACAATTTGTAGCATTATCTCGCTTCAGCTTTTGTAGAAATCTATTAACATTTTATTTCTTTTTAATCAGTTAATAAATGGAGGTAGGTATAGAGGCATTCAGAAAATTAGTCAAAGGTGCAAAGTTACAGCATGTGAAGACATCAACATAGGCAGCCCAATATCTTACCCATAAGCCAATGACATTTTGCATCAGATGATTTTTTTTTGTGGTAGGGGCCGCTCTTTGCATTGTAGGATGATTTGCAGCATTTCTGGCCTGCACAAACTAGATGCCAGTAGCAATACCTCTCCCTCCTTAAAGATGTGACAATTGGCATGTCTTCAGACAGTGTCAAGTGTCATTGTGGGGGATGGGGGGGTGGGCAGGGGTGTAGAAAATACCCCAGGTTGATAATCATTGCATTGGTTCATTCAAGTAGACTAAAAACAAATGTAGTAGTTTCCAAAGTATCCTACCAAGAGAGAAAGCATTGTCATCCCTGGGGAATTTCCTGGTGCCATGAATTCTCTGGCTGCACCTCAGACACACAATATCAGAATCTCTGGGACAGTGCCCAGTGATCTGTGTTTTTTTCAAGCCCTCTAGATGCTCCTGATATTCTCTCAAGTTTGGGAACAACTGTGTTAGAATCATATTCTATATAGCACTGCACACTATCATTTTCAAGGGAAGAGAGAAGATGAAAAAGAAAAAGCAAAAAGAAAATGAGCCAGGCATCAGGTCTTAAACCTGTAATCCCAGCAGTTTGGGAGGCCAAAACAGGAGAGCTGCTTGAGGCTAGGAGTTTGAAACCAGCCTGGGCAACATAGCAAGACCCCATCTCTTAAAATTAAAATTAAAAAATAGCCAGATGTGGTGATGCAAGGCTGCAGTCCCACCTACTTGGGAGGTTGAGGCAGGAGGATTTCTTGAACCAAGGAGTTGGAGACCACAGTGAGCTGTGATCATGCCACTGCACTACAGCCTGGGTGGCAGAGCAAGACCCTGTCTCTAAAAAACAAAGAAAGAAAGAAGAGAGAGAGAGAGAGAGAAAGAAAGAAAGGAAAGAAAGAAAGAAAGAGAAAGAAAGAAAGAAAGAAAGAAAGAAAGAAAGAAAGAAAGAAGAAAGAAAGAAAGAAAGGAAAGAAAGAAAGAGAAAGAAAGAAAGAGAAAGAAAGAAAGAAGAAAGAAAGAAGAAAGAAAGAAAGGAAAGAAAGAAAGAAGAAAGAAAGAAAGAAAGAAAGAAAGGAAAGAAAGAAGAAAGGAAGAAAGAGAGAAGGAAAGAAAGAGAGAGAGGAGGAAAGAAAGAAAGAGAAAAAAATCAAATCAGTCCTTAAAAATCTCCAGAGATTGTTTCAGTTACCTGTAGGGAATATGTATTAGGTGAAATGAAGACTAAAATAAAGTCTCTGATTTATAACTCAGTGTGTTTTGGGCTCCTTATCTATAAACTGCAGTTCTAAGTTGCGTGACCTGAGACATGCAGAGAGGCCTGGCTTACATTTTAGTTGCCTTTGATTGAAATAAGTAAGAACTCTCTGAGTCATCTGGTTTTTCAAGGGAGGTACAGGACTCACTGGCTAGAAAAGCCTGTGCAATTTAATCTCTTGCACAGCTCTCCTTTAGATAAATGACTAGACTACTGATAAATGCAAAAAAGAAATCATTTCCAAATTGGTCCACAATGAAGAGGTGACTAAGTTTGCCTGATGGGAGGATGTATGAGTTTTACGTTGCTGCTATAAGAAATTACTGCAAACCCATTGGCTTAAGAAACAACACACATTGATTCTTTCATAGTTCTGGAGATTGGAAGTCTGAGATGAGTCTTAGGGGGCTAAATTCAAGGAGTTGGTATGGCTGGTTCTTTATGAAGATTCCAGGGAGAATCCATTCCCTGACTTTTCCAAATTCTGGAGTCTTCCTTGACTCATGGTCTCTTCCTTTACCTTCAAAGCACATCATTCCATCTCTGCTTCTGTCACCAAATCTCCTCTCTTCTTTGACATTCTTGTCTATGTCTTATAAGGATCCATGTGATAAAAGTGAGACCACTTGGATAATTGAAGATGACCTGTCATCTTGACACCCTTAACTTGACCAGATCTGTGAAGGCTTTTGTCATGTAGGTGAACATATTCAGATCCCAGAAGTCAAGAAGTGGATGTCTTTGAGGGACAAATGATCCAATCTATCACAGAAAGTCAGTTTTCATCCCTTTCCTAGAAGTCACCATGAGTTCAAGCCCAGCACCTGCAGTTTCCTCTGGAGTTCACTGTTGATCCAAGCTAGGCATGATGCATTTTGCTCCTAAGTCACGATGCATTCTACTGCATCTTTCAGGAAAGTTAGATGTGCCATCCTATGGAATAAGTATATCATGCTGTCTTTCTGGCCACCACAGTCATAAATAAATGACAGACAGGGGCTAGGAAGAAGAAAGGAAGGAGTTGCTTGCTTTATGGTCATAAAGGCATGTAAGTGATGCATTCCAAGGATGTGGCAATGATTATAATCAAAGGCATAGACGTGAGAGCCTCCACCCTAATCGTAGTTAGGCTATTTCCTATCCCAAGCAAAGTGCTGTAATCTTCCTGGACTTTAATTCCCTCACAAGTAAGACAGGGATAAGAGTCACTTCAGGATGCCATTGTAGTGATTTAATGAACTAATGAATGAAAAAACTTTAACAAGTTGTCTGCAACCTTGTAGGCACTCAAGGAATGATAATAACATTTTTTGAGGAATTTAAATGCCACCACCAGCTGCCATGTCTTTGCTGTTTATTATTCACAATTTATTATTAGCACACTGTTTTCAAGTGCCTTCTAAGTAGTAGGTCTCTGCAATAAAAACAGTAGCAAGATTTGGTGACTGAACACCACAGCTAAATTCCTAATTTAAAAAATCAGAGTAGATTTAATTAGGAAATATTCATGCACCAGTCATGTTCCATGGGCTTGTAATTGAACTGGGAGTAAAGGAAGATATGTAAACTGTCTTCCTGTATCGATTGCATGTCTCCAACAGCCGAGCTCACAAAGGGCTTTCTTCTTGGAATTACATTTGTCATAGGGGGATTTGGAGCTCATACTGTGCAAAGGGTGCAACCAGCCTCCATTTCATCCTACAGACCACACCTACTTCAAGGGCAACATTTTATACACCCTAGGTGGAGAGGGAATTACTTTAAAATAAAACTTACATATTTCCATGCAAAAAAGAAATGCAACTTCACATAAAAAATCTGTAAAATTGCCATTATGGGGAAGAAAATAGATTTTTTTCTGTATTCCTTCACTATTTTATTTATTTATTTTTTAATTAATTAATTAATTATTTTTGAGATGGCATCTCACTCTGTTGTCCAGGCTGGAGTGCAGTGGCACGATCTCAGCTCACTGCAACCTCCGCCTCCAGGGTTCAAGCAATTCTCCTGTCTCAGCCTCCTGAGTAGCTGGGACTAGAGGCACTCGCCACCACACCCGGCTAATTTGACGGGGTTTCGCCATATTGGTCAGGCTGGTCTCGAATTCCTGACCTCAGGTGATCCACCCGCCTTGGACTCTCAAAGGGCTGGGGTTATAGGCATGAGCCACCATGCCTGGCCTCAGTATTTCTTTACTAAACCAACACTGCTCTATTAGTTTACACTTTTTATTATATTTATCATTAGCGTTGTTTATCTCATACTTTGCATAATGCAGATGATAGAAGCCCTCTATGAAAAAAGGCATAAAGAGGAACTTAGTGATGGTAAAAATCTCCCAGTAGTCATTTTATTATTTATCCTTCTCGTCAACTTCTCCAATTATGAAGGACACTATTATAACATAAATTATCCAATGAAAAAATTATGACTTCACTTTCTTATGAATAGTGAGGCATTCCTCATTTTAAGAAATACGGATTAAGCACATACAAGTGCCCAGACTGTTTTAGATGTCAGGAACAGGAATAAGCAACTTGTTAGTTAGTTTTAAAGGGTAATTGGAATACTGAAGCATTCAGTCCATTTTTTGGCTTCCTTAGTAAATGTTGATGTATTGTTTCTAATATAAGCTCCTTTAGAGACTTGTTACTGTTTCTGCAGAAACAAAGCAAAGCAAAACCAAACCAAACCAAACAAAAACAATCAATGGACAATGAGATCTCTTTTTTAATTTTTTTTCATTTTTATAATTTCCCTTTATATTCAAGGAGAAAGAGAACTTCAATTTGTTTATTTGTTATTGTCATTATTGCCTTATGTATCGGAAAGGTAAACCATATGATATTTAAAAAAAATCTTTAATTCCTCACATGAATTGCTAACAGGACTCCTTTTGTTTCTACCTACACAAAGACATTTTTGCTTTCTTTTAAACTTGTGGGAAATTTACATTCCTGAGGCAGTACCTCACTGCTAATCCTGGGCTGTTGGAATATTAGCATATTACTACAATGAAATATACTCTGGTCAAAAAGGAATCAACCAGGGCTCAGCCCAAATTATAGGTGAAACTTTGTAGTAGATTAAGGCAATAAAATATTACATTGCAATCAAAATAAATCAGCCAGGAGATAGCATAAAACATACATGAAACTTTGCAACATATTAAACAAGTTCAAACATATTACAAACAACGTAATATGCTTTAAGTTTAAAACTTAGATTAAAAAATATATATTTTTAAATAATATATACATATCCCAGCACTTTGAGAGGCTGAGGCAGGTGGATCTCTTGAGCCCAGGAGTTTGAGACCAGCCTGGGCACATGGCGAACCCCATCTCTACAAAAATATATGAAATTTAGCCAGGGATGGTGATGTGCACCTATAGTCCCAGCAACGCTGGGTGGCTGAGGTGGGGAGATCACTTGAGCCTGGCGAGGTTGAGGCTGCAGTGAGCCTTGATCATGCCACTGCACTGCAGCCTGGGAGACAGAGCAAGACCCTGTCTAAAAAAAAGAATATATGCATAAACTTTATCAAAATTAAAGCAACCACAAATTTAACAACCACAAATTTAGGGGGGGTCCTTGCTTTAAGCCAAGAAGGCAGAGAAATGAAATGAAGGGGAAACCACAAGTAGTTATAACATATTGTCGAGGTGACATTTTTGTGAACGTGAGGTATAAGTAGAAGAAAGTAAAGGAAGATAAAGGAGAGATGAACCAAGAAAGGAGAAAAGAGAAAAGGAGAGAAGGGAGGGAGGGAAGGACGGGGGAAGGAAGGAAAGAAGGAGGGAGGGAGGAAGGGAAGGAGAAAGGGAGGCGGGAAAGAAGAAGAGGGAATGATTTATGTACTACAAATGAGAATAAGTCATAAAGCAAGAATTATTATTAAATCATTTCCATATAATGAGTTGAAAGTAAGAGGGTGAGGAGTACTACAATGATTAAAACCACTAAGTGATGGAGATCTGGTTCTGAGAGACAAGATCACACCATGTTGTATAATTCTCCAGTTGGCTAGAAATTTGAGAAGCATGGCTCTGTCCAGAAATTCATTACAGTCCACGGATTGGAAATGTCATAGCAAAAGAAAAATTGTCTAAAGAAGGAGTGGGTTTGGATCAAAATGTTTTAACCACTTAGCTTGTGTGTGTGTGTGTGTGTGTGTGTGTGTGTGCAAGTTTCTCTCATGTGCCCATTTTATTTCTGCTGATGCATATTATTTTATTGCATTGACATTATATTTATACACTGGTAAAAATCAAAGGATGGTATATTTATTATTTTTGTCTGACTTCTAAATTCAATTAATGGCAACTGTGCATATGTTTCATATTTTTGAACTTTTCACATTACAATTGAACTCGTTAAATATATAGAAATATTTAAATTTGTGTCTTAATTTCTGTGCTTATAACCTTTCCAATTAAACCTGAACATTTTCTAAATTTGTATTATTTGATGCATCCACTACACATATTGATGAAATATAATTTAAATATAAAGTGGCTTTTAAATTTTTATTTTTATTTTATGGTCCTTTCACTGCTAAAAAAAAATTTTACATCAATGCCATCATGAAATTTTGGGGGAACAAATATTGAAAGTAATTTCTCTTTGGATGCATGTTTTAAATGTTGAGATCCCAAATAATGCAAATCTGAATATTTTAAACAGCCCCATGCGAGTCCTCACATTCTATTTTGAGAAATCTGATAGACAAGCTGGTAATTACATTGGACACCGGCTTTCAATCAACTCAGGCTGCAAGCTGTGCTTCAATGATTCTCCAAGCAGCATGATAATTAATCATCGACTTCAATATAAGATAATACCCTCAAAGCCCCAGGAGACAGCTAAGTATACATCAACCTCTTCCAGGGATGGGCTCCTCACTTTGAGAGCATAAACCTGTAATTGTTATCTTCTCGAAGTTTACAAGTGTGCCCTGTCAAAGGCCTCCCCCAAAGCAACATTTGATTTCTCCTTGGAGGAGACTCAGATTAATTACTGTTCATCGCCACCCCAATGAGTCATATCCCTAACCTGTAGGAAGAATCCATCAGTGGAATTGTAGTTACACATTCCACTGAAGCCACACTCAATTTGTGTAGACCAGGTTTGGCCCTTATCTTATCACAATCTATCTGGCATAAAGATATTATTTAAAGTTATTCTTAATGTGGTGATGATGACAGAGAAAAAAATATACAACTGATAATAGCCCCAAGGTCTATGCTGTGAGGAACAAGGGGATTCTGAGAATGGGGTGTCTGGAACAACTGACATGCATCTTCATTAAACAATCATTATAATCACAGGTTTGAAGGTGTCCATGCCTGAGCTCCAGTTAACTAATTGCTGTCATTTGCTAAGTGCTTTCGTTGGCTGAGTTCAGAGGACAGATGCTCCCCCACCTGGGACAAAAACAGGCTAATTTGCAAAATCCCTTTTTAATAGCACATTTCTCTGTATGTCTGTAGTTATCTGTTTCTTTATCAGAACCCCAACATGCAAGTGTAGGTCCTAGAGAGAAAGATGAGAGAGAACACCCTGATTTAAAGTATTTTCAAATATAACAGTCTATCAAATAGAGGAGATTTGGAAAGCAAATTTCATTATGAAACCCCACATTCGGAAAAGAATCACAAACACAGAGACACAGGTTTGCAAACCAATATCAAAGTCAGGACTGTATTCCAACAAGTAATCTCTGACAAGTATGAATTTGCAAGCTTGTGCCTCATCCCTCTCCCAGAATATAATTCTGTCAATTTGTCTGTGTAGCCTTGGGTGTCACCTACATCTACCTCATCCATCGAATAATAATTTTCTTCCCCAAAGTACCTATTATTTGTCAGGCTTTGTGGTGAGCAGTTTATATTTGCCACACACCTGGAAATGAAGATTGAAAGAAGTAGTGATGTCATTTTCACCATCTTGACCTCCACACCACCCAGTGAGGGGGAGATGATAACAGGTATCATGCATAGCCCATAAATGAGCAAGATATGTGTAGCTTCTGGATAGGTATGGAAGGGAGGAAGGGAGGGAAGGAGGAGAAAGAAAAAAGGAGGGAGGAAAAGAAACAGAGAGAGAGAGAGAATGAGGGAGGCAGAAAGAGGGAGGAAAGAAGAGAAGAAGAGACAGATGAAGAAAGGAAGGAGGAAAAAAGAAAGGATGGATAAAAGAAAACAGAAGGAAGGGAAAGAGAAAACGTGGGAGGAAAGGAGGGATGAAAGAAAGGAAGGAGGGAGGGGAAAATGAGGAAGGAAGGAAGGAAGAGAGGGAGGGAGGGGAGGGGGAGGAGGAGAAGAAGGAGAAGAAGGAGGAGGAGGAGGGAAGGAGGAGGAGGAAAGAGGAAAGAAAGAAAGAAAGAAAGAAAGAAAGAAAGAAAGAAAGAAAGAAAGAAAGAAAGAAAGAGAAAGAGGGAGGGAGGGAGGGAGGAAGGGAGGAAAGAGGGAAGAAGGAAGGAAGTCAAAAGGAAGGAATGTCAAAAGAAAATGGAAGGAAGGAAAGAAGGAAGTTAAGGGGAGGGAAGAGAGAGGATGGGGAGGATGAAGAGAGGCCATAGGGAAGAGAGATATTTTTATATTACCAAAGGCTCACCTTGATTGTAAAACTGAGCCAAGATGGGAATTTTGGTTTCTTGTCTGCCATCAGTATGGTGTCCCCAAAGAAACAAAGAAATTGATAACAACAGACATACAGAGAAATGTGCTATTAAAAAGGGATTTTGCAAATTGGCCTGGTTTGGTTTGGGGTGGGGGAGCATCTGTTCTCTGAACTCAGGTAACAAAAGCACTTAGTAAATGACAGCAATTAGATAACGGAAGTTCAGGCATGGACACCTTCAAACCTGTGATTATAATGATTGTTTAATGAAGAGCCAAGAGAGAGCCACTCTGGCATTCTAAAAGGAAAATGAGATACTCAAAATGACAAACCAGAGTGATAATCTATTAATGCGTTGACTTTCTCAGGAAGAGGAATCAAGTGATGCAGTGAATGGCACAGACAATCCTCACAGTGGAATGAGCTATAGTTGGCTACACATTTGAAGGACTAATGGAAAAATAAAGTAAAATGGAAGGCGGAGAGGTGGATGCTCTAGTTCTAACCCCTCTCTGTGACTAAGTAGCTTAGTGTCTTGCAGATTCCAGTACTTCCTTTAACATTTAGTAGGTCAACGCATGCATTTAGGAGATCTTACACAACTGTGAGATGCAAGTAAATAATTACGTCTCATGGTCCTTGTAATGTAGTCTTACTCCTAGAATTCCTTATTCCCCACCTTGTCTTCACTGTAATTTGCTACAGATGACACAGATTCACACACACATACATGCATGGTGACATTATTACCTTTTTTTTTTTTTTGAGATGGCGTCTCACTCTGTTGCCCAGTCTTGAGTGCAGTGGCACGATCTCAGCTCACAGCAACCTCGGCCTCCCAGGTTCAAGCAATTCCCCTGTCTCAGCCTCCCGAGTAGCTGGGACTACAGGCACTTGCCACCACACCCGGTTAATTTTTGTATTTTTAGTAGAGATGGGGTTTCGCCATGTTGGCCAGGCTGGTCTCGAACTCCTGACCTCAGGTGATCACCTTGGCTTCCCAAAGTGCTGGGATTACAGGCGTGAGCCACCACTCCCGGCCAGATTGTTACATTTATAGAACAGGTACATTGATTCACTTAGTCCCTTGATTTAACATTATTCCACGCAGGGTATGGTGGCTCACACCTATAATCTCAGGAATTTGGGAGACTGATGTGGGAGGATCTTTTGAGCCCGGTAGTTTGAGACCAGCCTGGGCAGCATAGTGAGACCTCATCTGTGCGAAACATTAAAAAGATTAGCCAGGTGTGGTGTCATCTGCTTGTAGTTCCAGCTACTCACGAGGTTGAGATGAGAAAATCACTTGAGCCCAGGTGGTGGAGGCTGCAGTGAGCCGAGATCGTGCCACTGCACTCCAGCCTGGGTGACAGAGTGATACTCCATCTCAAAAAAAAAAAAAAGAAAAAAAAAAAAAAAAGTTAAGCACAGAATTAGCACCTGACTCAGCAGCTTCACACCTAGGTATATACTTTCACAAATGGACAACAGGGATGCGAACAGATGAAAACATTATTCACAATAGTCAAAAGATAGAAACAATCCAAATGTCCATCAACCAATACATGAACAAACAAAATGGAGTCTAGCCACACAATGGAATACATTATTCAGCCATAAAAATTAAAGAAGCTGACTCATGCCATGTTCTTCTACAACATGGAAGATCTTTGAAGATATTATGCTCAGTGAAGGGAACCAGACAAGAAGGAACACATATTGTATGATTTGGCTGATATGAAATATCTAGAGAAGGCAAATTCACAGGGACAGAAAGGAGATTGGTGGTTACTAGGGGCTGAAGGAGGGAGAGAGGAAATGGAAAGTTGTTGCATAATGGTATAGATTTTCTCTTTGGAGTAAGAAAATATTTTGGATATAGATAGAGGTGATATTTGCAAAACATTGTGAATATATTTAGTACTACAGAATTGCACACTTTGGTTAAAATGGCAAGTTTCACATTATGTGTGTTTTACCACCATAAAAAATAGTGGAAGAAAGTTAGCCCGGCCCTATTTAATTTTAGCAAAGAAGAAAACCCTAAAAGTCCTGACTTGACCACCACACAACCTATGCATGTAACAAAATTGCACTTCTATTTCATAAATTTGTATAAATATATAAATAAATATTCTCAAAAGAAAGTTTATTAGCAAATGTCTGTATCTCCAGCCACCCCCAAAATACACATGCTAAAACTGTTTCATGAGAATTCCTGGGAAAATAATGAAGCAGTTTTACTAAAATCTATCGCTCTCACAAAATCTTTAATCTTTGTTGAAGTTTTTCTTTCTTGTTTTTTCTTAATTTTTAGCTGAACACGAATAAGTACGTGGAACCATCTGTTGCTTGAATGACCAACTCTTGTCTCTGGTACAATCCTTTGTAAAATTCTCAATTGTGTAATTTAGTGTGGAAGCAAAATATCACTAGCTAGGCTTACAATCGTTGTGCTAGTTTTCAACTTAATTTCATGCCACACCAAAGGACTTGAGTAAAAAGTTCATGTAATAGTCTAACTATGTTTTAGGATGTCTTTTTGCAAATGCCCTGCAAAAAGTAAAAACAGAAATTTTAAAAAAGGCCGGGCACGGTGGCTCACACCTCTAATCCCAACACTTTGGGAGGCCAAGGCGGGCAGGTCACTTGAGGCCAGGAATTCAAGAGCAGCCTGGACAACATGGTGAAACTCCGTCTCTACTAAAAATACAAAAATTAGCCAGGCATGGTGGTGCATGCCTGTAATCCCAGCTACTTGGGAGGCTGAGGCAGGAGAATTGCTTGAACGCAGGAGGTGAAGGTTGCAGTGAGCCAAGATCGCACCACTGCACTCCAGCCTGGGCAACAGAGCAAGACTCTGTCTCCAGATGAATAAATAAAGAAGGAAATAGGGCTTTGGTGTCCTAAGAAAAAGAACAAATAATTAAATAAAGGTGTTAATATGATGAGAAAGGGTTACTAATGTAAAACTAAAGACATCTACAGAAAGTATATAAACGCTCCTTTTTTCTCTATGTTTCAGTTACATTTTTTTCTCTAACAATAATTTGAAGTCATAGAGTGGATTCAAGATAACCTGAATTTTTGTGCCTTGTCCAACTCTAAACCTTGGGAGACTTTTACCAAGCTATTTAATGCTTTTCTAGGTTTCAATGACATCGCTGAAAAGAGAGTGAATGATAATTGTTCAACCTATTTCACAGAGAGTTGTTGGGAAGGTCAAAAATGAGCATTTCATTATAGGTATTTTATAAACTATAAACTAGCATGAAATGGAAAATGTTCACAGTTAACAGCATAAAATTCAACCCAGAGGACAAAGAGTTTAAAAATTGAAGAATGAAATTTCTGGGAGAAAATGTGTCCCTGACATAAAGGTGACATATTCTCAGGACTCAAACATGTTCAGGGGTGGGAAGAACAGTTGCTGATGCCAAGAACATTTTACCCTCATGACAAGCTCGGGACCTCCTCAGAACTATCCACAGCATTGGTCTTCCCTGCGTGTGTCAGCTCTGCTAAAAGCAGGAGAGAGTGTCGGCTCTAGTAAAAACAGAGCTATGGTGCGAGGCTTATGAAACCTCTTGCCTGGAAGCCACTCCACCAAGCATGTCCAATCTTTTGGCTTCCCTGGGCCACGTTGGAAGAAAAACTGGGGCCACACATAAAATACACTAACACTCATGATAGCTGCTGAGTTTTGTTAAAAATGCAAAAACATCTCATAATGTTTCGAGAAAGTTTGCAAATCCGTGTTGGGCCATATTCAAAGCTGTCCTGGGCTGCATGCAGACCGCAGGCCATGGGTTGGACAAGCTTGACCTACACCATTCCATATTCTTAAGGCAGAAGAAAACTCAACTGCCAGTGATGACCAAATATAATGAGGAAGAACGTAGGCTTTTATCTGTTGAATTCTGTTCCCCCCAAAAAGATATGTTGGCATCTTAACCCCTTGGACCCCAGAATGTACCCTTTCTTAGAGACAGGGTCCTTGCAGACATAAATAGTTAAGATGAAGTCATACTGAAGTAGGGTGAGACCTCAATCCAATATGAGTGGTATCCTAAGAAAATGTGGCATGTATACACCATGGAATACTACTCATCCATGAAAAGGACTGAACTAATGGCATTCACAGCAACCTGGAAGGAGTTGGAGACCATTATTCTAAGTGAAGTAACTCAGGAATGGAAAACCAAACATCCTATGTTTTCACTCACAAGTGGGAGCTAAGCTATGAGAATGCAAAGGCATAAGAATGACACAATGGACTTTGGGGACTCGGGGAAAGGGTGGGAGGGGAGTGAGGGATAAAAGACCACATATTGGATACAGTGGACACTGCTCAGGTGATAGATGCACCAAAATCTCAGAAATCACCACTGAAGAACTTACTCATGTGACTAAACACCACCTGTTCCCCAAGATGAGTGGTATCCTTATAACAAGAGAAGAGACAAAGAGACAGACACATACAAAAAGAAGATCATGTGAAGACAGAGGCAGAGATTGGAGTGACACAGCCACAAGCAAAGAAACTCCAAAGATTGCTGGCCACCTACAGAAGCTAAGAGAGAGGCAATGAAACAGATCATCCCCTAGAGCCGTCAGAGAAAGCATGACCCTGTCCACACCTTGATTCCGGAATTCTGACCTGAGAACTGTGAGAGGATACATGCCTGCTGTTTTAAATCACCTGGTATGTGGTATTTCTTAGTTCAGCTCTGAGAACAAATATGAGATATTCACTTTTTATTGTAGGTTACTCGGAGATACAGTAACTAATTCTCATCTAGAAATCGCAGGTCTGTATTGCGAGAAAGAGAGACTGCACTTTCCGCAAAAGGTAGTCATGACTCCATGAGCACCTTGCAGCAGCACCTGGTCCAGATGAAATTCCCATTCGGTCTTGGCTCCTTTGAAGATATTGATGACATTATGGTAAGTAAAGGACGCCAGACACAACACAACAAATATTATGATTCCACTGCTATGCAATATCTAGAATGGGCAAATTCACACAGACAGAAAGTAGAATGGTGGTTACCAGAAGCTGGTGCAGTGGAGGGTGAGAAATGAGAACTTATTGTTTGCACTCTTATGAGTGCAAAGATTCAGCTTTGCAAGGTGAAAAGAGTTCTGGGGATAGATAGTGGTGATGGTTGCACAATATGAATGTACTGTAGTTAATACCACCAAACTCTCAAAAATGGCTAAAGTGGGCTGGGCGTAGTGGCTCAAGCCTGTAATCCCAGGACTTTGGGAGGCCGAGGCGAGTCGGATCACTGGAGGCCAGGAATTCGAGACCAGCCTGAACAACATGGTGAAACCGCATCTCTGCTAAATATAGAAAAATTAGCCAGGCGTGGTGGTGCATGCCTGTAATTCCAGTTACTTGGGAGGCTGAGAATGACAATTGCTTAATCCTGGGAGGCAGAGGCTGCAGTGAGCCAAGATTGCGCCACTGCACTCCAGCCTGGGTGAGAGAGTGAGACTCTGTCTCAAAAAAGAAAAAAAGAAAAGAAAAGAAACCACCACCACCACCACCAACAACAACAACAACAAAATGCTAAAATGGTAAATTTTATTTTAGGTATATTTTACCATAATTAAAAAGTACTATGTTATTTTAAAAATTAAGGCTAACTTGGAAAAGTAAAGATTATAGTCTCTTGATCTGTAGTAACAGTGTCTTGAAAGGCATTCTTGGGGACTCTGGAGCCAGGCACCTTCCTCTTTGCTTTTTTGAGACAGGGTCTTACCCCTATCACCCAGGCTCTACCACAGCTCACTGCAACCTTGACTTCGTAGGCTTAGATGATTCTCCTACCTCAGCAACTCCATCTTAAATAGGGGCTGGGTAAAATGCAGCTAAGACCTGCTGGGCTGCATTCCCTGAAGGTCTGGCATTCTTAATCACAGGATGAGATAGGAGGTCAGCTCAAGATACAGGTCACAAAGACCTTGCTGATAAAACAGGATGCGGTAAAGAAGCAGGCCAAAACCAAGATGGCCACGAAAGTGACCTCTGGCCATCCTCACTGCTCATATAGGCTAATTATCCTGCGTTAGCATGCTAAAAGACACTTGCACCAGCGCTGTGACAGTTTACAAATGCCAGGGCAATGTCAGGAAGTTCCCCTATACTATATGGTGTAAAAAGGGAAGGAACTCTCAGTTCCTGGAACTGCCTACCCCTTTCCTGGAAAACTCATGAATAATCCACCCCTCATTGAGCATATAATCAGGAAATAACCATAAGTGTATCCAGTTGAGCAGCCCACACCACTGCTCTGCCTATGGAGTAGCAATTCTTTATTCCTTTACTTTCTTAATAAACTTGCTTTCACTTTACTCTATGGACTCACCTGGAATTCTTTCTTGTGTGAAGTCCAAAACCCCTCTCTTGGGGTCTGGATTGGGACCCCTTTCTTGTAACAAAATCATCTCATCCAAAGCTTGTAGGTTAGGGGCTTTTCAAAGACAGTTTAAGGGAAGGGGTCGGGGTAGCAGGTAACAGGTGCTTGCTGCCGATTGATTAAGGCAATGATGAAATCTTAGGGGGTTGAAGCTGTCCTCCTGAAGGCTGAATTGCTTCTGGGTGGGGCCACAGGAGGGGGGGTTGCTGGGTCCAGGTGGAGCCATGGGTATCAGACATGCAAAAAGACTGAAAAGTTATCTCAAAAGGCCAATCTTAGGTTCCACAATAGTGATGTTATTTACAAGAGTACTTGGGGAAGTTGCACATCTTATAACCTCTGGAATAACAGCTGGCAATCCTTCATGTCTGTGCCTTAGCAGGAATCAGGCTGTCCTCCTCCCTGCAGCCCGATGGCCTCCCATCAGCTTTACAACTGTGGTTGGGTTTCTGGGCAAGGCCTATTATCATTTAAACTGTAGCCTAAATGTCTTCCCAAGTTCGCTTGGCCCAATAGCGCAGGAATAATTAAGAGAAAGGCAAGATGAGGGGTGGGTTAGCTCAGCTTACTGTTATAATTTTTATCACTGATGATTGAATTTTTGCAAACTCGATTTTTCTCACTGATAGAATTTTTGCAAACACACACTTGCCAACTCACATATACTCACATGAACACACTGACACACAAACATGCTCACACACACCTGCACACAAACACACCATGCACAGAGTATTTTGCTACAACTTATTTTGCTCTTAGACTGATTCGTTTTTTCCTGCTTTAGGGAAAGACTGCTTTTAAAGCTGACCGTGAAATACAAGGGAATGTGCTCCTCCCTGAATTTCTTTTCTCTTTCTAAAAATTAACTACATGTAAGCTTAATTTTACAATTCTAAAGAGAGAGACACATGTTTGAGAACCTAGTATAAACAAAACGTGGTACATAGAAACAAACAAACAAATAAAAATCCTAGTATGTATTTCAGCATGTGCTTTGAAATCCTTTGACAAAATTGCAGAATCCTTTTAGGGGCTGAAACATTGACGTAATTCACAAACCACTGCAGTAGCCGTCTCTAATTCTCTCACAATTACTGTTAACACACTGGGTGAATACAAATTAGCAGATGAGAAAGATACCATGAAAACGTTTAAATTAAACTTGGCCCTGGCGCTTCCTGTAGGGGATGCTCCTGCACTCCCTAGAATTACCAAGAAGATTCAAACAAAAATATGTGAAGAGTTGGGGAAATAGGATAGCATTTCTGCCCTTGGTGATTCAGGTGACAACAATTAGAAGCATGATTAAGGATGCTATCTAGATTTTTATGGCATATATCTATACAAGGCTTTGAAGTTAATAGTGTTTTAAAGGATATTCTCGGCTTTTCTGTTTTTGTTCCTGAAGCCTTTTTTTTTTTTTTTTTGTTAGGAAACCATAAGTTAAATATGGTATCACATTGATAATTATAATGTCGGCTTAATTTTAAATCGTCCCCACAGTTGCCTTCTGGCATGTATAGTTTTGTGTGCTAACAAACATTCTAGGCCACTAATAATGAACTAACTAGGTAAAAATGGAATTATTTCTTTAGAATTGGAAATAAAAGAAGGAAACGTAAAAATGCAGAATAAATAGGAAGGCTGTAAATTGAAATATAAATTTAGGATATGGAAGGGGAACAGGAACACTCAGTGCATTAATATGCATCTATGAATTTGAAAATTCTTCTCTAATGAGGTAAGCATTCTGTGAACTTACTTGATGGGGATAATTTTGCATCATTGACATGATCTCCTTTGTACTATTCAGTTCTTGCTTTCCAACTACCTAGAATTTTTTGAAATATTATAAATTTTATGGACCAAGGTATGCTGCCATTGCAATTCAATCTGAGATTTTTTTGCTTATTGTATTATAAGCATTGCTAAATCGTATTGTGTATGTATATATACAAGCACACATACAAAATACAATAAGCCAAATATATGTGTGTGTATATGTGTGTATATATAATATACATATATGATATAAATATATGCATATAGAGGTATACACATATTTGTCATATATTTACATATGTAAACTCATGAGTATATGCACAAGTAAATGATGCTTATATAATGTTACATAGTTCTTAGCTATGATAAAGGTAACTAGATGACAACTTTCTTTCTTTTCTTTTTCTTTTTTTTTTTTTTGAGACAGAATCTCGCTCTGCTGTCCAGGCTGGAGTGCAGTGGCACGATCTCTGCTCACTGCAACCTCTGCCTCCTGTGTTCAAGCGATTCTGCTGCCTCAGATTCCCGAGTAGCTGGGGCTAAAGGAGTGTGCCACCATGCCCAGCCAATTTTTTGTATTTTTGGTAGAGATGGGGTTTCACCATGTTAGCCAGGATGGTCTCGATCTCCTGACCTCGTGGTCTGACCGCCTCAGCCTCCCAAAGTGCTGGGATTACAGGCGTGAGCCACCGCGCCAGGTCCAACTTTCTTTTTTTATACCCAAAATTGCTTAGGTACTTTCACTACTGACAGACTAGAACCAAAAAATTATTTGCATTTCTACAATTCTTTATATGGAGTACCTGTCCACTCTAGGAAAAAATGGTGGGTTTTTCTTAACCAATAAAGAAACCATGAATATGACAGTACACTTGTTGAGCTGAGGTTGCATGCAGACATGGATATTTGACATTGGATGGAATTTGGGTTGAATCAAAATCTCAGTGAGATGTTGGAATATGCTATAGTTTGGAAGGAACCCTACCCAAGAGGTAATTGCCCGGCAAGGTGTCAGAGCCCTAACATTGGAAAGTGGTCAGCTCTCAGACAGTAGGGTAGGAAATACAATTTACAGACAACAGTATGGGTTTAAAAAAGAAAGTTTTATTGGATAGAAAGAATGCTGCAGAAGAGTGCAGTGGGTGCCTCAGCAAGAGAGGACTGAGCTCGCCGTGGTGGATTTTCCTTATCCGTATTTAAGGACCTTAAAGCAGGAGCTGAAGGGTAATTTGCACCATAGTAGCCATGTAGGTCATGATAAATGATGACATTTGTAGACATTTTGGTGCCTTAATGTCAGCAAGGGTTGCACAATGAGTTTTGACATGCATGCATTCTAGAGTAACCAGAAATTCTAGTTACTTATAATTTTGGGGGAAAAGAAGCCTGATACCCTATACCAGCTTTAGAGAATAGAGGAGTCTAATTATTTCTGAATTCCTCAGATAAGGAGTCTGGCCTCTGGATGGTCTGCTTGATGGCCACCAGGTGATCTTTGGTCTCCTCAGTAATAATTAAGCTAGTCATTTTAGGTAAGGTGCCCTGGGAAACAGTGTGGGGAGGAAACAGGGGGAAGTGAGGGATGTAGCTGGAGGAACACTAGCATAAAGGGAAGATGAAGATCTCGGCAAAGAAGAAATGATAGGTCAGAAAGAGCACAACACAGCAGCCTTACTTGGAGGCAGTAGACAAAAATTCTACTCTACAAAGTCATGGTTAGGGGAAAAGAAAGGGAAAAAAGAGTTGGGTTTGGCAATCTTACTTATATGCTTGCAAATTCAACGATGTTGACAGTTCCTATGTTATTTTCATTTGAACTAGCATTTCTCTAATTAATACAGAATGTGAACAACATTTTGGTATATTGTTTACTCCAAGCTTTCTAGTATTGCTTTGGCTACCCTATTTCATTTTTATTCCCTTATATTATTTTCTTTTTCCTGCTTATTTTTGGTTTAACTTGCTTTTCCTCTTCTGGTTTCTTGAAGTGAAAGCCAGGGCTCCTTGATTTAAAATCTTCATTCTCTTTTGATATAGTCATTCAGAGCCATAAATTTCTTAGTACAGGTTTAGTGTTATCCTGCAAATGTCATACATTGTGGTTCCATATTCATTTTGTTCAAATTACTTTCTGATTTCTGATTTTTTTTCTTTGACTCTTCCATTGATAATTTACAACTGTGCTATTCAGTTTCTAATATTTGGACATTTTCTGGACATGTTTTAATTATTGTTTGTAATTTAATGCTATTGTGGTCAGAGAACATACATTGTGTCATTTGGATTTTCTTCTAATTTTTTGAGATGTATGATATGGTGTGGCTCTGTATCCCCACCCAAATCTCACCTGGAATTGTAATCTCCACATGTCGAGGGAAGGACCTGGTGGGAGGTGATTGAATCATGGGGACGGTTTCCCAAATGCTGTTCCCATGATAGTGAGGCAGTTCTCATGAGATGTAATGGTTTAAAAGGGGCAGTTTCCCCTGCGCATACTGTCTCTCTCCTGCCACCTTGTGAAGAAGGTGTCCTGCTTCCCCTTCCGCCATGACTGTGAGTTTCCTGAGGCCTCCTCAGCCATGTGGAACTGTGAGTCAATTAAACTTCTTTCCTTATAAATCACCTAGTCTCAAGTATTCTTCATAGCGGTATGAAAATGGACTAATACAATGTATTTTCAGGTCTAGAATGTAGTCTATCCTGGTAGACATGCCTGTGTCTATTTGATCACGTATGCATCTTAGAAGTTAACTCAAGAATACTTACAGGATACAAAAATATTCAACTCCAAATGGGTAAATTTTACAAGGTATGGCATCCAAAGAAAAACTTCTAATTATGGGAAACGGTATAAAAATGTAATAAATAAGATGAAGAAAAAATCAATCAATCAAAATGGTCCCAGAAATGACACAGATGTTAGATTATGCAATAACATTAAGCAGTTATTATAACTGTATTTCATGTGTTCATAAAGTTAGATAAAGACATCACAGATACATAAAAGGCCCAAATCAAACATCTGGATATAAAATCTACAATGTGTGAGATCAAAATTGCATTGAGCAGAATTAACAGGAGATTAGAATTTGCAGGAAAAATATGACTTATGAATTTAAAGACATAGCAATAAAAACCCTACCCCCCAAAAAAACAGAGAAGAGAGATTTTAAAAAGTGAATAGAAGATCTACGAGTTGTGGGAAAATTTTAAGTACCTTAATATACATGTAATTGGAATTCCTGAAAAAGAGAAATCACAGAAACCATATTTGAAGACATAATGACAAAACATTTTCATATTCGATGTAAATTATAATCCCATAGATTCAAGAAGCTCAGCCAACTCAAAGCACCAAAATCACAAATAAAACTCCAACTTATAAAATTTGTAGATGATGCCAAAGAAGTATTTAGGAGAAATGCATAGTACTCCATAATCAGAGTGCTGAAAAGTGATGATTCAAAGAAAATCTTACAAGCATCCAGAGAGAAAAGACAGGTTACATACCACATGTCAAAGTAATGATTACAGCAAATTTCATGTGAAAAATAATGCCCACAAGAAGACGGTGGAATGATCTAATGAACTGGAGAGGGGTGGGAGTGTAAGGTAATCTAGAATCAAACAACTAGCAAAAACATTCTTTAAAATCAGAGAAGATGTAGACATGTTCAAAAATACAAAAGCAGAAAGAATTGAATAGCACAGACCACACTGCAAGAAGTGGTAAGGGCATCCTTCAAACAGAAGGAAAATGATATCAGGTGTGGCTATGGAAATGTGGATTTATACAAAGAAATGAAGAACACTAGAATTTGTGACTGCATTAATAATGTGTTGGATCTTTTGCTTATTTAAATCTCTTTAAAAGATATTGATTGTTTAAACAAATATGACAACAATGCAGACATCATAAGTAAGTGCATACATGTTTTTCTTGTTACTAATCTCCATAAAGGATAATTGATCCTTTAAGCAAATATGATCTGATCTGGAGTTTATAACATATGTAAATGTAAAATTAATGACATTAGCACAAAGCTCAGGAAGAGAGAAATGCAAGTGTATTCTGGTAATCTTCTTATTAGATAAGTATACTCCAGTAATGTGAAGTGTGACATCACTGGAAAATAGATAGGCTATGATGAGTTAATTATGTGTACTATGAACCCTAAAGCAACCACCACTATAACAATACAAAGAGTTACAACTAACAAACTTAAAAACAGACAAAATAGAATTATAAAATTAATTCAATTGGTAGAAAAGAACACAAATAGAAAAAGAGATTAAAAAAATGGGACAAATAAATGGAAACCAAATAGGAGATGGTATTTCAAAGTTTGCCATATAAATAATAATCTAAAATGTAAATGCTCTGAAAACACCAATAAAAAACAGTTTTTCAAGTTGAATAAAAGGCAGGACCCAATGTATGCTGCCTAAAAGAAACACAATTTAAATATAAAGACCCAGGGTGATTAAAGGCAAAATGATAGAAAAAGTTATATCATGCTAGTCCTAATCAAATAAAATTTGGTGTGGCTATATTAATATAGCAAAAAGGATGTTTTACAATGAAGAATATCCTCAGTAATAGGGGTTATTTCTTAACAATAAAAGGGTCAGTTTAACAAGAGAACATAAAATCCTAAACTTTTATGCACCTAATAACAGAGCCTGAAAATGCACAAATCAAAAATTTATAGATGTACTAGGACAACCAGAGAAATTCACAACTTAAGTGGAAATTTTAAATAGCCTTACATGAATAATTGACAGAAAAAGCAGATAGAGAAATCAGTAAGGAAAAAAGAGGTTAGATTAACACTATCAATCAACTTGACTTTAATTAATATTGAGAGAAAAGTCAACCCAATAATAGTTCTTTACAAGACAACAGAAAACATTTAGCCTGTTAGACCATAGTCTAGATCATAAAACTTTTTATAATAAATTTAAAAGAATTCAGGTCATATGTATAACAATTTATTTTTAATAATGAAGAGGTTTCTGGAAGCTAATGGAATAATAAAACTCATTATTTAAATTTTTATAAAAGGTACTTGGCTAGCTGTTATTGTTTTCATACTTAATTTTACATTTCTAATTCTCATCATTTTTTAAAAAATTAAAAATTAGAGTTATTTATTAAATAATGTTAGGGTGCTTTATTTTTGTCTTTTATGTAATAAATATAAATTACTACTGCAGAATAAAAATTAGATGAAATGCATGGGAACAGATTATTTTACCCTAGAATTCCATTCCTAAAGAAATCTAAAGACTTTTTTATTTTTATTTTTTTTTGTTCTTAAGATACAACATCTCAAGGGATTTCATTTTTAATTTCAGGCATAACAACAAGTTCTCTAGGCCTGATAAATGTCAGACTTCAAAGTACCCTGAATTGGAGCTGAGCTTGAGTAGTAAGGAAAACTGATTTGAGCTTGGGGGCAGAGAATTGTATATTAACAAATCAGAGGAATATCTTACAAATTCTGATACGAAGAAGAAAGTGAATGAGAGCAGGGAAGCAAGGTCTGGAATAGTCTAGGTAGCAGAATAATCCCCCTTTGCCCCACCTTGTCAGGGTGCAAGATGTCAACCATTTTGGGGCTTTTATAATGTGTCATAGATGGAGAAACCTGTAGTCTTCAGAAATGATCTTATAGGAGAAGGCCATTGCTGTATAGCTGTCTTATTAATCTCTTATCACATGAGATTTGGTAGCCAAGACAATATCCACGTTTATGAGCTCGACCAAGATCAAGCTCAAAATGAAAGAACTGAAGACATCAGTAGGAATTAATTGTGTTAGAGACTGGATATTATAGGAAAGTAGACATAATTCATCTTAACTGCTAGTGTTTGGGTTAAAGATGCAAATAAAATTGAACTCAGAAGACATCTGTTTTTTTAAAAACTGTCAATATGAAATAATGGTACTAACTAGATCACTCCCATTGTATGCTACATGGGAAAGCTACAACTTTTCTACCTAAGACCAATCTAACATTATCTCTAAAATATAATTCTACACCTTTTTTTATTGCCACCTGGTCAAACTGTTATTGCCTCCTTAATATAGACATTAGGAAAGGAATGAGCATTGTGTTTACATGCGTAGAGTTACCACTGATCTATGAGGCTTTTATAGATACCTTAACTCCAGATCTCCAGATAGACAGAGAGAGAGAGACAGCGATAATAAATATAATATATAAATATAAAATAGATATAATATATAACATATATAAAATAAATTATAGATTTTATGTGGATATGAATATATAATACATATTTTCCTAAATTTTTACATATATAATATATGAATATATTTTTATATATTATTTACGTTATTTGTATAAAAATATTTGTATATTATATATTTTATAAAATTCATAAACACATGTTCCTATATTTAAATATTAAAATATAAATACATATGTAAATATATATATTTTTATATATATATTTTTTCATCTAACGTCCTTTAGGTTTTCGTTGCATAGGTTGATGAAAAAACCTTAAGATTATATATGTCAAACAAAGTAGCAATTAAACAGTATTTTGCCTTAGATTATAGCTAAACAATTTCTTTTAGTTCCTTTTTTCTTTTTTTAAATTTCAGTTTGAAATAGTTGCCATTAAGCTTCGCAAGAACTGCAATCACTTTGCCTGTCAGGCTGTTAGCACTTTGTTGCAACTGATATAAATGATGTGGCCAGACAATTTGCAGAAGTCAGGCAATTAATCAGAGAACTGAAAACATTTTTACTAAAAAAGTCAAGTAATTGAAGCATATCTAAGAAGCTGTAACTTACCTATTGATTCCTCAGAAAATTTCTGGATATTCAATAAGTATGTCACATATATTCCCTCAAGTTTAAAACAACTGAGTAATTTCTATCTGGATATTTTAGTACTGAGTCATAATCTGGTGGTTACACCCCTCAAAATTTTCCTCCTGCCTTTCCTTTTCCCAAAGGGAAGATTAAAAATAGGGATGAATTCAAAATAGAAAGAATTACATTTTCTTTTGAAAACAAAATAAACTAACATCTTTTACGGAGGGTCCACGGTTTTCCTTGAGGGAGAAATAAAAATCTGAGTTTGCATTTCAACTGATACAAAAATATATGAGTTCTCATATGAAGACTAAATGCATATGGGTTTATTGATTTTTCCTTTACATTAGAAATAGCACATTTGAGAAAAGAACATTTTAGGAGGCTTTCTTAGAGTAAATAAATAAGTCAGATTGAAGAGAGGCTTTTACAAACTCTTAAATGCCATTGTTCTTCTTAAAAATTATCCAGAGTTTATGGAAAAGCAGAATGACCCCAAAGGGTGGGTAAGAACATTTTTGAGAGTGTGCTCATAGACACCTGTTGCCAGAAGTAGATGAGATTGGGTACCTTCCTAAGTACAGGGAGTGTGTCCAAGTACCACAAGGCACATTGAACTGCACCTGCACCTTCTGGGTCGTTACCTGTTCTGTGATCAAGGAGCAACTAGGGGTCATTTGACTTGGCTTGAAGCAGAGAGTCATAGCAGGGCTTCCTTGGTTGCCACAGCCTTGTCCTTTTTTTTGGATGTCTTTCTCCAGGGTTTAAACCTGATACCTTCTTAAAGGAGGCACTGCAGAGAGAAAGCAAAAGTCCTGCCATTAGTGATAGTGCTTAAATCACTGAAACCAAATCTGCAGCATTAAGCGATCTTGAAAAATATTATATCCATAAAATATTCTAGGAAGGGCCCAGCTACATGATTAGGCTATTTTACCAGGTCATTTAACACATGTCTATTTGAGATTTGTATTTGGTGCTTCTGTATTTAATGATGGTCAGGAAAGCAAAGACCAAGGACCCAGAAAATGGAGAGTTTGAGGGCAGAATAGTAAGAAATGTTTTTGCCTTTAATTTCAGTTACAGAAGATATATTTATAAAGTCACTGAATTGTAAATTAGCTTCCCATAAACATGTTCTGAATGACCAGTTAGTGGAATAGGACTTGTCTATTTGCCCTTCTGTATGTAAATGGTTTTAAATGTCTCCAAATACCACCACCATTCTTGTTATGTTCAAATCCTATGGCCAGGATGGGCCCTTTTTATGAGATTTTTTTTTCCTCTGATAATCAAGAAATTGTTATTAAGCAGATTTCCTCTTGCTAATTATATAGTTGTCAGTTTCTCTTCATTCATAACATTTTCAATCGTAAAATTAATAGTGTGTCTTCACCTGTTAATAAAATAGAACCCATCAGTAGTGAGTAATTCTGTTTTTTCCTTTTCTGTGTTTGGTTGCCTGCCTCCATGAACAGCCACATAAAGTGTTGTGTTTTGCTTTAATAAATAAGCAGCGTTGTGATGTAGGCAATGTGATGTTTTGGCTGTTGGCTGACTGGAACATTTGCATTTATAGGCTGTAGACAAAGGCCACCATGTTTTGTGTTCATGACTCATAAATGACAGCAGGGTCAGGGAAGGACTTGTCTGCTGTGGTGGGGCAGGCATTGCCCTGGGGTCTGAGCTTTGCTAGCGTGCACAGGGACAGGCTATGCTGGGTGGGCAGCAGAGTAAAGCAGCCAGAATCAAGGACCCGCTGGACATCAAAGCCCCATGTAGACAGCAGGGTCACTGCAGAAATGTATCAGCGGGATGAGGGGAGGAAACAGGGATGAGTCAGGCTTGCTGCTTCCTAGAGGAGCAAAAAGAGCTCCTGTCTAGGAGTCAACTTGCACTCATCTAGGATTCCATCTTAATTGTGAACCTCAGGAAGCCCTGCCTTGTGGTCCATCCATGTCACTGTCACCATGCCTGAATATTTCCTAGGCACGATTGGTTTAGCCTCGACTGCAATACCCTGCAACATGACCCTATACCTCAACTGCTATGAGCAGCCCAAGGAGAAAAACCCTAGTCTTTACTCTTTTGTGTGTCCTCTTTATCACTTGGCACAATCACAGTAAATGATTAATGTAGCATTTTAGAGAAACGGGTTTTGGGAAGGCAGGTGCACATTTGTGGAGGCAATACAAGTATGCAGAGACCAGAGTTGGGACTGAGAGGGTCTTGCACATGAAAATGATGAGGAATATACGTCTATGTCAGAAAAGTGGTGGGAGGGCAGATAATGTCAAATTTAAACAGAAGAGCAACAAAACTAAGCTTCCTTTTAGGTCATGTTGGTGGTGCCTCCTTCTAGATTCCATCTGTGATGTTTCATGGTCATGTTGGACACCATTTTGGGAAGATCATGGATTACACCTATGAGAATCTTATCTTTGTTCTGCAAGTTTCCAGCAGGAAAACATTGGGTTGGACTCAAGATATAGCTTGGGTGAGGTTGAAGGAGCAAATTGAAGATGGATCTTTGTCCTTCCATAATGTGACTGTGTGGCCAAATTGACAGGATGTGCTAGGACTGTGGGTAGAGCATATGTGTACAAACACATCATAATATCTGGAGGAGGCTTTCATATCTCTTTGAAATTTGTCAAGATCAACGGAAGGGGATTTCAAATTCCATGGGGAACCGATATGGCAGAGAACATTCATTTGCGTGAGTAGATTTAGGTAAAACTACTTTGAAAAATTCAATCCAACACATTTATATTTTTAAAGCACTATTTTAAGTACAATAAAAATGAAATACAATGAATGATTTCTCCAGTGAAAGAAATCATTTCACTGGGGCCACTCAGTACTTATCTGTTTATTTTTAATTTTTATTTTTTGTTGACATGCGGTCTCTCTATGTTGTCCAGGCTGGTCTCAAACTCTTGAGCTTGAGTGATCCTCTATTATTTATTTTTATTTTTATCATTCTTTTAGAGACAGGATCTTGCCCTGTCACCCAGGCTGGAGTGCAGTGGTACAATCATAGGTCACTGCGACCTCAAATTCCTGGGTTCAAGTGATTTTCCTCCTGCCTCACCAGCCAGTATTTTAAACAGAGACCTTATATGTGGAGATTTTCAACTCTAAAATCACAGGGTCCTGCTGAGAGGTTCAAAGTGCATGCTGGAACTAGCAAGAACCAAAATTAAATTGGAATTTAAAAGAAACTGCTCCTAGTACAAAATCTGGTATCTGAGTCATTTCCACGCCCTATATTTTTTGTTATAGGTCAAATAATAATGATCTAGTATAGGTCGGAAAATATTATAATAATTTACACACAGGTTCATATTATACACTAGCAAATAATTATTTGGAATTGATCTAGTGGTCACTAATCTTTGCTTCTATTTAATCATAAAAATATGAACAGTAAATTTACTCATGATTTTTTTTTCTTCTGTGGTAATTATCCATTTCTTTCACATTACTTGCTTTAAGATGTTCAGATTCTACCCTTCTTCCCTGAAGAACTTCATGGTTTTTCTGGCTTTAGATTTGAAAAGTCAGAGAATGAATAAAAAAAAATAAAAGGTTAAAATAATATAAGCTCTTCCTAAGGCCCCCAGCCAATTAGACATGCAGTCCCTGGAAAATAAAAAGGACAAGTCAGCCAGAGGACGTTTGTTTTTGTATGCAAGTCTGTAAAGTGATCACTTTAATTTTTAGGGCTACCCGACCGTGTCTATCCATAACAAATGAACTAAAATGCTTGCAGTGTGCGCATTTTTTCCCCAAAATCACTTTCATAGATTGAGCAATTTGGAGCATTTAGGCATACCTTTTGTTTCTTTTGCCTTGTTTTGTTTCACTTTCTGGGGTTCCTCTCATTGTCATTTCAACATAGATCCTAAATCCCTTGAATTTATTTTCTGATGGTGGTCTTTAATGGATATTTTATTCTATTTTTTTATTATCTATTTGTTTTAGAAACACAGTCTCACTCTGTTGCCCAGGCTGGAGTGCAGTGATGTGATCATAGCTCAGTGTCGCCCCGACCTCCTGGGCTCAAGCGATCCTTCCACCTTAGCCTCCTAAGTAGCTGGAACTACAGGTGCATGCTGCTATTCCTGGTTACATTTTTTTTTTTTTTTTTTGAAGATAGGGTCTGTCTGTATTGCTCAAGCTAGTCTCCAACTCCTGGCCTCAAGCCATCCTCCCACCTCAGCCTCCCAGAGTTCCTGGATTACAGACGTGAGCTATCACTTCTGGCTGACATCCTATTCTAGAAGAAAAGGCTATATATGAAAAGATACAATATTCAATGCATATACCAACAGAATGAGCTCAGATACTGCAAGGACAAGGGACTGATTAACTACCTGGTGAAAAGGGCTTTCTGTTCCACCTCCTAGGGGAAGTGTAGCTTATGAGCACTCCAGGGAGATGAATCACATACGTGGTGTGCAAAGGCACCACCGAGCAGAATCGTCCATCAAACAGCGGGTGTTCTGAACAAGGCGCTGGAGTGCTTAAGCTGCTGGCCACTTTTCCAATGATCAGTTCTTCAAAAGTGGAGAGGACAAGAAGTAAAAACAAAATTGAGTGATGCAGGGCACAATGAATGGGTGTTCATGGGATGAAGCAGTTGAGGGTGGCTTTATCCTGGGGCAGCCTTGAATGGCTTTATAGTTAAGAAACGGCAAGATAACACTTGCTTTTATTTCTCTCCCACCGTGGCTGTGGTATGACACAGTGACTCCTCCTCACCTGTCTTCACTCAGATTGGGAGACACATACTCTTCTTAGTAAAATCCAGGTGGCATAGAAGTTTGGAGCTTGAGAGAAGCTGGGAAAAAATAGACACAAACCGATGCACCTCTGACAATTTATTCTTCCACATGTGCAGTGCCCTCCTTAGCCTTGGGAACCGAGCACACGCAGTGTGTTCAGCAAGTTGTATGCATGCCCATCTGAGGCTTTCTTCCCTTTTCTGGTGGAGTGCCCCTGGAAGGTCACACTCTGCCATTTTGTCTCTTATTGAACATGGCTGGGAAGTTGCATCTCCTTGTTGCTTGCATTCAATTGACACTTTAGTGCAACGGGTGTGGACAGTTAGAAAATGGCCTCTTCCTGGTGCCAGCTGCCAATTTATCCCTTTGAGAGACACAATATGATAATTGTCACACCATCACCCGATTCTTGCCTGACATTCCTGGCGGGTGGGGGAAGAGCCCTCTCCTGCTCTGCTCATGCCTGTCTCACTACCTGTAACAGGACAGGAAAGATGGAAGAGCTAACAAAAGGAATTTTTAGCAAATTTGGTGACTGATGCTTCATTTCACTGAGACTTGGAAATTTACAAATTGTTTCTCACAACTGCACATTTGTGGATGAAAAGGTTAAATGTACAAGCATTGATTTTAAGTCCCCATCATTCATTTGCTAAACTGGCCCCTAAATGTATAAACTCCCTCAGCATTTGCTGTTTGTCCCTGAGAGCTTACAGAATTCTACAGCTTCAAAAAGATGCTAATGTACTTGCCTGAACTCAATAAGACACGCATGGAGTTGATCACCAAAGTAGTATGTATTGGAGGTAGAACTAAAATACTTTGAAGCAATGCACAAAGATATCTAATAATAAGGTGTGTGGGTGTGAGATGGACCATGTTAATCGACACTTTATTTCTTAAGCATTTAGAGTATTACAATAATTGATCACCTATTAGGCCATAAAAAACCCTCTACACATATCAAAGAAAAAGTATCATGGAGATAATACTTTCTGTCTAACTCTTAATTCATATTATTTTGACATTAGTTTACTTTAATTTATAAATTAATAATAAGAAAGTAGAAAATGAATTCCCACATACTAAATAAAAATATGAACATGCTTAGGTAAACAACTCATAGGTTAGAGATGAAATCGTGCAAAATTTTAAAGTATTATTAGAAGTAAATAATAATGGATATACTAAATGTTGAAATATTATGTTAAGTAAAATTAGTTCATTGAAGGAATTATATCCTTAGAAATTTTAAGCAAAAAATGAAGCAATTCAAAAGTGGTGATCCAAGTGCTCACATGAAAACAATAAAAAGGGTTGGGCATGGTGGCTCACACCTGTAATGCTAGCACTTTGGGAGATTGAGACCGGTGGATCACCCAGAGCTCAGGAGTTAGAGACCAGAGTAGGCAACATGGCAAAACTCTGTCTCTACAAAAAGTACAAAAATTAGCCAGGTATGGTGGCACTCACCTGTAGCCCCAGCTACTCAGAAAGTTGAGGTGGGAAGATTGCTTGAACCTGGGAGGCAGAGGTTGCAGTGAGCCCTGGTCACACCTCTGTACTCCAGCCTGGGCAACAGAACTACACTCTGTCTCAAAAAACAAACAACAACAAACCCTCCCCCCATACACAAAAACCCAGTAAAAAAAACAATAGCACACATCACAAGAATATGAAGGGAAAGATATAAATAAGAGAATAAATAAAAAATATAAATTATGAAGTGAATAGTGCAGTTGAGAAACTTAACATAACCAACAGTTGTTCTTTGAAAAACAACTAGGAAAAGAGGCACATGTGAGGCAATACTGACTAAGGAATAAAGAGACAAAAACAAATAAACATAAATGTAGAAGGGGGCAAAACTAGAGATAAAATACAGGTTAAAAAGAACAAAATACCACACTTCAAACACTGTGACATAGGGGCAAAGGTTAGGGGAAGGTTCCAGAATTTTGTGAAGGCTGGCTTACTAAGAAGTAAAAAAGGAGTGGCTCAAAGTCTTTCAACAGTTTAGAGCATCAAGCCCAGATAACTTTTATGGGATGTTCAAGAAACAGATCATCCCAGTTTTATGCAACCACAAAAAAAAAAAAAAAAAAAAAAGGAAATGGAAGAGTCCAAACTCATATTTTAAGGCTGTTGTGTCATCCTTAACACTGAAACTTGACAGAGACTTTGAAAAAGGAAAAGAAAATCAAAAATCGATTTCACCATGCCTGTAATCCCAGCTACCTGGGGAGCTGAGGCAGGAGAATCGCTTGAACCCGGGAGGCGGAGCTTGTAGTGAGCTGAGATTGCACCACTGCACTCCAGCCTGGGCAACAAGAGTGAAACTCCATCTCAAAAAAAAAAAAAAGTCTATTTCAGTTATGAATTACTTTCAAACATCTAAAGACATTTTTAACAAGTTTTATGCAACGGTGTATAAATAATAATATACCATGACCCATCTGGGTTTGTCTCTGTGCAATAGAGATTTCTTATTAAAAAGTCTAGAAATGAAATTTATCTCAGTTTTGGATTAGGAGACAAAATAGGATCCTCTAAATGGAACAAGAAAAATCATTGATAATATTTAATTCTCATATCACAAAATATGCTGTAAATTAGAAATCAAATGGAACTTACTTAAGGGAGTAAAAGAACATAAACAAGAGCGTAAACACTGCCTTAAATGGAAGCACATTGTCTTTATCTTTTTTTTTTAACCTTTATTTTATCTTCAGAGACAGTGTCTCACTTTGCTGCCCAGGCTGGAGGGCAGTGGCAAGATCTTAGCTCACCACTACAGCCTCCAATTTCTGGTGTCAAGCAATCCTCCCACCTCAGCTCCCTTAGTAGCTGGGCCTACAGGCGGCCACCACCATGCCTGCCTAATTTTTTATTTTTATTTTTTGTAGAGAAAGGATCTCAAAATGTTACCCAGGTTGGTCTTGAACTACTGGGTTCAAGCAATCCTCCCACCTTGGCCTCCCAAAGTGATGAGATTAGAGGTGTGAGCTTCACCACACTCAGCCACATTATCTTGAAATTAGAAATGACATGAAGATATGTGCCAGATGATATTTTACAAGTTTGGCAAATAGAAACAAATCAGCTGATAGTCAAGCCTAAGTTCTGATGTGAATCCACAGTATCCCTGATGAATTCTGAGTGAGAAGAGTGAATCAGTGCAACCACTTTGGAAAACAGTTTAACATGATCTGTAAATCTAAACATCCCCAGAGCCTGTAGCTAACCACAGCACTCCTAGGTGTATACCCAGTAGAAATTGAAACATATACGGTAGCCAATGGAAAAAATGTAGAACAATGCCTATAGCAGCGTGGCTCACAAACACAAACTCCAGAGACCATGCAGGTCACCTCTGATAATATCACAGTGTCTTCACATAACAAATCTTCATGTGCCACTCATTATCACACATAGCACAGCACTGTGGGAAACGCTGCAGTGGTTTTACTCAACTAAAATCATGAGCTCAACAAGATTCCAAACTGAGGTTTACTTTTTTTTTTTTTGGAAAATTTAAGGCAATAAGAATAAAAGCATATGCATGTTTAAAAATAAATGCCAGTCAAACAAAGCCTCATTTGAGAAAGAAAGGAAGGAAGAATATCCTAAACATAAGATTCATGATTTTTATGGACTGAATGTTTGTGTCACTCCTAAAATCCATATGCTGAAGTCCTAAACCCCAAGGTGATAGTACAGACAATTGGAAATTAGGATGATTTGACTTATGATGGTATGAAAGTGATCACATTTAGTAGAAACTGTACTTCAAGTATCCATACATCCTGCATCTTTCACTTTTAGTAGAGGATTCAAAAAATTACAGGAGATTTTCAGCTCTTTAATAAATAATAGACATCAGATTAGAGGATTGTGCCCACGTATAGGCTAATGTAAGTGTTCTGAGCATGTTTAAGGTAGGCTGGGCTCAGCTTTGACATTTGGTAGGTGAGGTATATTAAACGCATTTTTTATTTACAATATTTTCAACTTATGATGGGTTTATTTGGATGTAACCTCATGTTAGTCAAGGAGCATCTATATTAGAAGGTGGGGCCTTTGAGAGGTTATAAGATCATGAAGGTGGAGCCCTCATGAATGGGATGAGTGCCCTTATTAAGGAGACCCCAGATTGCTCATTGGCCCTCTTTCTGCTATATAAGGATAGAATTACAATGAGCAGATGCCAGTCTGCAACCAGGAAGAATCCAGGAAGATCCTCCCCAGAATCCTACCATGTTGGGAACCTGATCCTAGCCTCCAGCCTCCAGAACAGTGAGCAATAAATGTCTGTTGTTTATAAGCCACCTGTATTAATCTGTTTTCACACACGGCTATAAAGATACAACCTGAGACTGGGTAATTTATAAAGAAAGAAAGTTTAATTGACCCAGTTCCATATGGCTGGGGAGGTCTCAGGAAACTTACAGTCACGGTGGAAGGGGAAGCAGGTGTGTCCTACTTGGTGGCAGGAGAGAGAGGGAGAGAGCGAAAGGGGAAGAGCCTCTTAAAAACCATCAGATCTCATGAGAACTTACTCACTACCATGAGAACAGCATGGGGAAAACCAGCCCCAAGATCTAATCACATCCCATCAAGTCCCTCCCTTGACATGTAGGGATTACAATTCAAGATGAGATTTGGTTGGGGACACAGAGCCAAACTATATCACCACCCAAGTCCATGATATTTTATTATAGCAGCTCAAATGAATTAAGACAATCATGATGATTAACTTAGAAGGGAAAGATGGGTTTGTGAGGAGATCATTGAATAAATTAATGTATTGTCATGGTATTGACTTTTGTTTGGTGTGGTGGTTTGTAGATGCTTACTGCATTGTATGCAATATCAAATTAAATAACTAAATGAAACTCAATGAAAGGCACCACCGAGGGCCAGTCATCAGTGTGCATGACCCAGATATTATGATGCATCAAATTCTGCACATCCATGTGCCAATATAAACCAGATGTAGCAGTTTGCCAGAGAAACTTTGTGAAGAAGTTTATTCTGGGAGAATGAGCAATGGAGATAATGTGCATAGGTACCCAAAGCATGAGCACCCTATACAGGGTTTGAGAAGCATGCTTGGGAGTGATGCCTCTGTAAGTTTGTGTGCACAAGAGGCCAAGAGCTTCTCAGGCCAGAGAGCAGGGTCTTAATGGTGTACTCTGTGAATTTTTACAATAAACAAAGGAAAGGGGAATTAAAGGCAAAAATAGGGAATAGGGTATTGCTTTCCTAAAAACCACTTTCTGGGAACTGTATCAAAAATTCTTTTTTTTTTTTTCACTTCTTGAGACAAGGCCTCACTCTGTCACCCAGGTTGGAGTGCAGTGGTGCAATCACAGCTCACTGTAGTCTCCACCTCCCTAGCTCAAGTGACCACCACAACTGGCTATTTTCTTAAATGTTTATTTATTTATTTTTGTAGAGAGGAGGTCTCGCTTTGTTGCTCAGTCTGGTCTTGAACTCCTGGGCTCAAGTGATCCTTCCACCTCAGCCTCCAAAAGTGCTAGCAGTACAGGCATGAGCCACCACACCCAACCCATTTAAAAAATGGTTAATGTAGCAATTTGTTTATTGTGCTGAGAGCAGCAATGACATATGCTTGGATTTCGGGAATATAGATATGTTTCCTGTCAAGTAAAGAATCATAAAGGAGAGTTCTCAGTTCTTAGCCCTAACACACATCCACCAGCACATAGAAGATACACACAATTTATTTTGGGTGAATATCAAGTCTCTTATTTTTACTCCTATACACATCCATGAGAAAGCTGGTTTCAAAAAATTAGGTAAAGTTGCCCAGTCAATCATGTATGCATTTGCATGTCTATATTAGTCTTCCCCAAAATAAAAAATATATATATATAGTTTTTTTTTTTCTAAATGCTTTTCTAGTTTATCACTCTGAAACCGCATTTGACTAACATTATAACTTGGGGTTGGTGAATATTTTCTGAAAGATATATATTTTTACATGTTTATTTTCTTTTTTAAATAGACAAAGAAAATTTCATATATTTACCATGGATGACATGATGGTCTGAAGTATATATACAATGTGGAATAACTGAATTTAGCTCATTAACAAATGTACTACCTCACATAGTTATAATTTTTGTGGTGAGAAAACTTTATAGCCACTCTCTTAGCATTTTTCAAGAATACAACATGTTATTACATGTAGCCACCACATTGTACGATAGATCTCTTGAACTCATTCCTCCTGTCCAATTGAAATTTTGTATCCTTTGGCCAACATCTCCCTAACCCCCAACATCCCCTGCTAACCACCATTCTACTCTCTACTTCCGTGATATAAAGATTTTTAGATTCTACTTATGAATGAGACCATACGCCGTTTGTTTTTCTGTGCCTGGCTTAAAATAATAGGTGTCTTAGGCTTACAAACTAAGAAACAGCAAAGACATGAATTCTGTGGTTTCCACGCATTTATTTTTGTATAAATACAGTTAGTCCAAAATGCTGAGATGATTTAATGAAGTTAAAGTATACCCAGAAATTAGAAATCCCTTTGGTCAATATAGACTACTGAAAGTTATTGGGGTTATGGCATGTTTGTGTGTGAGTTTGTGTGCACCAGAGGCCAAGAGCTTCTCAGGCCAGAGCTCTTCTCCATATTTTTCTAAATGAAAGGAACTAGTGCTATTTCCAAACAAACTCATATATTGAGTATTTAACACAAATATCTTAATATGTGGCAGTTTGAGACTAATGAAAATGTGAATCACATATATTTTCAATCAAAGCTGGTCATGAATAGTTTTTTTTTTTTTAATCTACATAAATGTCTGTGCCAAATCTTACCTCTCTTAAGGAACACACTTTTTCTTCATGCCTCAGCTCGGACAGAGTGATCTAACCTGCCCACTCTCAGATACATTGGCTACAAGAGATAAACAATAATTTTAAATAGAAAACTCAAATTAGAAGGACCCTGAATATTGAGGAGTCTATTGTTGACTCCTAAGACACAAGATGAGGGCCATGCCCTCTCCTCCTTCTCTAATTTCTACCCAGCAGACCCGAGCACACACATCGTCTGGTTGAAGGTAAAAAATTTATCATTTGCCTTCTGGAAAAGTTTTTCCCAATGTAGTGTTCACTACACCATTTGGGAAGTTTGCTAAAATAAAGATCCTTGCATTCTACACCAAGAGAATTAGTTCTTTGATGATGGGTGAGAAATGCTCCTAAAAAATCTGGTACTTCAACAAGCACTGCAGGTAAACCTCATTCAGATAAAATACATGAAGACACCCTGCATTCAAAACAGAGGCTTTAGAGCCTTCAAATGCTTATGGGTCTAGAATGTTCAGCAAGTGACTCTCTTTATTCACTGAGCTTGGCTAATGTCCTAGTGTGTTTTGTGTTGCCATGAAAGAATATCTGAGTCTGGGTAATTGATAAAAAATTTATTTGGCTCATGATACTACTGGCTGGAAGATTGTGCACCTGGTGAGGGCCTAAGACTGTTTCTGTTCATGGCAGAAGGGGAGATGATTTGTGCAGAGATCACGTGGTGAGAAAGGAAGCAAGAGAGAGCGCAAGTGAGCTGCCAAGCTCTTTTAAAGAACCAACTCTTGCAGGAACTAATACAACTCACCCATTACTGCAAGGATGGCATGAAGACATGCAAGAGGAATCCAATCCCAGGACCCAAACACCTCCCGTTAGGCTCCACCTCCAACATTGGGGATTCAATTTCAACATGAGGTTTGGGAAGATAAACATCCAAACTGTAGCAACCAACCTTCCAGCTGAGTGGGTAGCAAGAATGGAAATGCTGAGGAGATTGATGGGGACAGCTGATAAAATAAAGGAGCAATGTAAAAGGATGAGGGGGCTGGGTGGTTCTTGATCCAAGAAAAGGCTTACCTAATTTCCCCCTATAATTAGGACTAATATTGGAAAGTGCATGGTATGCAAAGAGTACACAGTGATTTGTAAAAGCCTGTGGATTCTCCAAGACAAAGATACATTTTCCAATAATTAGGAAGTCCTCTCTCATGAGCACACTTCCCTATCAGGGGTGGTTCCATAGGGATCCCAGTTTTGGCATGCTTTATCAGGCTACATTAGGTCTCCACCATTCAAATTGATGTGTATATCTGATCTGAGGTTTTGAACAGAGTTAACAGTCAGAGATTGTGCATTTCTTTTCTATAAGGAAACATTTCATAAGGTCTGAAGTCATTATTTTGCCATTAGCAAATGCCTATTAATGCCCTTGCAAGCATTTTAATTTTTACTTTGTGGTGTATGCCATTCTCTTTGGCAGACACTGAAAAAGGAGAGAATTTTAAATGCTGTTTTGGGTCTGATGTGCATGCCATCATTTGCATAGGCTATAATTAAGCTAGTACAGAATTCTCTTGGTTTTGAGCTGCCAGGTTTTATTGCTTCTCTTTCTCTTTCTTTCTGTCTTTCTCTCTCTCTTTCTTTTTCTTTCTTTCTTTCTTTTCTTTTTTTTTTTTTTTTTTGACATGGAGTCTCGCTCTGTCGCCCAGGCTGGAGTGCAGTAGCGCTTTCTTGGCTCACTGCAAGTTCCGCCTCCCGGGTTCACGCCATTCTCCTGCCACAGCCTCCTGAGTAGCTGAGACTACAGGCGCCCACCACCACGCCCACTAATTTTTTGTATTTTTAGTAGAGATGGGGTTTCACCGTGTTAGCCAGGATGGTCTTGATCTCCTGACCTCATGATCTGTCCGCCTCGGCTTCCCAAAGTGCTGGGATTACAGGCGTGAGCCACCGCGCACGTCCAGGTTTTATTGTTTCTAAATTCCACTTTTGTATAAAAATGAATGACACCTATGCCTTTTGAGATATAACTCCCAGGAAACACACACACACACAAACACACACACATGCACTCCACCCTCTTTGAGAGATGAAAACAGAAATTAAGAAACAATGTGAAAGACTAAGCATTCATTTGAAAAAAAAAAATGTGAGATTCTGAGATGTCTTTAATTAGAAAATATAAAGAAATCAACAGATCCCCCATTGCCAGTCATGAGGGCAATTAATGTAATAGACTTAATAAGTACAATATCACATAAACACCCCCATCTCCTAGACAACTTGGTGTTTTGTCTTTGAGTCTTCAGCAACTAACACAATATCATTGAAATTATTTGATGAATGAATTAATTTATTTCAAGTTGTTATTAGGTCTTTACTTTTTTTTTAAATGAGTGCATAGTATATTATACATCATTTATAAGGAATTTATTTTCTTAGATATGTGTTAGGTTCAGAGCATAATTGAGTGGATGGTCCAGAGAGATCGCACATATCTCCTGCCCTCACACATGCACTGCCTCCGCAATTATCAACATCCCCCACCAGAGTGGCACATTTGGTATAGTTGATGAACCTATATTGACACATCATTGTCACTCAATGTCCATAGTTTACATGAGGGTTCACCCTTGGTGCTGTACAGAACGTGGGTTTGGACCAATGTATAATGACATGGATCCACCATTACAGTGTCATATTTGTAGGGCTACGTAATTACAGCGTGATTATACTCTTGGGACTGTACAGCACTTTTGTTCATGGGGATTTATTTTTCAGTTGAATTCCTACTACTTTCAAACACAGATTATATTTGTCTGATATTCTAACTGCTTTAGAAATCTCCTGTCTCCATATCAAAAGCTCCCCAAACTGTGCTCTTCTTCTTCATTGTTTCTTTCTAAAAAGTTAGAAAATAGCATCACTCCCTTCAGAAGTGTCGAATAATGGAGATATCTGCCCAGGAAAACTTTTTGTGTCAACTGTCAAATAAAAAATGTAGCAGTTTACTCTGATGCAGTGATAATGTATTAAACTGTGGAATTACGAAAGTGTAATTTGTTATAGGAGAAAATGATACTTCCACTCTTAAGGCAAAATTTTGACCCAACTGGGCAACATAAAGGCACAATTCCTGTCTCAATTAATTGTCAATCTTAGCAGTAGCCTTCTCTGTTTTCACAACTTAACAATTACTTTGGTTAAAATAATGTAATCCCTATCAAACAAGATTCTCTAGAATATTAGGAATTACTAAATGCTAGGCATTACTTTCTCATATGTGAACCACTTTCATCGATAATTTCTAGAAAACTTCCTTGAGGTGGTAGAATTTGGAACATGTTTAGAAGATAGAAGAAGAGTTCAGATGCTGTCTGCTTTAAAATTGTCAAGATAACCAATATTAAGATCCTCAAGGGCCTGGTTCGCACCTGTAATCCCAGCATTTTGGGAGACCTACAGGGAGAATCATTTGAACCCAGGGATTCAAGACCAGCCTGGGCAACATAGTGAGACCCCCACCTCCTCACACACATATACAATCCTCAAAATGTAGACTTTTAGTGTGAATTTCCTCATGCCTCTTAAATCAGCTACATATCAGAATTGTGTGGATAGCAAGAAAGGGAGATTTTCAATGTAACATTTAAAAAATGTTAAATGTCCGAAATTGCAAATCAAATTATACAGGCACATCTTATCATATACCCATTTTTATTTGTGATGAAGTAGGCATTAGGATAGGAAGAAAATAAATTAGTAATTCTGAGCAGAAAATGAGATTTGATTTACAACACGAACATCAATTCTGGGCACAGCCTGCAACTCTTAATGTTTCTTTAAATTGAAATTGATCTGCTTTTCTCAAAGAATATAATTTGAAGCACCTTACAACCAATTATCCTGGAATGAAATTATTTAAAATGTACACAGGACAAGCTACATTTGTTAATATGTACCCAGTTCATTTGCTAATGTAGACCATAACAATTTTTGAAGGTGTTTATAGAATTGCCAATAGATATTCAACAGAAATCTATTGGATTTATGGTAAAAGCGAGTACTGTAGTGCTTATTTCAATGCATTTTTTTTTTTTTTGCTTTAAATTATTAAGGAGGCTTAGAGTGTTGCAGATGAGTGTTGCCAGATACAACAGTAAGACTTGATTAGATACCAAGAAATAATCTTGAAAACTTATTGAAGGCATAGCAAGGATTTACTCAACACTCTTCTAAGCTTAAGTACTTCTAAACATTAACTAATATTTCTGGGTCTGAGGTTTCCATGTCTTTCAGAATAAAACTGCTCATCCTCTCAAATGAAGAGTCATTATCTGCAGTGGTTCTGCTGTCATCCTGATTTGAGTTTGAAAACACAGGCTGCCTTTGCAAGTCCATGCCTCACTGGGTCCTGAAGAGAGTGCATTTGTCCTGTTTAGGAAAACAGGTTCCCAGGAGGAAATCACCACGGTGGGAAAACATTTCAGAAGACTTGTGTCTTGCGGGCTTCTTGTTCAATAAAGCTCTGCTGTCCCCAGTCCAGCAGAATCCAATTTCCAGAAAATAGAGAGGAAGAGGATTTCATTTGCTACATTGTTTTTTCTTTTGCAACTTTTATGTTAGATTCAGAGGGCATATGTGCAAGTTTGTTACTTGGTTATATCATGTGTTGCTGAAGTGTGGGGTACAATTGATCCCATCACACAGGTACTAAGCATAGCACCCAACAGTTAGCTTTTCAACCTTTGCCCCCCTCCCTCTCCCTCTAATAGCCCCCAGTGTCTAGTGTTCCCATCTTTATGTCCACGAGTACACAATGTTTAGCTCCCACTTATAAGTGAGAACATACAGTAATGGGTTTTCTGTTTCTGCCTTAATTCACGTAGGACAATGGTTTCCAGCTCACAGTGGCTCACACCTGTAATCCCAGCACTTTGGGAGGCTGAGGACAAGATTTTGGGCCCATTGTCCACTTTGGAAATCATTTTGAAAATAAAGGACTGGCCATGGTTTCTTCTACCTTTCATCTTCCTTAACGCGTTACTGATACCTAATTTTTCTCTATCTCTATATGTATAGCAGTGTGTGCATGTGTATGCCTGTGTGTGTATGTGGGGTTTTTTTTCACCTATTCCTCCAAACCCTTCTCAAAAAAATTGGTGAGTTATTTTCATTTGAGGAATAAATTCATTGCACAAATTTGAGAGACTCAGCTCTATGAATAAGAATCAGAAGTTACCCAGGAAATATATATATATATATATATATATATCTCCCAAGAGATTTCTGGAACGAAGTTTGCTACTTTCTCAACAACACTAATATTTGCAGCAAAATATGATTTTGATTTAAAGCAGTCCTTCAGTCATAAAATTGAAATCTATGAACTCTTTTGGACACAGCTTTGATAGACTTGATTTCCTGAGCAATTTTGCCATCTGTCATGAAGCTGTAAGCACTGACCTGAGCTATTCATCTTCATTCACTTACAGAGTAGTTCTTTTACACAGAAGTCCCTGAGATTGTAGGAGGGTTTTTGATTTACACAGAATTATGGGACGTGTCCTCTCAGATTCCCTCAACTACAGCCCTGATAAGTAGCCATAAAGGAAATATGCTCCATTAGGTCTGAAGCTCAGAAAAGTCTGATGCCACATCTAAGGCTGTCTATGCCACTTTGTACCACCTCTGAGGTGTCTGCCCAGCAAGCATTTTGTTTCAAAAAAGATGATTGCACAGTTCTGCATAAATTGAAAAGTGTCATATAATCTCAGGGTCCTCCATGGAAAAGAACTACTCTGTTAAGTGAATAGAAATGAACAGCATAAGTCTGTGCTTGTGGCTTCTTGACAGATGGCAAAATGTATCAGAAAACCAAGTCTAGCATGAGTAAGTTAAACAACATTGATATTTGCGAAGTAAACTATCTTTATCTAAAATCCTACAAGGAGGCAAAGAAATATGAACAAGGGAAGTCACAGAAAGAATCTGTATGGCACCAAAGCAGGACGAAGAAAAATGAATGTGTGGGATGATACAGCCACAGAGAATTGGGCTCAATCTGGCAGGGTGCTCTGTTAGAAATATGTGGGAGAGGGGATTGCATTGTAGTCCTTCTAGGCAGTAACTCTTGGTGTAAATCCATGATAACATCTTACTGGAATGAGTTATTTTCCCCTTCATAAAATCTGGCAGGGTGTGTGTTTATGTCTGTGATCTGCCATCCTGTTTGGGTAAAGACCTATTCCTTCCTTCACACCAATCCAACTGCAGCAGTCAGGGTCTAATAAATGCATATAGATGCGTTAGGTTAAAAAAAAAAAAAAAGCCCTCAGCATGCTCCATTAATTTAGATGCTCCGAAAAGTACATAATGCTCAAAAGATTTAATCTTCTTGGGGGCACCCAGAGATTTGAGGAAACAAAAGAAACTGCACATTGGGTGATAGCTTAGTTCCTATGAGTTAAAATATTTCTTTAAGTTATTTTGTTGAAATGGCCACCATGATTGAGCAATCCGTAAAAAAAAAATTAATTTGAAGAACCTCAAAGAATTTTCCATCTGGAAGATACTACTGGGATTAGTAAAAAACATGATAGCTGCATTGAAGTATGTGGAAATGGCTATATCTAGGTACAAACGCATTTGTTCTAATTAATTTACAGAAGGAGAGCAAAGATGAAGAGTGAGTTGATGAAGATAAATTGATAATAAACTAAGTATATGGTATGTTCTTTATATCTCTGCACTGAACATATAGAAATGATTAAAACTGTATTAAGTTGGTGCCGCCAACCTAATATAAACGTACACACACTTATGTATATAGCAATGACTGTATTTAGTATGAGGATTTCTCAGGAAGACCACACATACAGGTAATAGACAGGAAACAGATGGAAAGAAGCCAGAACTTGGAGGAAGCATCAGAATGCTGGGCATGACAGGAAGTTCTGCTAAGTGTGAAGAAGCAAGGCACTGCAAACAGGGAAAGGGAAAAAGGAGAAGGCAGATTACTAGGTATGGGAACCTGGGCTACTACAAGAGCAGAATCTGGACTTATGGATCCGGTAGCAAACTCACATGAATTAGATTAGCAATGTTGAGGATGGTTGACTCCAGGTGAGAACAGAGAACATGCAAACTTATTTTCGAAACTGGGCACCTATGGACACAAAGAAGAGAAAAACAAACACTGGGACCACTCAGGGATAGAGGGAGGAAGGAGAATGAGTAACAAAAAGCTATCTATTGGGTGCTGTGCTTATTATCTGGGTGGTGAAATAATCTGTACACCAACCCCCTGCAACATGCAATTTACCCATGTAACAAACTTACACAGGTACCCCTGAACCTAAACCAAGAGTTTAAAAAAATGAAGAGTCTGAAAGCTAACATCTATCACCCATCTAAATAGCATAAAATCTGCCAAGAGCTAAATGTGCATCCCACACCAGAAAGTCTAAACAAGGGCTCTATCAGAGAGATAAGAGAATCTCAACTTAATGATGAACACATACTTAACATGAACAGCTAAGCATTATTGATGCATTCAAGAGCCATAAACCAAACTGATGCATGTGTCTTCAAAATCAATGACCATTTGAAAATAATGCCCATCATGCAATAGAAATTATACATTTGATAATCCAAAGAACTCCATCTAAGTGAAGAGTTGATCAAGGAAACAGAAAAATATATTTAATTAAGTGTACTTAATATATTCAAAGATATAAATAAGAGAACTGGGTCTTTACAACAACAGTCATTGTCATAAAAACACAAGAGATAGCTTGTAAAAAAATAACAGATTGGGCAGGGTGTGGTGACTGTAATCTCAGCACTTTGGGAGGCCGAGGTGGAGGGACTGCCTGAGCTAAGAAGTTTGAGAGCAGCCTGGATAACATAGCAAAACCCTGTGCCTACCAAAAATAAAAACAATAGCTGGATATGATGGTGCATGCCTGTGGTCCCAGATGCTTGGGAGGCAGAGACGGGATAATTGCTTGAACCTGGGAGACGGAGGTTGCAGTGAGCCACTGCACACCAGCCTGAGTGACCGAATGAGACTCCGTCTCAAAAAAAAAAAAAAGAAAAGAAAAGAAAAGAAAAAGAAAACGAAAAGAAAGGCAAAAACCATAATTACTTTTGCACCAACCTAATAACTTTCTGGCCCCTGTTTTAGGTTTTTGTTTTTTTCTTTTCTTAATATCATCAGTGTCACTTGGGAGATAATGAAAAGCTTAGGTCCACCAAGACCTGTAGAAATAGGAGCCATCTTGAAGACACCTAAGTGCAACATATTAAAATGCATTGCTATCCATTCTGCTATGCAATATTGCCCTGTACGATTCAGAGAAAGTAAGGTGGGTTATTCACTGTAGCCCTAATGTTTGCTGCATGAGTAAACAGACATGCACACACACACATTCATACACATGCATATGCACACACACAATAATGTTTGAAAAGTACCGCTGTGGCCGGGTGTGGTGGCTCACACCTGTAATCCCAGCACTTTGGGAGGTCAAGGCGGGCAGATCACTTGAGGCCAGGAGTTTGAGATCAGCCTGGCCAACATGGTGAAACCCCATCGCTACTAAAAATACAAAAAGTTATCCTGGCATACTGGCAGGTGCCTGTAATCCCAGCTACTCGGGAGGCTGAGGCAGGAGAATTGCTTGAACCCGGGAAGCAGAGGTTGCAGTGAGCCAAGATCGTGTGACTGCACTCCAGTCTGGAGAACAGGGCAACTCTGTCGAAAGAAAGAAAGAAAGAAGAAAAAAAGAAAGGAAAGAAGGAAGGAAGGAAGGAAGGAAGGAAGAAAGGAAGAAAGGAAGAAAGAAAGAAAGAAAGAAAGAAAGAAAGAAAGAAAGAAAGAAAGAAAGGAAGGAAAGAAAGAAAGAGAAGGAAAGAAAAAAAGAAAGAAAGAGAGAAAGAGAGAGAGGGAGGGAGGGAGGGAGGGAGGAAGGAAGGAAGGAAGGAAGGAAGGAAGGAAGGGTACTGCTCTAACACAAAGGTAGTAATTTCTTAACATAGGAAATATCTTCATTGCTGGCACCGTCTTAATTATTGTTATAAAATCCTCAAAGTCGGCAAAGAAAAATCAACTCTATAAGGAAAAAATACAGAAAATATTTAAAGTGGAAGAATCTTCTTGTTTTCTTCAATGTGTTTCTAACAGTTTGACCTCAAGTTAGAGTCTGGCTTTCAGACCTTCTATGCATCTATTGTCTTCATCAATACAGGCAAAGATTGTGATTGGTGTTATTTCTTCTGCTATGTCCCTACAGATTTTTTATCAGGAGGAAAATGGATACACTTGCAAAGAGATGTTGGCAGCAGCCAACCAGAAAAGCCCTAAAAGTAGGCCAGTGGGTGCAAGTGGGCCCCAGAGTATTCAAGGGAATCTCAGTGGCTCAATGAGGCAAGGAGCCACTCCTGCCGTTCTACATGAATGAATAAGAAGGAACTGAATAAGGGAGAACACAGAAAAACTCATTTCTAGGAAAGCCTGCACTAGGGAGCTCCAAATAGCATTACAGTGCAAAGCTTTATCAGAAAACGTAGCATGCCCACTGTTCATTCATGGATGGTTATGGCAAAGACATAGAGATAGAGATAGAGATAGTTATAGATAGATATATGTATTAGTCCATTCTTACATTGCTATAAAAAATTCCTGTGGCTAGGTGATTTATAAGAAAAAAAGCTACATTGGCTTATGGTTCTGAAGGCTATACAGGAAGCACGGTACTGGCATGTGCTCAGCTTCTGGGCAGGCCTCAGAGAACTTCTACTCATGGTAAAAGGCAAAGCGGGAGCTGGCACGTCTCATGGCAAAAGTAGGAGCAAGAGACAGAGTGGGGTAGGGAGGAAGTGTCACATAAGCAGATCTCATAAGAACTCACACACTATTTCAAGGACAGCACCAAACCATGAGAAATCCATCCTCATGACCTAAACACCTCTCACCAGGCCCCACCTCCAACACTGAGGATTACAATTCAACATGAGATTTGGCAGGAACATACATCCAATTGATATCATAGTTATATAGACTCAGATGTATTCATATAAATAGATTTAGATACAGAATCATGGGCTGCATAATTATATTTAGGTCAACAATGAGCCACAGATATGAGGGTGGTTCTGTAAGATTATGAGACCATATTTTCCCATACCTTTTCTCTGTTTTACCATACCATTCTCTGCAACTACCCTGCAATACGTTTCGGTACAGAAATAGTTACCATACTGTTACGACTGCCTATACTATTTAGTAAAGGAACATGCTGTACAGGCTTGTAACCTAGGAGCAATAAGATACACCATACAGCCTAGGTGTGTGTTTGGCTATCCCATCTTGGTTTGTGTAAGTGCACACTAGGATATTCCCATGATGACAAAGTCAGCCTAACAACTCATTTTTCAGAACATATTCCTATTGTTAAGTGACAGATGACTGTAGTTATTTAGATATAGATAGATATAAATATAGCTACATAGATGTAGGTATAGACATAGATAACAGAGATGTAGATGTATATATTGTTACAAATATATAAATATATGAATACATATATACATATAGGTGTGGGTATGGTTATGAATATATATGTAGATATGTTTATAGATGTAGTTGTAATTATAGATAGTTATAGATATGTAGATAGAGATAGAGACAAATATATAGATATAGAGGTAGTTGAATAGATATAGATATAGGAATATAGATGTAGATCTATAGACATATAGGTATAGGTATGGGCATAGATATATAAATACCGATATAATTAACATATTTATGGATAGAGATATAGTTACAGATATAGATGTAGTTATAGATATAGTTATAAATATAGATGTAATTATAGATTAGATGTAGCTATAGATATAGATATAGTTATAGATATAGATATATTTATAGGTATAGATATATTTATAGTTATAGATGTAGTTACAGATATAGATGTAGTTATAGATATATTTATAGATACAGAAGTAGTCATAGATATAGATACAGAAGTAACATAGATATAGATAAGATGTAGTTATAGATATAGATGTACTTATAGATGTAGTTATAGATATGGTTATAGATATATATGTAGTATAGATATAGTTTAGATGTAGTTATAGATATAAATGTAGTTATAGATATATTTATAGTTATAGATATAGGTGTGGATGTAGTTATAGATATAGTCATAGTTATATATGTGGTTATATAGATATAGCTATAGATATATAGATACGGATGTAGTATAGATATAGATATAGATGTAGTTATAGATGTATAGATATAGAGGTAGTTGTAGAAGTATAGTTATAGATATAGATATGGTTATATATATAGATGTAGTATAAATATAGATGTAGTTATAGTTATAGTTGTATAGATATAGTTACTACTTTTACCATGACTTTTAATGGCAAAAACCACAGTTACTTTTGCATCAACCTTATATGTGCCATATGATCTTATTTAAATAAATGAGTCCTTTTTCTTATATTTCAAAATTTTGATTCTGTGCATTTGAATATTTTTTTCTCTAATCATACTTGGGAACCAATTCTATTTGAATAGTTACTTCTTAGGATGAAAATAAAAAGGAACCTTTAAGAAATATTGAGAATAAAAGGTTGACCATTCTGTTATGCACTGTAGTCTTGTAAATTTAGGAGGAGCAGTTCCAAGTATTTACTGTGGCTCCAATGTTTTGGTGTGGGCACATGCACACACACACACACACACACACACACACACACACAATATCATGATCCTACTCATTCCACATCTCCTTGTCTCCAGAAAGACAGCCAATGAATCACTGCACTATAATGAACAAGTAGGTGCCTACTTGCTTTGTGTCCTCCAGCTGATGAATGAAAATTTTAATATAAGAAACAAAATTTCAGCCCTCTCTCATTGACTCAGTTCTAAAACTGATGATCCTGACTCAATCAATAGAGAGATGAATAAAGCACAAAAATTAGTGAAGCTGATGATATTTTCCCAGCAATCTTCCCTTAATATTTAAGAAAGGATAATTAATGTTTTAAAAATGAGCCTTTCTCTGTGCAAATAGCCTCAATACTATTGTATTTTAATTCGTCAATATAGTGAAGAGGCAAAAGAAGTAGGAAAAATATTATGAAATACAATTACAAGGGCTGCAATTCCCATTGTAATGGTGAATTGGATTCTAAATATGTTCAAATATCCTACACACCCATCATGGTGCCTAGTGAATCCCTCTCCTCATCTACAGTTCTCTAAAGACATGTCATTATTTGGTGCTCATTTTCTTAAATACCATTTCCTCTCCTGCCTTCTATCAGCAAAACTACTGAAAATACTTTTAATGTTTTCGACAGTGACACTGTTGTTGCTAAGTACTTTGAAAATTTTGCAGTATTTTTTTATGAGATTTCACAGCCATGTGACTGTATCTCTGAATTCTCTGGGTGACAATGTCTCCTTGTCACCTGGAAACCTGCTATGGAGGAAGAGTGAGTGAGAGATAAACCTTGGTTGACTTACACTGTGGAGATGGAGGATTGTTTCTTACTGAAGCATCACCTTGTGTATCTGACAGATATATCAGTGTTCTGAGGTTGTACAATGGCCTTTGCAACTTGATATGGTTTGACCATGTCCCCACGAAAATCTCATCTTGAATTGTAGGTCCCATAATCCCCAGGTGTCATGGGAGGGACCCGATGGGAGGTTATTGAATCAGGGGGGCAGGTCTTTCCCATACTGTTCTCTTGATAGTGAATAAGTCTCACAAGAGCTGATGGTTTTATAAAGGGGGGTTCCCCTGCACACACTCTCTTGCCTGCCTTCATCTAAGATGTGACTATTTTGCTCCTCATTTGCCTTCCACCATGATCATGAGGCCTCCCCAGTCATTTGGAACTGTGAGTCCATTAAACCTCTTTCCTTTATAAATTACCCAGTCCTGGGTACGTCTTTATTAACAGCATGAGAACAGACTAATATACAACTCATCCAAGAAATCCCTCAAACACTATACTTATGTGACTATTCATAACATATATTACTGTGTCTTCTGTTTTAAGTTTGCTTCTTCTGGTTTTGGGTTCTCTCAAAGTCTCAGAACCTACTGCCTTTATATTCTGCCCAACATCGCTGCTTGAAAATCTGCCAGTTGTGTACTGTATTTAAGAAATTCACAGTAAAGTATTGATGATGTTAATATAAGGGACTGCTCATTCAAGAATTTTTTGCTCATTCAAGAATTTATTAACATGACATAATATCTTACTATGGTCTAAATGTTTGTGTTCCCTCAAAATTCGTATGTTGAAAACCTAATCATCTATGTGATTGGTTTAGGAGGTGGGGCCTTTGGGAGGTGATGAGGCCATGAAGGTGGAGCTTCATGAATGGGATTAGAGCCCTTCTAAAAGGGACCCCAGAAAGCTCCCTTGCCCTTTTCGCCATATGAGCATCCAGAGAGAAGTCAGCAGTCTGCATCCCAGAAAGTGGCACTTACCAGAACCTGACTATCCTGACACCCTGGTCTTGAACTTTTCAGGCAACAGAACTGTCAGAAATAAATGTCTGCTGTTCATGAACTACCCAGTTTATGATATTTTGTAATAGCAGCCTGTATTAGTCAGGATTCTCTAGAGGGACAGAATTAATAGGATAGATGTATATATTAAAGAGAGTTTATTAAGGAGTATTGACTCACACGATCACAAGGTGAAGTCCCACGATAGGCCTTCTGCAAGTTGGGGAGCAAGGAAGCCAGTAGTGGCTCAGTCCAGGCACCAAAAGCAGGGAAGCCGACAGTGCAGCCTTTGGTCTGTGGCCAAAGGCCCGAGAGCCCCTGGCAAACCACTGGTTAAGTCCAAGAGGCCAAAAGCCAAAGAACTTGGAGTATGATGTTTGAGAGCAGGAAGCATCCAGCACAGGAGAAAGATGAAGGCTGGAAGACTCAGCAAGTCACCTTCTTCCACCTTCTTCTGACTGCTTTTTCCAGCCAAGCTGGCAGCCAATTGGATGGTGCCTACCCAGATTGTGGGCGGGTCTTCCTGACAGTAGGTCCTCCTTTTCCAGTGCACTGACTCAAATGTTAATTTCTTCTGGCAACACTCAGAGATACCCAGAATCAATACTTTGCATCCTTCAATCCAATCAAGTTGACAATTAATATTAACCATCACACAGCCCAAATGGACTAAGACAATATTAACTACCAATAGTTAAATTCAGGTCTATGATGACAAAGATTTTGAGTGTAGATAGCTATGTGACATATTGATTTCAGATCCTTTGGATATATACCTAGATGTGGGGTTGCTGGATCATACGATAATTTTATTTTTAGGTTTTTGAGAAACCTCCATGTGGCTTTCCATAATGCCTGTAAAATTTACATGCCCACCAACAGTATATTATGTATATTTCAAAATTGCAAGAGAGTACCTTTCCTATGCTGTCACCACAAAAAATGGTATTTGATGTAATGCCTATGTTATTTAGTTTGATTTTAAGCATTCTACATTTTATACATATAGCATAATGTCACTCTTTACCCCATAAATATAAACAATTATAATTAGCTAATCAATAATAAAATAAATTTTTGAATAAGATTTCTTTAAAATTAAAGAAGGATTTCTTTTAAAAAGAAAGATTTTGAGGAATTTTCTCCTCTAGGTACATCAGAATATGCAAGAAGCATTAGTGTTACTTAAGATTATCAATTCAAGTTTTCGTCCATGTTCAGTTAAATTTGCATGTTTACTTAAATCTTATTTGTGGAAAGAAATAGATCAATATAGAAAAATTAAACTGTTTATTTTGTTAAATATATCTCTTAGTATGTAAGACTTGTATCATATCTGTACAATTTGATTCAGATTACCCGAATAGAACATGGGTTGTGATGAAAATTTATAAAATGGAGTTATTACCCTTGGTTTCTTATAGAAATGAGGTTTCCTACCAACAAGCTTAAAAACTGAACAGGAAAACCCCATGCATTATGTAACAAAAGCACCTAGATAGTTATGCTAAGGCCAACAGAGCTTGAGAGTAAAATAAAATTTTACTCTATAATAACATAGATTTTTAATAGCACTTTTTCATATTTTAGGTGAAAATATGATGCATTTTTAAAAAGATGCTATAAGGAAATATCAATGATAGGCTTTGACACAATAAAATGCTAGCAATATCCGAAATGGGTATAAAATTAACACAATGCATTTTACTGCAGACATGGGCTATGTAAGACATGATGTTCTATTTCCCACTTTACTGTGTTGGGCAAGGCACAGTGTTTCAATTCAGTTGAATCTGACCTTTACTCGTTATGTAGATATGTTTCTTTTTTTTGTTTGAGTCAGGGTCTCACTCTGTCACCCAGGCTGGAGTGCAGTGGTGCCATCTCAGCTCACTGCAACCTCTGCCTCCTGGGTTCAAGTGATTCTCCTGCCTCAGCCTCCCGAGTAGCTGGGACTACAGGCACCCGCCACCACACTCGGCTAACTTTTTGTATTTTTAGTAGAGACGGGGTTTCACCATATTGGCCAGGCTGGTCTCGAACTCCTGACCTCGTGATCCGCCTGCCTCGGCCTCTCAAAGTGCTGGGATTACAGGCGTGAGCCACCACGCCCGGCCTGTAGATATGTTTCTTAATCTCCTTGAACCTGCTTTCTCATATGTAAAAGAGAAATATGCTAAATTGGATAGACATACATTGTAGAGCTCAGTTACAAGGCTCATACGTGGTCAAAGAGTGAGAAGAGCAAGATGGAAAAGATATGCGCTGCATGGAAAATGGGTCCTTGTGAATAATCCAACCTTCCAGGTAGTGAGGAGACTCCATTTTTATTTGAAGTCTATCACATGAAGACAGGTTGTAGAAAACACTTAGAAAACTAATTGGGCATACCAAAGAGGTGACTGAGTCTCTTTTGTAGGGGAGAAGGAGGTTAAATAGAAGTTGGAGACAAGATTGCCCCAGTTATTGACTGCAAACCTGAATTTTTTCGTTATGGGGGTAGAGCAGAATCATTTTATATATCATGGATTACACTTAGGTCAGAGTGAAAGATAGATAGATAGATAGATAGATAGATAGATAGATAGATAGATAGATTAGATTAGATACATAGAAGGTAGATTAGATAGATGGATAGGTGGATGTATAGATGGACAGGTGGATGGATGGATAGATAGACGACTGATAAATAGTAGATAAATAGATGATAGATTAGATAGATGAATATCTAGATGGATGGATAGATTGATGGATAGATATGATGGATAGATGATAGATAGATAGATAATGGATAAATGATGAATGGATAGATATGTAGATAAATAAATATATGGATGTATGATAGATAATGGATGAATAAGATAGACACATAGTTATATAAACACATACATAGAGACATACATACATAATGAATGCATGACAGATAGATACATAGATGGATCATGGGTATATTATTGAGTAGATAGATACATAGAGAGATAAAGAGATAGACATAGATAGTAAAAGACATAGACACATAGTAAAAGAGATAGACATAGACAGATAGTAAATGGGTGAATGATGGATAGATACATAGATAAATGGATGGATGGTAGATAGATAAATAGATGACAGATAAATAGATGATGGATACAAGATAGCTAGCTAGATAGCATAAAGAGATAATGGATGAATAGAGAGAGAGACAGATACATAAACACACACATAATAAATGGGTGGATGATAGATAGTGGATCATGGATGTATGATAGACAGATAATTTAGATAGATAGATGATAGGCTGATATAGATAGATAGATAGATAGATAGATAGATAGATAGATAGATAGATAGATAGATAGATGATAGATAGATAGATAGATAGATTAGATGGATGGTTAGGTAGATAGAGAGATTATAGATAAAGTGGGTGGATGGATAAACAAATACATAATTAAAATGCACAAAGTTAAACATGAAAGTTTCATGTAAAATGTACACTTTTCAGCTTTATTGTACAGTTTCCAGCTTTACTGAGGCATAATTTTCATAAAATACTTTTTAAAGTGTAAATTTTATGAGTTCTGTTAATTTTATTATTCTGTGTAACTGCTGCCAAACAAGGCAAACCAGTTGGAGCATCCTACCACGTTGCTTTATTCTCCTTGCAGTCAATCCTTTTTCATAACTCCCTGCCCCAGACAAGCACAGATCCATTTCCCATTCCTCCAGTTTTGCCTTTTCTAGAATTACATATATATGGCATCTTGCACGTATGCACACTTTTGTGTCTGATTTCTTTCACTTAGCATAGTGTTTTTTTAAGATTTATCTATGTTGTCGCATTTATTATTTTTTTTTTGCCTTTGATACGCTGAAGAGTTTTCGTTGCATGAAATGGATAAATGTTTATTCATTCACTAGTTGATGAATCTATGGTTGGCTTTTAGTGTTTTTTTTTAATATTGTGAATAAAGCTGCTTTGAATTCATGTACAAGTTTTTGTAGGCATATGTTTTCATGTTTCTTTGATAGACACTTAGAAGTGGGATTTTAGGATTGTGTGATTAGTGCATGATGCAATCTCACTGCCTTTCAAATAGATTAAACATATTTATAAACAGTTGACTTCTTGCAGATTGTCTTTCTTATATTGTCTCCAAAATGTTAGCAAACAGTGATGTTACTATTAAGGATTTGATAACTTAGGAAGATGTTTTGTTGTTGTTGTTGTTTTGAGACAGAGTCTCACTCTGTCGCCCAGCCTGGAGTGCGGTGGCACCATCTCCGCTCACTGCAACCTCTGCCTCCCGGGTTCAAGCGACTTTATATTAACTCCATATGGTCAGTCAAATATTTATCTAAGAATAAGAGTACACCAGCAGTTAATTTCTCCAAGCACCATAGAAGTTTTTAGATTGTTTAAGTTGGCATCAACAGACTAGTATTGCAAACATACATCTCCAGTCAATGGTATGTCCTAAATGTCCACCTATTATCTGTAAAATTTCAACGTATATTGAATGTGTATTTTCAAGACAGCCAGTTCCTTAAAAACATCCTATTTCATTCTAGATCACAGAGTGTATGCAAAAAGGATGCAAACTCAATATGAACATCTTTGAAGTATTTTCCTCTGTTCTATCCCTTTAGGGTATATAGTGAATAATTTTGGAGAATGGGTGACTAATTTTTCATGTACCAGTTTCTTTTTCTCCAATTTTTCCTACGTGACACTGATTCTTTTCATTCAACATGATAATGAATAATACTTTGAATCCCCAATAGAAACCAATGAGCAGATACATAGTTTGTTGATTAGATTTTTTTTTTTTTTTTTTTGAGAGAAGGTTTTGCTCTATTGTCCAGGCTGGAGTGCAGTGGTGCAATCATAGCTCACTCCAGCCTCCACCTCCCAGGCTCAAGCGATCCTCCCACCTCAGCCTCCCAAAGAGCTGGGACTGCAGGCCTATGCCACCAAAACAGCTAATTTTTGTATTTTTTGTAGAGATGAGGTTTTGCCATGTTGCCTAGGCTTGTTTCAAACTCCTGAACTCAAGCAATCCTCCCATCTTGGCCTCCCAAAGTGAAGATCTGTTTTTTAAAGATATCAATCCCTTCTGCAAGCCAATGGAATGAAGAACATTTGAAATTATAAATATGGCTTTGAAATTGGCAGAGTTCGTCGTTCTTCAAAGTGACTCACTTATTAGGTACATTACTGGCTTCGTAGCATTACGTCTTCCCAAAATGCTAATTTTATTGTGGGTGTGGTTATTGATTTACAATTGCCTAATTAGAAACAATGAAAAAATATTGAGTTCAACTTCTCTATGTTGTAAATATTTGTTGATTGTGAATAGATTAGCATGTCATTTCTTGAGTTCAGAAGTGGCCAAAAGTATCCATGTGAAAAATTACATTTTTAAGTAAAACAATTATGCTATACTTGCACGTTGATCTTTTCCCTCAACTGTAATTCATTAGGATATTTTATAACACCACCAAAAGTCACCATAATGATGCCTTTCCTTTTGTAAGGCAAATTATAATCTGTTTATCATCCCTGATTGAACAAATTAAATCTAATTGACTCTTCTTTAGTCAGGGAAAGATTATGTTGTACTTTCTATGGGAGAATGATTTTCTTGGAAAAGGAAGGTCAATATAAACAATTAAAAGAATTAGTGGTTGTACTGTTTGAATATGTAATTTCAAGCACCATTTATAGAATTCTCAATTTAAGGGGTACCCAATGGCTAATAGTTGAAGAATATTCATGAGAACATCAAGCTTCAAGGACAGGACTTATTTCTTCATTAAACTGGGGCAGGAGAGAAATAAAGGTTTAGAAAATAATTACCCCTTAAAGTATCCTTAAATGCATAACTCTCTTTTTCATTTTAAAAAATCTCCTGAGCATATGAATACATGAGCTCTTTCGATTTTAAATGAGTTTTTGTTTATCTTTTCAATGTTTACTAAGATGTTACAAGATTTGGCATTGAAACCAGAAGTTGGCCTATCATCAGAAAATCACATGCCACTAAAGAAAATATAAACTTATTGAATAAATCCACTGACATATATTGTGTAGATTCTAAAAGCTGATCTATATTTATTTCATTATATTTTCTTTAAAATCTAGTACTCACGACTTCAGGAAAAAATTTCCAGTTTTTTTTTTTTCTAACCTTGTTTTCTTCTACTGAGATTGATAAATAATTTATTTACCGTGACTAATCTATCATGGCATGGCACATATTGCAAAAGTATTTCACATTTTGAGAATAATATTGATATATGGATACTTGGAGGCCATATGGCTATTAGGAAAACTCAATGATCTGCTCAAATACTTCAGTAAAAAAATGTTGCTTTGTTTTAGAATATATTTCTGTTTTAATGTTGAGTTTGACAGTATCTTAAGTTCTGGGAATTTACTCAAAATTATTGAAATCAATATAAAAGGACCCAGGACATTGCTGCACTTTTCAAACATGTAGAAGAGAACTGTATGAAGTTGGAGTAAATAGCAGCTGCATTTATTTATACACTGCAAATTCTGAGTGGCTTTGTACAATGAAGGTATATATTTCACATCGTGGTGGCTATCATCATTTGCCTTGGACAGAACCCAGGTCTCTGGCCCCATCTCTTTCTTTCTCTTTCTCTCTCTCTCTCTTTCTCTCTTATATGTATGTGTATTTATATGTATATATGTGCATGTAGGATACACATGTTATATATCACATATATGTAGGATATCTCTTTCTATATATCTATTATCTATATATATATATATTATTCACCCATTTCTATCTATGACTTTTCTAGGCATTTGGATATATACTTACTTCCAATTGTAAATTATTCTACAGTTCTATGTAAGTCCAAAAACTAAAACATACCATATTTATTATAATCTTATGAAACCATATCTATGTATACACACACACATATATATATATTATATATATAGTTTTTGTTTTGTTTTTGTTTGTTATTTTTTGAGACAGAGTTTTACTCTGTCACCCAGGCTGGAGTGCAGTGGCACGATCTCAGCTCACTGCAACCTCTGCCTCCCGGGCTCAAATGTGTTTCATGCCTCAGCATCCTAAGTAGCTGGAATTACAGGCCTGTGTCACCACATCCAGCTAATATTTTTTGTATTTTTAGTAGAGATGGAGTTTTTCCATGTTTCCTAGGCTGGTCTCAAACTCCTGGCCTCAAGTATATTTTGTTTTTAAATCTTCCATAAGTAATATCAGCCCATACATATCTTTACATAACTTGCTTTTTTAACTTAACATTAGGTTTTCCAGGTATATTCATGTTGAGATGTGAGTGTGTGTTTTTGAGTGTGTGTGTGCTTATACACACATACAGTTTCTCCAAATTATGGTGTTTTGACGTTATGATGGTGTAAAAATGATTCTATTCAGGGGAAACCGTACTTAAAATTTTCAGTGCTGATCTTTTCTGGGGCTAGCAGTATTCAGTAGGACATTCTCTCTGGATGCTGGACAACAGCAGGGAGCCAGAGCTCCCAGTCAGCCCTGAGATCATGAGGGTAAGTGACCTTACTCCACAGTGAACTGTGTTGCCAGATGGTTTTGCTCAACTGTAGACTAATGTGATTGCTCTGAGCACATTTTAAGGTAGGCTGGCGTAAGCCATGATGTTCGGTAGGTTAGATGTATTCAATGCATTTTCAATACAATATTTTCCACTTATGATGGGTTTACCAGAACATAGCCCCATCATAAATCAAAGAGCATATGTATTTACATAAAGGCATACATTGCTTAATAAGGGGGATACACTCTGAAAAATGTATCAGTAAGCAGTTTTACCATTGTACTGACATCATAGAGAGTATTTACAGAAACCTAAGTGACATGCATATTTTCACTTATTTATGTTTTTATGTGAAAAACTAAATTTCTCAGCACCATTACTTAATATAGACCTTTTCCCCTACTTGATATGCAATGCCAGTATCAAGTGTGATATATTAGTTTTCTCTCTATGCTTCATTATAACCTTTGGGACTATATATATGATATATATCCACATATATGCATATATATACACATGCATATATATACACACATATATATATCAGCCATTGCTTGATAAGTCTCTGTATTATTAAACAATAAGTACTTTATTTATTCTTCCATTTTGTTTTCTGAGACAGGTCCTTGCTCTGTTGCCCAGGCTGGAGTGCAGTGGCATTGTCATAGCTCACTGCAGCCTCGACCTCTTGAGATAGGGTGATCCTCCAGCCTCAGCCTCCCAAGTAGCTGAGACTACAACTACATATCACCACATCTGGCTGTTTTTTCTGTTTTTGTTTTTAGAGACAGAATCTCTCTCTGTCCAGGCTGGAGTTCCGTGGTGCAATCTTGGCTCACTGCAACCTCTGCCTCCCAGGTTCAAGTGATTCTCATGCCTCAGCCTTCCAAGCAGCTGGGACTATAGGAACCCACCACTACACCTGGCTAATTTTTTTTGTATTTTAGTAGAGACGAGGTTTCACCATGTTGCCCAGGGTGGTCTCAAACTCCTGAGCTCAGGTAACTCGCCTGCCTTGGCCTCCTAAAGTGCTAGGATTACAGGTGTGAGCCACCACACCCAGCCCTGGCTAATATTTGTAGAGAGAGGATCTCTTGGTCACACAGACTATTGGTTCCTCTATTGATCAATAATAAGATCACTTCCTGCTTACCTCTCAGAATATTCAAACTGTTCAATATAATCTCCAGATGTTTCTCAATGCAGAGACTGATGTCGGGTGCTTGAGTTTGACAGATTTCATTTCACTGGAGCATGTAGCATGTCAACAAGAAACAGAGCCTAACTTGCTTTTCTTTATGACAATTCTGGAATTCAAACCTGTGCTCCATATATGATCAATGTGTGATACCTGATAATTAAGTACACAAACTCATGTATGATTTTTCCTGAACTACAAAGGCCAACAAATGTCTGCAGAAGCCTTGTTCCTTGGGAAAACACTGTTGCCTTCACTCTCTGGGATTTATGCAGAGGAATAAGGACATCCTTCTGCAATTGTGCGTCAGCTTTGGGGTAACTTAGGAAGAGATATATCATGTTTCTCTTTCATCTCTCATTCTATGAGGCTGAATGAGTGTGTCTTCTTTGTTTATTTGAGATGCTACCTATCCATTTTCCACTCTGTACTTGAAAGCACCCAATTTTCATTCTCTAGCACAAATACTCTTGCTATAATTGTCTATCTCAACCCAGCTCTTTGTACCAAATGTTTGGATGATTCAATTCTTTGCTTATTATCATTACAACTAGCATGGCCCTTGTCTTTATTTTTGGCAATACCCCTGAGTTCCTATGCTTCTTCTCCTTAGGAAGCTTGCTTTCATCCTTCCTCCATCTCTCCCTGCTATGGCCAAACCAAGAATCTCCATTACGAAAGTTGTATTGCCTTCTTCTTTTCTGTTCCTAACATGCCAATCTCTGAAAATCACCTTCTGTCATTCAGCTAATATTTTCTAGTATTCCAAGTCCTGCACAACTTCAATATAATCTACACTGGAATATAAAATCCACTCACCTGACCTTTGTTCATTGTCTCTCCTCTCCCATGTTTGGAGGTAGGAACTGTGTTGGACAGCCCTATGTAACAAATGACGTCAGCATTTCCTTAGTGCCTTTAGGAAATCTTTTGTGATTAACTATAATCCCTCTTCCACATTGTTTTGGAGTTTTAGGTAGCACCCTGGATAATCAGGTAATTTTATTTGATTGATTTGCTATTTGATGAATGTTCTATTTCTCTGTAACACCTCCACTAATAAAACAAAATGAACTCCAAGGGGCTTTAAAATTCTCTCCACCATCACAGAAAATGTTCCTCTTTTGCTATTATTTCCTTAAGAATGCATGAGATCTATATTGATATATCCATTTTTACTATCTTTATATGGCAATTATAAATAAATACTGAACAGTAAATATATGTTGCTTTGAGTGAGTGAATGGGTATTTTCAGTCAAATTTGTAATATGCCTATTCTCAATCTATTTTATATTGTTACCATTTCTTTTTCTGTATTCCTATTCTAATCTGTGCAAAACAAAGATTGTTTCTTCCCCAAATTGCTAATTCTTGCCAGTTAAACCCACTTGCTGGAATCACAAGCCTATTATTTTTTTTAAATGCAGTCACTTTTGTACTTTTGATAAAACCTTTTTCTTCTTAAATTGCTGTAGATTCTGCTATTGATTTTTTCCCCTTGATGGAATTTATCTTCTCATTGCAAATTAAATAGCAGTAGAATTTTGCAGGACCAATCTTATTTGAAAATGTGCCTTGTTTCATCATGTCTATATATTTCTTAAAAGCCACAAGGCTATAACATCCTTCAGTTTTATTTGATAATGTATCTGTAAGAATTATTACACATTCTCATAAATATTTAATAAATTTTGCTATGGATGAAGGTTTCTGTTTCTTCAAAATATGTATTGAAGCCCTAATCTCTAATGGGATGGTACTAGGAGGTGGGGTTTTCGGGAGGTAATAATGTTTAGATTAAGTCATGAAAATGGAACACCATATTGGGATTAATGCTTTTATAAGAAGAGGAAGAGACACCAGAACTTCTTTTCACCGCCATGTGAGGGCACAGCAAGAAGGCGGCCATCTGCAAACCAGAAAACGAGCCCTCACCAAACATTGAATCTGCTGGTTCCTTAATCTTGAATTTACAGCCTCCAGAACTGTGAGAAATACAAGTCTGTTGTTTAAGCTGCCAAGTCTATGGTATCCTGTTACAGCAGCCTGAACTAAGACATATATTATTAGGATTTACATATATTTCTCATAGAACACAGTTGAAATTCACACCCATTGTGATTAATATTTAACAGGTTCTTACTGAAGTTAACTTTTTTTTCTCTTGTATGTATTGTTGAATTTCCTTATGGGAATGTTTTTATGAAATACTGTGTCTTTCCATGTCACTTCAGCCCCGTGAAGTCTGCATGTATACTAGAAGGTGATCACTAAACACTGTATTTTCCCCCATTTTTACTTGAGTTAGGATCTTGGTTGTGGTTAAGTGACGTCAGACAGCTACATCAGAGTGAGATCTGAGTGATGACAGCTGTCATTGGCCAGGGGTTCTGTGACTTGCGTCTCTTAGTAGGGGTTTTTATGGGGACAGTTCTGCATTTGGCTTGGATATTTCTCCTGCCTGGGTCACTTCTGGTTTTGAAACATCCATATTAACTTTTAAAGTGCTCACAAATTCCATTAACTAACAACCACAAGGTAATAAATTCATTTCTGCTTAACCTAGTTGGAAGACCTGCTATTATAAAGGCTAACTCATGGAAACATGAGTTTAATCATCCTAGGTTTAATTATTGGTGCAGTTAATGCTTTTATAGGGGAGCGCTAGGATTCCCACATACCCAAGAATTTCCAGGACACTTCAAGGACACAAGGCTAATCTTTTCCAAACTTCTCATTCTTCTGCAGTTCCAATTTCATTCTTTCTTGTATCATATCTATTTTTTGCATTATTCATAAACTGGCCCTTGAATTTTAAGAGACACATTGTTATGCAAAATCTTGAAATGTTACAATTAGTTCAAAGAAAGGTATATTTACCTCAAGGACATTAATTCAAGCCAGTATGTTTTCAAAACCTATTTTGCTGTGTATTGCCTGATTTTTAAATTAGATTTTCAAAGAGTTTACTCCCAAGGATTTGAGATCAAACCTCAACCTTCACATGATTCTGATTTTATGAGTAATGTTGGAATATATAAGGGTATGTCCATATTAAATGTGCTCATGTCTTTTTGGGTAGTTTTCATTTTATATTTTTCATTATTGCTCTGGGTTAAGAATCTCTAAGTTATTACTAAAATTTCCCTGAGATGATACTTCCTGATCGTTTATGACTCTACACGTTTCTCTGGAAATAAATATGATCATGTATTTCAGCATGTGGTGCCAAGCTCCAAATGAAATCCTATAGGTTTACCAGGACTTGGGGCATATCTGTACTCTCTGTGAGAGGTGTGAACCGAATGCAGTCTTATTGGATTTGCTTTTCCAGCAGTCAATATTTCTCATCCACAAGGAGCTCCAGTTCAATTCAAACTTCTGTATTCATAACCCGAATATCTACCAAGTCAAGAAAATTTTTTTAACAAAACAAAACATTCATGAACTTAACACTTTAAAATAATCACTTTTAATGTCTGAAAGCATTGCTCTCTTGTCTAATTTTCTTCTTCTTTGAACAGAGAGAAATGATTTACATATTTGGTATCAGACATTATATGCTACCTTATTTGTCTTCTGTTGATTTAACACTTTATGACACTCTCTCCCTGTGTGTGTGTATGTATATACACGTATATATACACCTATACACATAGGTGTGTATGTATATACACGTATATATACACATATACACATAGGTGTGTATGTATATATATGCATATATACACATATACACATACATGTGTATGTATATATCTAATATACATATATATCTATATATACTATATATACTATATATCTATATATATACTACATAGCTATAGTACTATATATACTATATATCTATATATAGATAATGTATACATATATCTATATATACTACATATCTAATACTATATATTAGATATATTATATTATTTATATATTATATATTTATATTGTATAATATATATCATTTTTATATAAAGTAGACATAATATAGATATAATATATCTATGTTATATTGCTGAAATGTATTTTAAAAATATTTAAGTGTGTGTGTATCTTTGTCTTTCATTGCAATAAAATACACATAACACACAATTTATCATTTTAACCATTTTAAAGTATACAATTCAGTGTCATTTAGTACATTCACAATATCCTGCAAGCAGCTCCTCTATCTAGGCCCAGAACATTTTTATCAACATCAACATTTTCAAAAAATATATATTTATTTTTAAAATATATATATTTAAATATATTTTTATACATATATTTATAAAATATATATTTATATATATTTAAAACATTTATTATATATTTATTTATAATATATGTTAAAATATATACATTTTAAAATATATCTATTTTAAAATGTATATGTTTAAAATATATTTATTTTTTAAATATATGTATTTATTTTTTTAATATACATACTTATCTTTTAAATATATAATTATTTTCAAAATATATACACATTTATTTTAAAAATATATGTATTTATTTTTAAATATATGTTTTATGCCATGAAATATCACAAGGGTATATAAGGATAGGTCTTTAAAAACCGGCAGCAAGCATTGCAATAGGCATGTAGACATTTGAGGAATTCTCATTCAATACAGGAAGAAGAGAAATCAAACTAGGCTGTGATTTGTATTAAAAGTGTGACGTGAAGGAGGGCTTAGCTTCAACAATGAGATAAGAAACATCAGGCCTGGTGTGGTGGCTCATGCCTGTAATCCCAGCACTTTGGGAGGCTGAGGCGGGTGGATCATGAGGTCAAGAGATTGAGACCATCCTGGCCAACATGATGAAACCACGTCTCTACTAAAAATACACAAATTAGCTGGGTGTGCTGGTGCGTGCCTGTAGTCCCAGCTACTTGGGAGGCTGAGGCAGGAGAATTGCTTGAACCCAGGAGGCAGAGCTTGCAGTGAGCCGAGATCGTGCCACTGCACTCCAGCCTGGTGACAGAGCCAGACTCAGTCGCAAAAAAAGAAAAGAAACATCGGCAACATTTTGGAAGTTGTGATGTATATGGGGTGAGAATTGCCCTATGACAGCATGACATGGCCTATCTTGATTTTAGATCTCTACACTCACTGATCAACAAAATGCCTGTTATTTTTTGAATTTTTGCAACCATAGGATGAGCACAGTTGGAAAGCTTTACCTACACCCTTTGTGGAGAACTTCTGACAGTTAGCAATGTGATTTTTTTTTTTTTTTTTTTTGCATAATTCAGTGGGTGCATTGGCATTGGTGTTTGCTTTGCATTCCCTAGAAGCATATTCAGAACAGAGGTTCATAGAAAATTTGTTAGAAAGTGTTCCTAGGAAAAACATATAGTAAAACAGGAATGTTTCTGGGGTCATACAGTAATTCTGTGTTTGTCCCTTTGAGGGATCTTCAAGCTGTCTTCCACAGCACCTGTACCATGTCACTTTCCATGCTCATGAGCGATAGATAAGGTTTCCCTGGTGTGGTAGGACCTTGAAAGCATCATGGTCAGTGAAAGAAGAAACACACAAAGGCCACATATCACATTATTCTAGTTATATGAAATGCCCAAAATAAGGACATTCTCAGAGACAGAGACAGACGACCAAGGAGAACATAGAGTGTCACTTTGCCATACCCTCCACTGCACTTTTCTGACCAAGAGCTACTTTGAGTTTCATGCTGTTAGGATAAGGGTCAGTCTTTGGCTTATCAATAAATTTTACTCTCTGTTAGCCTTACTGGCTTTAAGAAAATAACTTCTTGTGTGTTCACAGCTGTATTTATTCCCCAGTTTGCAGAATTGTATAAATAAAGGATAAAAGGATTATTTTAATGTTACTGCACTGAAAAATGTATACGGATTAGTGTGCAAGTTTACTTAGCCGAAACTTTACAAGTTTCTGTTGACCTTGCTGATTGAGCATGACTACAAAATATTACATAATAAAAAGCATTTACCATAAAAAATATAAATATATATATGTATGTGTATACACACACACACACACACACACACACACACACATACATGTTTTACATTGCCCTCTATGCCTTCGTTTCATTTTCTTTTTTTAGAAGGAGTCTGGCTCTGTTGCCGAGGCTGGAGTGCAGTGGTGCAATCTCTGCTCATCTCAACCTCCACCTCCGCCTCTGCCTCCTGGGTTTCAAGCGATTGTCCTGCCTCAGCCTTCCAAGTAGCTGGGATTACAGGCACGCACCACCAGGCCCAGCTAATTTTTTGTATTCTTTTTTTAGTAGAGATGGGGTTTCACCATGTTGGTCAGGCTGGTCTTGAACTCCTGACCTCAAGAGCTCCACCCACCTCAGCATCTCAAAGTGCTGGGATCACAGGTGTGAGACACCATGCCCAGCTCTACGCCTTATTTTCTTATTTTTCATTGCCTTCTATGCCTGTAACTATGTAAAAGAAACTACTTAAGAAGCTCAAAGCCTTGGGAAATAAATTCCTCATTGGCTTACACAGAACTCACACTTGGGTTTTGGTTTGTGTCTTGGTTTTCATTTTTTGATGTGAACAGAAAGCAGACTGGAGGTTGCCAGGGGTTGGGAAGGGGGACAGGGGAGTGGGTCCTTTTTGGGTAATGAAAGTATTCTGGGACTAGATAGAGGTGGTAGTTGAGCGATTTTGTGAATATCCTTAATGCCACTGAACTATATACTTTAAAATGGTTAAAATGTTAAGTTTTATATTATATGTGCTTTATTGCAATGAAAGAGAAACTTTTATTGCAATAAATTCATTGGAATAAAAGAGATATATAAAATATATACTTACATTTATATAATATATACTTATATTTATATATAATTATATATATTTATATAAATATCTAAAACAAATACATTCATATTAACATATATTAATATATATTTATATCACATAAATTTTACCTAAATATTAATATATCTATAATTTTTTCATATATAAATATATAATATAATTAATACATATATTTTAATATATTATACATTATATATTACATAAAAATATTTATATATTTATAAATATACTGTATTTTTTATATATGTGTGTATAAATATATGTATATATACACATTTTAACAGTATTTCCAGCCTACTGCAAGTGTGGTCAGAATAGGCTCACAGGGTGTTTGACCTCTGGAGGCTCTAGGGGAGGACAATTTGTGGCTCCATCACTCCAGTCTTCAAGGCCGGCATCTTTAACTCTCTCTGCTCCATGTTGACATTGCCTTCTCCTGTCCATGTGTGTCCAAACCTCTCTTTATCTCCCTTTCATAAGGATTCTTGTGATTACATTGGGCACACCCAGATAACGCAGGGTGATCACCCATCTCAAGATCCTTTCTACATCTTATCTGCACAGTGCCGTTCCCCATGCAGTCACATACCTCTAGGTTCTGGGGATTCCGATCAGATGACATGTTTGAAGATGTCTTTATTTAGCCTAACTACACCCAAGATGATTGTTCTCTCTTGCTGAACCAAGTAATAACCCAACTTGTTCAACTACATGTGTGTTCTTGGTGTGCTTTGGCTAGAGGACATTGACACGTTAACTTTGAAAACAAAAACAGAGACTGCCTTCTGGGTAAATCACAGAGGTCAGGTAATCAACAAATAACCTCTTATTGTTCATAGCCCTGTATACCTACAGCTATGCAAAAGAAACTACTAAGAAGCTCAAAGCATTGTGAGATTCGGTCGTGATTTGCTTACTCAGAATATACACACTAGTGTTATGGCTTGTGTCTTGGTTTTTAGCTTTTTATGTGAACAGCGAAGCTGATCTGGCTCCTTTTCTAGTGATGTGGATTGAGGCACATTATTCTCTACCAGAGAGTAACAAAGTTAATGTAAATGATTTCCATCTACTGCACTGTAGTTCACTGGACCAAGCTTATTAATTCAACTGTGAATAGCTGGAAATGTGGAACTTGCATTTTAGGTTTTTCCAAAGTCTCTTTTTTGAGCAGACATTTTGGGTTGCTCAAGAAAAAAGAAATGATTGCCTTAAAGGGATACTTTATCATGACTCTGCTGCATGTGAAAGGAATTGCATCGAATTTTTCCCCAACAGTAGAAATAGCCCAAATCCTGTGACAAAGTAACAGTAATCTATTTATAGCCAAGGTTAGGTAAGGAAAGAACAATCTTTCTTTTTTAATTTCCCTGGGTAAGCATTGATCAAATTGCATTTTTCATTCATGAGAATATCTCTGAAATCAGGAGAGATTAAGTGTATGAATAATTGTTATATAGTTGTGTAGAAAGCAAAAGAACTTTCAATAAATTTGTTCCACTTTTTCCTCAGGTAGTTTCCTATTCCCTTATTCTTTCCCTCCTCTGTTCATTTAATTGTGAAGCGATTTATTGAACATCTATTAAGTGAAAGGCCATGGGGAAATCAAAATATGTGAGGCAGATTCCTACTCTCAAAGGACTGATCGCAAAGAAGAGACAGACTCCTAAAAGAGGCAAAAACCAAAAAAGGAGACATGATAATAATAAATGAATGAATGGGGTGGCAGTTTTCATCATAGTCAATATTGGAGAAGACACACCTTTGAAAAGGCTTGCAGCTCAGTCAACTTTAAATTAGGATGGTCGGTTTTTGAAAACCTTGCAAGAAGACTGGCAAATATAGACTTATGGGTCTTATTCAGGGAGTTGTGCAACTTGGGGGCAAATAAGAAACAGTATCCGTTTCACCTGCCAACATCCTCAAAGATCAGAATATCCTTCAGTGTTTTCCCCTCCAATATCAGCTGATAAGTAGAAACATCTAAAATACAGTCATGCATCATTTAACTACAGAGTTACATTCTGACAATGTATCATGAGGTGATCTCATCAGTGTGCGAACATCAAAGAGTGCACTTACACAAACCTAAATGCTCTAGATTACTACACACTTGGGCTACATACCTGTACAACAGGTGACTGTACTGAATATTGTAGACAATTTAACACAGGGGTAGGTATTTCCACACCTAAATATATCTAAACAGAAACACAGTATGTTAAAAATAAGGTTATTATAGTCTTCTGGGACCACCACTCTCTATGGGGTCTATCAAATAGAAGTCTAGTTTGCTGTGAGTTACACAACAATATTATACCTTGCAAAAATATTGTAAGAGTTTTGTGAAAACCTGATCATTGGTAAAAAGTTGAAACAGTATTGAAGGGGGGTGGAACATATTTGAAGACCTATAAAATAATTTTAGGATTTTGCCATGAAGACTAATCACATAGGAAAAAAAAATTACCAAAAACCTCATTGCAGGTACATAAAATCTTATAGAAGGGCATATATCAAACCTGAACTTACTTTTAGTCCAATGTTAATCTAACAAGAATGTTTTTCTGCTTGTCCCATTACCAATCAATAGGACTGGATAAACTGGTTTTATTCCTGTCATTCTTATAACACATTGATAAATTTCACCTAGGTAATATACTTTTTAGGGAACTTAACCACTTTGTGTTTAAATATGACCATCACAGTATGTTGCACACATAATATTCTGAATAAGTACTTGCTTTAAATTGTGTATATAAATCTTCAGATTCTCCGGTTTACTTGATAGAATACTCAGGTGGGCATAGCACTTTACATGTCAATGGTACTTTATAACACATTACAGATTTTTTATAAAAACAACATTTTCTTATACCTTATTTCATCTAATCTGCCAGCAAGTTCCTTTAAAATGATATCACTTTATATATAAAAAATACAGCATCAAGCAGGATGAGCAAATTATTCACAGTCTCATAACTCACAGGAGGTAGAATTGTCAGAAGCATTTGAACCAGAGCAACTCCATCTTGAATAGGGGCTGGGTAAAATGAGGCTGAGACCTACCGGGCTACATTCCCAGGAGGTGACATTTCTGGGACATCCTGTGACATTCTAAGTCACAGGATGAGACAGGAGGTCAGCACAAGATACAGGTCATAAAGACCTCGGTGATAAAACAGGTTGCAGTAAAGAAGCAGGCCAAATCCCACCCAAACCAAGATGGTGATGAGAGTGACCTCTGGTTGTCCTCACTGCTACACTCCCACCAGCACCATGACAGTTACAAATGCCATGGCAATGCGAGGAAGTTACCCTATATGGTCTAAAAAGGGGAGGCACGAACAATCCACACCTTGTTTAGCATATCATCGAGAAATAACCATAAGAATGGGCAACCAGCAGCCCTCGGGGCTGCTCTGTCTGTGGAGTAGCCATTCTTTTATTCCTTTACTTTCTTAATAAATTTGCTTTCACTTTCACTTTGCTCTATGGACTTGCCTTGAATTCTTTCTTGCGCGAGATCCAAGAACCCTCCCCTGGGCTCTGGATCGGGACCCCTTTCTGGTAACAAAATGAGGCTGAAGAACCTCAAATCTTACATCTTCTGTAAATTTATTGTTATTAAGTTATTTATTATTAAATAAAAGTATTATTTTATTTTATTTATGTTTAAATGACATAATTGTATCTATTTCTGGAGTACAATGTGATGTTTTGATAGATCCATACATGATGAAATGATTAAATCAAACTAGTTAGCATGTTTATCACTTCACTTTCTTATTTGTATTTTTGTGTGGGTGGGTCAAACATTTAACATCGGCTCCCTCAGTAATCTTGAAATATACATTACATTATTAATAACTAGAGCCAGCATGCTGTGCCATAGATTTCAAGAAATTATTCTTTCTGTCTAACTAGAACTTTCCTCTTCAATCAACATCTCCTTATTCTCTTTCTCCACTCCTTTGTCCCTGGCACCCATCATGCTACTCTCTGCTTCGGAAACCACCTTTGCAAAAGTGATATCAGTGAGAAAATTCTAACAGTAAGCTAAGCTAACCCAACCTCCATCTTGCCTCTCCCTTAATTATTTTGGGCTAGTGGGGCAAATTAACTTTGGAAAACATTAAGGCTACATTTTAAATGATAATAGGGCTTACCCCCAAACTCAACCACATTTGTAAAGCTGATGGGAGGCCAGGGGGCTGCGGGGAGGAGAGGAGCCATTATTCCAGAAGTTATAAGATGTGCCGCTTCCCCAAGCATTCCTGTACCACTGTTGAAGATTAGCCTTTTGAGATATCTTGCCAGTCTTTTTGCATGTCTTACACCCACGACTCCACCTGGACCTACAACCCAGCCCCTGTGGCCACACCCAGAAGCAATCCAGCCCGCAGGAGGACAGCTTCAACCCCTATAAGTTAATGTCTGCCCTAACCAATCAGCAGCAAGCACCAATTACCTGGTCACCTCTACCTCTTCCCCCAAACTGTCCTTGAAAAACGCCTAATCTACAAGCGTTTAACAAGATGATTTGAGTATGAATTCCATCTCCCACGTAGTGTGGCCAGCCTCCTGTCTATTAAACTCTCTCTCTACTATACAATGCCTTGGTATTTATGCAGTTGGCAGGAGGAACCCCTTGGGCGGTTACACTTCTTTGTTTTTTTGTTTTTTGAGATGGAGTCTTGCTCTGTCACCCAGGCTGGAGTGCAGTGGCTCCATCTCGGCTCACTGCAAGCTCCGCCTCCCGGGCTCACGCCATTTTCCTGCCTCAGCCTCCCGAGTAGCTGGGACTACAGGCACCTGTCACCGCGCCCGGCTAATTTTTTGTATTTTTAGTAGAGACGGGGTTTCACCATGTCAGCCAGGATGGTCTCGATCTCCTGACCTCGTGATCCACCAGTCTCGGCCTCCCAAAGTGCTGGGATTACAGGCGTGAGCCACCGTGCCGGCCTGGCGGTTACATGTCTATGAATTTTTCTTTCGTAGATTCTGCATAGAAGTGAGATCATGCAGTACCTGTCTTTCTGTGCCTGGCTGATTTCACTGCACATAATCCCTCCAGGTTTATCTGTGTTTTCATCATTGTCTATTTTATAATCCCAGAAGACAGCCTGAGAGTTGATTTTTGTAAATTCCTGTACTGGTAAGTGGCTATTGGATGTTCCATTTAGTTTGTTTTCCTCCACTTGTTTTCTTATCTGTTGGATTGAAACCACTTTGTAAAATTATGACTAAGACAGTGCAAGAGATCTAACTTAACTCACTCCATCTTGCTTCTAACCTCCAAGCTGTCCTTGTTCATTCCTGGGCGCAGGCTAAACTAACTTTGGGAGAAACTTAGCTTATAGTTTATTGTTTAAACAAAGATGGTAACAGCCCTTTCCCAAAGCAGACCTCCTTCTTGCCTGGGGACTAGATTGCCTTTGTAGGGCTAACATTAGCCAGAAGATTAGAAATTATGGTTTGGGAGTTCATGCAGCTGGAGGCTACAAGATTCTGACCCTCCCTAAACTGCCCCTAAGATCAGTGCCTGAGATATTTTGCAGACCCTTCACTTGATGGATCAGCTGGCACCACCCAGATAGTTAAACTGGCTCTTCTGATCTTGTGGCCCCCACCCAAGAACTGATTGAACGCAAGAAGGCAGCTCTGACTCCCTATGATTTCATCTCTGACCAATCAGCACTCCTGACTCACTGGCTTCTCCCGACCCACCAAGTTATCCTTAACAGCTCTGCTCCCTGAATGCTCGGGGAGACTGATTTGAGTAATAATAAAACTCGGATCTCCCGCACAGCCAGCTCTGCACGAATTACTCTTTCTCTATTGCAATTCCCGTCTTAATGAATCGGCTCTGTCTAGGTAGCAGGCAAGGTGAACCCCTTGGGTGGTTGCAGGTTAAGCAAATAGGTCAGGTGATTTTATGTTCATTTTAGCTGTAGAACTTTGTTCTAGTCTATCTGAAAAGTTTTTAGACAAGAAAGTCAAGGGAGGTTTTCACGATCAGTGGACTCTTCCTTTTTTTTTCAAAAATCGAGTTGGTTCAATGAGTATTATTTATTGAGGGAACTCTTTAAAATACTGAACATTGTTAATGACTTTCACGCGCGTCCGTGTGAAGAGACCACCAAACAGGCTTTGTGTGAGCAACAAGGCTGTTTATTTCACCTGGGTGCAGGCGGGCTGAGTCCGAAAAGAGAGTCAGCAAAGGGAGATGGGGTGGGGCCGTTTTATAGGATTAGGGAAGGTAATGGAAAATTACAGTCAAAGGGGGTTTGTTCTCTGGTGGGCAGGTGTGGATCTCACAAAGTACACTCTCAAGGGTGGGGAGAATTACAAAGGACCTTCTTAAGGGTGGGGGAGATTACAAAGTACATTTATCAGTTAGGGTGGGGCAGGAACAAATCACAATGTTGGAATGTCATCAGTTAAGGCTGTTTTTACTTCTTTTGTGGATCTTCAGTTACTTTAGGCCATCTGGATGTATACGTGCAAGTCACAGGGGATGCGATGGCCTGGCCTGGGCTCAGAGGCCTGACATTCCTGCCTTCTTATATTAATAAGACAAATAAAACAAAATAGTGTTGAAGTGTTGGGGCAGCGAAAATTTTTGGGGGGTGGTATGGAGAGATAATGGGCGATGTTTCTCAGGGCTGCTTCAAGCGGGATTAGGGGCGGCGTGGGAGCCTAGAGTGGGAGAGATTAAGCTGAAGGGAGGTCTTGTGGTAAGGGGTGATATCATGGGGATGTTAGAAGAAACATTTGTCGTATAGAATGATTGGTGATGGCCTGGATACGGTTTTGGATGATTTGAGAAGCTAAATGGAAGATACAAGGTCCGAATAAAAGGAGGAGAAAAATGGGTATTAAATGTCTAAGAATTGGGAGGACCTAGGACATCTGATTAGAGAGTGCCTAAGGAGATTCAGCATAGTCCTGCCAGCAAAGATTATTTACTTCAAGAGTTAAGAGTGGCAGTTTGGGGATAGCACCAGGAGATATCAGCTGTGATGGCTTGGAGAAACAGTGTAAACCGGCAGTGTAAACAAGAGCAGGGCATGTATGAGTAGTTGAGAACGGTGAATAGGAGTATGACTAGACAGAAGATAGTAGGGATGACAAGTTTTTTGGGGCACAGTCTAAGTTGGTCTGGTGTCTGGAATGAGACTGGGGCCTAATAAAAAGGAGCGTCTATACAGGAGCTTAAATGGGATGTACCTTGTAGCATTCTGAGGACAGGCCTGATTTCTGAGAAGGGAAAGTGGTAAAAGTATTGTCCAGTCCTTTTTAAGCTGGTGGCTGAGCTTGGTGAGGTGTGTTTTTAAAAGACCTTTAGTCCGTTCTACTTTTCTTGAAGAAGGAGGACCGTAAGGGATATAAAGGTTTCACTGAATACTAAGAGCCTGAAAAACTGCTTGGCTGATTTGACTAATAAAGGCTGGTCTGTTATCAGACTGTATAGAGGTGGGAAGGCTAAACTGAGGAATTGTGTCTGACAGAAGGGAAGAAATGACTGTGGTGGCCTTCTCAGACCCTGTAGGAAAGGCCTTTACTTTATTCAGTGAAAGTGTCTATTTAGACTAAGAGGTATTTTAGTTTCCTGAATCAGGGCATGTTGAGTAAAGGTAATTTGCCAGTCCTGGGTGGGGCAAATCCTCCAGCCTGATGTGTAGGGAAGGGAGGGGGCCTGAATAATCCCTGAGGAGTAGTAGAATAGCAGATGGAACACTGAGAAGTTATTTCCTTGAGGATAGATTTCCACGATGGAAAGGAAATGAGAGGTTCTGAGAGGTGGGCTAGTGGCTTGTACTATAGCATAACCTGCCTTTGCTGGTGTGTGGCGATTAGGCCTGGTGGAACTTCCATCAATAAATCAAGCGTGATCAGGGTGAGGAACAGGAAAGAAGGAAATATGGGGTGAATATCAGGTGGATCAGAGAGATACAGTCATGGAGGTCAGGTGTGGTATCAGGAATAATGTGGGAGGCCAGATTGAAGTCCAGGCCAGGAACAATGGTAATTGTGGGACTTAAGAAAGTGTGAGTACAGCTGAAGGAGCCGGGGAGCAGAAAGTATATGCGTCAGGTATGAGGAAGAAAATAGATTTTGGAAGTTATGAGAAATGTAGAGAGTGAGTTGAGCATAGTTTGTGATTTTGAGGGCCTCTAACAGTATTAAAGCAGCGGCAGCGGCTGCACACAGACATGATGGCTAGGCTAAAACAGGAAGGTCAAGTTGTTTGGACAGAAAGGCTACAGGGTGCAGTCCTGGCTCTTGTGTAAGAATTCTGACCACACTAACCATGCCTAGGAAGGAAAGGAGTTGTTCTTTTGTAAGGGATTGAGGTTTGGGAGATTAATCGGACACGATCAGCAGGGAGAGCACCTGTGTTTTTATGAGAATTATGCTGAGATAGGTAACAGATGAGGATGAAATTTGGGCTTGACTGAAGTAATGGGGGCTGTCTGTGAAGCCTTGCGGCAGTACAGCCCAGGTAATTTGCTGAGCCTAATGGGTGTCAGGGTCAGTCTAAGTGAAGGCAAAGAGAGGCTGGGATGAAGGGTGCAAAGGAATAGTAAAGAAAGCATGTTTGAGATCCAGAACAGAATAATGGGTAGTAGAGGGAGGTATTGAGGATAGAAGAGTATACGGGTTTGGCACCACGGGGTGGATAGGCAAAACATTTGGTTGATAAGGCGCAGATTCTGAACTAACTTGTAAGGCTTGTCTGGTTTTAGGACAGGTAAAATGGGGGAATGGTAAGGAGAGTTTATAGGTTTTAGGAGCCCATGCTGTAGCAGGCAAGTGATAACAGGCTTTAATCCTTTTAAAGCATGCTGTGGGATGGGATATTGGTGTTGAGCGGGGTAAGGGTGATTAGGTTTTAATGAGATGGTAAGGGGTGCATGATCGGTCGCCAAGGAGGGAGTAGAGGTATCTTATACTTGTGGGTTAAGGTGGGGGGATACAAGAGGAGGACGCAAAGGAGGCTTTGGATTAGGAATAAGGGCGGCAATGAGATGCAGCTGTAGTCCAGGAGTAGTCAGGGAAGCAGATAATTTAGTTAAAGTGTCTCGGCCTAATAAGGGAACTGGGCAGGTGGGGATAACTAAAAAGGAGTGCGTAAAAGAGTATTGTCTAAGTTGGCACTAGAGTTGGGAAGTTTTAAGAGGTTTAGAAGCCTGGCCGTCAATACCCACAGCAGTTATGGAGGCAAGGGAAACAGGCCCTTGAAAAGTAGGTAATGTGGAGTGGGGAGCCTCCATATTGATTAAGAAGGGGACGGACTTACCCTCCACTGTGAGAGTTACCTAAAGCTCAGTGTCTGTGATGGTCTACAGGGCTTCCGAGGTGATTGGGCAGCGTCAGTCTTCAGCCGCTAAGCCGAGAAGATCTGGGAAGGAGTCAGTCAGAGAGCCTTGGGCCAGAGTTCCAGGGTCTCTGGGAGTCGCTGCCAGGTGAGTTGAACAGTCTGATTTCCAATGGGGTCCCGCACAGATGGGACACGGCTTAGGAGGAATCCTGGGCTGCAGGCATTTCTTGGCTTGGTGGCCAGATTTCTGGCACTTGTAGCAAGCTCCTGTGGGAGGAGGTTCTGGAGGAACGCCTGGCTGCTGCGGTTCAGGTGTTTGGAAGTTCTTGTTTGCTGGAGATGTGGCTGGGGTTTGTCTCACAGTGGAGGCAAGGAATTGCAACTTTTTTTTTTTTATTATTGTACACCTTGAAGGCGAGGTTAATTAAATCCTGTTGTGGAGTTTGAGGGCCGGAATTTAATTTTTGGAGTTTTATTTAATATCGGGAGCAGATTGGGTAATAAAATGTATATTGAGAATAAGACGGCCTTTTGACCTTTTAGGGTCTAGGGCTGTAAAGCGTCTCAGGGTTGCTGCCGAACGAGCCATGAACTGGGCTGGGTTTTTATATTTGATGAAAAAGAGCCTAAACGCTTCTGATTTGGGATAAAGAAAAAGGAGCATTAACCTTGACTATGTCTTTAGCTCCAGCCACCTTTTTAAGAGTAAATTGCTGGGCAGGTGGGGGAGGGCTAGTCACGGAACGAAACTGTAAGCCGGACCAGGTGTGAGGAGGGGAGGTGATAAAAAGATTACAGGGTGGAGGAGTGGAGCCTGAGGAAGAATTGGGACCTAGCTTGGCGTGGAGAGGAGGGGAGAGGTCAGATGGGTTTGTAGAAAAGGAAGATTAGACACACTCAGCAACGCCTGGGGTTGGGACTGAGGGGACAGGTGGGAGGGAAAGAAGGAAGATTTGGGACGAGTTGCACTGGGCACAGAGACTAGGAAGGGACGGATGTGTAAAAGAATGCCTGGACATCAGGCACCTCAGACCATTTGCCCATTTTTTGACAAAAATTATTTAGGTCTTGTAGGATGGAGAAATCGAAAGTGCCATTTTCTGGCCATTTAGAGCCATTGTCAAGTTTGTATTGGGGCCAAGCGGTGTTGCAGAAGAAAATGAGGCATTTAGGTTTTAGGTCAGGTGTGAGTTGAAGAGGTTTTAAGTTCTTGAGCACACAGGCTAAGGGAGAAGGAGGAATGGAGGATGGAAGGTTGCCCATAGTGAAGGAAGCAAACCCAGAGAAAAGAGAGCGTAAAGACACGGAGGGAAGGGGTTTGGGGTTTCTTGCCCCCTAGAAAAGTGGGACTTGCTGCTAAGGGTGAAGGAGAAGGGGTTAAGGGGTACTTGCCCCTGCCCCAGGAAAGCAGGACTTGCCACTAAGGGTGAAGGAGAAGGGGTTGGGGGGTACTTGCCCCTGCCCCCTAGAAAAGCGGGACTTACCGCTAAGGGTGAAGGAGAAGGGGTTGAGGGGTACTTGCCCCTGCCCCAGAAAAGCAGAGAAGGGGTAGAGACAAGGAGAGAAGGGGTTGGGGTACTTGCCCTGTCCCCAGAAAAGCAGAGAAGGAGTAGAGACACGGAGAGAAGGGGTTGGGGTACTTGCCCTGTCCCCGGAAAAGCAGAGAAGGGGTAGAGACACGGAGAGAAGGGGTTGGGGTACTTGCCCCTTCCCCAGAAAAGCGGGACTTGCTGCTAAGGGTGAAGGACCAAGGCAGTTGTCCCTGCGTGGTCTGACACCCTTGAAACGTGGGTGTATAATCAGAGAGGCATCCCTGCAATGATTAAACACCAAGGGAAGGCTGCCTTCCCAGTCTGTGACCAGCGCCGGAGTTTTGGGTCCACGGATAAAACGTGTCTCTTTTGTCTCTACCAGAAAATGAAAGGAATTGAAATTAAGAGAAGGGAGAGATTGAAGTGTAGTGCCAAGATTGAAAGGAGAAAGTGGTTGAGGGATAGTGAGGGAAGTTGGAGAAGAGAGTAAAAAGAGGCTGCTTACCAGATTTGAAATTGGTGAGATGTTTCTTGGGCTCGTCGGTCTGAGGACCTGAGGTCGTAGGTGGATCTTTCTCAGGGAGCAAAGAGCAGGAGGACGGAGGATTGATCTCCCAAGGGAGGTCCCCCGATCCGAGTCATGGCACCAAATTTCATGTGCGTCCATGTGAAGAGACCACCAAACAGGCTTTGTGTGAGCAACATGGCTGTTTATTTCACCTGGGTGCAGGCGGGCTGAGTCCGAAAAGAGAGTCAGCAAAGGGAGATAGGGGTGGGGCCGTTTTATAGGATTTGGGAAGGTAATGGAAAATTACAGTCAAAGGGGGTTGTTCTCTGGTGGGCAGGGGTGGATCTCACAAAGTACATTCTCAAGGGTGGGGAGAATTACAAAGGACCTTCTTAAGGGTGGGGGAGATTACAAAGTACATTGATCAGTTAGGGTGGGGCAGGAACAAATCACAATGGTGGAATGTCATCAGTTAAGGTGGGGCAGGGCATATTCACTTCTTTTGTGATTCTTCAGTTACTTCAGGCCATCTGGGCGTATACATGCAAGTCACAGGGGATGCGATGGCTTGGCTTGGGCTCAGAGGCCTGACAATGACCTGCTCTGTATGTCCTCATGTAACATTATTGCCAACGAAATAGATGCTCTGAAATACAACTACTAACTTAAACTAACTCTGAAATGTTTCATCTCTGCTCTGATTCATGCCATAATTATTTTCAAACAGAGAGATAAGCAGAACTCCGAACTGTTAAATCCCTTAGAAAGCCCACAGCCCAGTGCACCCTTAAAGAAAGGGAAATAGAGCCGGGTACAGAGGCTCATGCCTGTAATCCCAGCACTTTGAGAGGCCGAGGCGGGAGGATCACGAGATCAAGAGATCGAGACCATTCTGGCCAACATGGTGAAACCCCCGTCTCTGCTGAAAATACAACAATTAGCTGGGTGTGGTGGCACGTGCCTGCAGTCCCAGCTACTTGGGAGGCTGAGGCAGGAGAATCGCTGGAATCCAGGAGGCAGAGGAGGTAGCAGTGAGCCGAGATCGCGCCACTGCACTCCAGCCTGGCGACAGAGCGAGACTCCGTCAAAAAAAAAAAAGGGAAATAGGATCTGATGAAAGTGTGTATTGGCCCCACATCAAGCAGCTATAATTCACAGAAGTAATGCTAGAAATGTTGCTGCCTGGCTTTTAGCCCAGCGAGGTTTCCAAACCTCTCTTTAATTACAACAGACCTACCTCAACATTCGGCCATGTAATCTGTAGCTCAAATGTCAACATCATTCTCAGCTAAGCCATGCAGTAGAGAAAGGCTCAATTATGTTTCTAAGCTTGGCTGCACCTTAGAATCACTTGGAAGCTTTGGAGAAAGAAATGCCTCTGAGTCCCACTATCAGAGACTTACTTAAGTGTTTTGAAATGCACCTGCGGAAATGTGAAATTTTAAAGGTTTCAGGTGATGCTAATATGCAGGTAAGTCCAAGAACTCTACGTATTCCTAGAAATGTGCGTTCCGTGGTCACCCATGATGCTTTTCGCATGGGCTATCACTATTTTTATGCGTGCATCGAGCATGATACTTTATGTAAGCGCGGGACATGTTAATATGCATTGTAAAAAGTTGCCTTGCTAATGTTCAATGCACATTTGCATAACCTCTTAGTGCCATCTTCATGGGGCATGCCATATCAGACAATGGCCAGCAGGTGGCGATGTTGATTTGAGTTGCTGAGAAGTGAAATTTTCCTTAAAAATCTGGCATCTTCAAGTGACCCCCTCAAGGGCTTTGCTTTGTTTTAACTACACCTGCCAACACCTGGAGAGGGTCAATTGTGCATAATGAGCGTTCATATGGAGGTGCCGAAACCACAACTTTGTCATGGTATTTGTTCAAACCATGCAAATGCTTCAATCATCTCTATTTGTTCAATGTTTAGGGTGCCATGAAAACATAAATATCTAAATGCAGTCTTTCCAGACAGATATTTGGTGATGGGCATTGATTCCAGAAAAGGGGCATTCTCCGAAAAGATGCTGAGGAGGAGAGCAAATATAGCTTTTGTGAAGAAATGTTTACCCGGGTGGGACAAAGAGAAGCACAATTGAGGCTGGAAGTTGAATCCAGCTGAAAAGAGATGCATTTAGCCTAATTAAGTTAATGGACCCTTCACTGAATTGAACAGAATTTTTAGTTCCTGTACATTAAAAAAATGGAACACCACCAAAAAAAAAAAAAAAAGATGGGAGAAAAGAATTAGATTTTCACCCATCAGAGATGAATTTGAAATGCTAATATGACCAGGTTAGAACTAGGAAAAAGACATAACTGGGAATATTTTTGGAGCATTCACTTAGTTCCCAGATTCAGTGAAGTGGTTATAGACAGCATTGTAAATCGTATTGGCTGGATTTTTCTTCCACACATAACAGTACAGGCATTAGACTATTAATTAAGTAACTCGTTCATTCATTGAAGCTAGATCGAGCACCTACTGTGTGGTAAAGACTGCATACTGTGTAGCCCTATGGAGACTAAAGGAGATTACTTTCAGTTCTTTCTGTAAGTTGTTCTTCCACCTCCGGTGCTAGATCTAAGGTCACCTACCCATCAGCTTGGTCTCTATCCCCTTCTCCATGTTAATAAATATTCCTGACATATAATAAATTTATGGACAGAAACTACAACTTCACTCAGACTAATTATTTTAAAGGATATGTCTATCTTTAAAAAACGCATTTGAACATTTTACTGAAAGCCAGCAATTTAAACTTAGTGTTTAAACAGATCAACTTGAAGCCCTTCTTTACAAAATAAAAAGTTTAGCCTTCTAGCTTAAACTTAGGATGTAGAAAGCTTGTAAGAAGATCATCGCTCCAACAATCACGGCAAAATCAAGGACACATCATAAACTAAATCTAAAGTTTCTTGAATCTGTCAGAAAACTCCAGTTTTAGGGTATGGTGGGTAATATTAGGTGTCAACTATTGAGGGACGCCTAGACAGCTGATAAAGTATTGTTTCTGGGTGTGTCTGTGAGGGTGTTGCCAGAGGAGATTGACATTGAGTCGGTGGGGTGGGAGAGGAAGACCCACCCTCAGTGTGGATGGGCACCATCTAATTGGCTACCAGTGTGGCTAAAGCAAAGCAGATGGTTAGAAGGTGGGAGAAGCTGGCTTGCTGGGTCTTCTGGCTTTCATCTCTCTCCCATGTTGGATGCTTCACTCTGTTCCTCCTGCCCTTGGACATGAGACTCCAGGTTCTTTGGCTTTTGGACTCTTATTTATTTATTATTTATTATTTATTATTATTATTATTATTATTTGAGATAGGGTCTCACTCCATCGCCCAGGCTGGAGTGCAGTGGTGTGATCTTGGCTCACTACAACCTCTGCCTTCTGGGTTCAAGCAATTCTCCTGACTCAGCCTCCCAAGTAACTGGGATTACAGGCACCCACCACTACACCAGACTAATTTTTGTATTTTTAATAGAGACAGGGTTTCATCATGTTGGCCAGGCTGGTCTTGAACTCTGGGCTCTGACCTCAAGCAATCCACCTGCCTTGGCCTCCCAAAGTGCTGGGATTACAGGTGTAAGCCACCGTGCCTGGCTGGTTTTTGGACTCTTGTACTTACACCAGTGGTTTGCCGGGGGCTCTTGGGCCTTTGGCCACAGACTGAAGGCTGAACTGTCAGTTTCTCTGCTTTTGAAGCTGTTGGACTTGGAATAAGCCACTACCAGTTTCTGTCTTTCCCAGCTTGCAGATGGCCTATGGTGGGGTGTCACCTTGTGATGGTGTGAGCCAATTCTCCCTAATAAACTCCCTTTCATATAGACATAGAACCTATTAGTTCTTTCCCTCTGGGGAACCCTGACGAATATATAGTGCAAACAATCAGGCTGAAATACAAGGAAAGGCAGGCGTTTCTAAGGTGAGATGGGATGTGTGTACATCTTACCTTGAACAGACACAGAAAACACACAAATGGATAAGACACATGTGGAGAAAGTCTTAAAGGGCTTGCTGAGGCTGACAGTGGACTAGCATAAAGTTGTAGGACCTCTGGGAGATGCAGCCACAAGAGGAATTTGCAGCTGTCACCGAGTCTTCACAAACTTTACCTGTTACCTACTAGGAAGACTGGGGACAAGTTGAGGGAACTGAAAAAGCCCCCAAGATGATGTCTTGGGAGAGTTGAACAGTAGTGGCAGAGACTCTTCTCCATGAGTCTCTTGTCCTCCATATCTTATGGGTGTGCTAAGTAAGAATGCCAGGTGCTGACCACTCTTTCCCTAGAGTATTTCTCAGGGTTGTGGCTCTACTACATGTTCGACCTTGAAGGAGCAGGTGACATCTTCCTCCAGGACAAAGAGCAGGCTCTGCTTATCGGGGGTTATGAAGTGGCCGACTTTTCCCAGGCTCTGTATCTCCCTCCTATAAGGCAGCCCATAGCAGGTGTAGGTTCCCATCCAAGTTCATCCTCAGCACCCCCTTGTGGTCCTGAGAAAAAGAAGCTGATGCTCTGGCAATGGCTTTGCTGGAAACAAGTCTCTAGTCTTAGACCTAAAAGTTCTGTGTCTTCTGCCAGCATCCATAGAATGGCAGCATTGCAGCAAGCTATTTTATTAACTTGCAAACAGGATATACTCCCAGACTCTTCATAGTTCTTGATGGGAAGTCACTCCTGGTTTGCAGTTTGCAGGTGGAACAAAAGTCTTCAGTTGCAGGAAATCCTGTGCAGCTGAAGATCCTCTGTAGCCTTAAGAAAATAATAATAATAGTTTTATTATGTGTTATACTATATATAATGAGTATTATATACAATATACACAGCTGACCCTGGAACAACATGAGTTTAAACTATGGGGATCCACTTATCAGTGGATTTCAGTAGGCTGCTAGCTAAGTTTTGGTGGAATTAAAAGCTATATGTGAACTATTTTTGAGACGGAGTCTCACTCTGTCACCCAGGCTGGAGTGCAGTGGCACAGTCTCAGCTCACTGCAACCTCCCCCTCCCGGGATCAAGTGATTTTCCTGCCTCAGCATCCTGAGTAAGCTGGGACTACAGGCATACACCACCATGCCTGACTAATTTTTGTATTGTTAGTAGAGATGGGTTTCACCATGTTGCCCAGGCTGGTCTTGAACTCCTGACCTGAAGCGACCTGCCCACCTTGTCCTCCTAAAGTGCTGGGATTACAGGCGTGAGCCACCGTGCCCAGCCTATATGTGAACTTTTAACCATACAGGGGATTGGTGCCCCTAAGCCTCGCCCTGTTCAAGGGTCAACTGTACACAATCATATAATATGAATATAATTGTATATAATTCATTGTGTATACTATATATAGTTATACATATATTATGTACAATTTTATACCTTATATTCTATATTATGTCATGTATAATATATTTAAATATATAATATATAATATATATTTTATAACATTAATTAGCAATATTTTTTGTTTTTAATATAATATAGTATGTTATATATATCTATATCTATCTATAAAATCTACCATGTATCTATGTATCTTCTATCATCTATCATCTATCATTTATCTATGTCTCATGTATCTATTACCTATGTATGTATGTATGTATGTATGTATCTATCTATCTATCTATCTATCTATCTATTTATTATCTATCTATCCCTCTATGCTGGTGAGGGGATGAGAAGGGCACTTTACCTCTGTGGTATTTGTTCCCAACATTCCCTAACCCCACTCTAATGATAAGACAAACAGGAGACAAATGTGGCATGGGAAATATTCCACAGACTACTTGAACAGTACTCAAGACTGTCATGAAAAAGCAAGGGAAGTCTGAGAAAGGGCCACAGACAGGACATGGGGGAGGGGTGACAAGTAAGTGCAGTGTGATCCCTCAATGGGATCCTGAGACAGAAAAAAAAAAAAAGTTCATAAAAAGCCGGTGGAATCTGACCAAAGGTCTGAAGTGTACTTAGGAGTGCTGTGTCAATGATGTCGGATTCTTAGTTTTGACAAGTACAGCACAGCCACATTAGATGTTAATAATGAGAGGAACTGCTTGAGAGTTGCACAGGGACTTCCTGTACTCCATGGCAATCATTCAATCAAGCCCATTTAAAAAATTCCGTTTTAAGAAATGCACAGTCTGGTACACCAAACCAACAATCCAATTAAAAAATTGGCAAGTTGTTTGAATAGAGACTTTACCAAAGATGTTACAGAATATAGGCTCATGAAAAGATGCTCAACATCTTTAGTCCATAAGGAAATGCAAATTACTACCACAGGGAAATGTTACCACGCATGAGTGTGAATGTCTAAAATTTAAATCAACATACAAGAACAAAAATACTAAAACAAAACCCTAATGATATGAAGCGTCAGTGAGGAGGGGGAATAGCAGAGAACCCTCATATGTTGTTGGTGGGAACGCAGAATGGTACAAGCACAGGAAAACAGAGCGGTGGCTTCTTACAAAACTAAATATGCAAGTACTACTGAAACAGGAGAGTTCCCTGACCTACCCTGCAGGACGTGTAACAGGGGTGTGGCATGTCTGTCCTGCTGCCTTGGCTCAAACCCCTTGTGGAAGGGGAATCACACAGACAGGCAGACGCAGGAGCTGGAGCAAGTGCTTTTGGGCTCTGACTCCATGGTAGCTTCTAGGGGTGGGTGCCTGCAACTCCTGAAGTCCCAGTGGGTGTGTTACAGTGCTCTTTTAGCTCTGCCATCCACAGACCACTTAAGTGTTAACCAGCTCAGTGCCCTCTTGGTACCCAGGTTCTTGTCTGGCATCTAGGAAAAATCAGGACACACAGACAAACTGAAGAATAGTAAATGCAGGGGATTTTATTGCCAGATGGAGGTGGCTATCAGTGAGATGGATGAGGAGCTGGAAAGCGGATGGAGTGGGAAGATAATCTTCCCCTGGAGTTTGGCTGTTACATGGCTGATGTCCTCTCTGACCATCCCCAGCCAAACTCCTCTCAATGTTCAAATGCTCCTTCTCTTCTCTTCTTCTCTCCTTCTCTGCTGCGCTGTTCTTCTGCTCCTCTGCTCTTCTGCTCATAGAGCCTGGGGTTTGGGGTTTATATGGGTACAAAATAGGGGGGTGTTGTGGGCCAAAAGGCAACATTTGGGTGTGAAAATAGGAATACCTGTTTCCATTTAGGGCCATGGGTTTCCAGGCTTGAGGATGTGGCTTTTGCCAGGGAACCACCCTCTTCTACACAGTATTTCCCTGCCTCCTGTCCATATCACTACCCGACCCAATATGACCCAGAAATCCCCTCCTAAGTGTTGCCAAAGAGAAATAAAACATTAGTGTCGGTTAAAAAAATACCTGTCATTGAGTATTCATTGTGGCTTTAATTGTAATCATGAAAAAATGGAAACAACACAGATGTTCTTTAATGGATTTGAGGATTAAATAAAACAAAACAAAACTGGAGTATATGTATAGAATGAAATACCATCCAGCAATACAAAAGGAACTAATTGCTGATATATGCAACAATGGGGGAACCTCAACTGTATTAACCTATGTGAAACAAGCCAATGTCAATAGGGTGCGTATTGCATTACCCATTTATAAAATATTCTGGATAATGCACTATATGGAGAGATTAGTGGTTAGATTAGTGGTACCGGTGGGCTGAGGTGATAGCAAGGGGTTATTGTCAAAAGGTCAAAGCATGATGTGTAGGTTGAGACACTACTTTATGCATGGGTTATATTGTCAATATGCTTACTATTTTTATCAAAACTTGCCAAACCTACAATAAAAAGAGTGAGTTTTACTTTAGATACCAGATAACCACAATTATTTTTAAAATCATCATTATGAGAACACCCACAAATATATGAAACATATAGGAGGTGCCAGGCTTGGGGAAACAAAATTTAGAAGATTTGGTTCTCACAATTCCCTCTGTGAGTTAGAAACCACGATTTATCTTCAGCATAGAAGAGAAAACCAAAGCTCATAATGGGTTGACCACACGTCCTCGGTCACACAACAGAGAATGCTCAAATGCAGATTGGATTAGCTCCAAAGTCCATACCTTTCTGAGTATCTCTCTGCAGTTCTTACTTTCCAGCACAATCATAAAGCTTTGGGGGAAAATATGGAAAGCAGAGAGTTCAAAGGGTAGTGAGACAGGGGCACACATAATAAATTTGTTACTAAAAAGAATAATTAGTCATATCTCTTTGACATTACATGGGGCTGTAAGACTGTCAGTGCTCTTGATAATAAAAAATGTATTGAAAGACTTGATGGGAATGAAAATGCCTCAGATGAAACATATAGTTTTGTTTTATTTATTTTTTATTGTCGATTTTTGTGGGCACATAGTAGGTTTATCTATATATGGGTTACATAAGATGGGTTACATAAGATATGGGTTACATAAGATACAGGCTTTCAATGTGTAATAACGACATCAGGGCAAACGGGGGACCGTCCCCTCAAGTATTTATCATTTGTGTCCAGTCATTTGCAACAACATGGACAGAAGTGAAGGTCATTATGCTAAGTGAACTAAGCCAGACACAGAAAGGCAAACTTTGCATGTTCTCATTTATGTGTGGGAGCTGAAAATCAAAACAATTGAACTATGGAGATAGAGAGTAGAAAGATGGTTACCAGAGCCTGGGAAGGGTAGTTGGGGGGTTGGTTAATGGGTACAAAAAAATAGTTAGAAATAATGAAACCTATAGTTTTGAATGGACTTTATATGGCCTTTCAGCTAACAGACGCTAAACGTATCATTTATATGGCCTTTCAGCGAGCCGACCATAAACTTAACATTTCAGAAGACAATGTGCACCTTGAAGGGTTATGTGAACCCTACCCTCAACCTCTCCAGTTTTTAGACTGTATCTAATTTACCTCCTTCTCCAAGGATATTAGTTTTTAGATACCTGTTTAAGTATGTTGTTTGTAGAGTACTGAAAAAGGCCGTTTCATGGTAAATGTTTTCCATGGTTTTCGAGGTTTAGTGGCAGGATCTCTTTCCATTTGATTAATATTTTTCTACCTGTTGGGATGACCATGGAATAGCTATGGATTGAGGCTGAAAGAAGAACTTGTGACTCAAAAGACAGAAAGATACACAAGCCCTGGTATCTTGGTATTCCAGGAGTAGCAGTTAGGTGAATTTAGAGGAATAACGAGAGGTTGTGCCTTTTGTAAACTGACATTCCTGAGATGAGTGGGAATTGTCCACTCTAGGGACCCCAGTCTTTACAGTCTTACTTAAAAAAATCAACAATCCTGGCTTTTTAGCTGATGGAAAAAAAAAAAAAAAGAGAGAGCTAGTTTTCTGGTATCCAAACTACAGCTCCCCAAATGATGGAGTAGGTTTAGAATATGCTTATAATATTCTTTCAACAATAGAATTACAATTACAGCAGGACAGTCTTCATTTAGAGTCCCATTCCAGAGCTCTTTTCCCCTTGGTTTTTCATTTACATCAGATTCTAATATTAAACATACTTTCAATTTGTGATTCAACAGGACTCAGATGCAAATACAGTTCTCTCAGTAATCAGCATTACGGGATTTGGTTTCTTACAAAGAAGCTAATACTTACGTAAAGGTGGCTGAAGAATAATTTTTTCAAAAACCTCACTGAAAAAAAAGTGGTTAAGGCCCCAGTAGAATTCAAATTCAGGATTAAGTCAAACAGCTGAAACACACTCATACATGCAGAAATTGTTGAATCAGATTCACTTAAACCTGAAAGAATTCAAAAAAGGTCTTTCTAACGTTCTAAAGTTAGTGCTCCAAATTAACCCTCCATACATATAATTAGTAAAACTGATGCATCATGCCATTAGTTAACATTTGTGCATTTTATTGTTTATGAACTATACTTTAATGGCAAACAAACTGAAATAACATTACAAAGTGTGCTGTTTCTTCATAATCAAACCTTTTCCTGCATCTCCGTTGGCATTTTGTGGTATGACAGTCGTTTTAAAAATACCACTAAATTTGGGACTTCTAATATCACTTTGGTCACGTACCTGTGGTTGTTTAAATTATTCTTGTACGCAATCTGCAATATTACATTTTTTAATATGATTACGGTTTTTGTGCCTGAGCCTTTTCATACAATAAATTGTTTTGTTTGTTTGTTTGAGACAGAGTCTTATTCTGTCACCCAGGCTGGAGGGCAGTGCACAATCTTGGCTCACTGCAACCTCCACATCCTGGGTTCAAGCAATTCTCCTGCCTCAGTCTCCTGAGTAGCTGGGACTACAGGCGTGAACCACCACGCTGGGCTAATTTTTGTATTTTTAGTAGAGACGGGGTTTCACTGTATTGGCCAGGCTGGTCTCGAACTCCTGGCTTCGTGATCCACCCGCCTTGGCCTCACAAAGTGCTGGGATTACAGGCGTGAGCCACAGTGCCTGGCAGGGGTTTTTTTGTTTGTTTGTTTTTGTTTTTGTTTTTGTTTTTACACCATGATTATCTTTCTCCTTTGTAGAGTCCCTTTGGAGACTCAGGTTTCAGAGAAAACTACTAACAATGATGTATTAGAAACAAACTTTTGCAACTTTGCTGCGCCTCCTCAGAGTAAATGCTATGGGACCATGTATTATATCTTCTCCAGCAGATAAAGCGAAGTGTTTTGGTCAGCTTAGAGTAAAACTCAAGCAGTAATGCTAACACATAATATGTTGTGATGTAATAAAGAGAGATGACATAATAAATACCAGGCATGTGATTGGATGATCTAGTGTCAAACATAGTATACCCTACAGCATTAGGATTTGTGTCCTTCTTTTTTAACTTTTAAGTTCAGGGGTACATGTGCAAAACCTGCAGGTTTGTTACAGAAGTAAACATGTGTCATGGGGGTTTGTTGTACAGATTTTTTTAATTACTCAGGTATTAAGCCTAGTATCCATTAGTTATTTCTCCTGATCCTCTCCCTGCTCCCACCCTCCACTTTCTGAAAGGCCCCAGTGTGTATTGTTCCCCTCTATATGTCCATGTGTTCTCATCATTTAGCTCCTATTTAAGTGAGAACATGTGGTATTTGGTTTTTTGCTCCTGCATTAGTTGGCAAAGGATAATGGCCTCCAGCTCCATCCATGTCCCTGCAAAGGACATGATCTCATTCTTTATTAAGGCTGCATAGTATTCTACATTGGATATGCACCACATTTTCTTTATCCAGCCTATCATTGATGAACATTTAGGTTGTGTCTTGTTATAATGACTCCTCATGGTTTCCAGAGAAGGTTAGATGATAGATGAAAAATCCTACTTGATTTGACCAGCATTTATGGAGAGCCTTCAACAAGAATCAGGTGCCTACCTAGTCTAGTACATTTTTTCCCCAGAACCTTGATGAAGTCTGAGATGTTGTCCACATTTTGCACAACTTGGGTTTCCAGAATTAACAAACTTATTAACAGTTGGGTCTTCTATTGCTATCTCTTATTCTGCCTCTATTCATCACCACACATGCTTAGGTTAACTTGAAAGTGAGAGAGGACGTGGCCCAAATTGTGGTCTTTCTCCAGAATATTTTGTTGTTGTTGTTTTCCAATTTTGAATATTTTCTGCAACCACACTTTGTCATTGAAATTCCTGTGGTTTCTCCGGCCCCCTGCCCATCAGTCAACAAGTGGATAAATAAACTGTGGTATATATATGATGGAATACTACTCAACCATAAAAAGGAATGGATTAATGACATTTGCAGCAACCTGGATGGGATTGGAGACCATTATTCTAAGTGAAGTAACTCAGGAATGGAAAACCAAACATCATATATTCTTACTTATAAGTGGGAGCTCAGCTATGAGGATGCAAAGGCATAAGGATGACACAATGGACTTCAGGGACTCAGGAGAGAAAGGGTGGGAATGGGGTGAGGGATAAAAGACTTTGGGTTCAGTGTATACTGCTCAGGTGATGGGGGCACTAAAATCTCACAAATGACCACTAAAGAACTGACTCATGTCACCAAAAAATACCACCTGTTCCCCAAAAACCTATGGAAATGAAAAATTTTAAAAAGGAAAAGGAAAGCTTGAGGTTTCAAGCTGTCACATGCTGGTAGATTTCATTCTTAACTCATTGTCCTGTTCCTCTAATGCTTACCTGCTATGGATACATGTTTGTATGTTTTAAAATACTTGTAAGTACAGGAAAAATGAAACAAGAATGATGAAATTCCGGTAGCCACCATCTAGAATTAATAAATGTAAATATTAACTTTCTGTTTAGATATTTATATTTAAAAAATGGGATACAGGAAGTATCCCTTTAACCTTATGCTAAATCTTTCTCCCTCCTTCACCAGAAAACCATTTTCATGAATCAGTCTTGTATCATTCCAATACAATGAGAACACTTTCAAAATACTCATACATGGAACCATTAATCATAGATAATCATAGATAGAATTCCTCTTTTTTTTTACATTCAACTGAATCTATATTCTGCTTACAGCATTTTCACGCAACATTAAATCATATATAATAGCTCTAGTTCATTCACTTCAACTGCTGAGATAATTTTTTTCTCCTTTTTTATTACATATATGACTATTAATTTGGTCATTTCATGTTTTTAATATAACATGATGCTTTTCTTCAGTTTTCTTTTCTGTTCCTCTTTTTTTTTTTATGCCATCTCTTAGATTGATAATGTTTATCAGCCTTTTTTTCCCTTTTATTGGTTTGGAATTTCACTTTCATTTTTAATCATTTCATCTTTAATGGTTAATTCTGCAATGTTAACATGTATATATAAAAATATATGTATTAATCAATATCCCTAATTTTCTCCTGAAAAACAAGAGTCTTAAAACATGTTAAACATCATCTTCATCTTCTATCTTCCATGCAGCATTTTTCAGTATTTTAAATCTACCTTTTTACATACTCCACAAAATTAAACTTTTGTATTTACTACTATGCCTATAAAAAAAATTAGAAAGACCTAGTATTTGATAGCATAACAGGGAGACTACAGTCAATAATGATTAATGGTACATTTAAAAATAAAAGAGGCTGGGCATGGTGGTTCATGCCAGTAATCCCAGCAATTTGGGAGGCCCAAGTGGGCAGATCACCTGAGGTCAGGAGTTCGAGACCAGCCTGGCCAACATGGCGAAACCCCATCTCTACTAAAAATACAAAAATTAAATAAGCATGATGGTGGGCTCCTATAATCCCAGCTACTTGGGAGGCTGAGGCAGGATAATTGCTTGAACCTGGGAGGTGGAGGTTGCAGTGAGCAAAGATCACACTGCACTCCAGCTTGGGCGACAGAGCAAGACTCTGTCTCAAAATAAATAATAAATAATAAAATAAATAAGGGAGTATAATTGAGTTGTTGGTAACACAAAAGATCAATGCCTGAGGGTTGGATATCCAATTTTCCATGATGTGATTATTACATATTGCATGCCTGTACCAAAATATCTCATGTCCACACCATAAAATATATACTCCTACTATGTACCCACGAAAATTAAAAATAAAATTTTTAAATGTACATTTACAACTGCAGTTACTAGTCTGTGGCTTAATATTGCTTCTTACATCACAACTTACTTTATGCATCCAATTGTCATGTTTTTGAAGCATATTTTCTAGAAATTATTTCTATTAGAGTCATATTAGCAGCACATTATCTGCATGCTTGGATGTCTAAACATATTTTCTTGGGTCCTGAATCTTGAATGCTATTTAAATGTGGTTTAAAATTCTTTGTTAACATTTATTTCTATGCAACTTTTTAAAGATACCTACATGTTCTGTAGTCTTGCATTGACTGGAGTTACGTGTATTTTCATTTCTTTACATATAATTGGCCTTTTCATTTCAAAGCTTCACCTCCGTCTTATAATTTAGAGTATTATTTTCTCTTCTATTCCGACCCTTGGAATTACTCTTTCTTGCTTTTGAGGTCAGTGATGGCTTAAACGTTTCTTTTCCCCTCGGTGTTCCTTAGTTTTTGCAGCTGCGCAGGGATTCCCGCATCAGTCAGACAGGAGTGATACAACTCTAGCTTAACCGAGGCTCTGATTTGTTTTCTTTTTGTTTAGACTTCATGAACCTTAATTTGTGCCTGCCTATGCTGACTTTTCTTTAGCAGCTGCTGTGATAAAAAATAAATAAATAGATAAAAAAGGTTCACAAAGTCAAGACAATCTAGGTCACTGCTCTCGAGGAATGTATAGTATACTCAGATACACTGATAATTACATACGTGTTTTTGACACAGTGCAATCGTTTCTACCACAGTGTATAGGGAGTGCATTAAGACAGATAAACATCTACCTACCTAATACCTGTGGAAGAAAAGGCAAAGCATGTACTCTTGAAAGACAGTGGAACGCAGTAGCTCAGGGTGCTGTTACTGGAGGAAGTGAGGCTAGCGTTCGGCCTCTGGACAGGCCACTTATTTGCACAAGTTCCTCGAGCTCTCTGAGTCTCCATTTTCTTGCATTGGTACACAGATGGCAACTGCGTGTGCCAAGTGATCTCCTTCCCGCGGTAAAGTAGATAATGCCCCGGAGACATTGTCTGACACATAGGAAGTGCTTGCTACAACTTAGCAATTGTGATGTTTCAAGGGAGTGATATTTGCTCTCAGTGGTGCAGTAGGGACAGCAGTGAGCAAATGGAAGTAGGTTGATCTGTGGAGATGGACAAGCACATAGAAGTGTGCAGCAATGTTGGGTGTGGTAGGCAGAGAGGCAGAGGAACTTCTGTTTGCTTCAGTAATATTTGTTCTATTTGCACATTCACATCCTATTCTCTAAAGCCTAGGGCAGTCAAGCCTATAAACTGCAAATAATAGCATCATTCTACTGCAAATACTAGTGTTATAATATTATATATTCATGTTCTGATTTATTTGCAATTGCCATGGCAATTGTTAAGTGTCCTAAAATATAATAAGGGAGCGACATTTGCATTGGAGAGGTTAGATTATATTCAGGGGCAAAAATGTAAAATGTAACTTTCAAATGTCCACTCTATTGTGTGTCCACAAACACACACACACACACACACACCCCTTTACAGAGATAGTCCAAGGTAAGGAGTACAATTTCTCATATAAGGGAAATCAAAATACATTCTTGTATCTTCATGATATTTTTTCCAGATGTGACCTGGCTGGGACAAATCTCTGTAAGATTAATAGTTCCCTGGAACACAACTAATAAAAATTGGAATTTCTCAAGACTTTCCCATATTATTCATTTATTTTTAATTTGACAAATAAAAATTATATGTATATTTAGGGTGTACCATGTGATCTAAATAATTTGAAAGAATCTAGCTGGTGCTTTAATTCTTTCAGAAACTGAAAATTACATACATCTCAAAATATGATTTTTATACTAAGGGATGAAAAGGAGTTGGCATGTGAAATGCGTGCTTATGGGATTCTTCCATAATGTTGTGTTTTAAAGGTGGTGCTATTTGCTGGGGCACTTCAAACCAAGCCTCGTTCTTATAATTAAATGCCTGGGATGGTGCTTTTCCAGACCTCTTTGAAATATGTATTCATTGTGGAATGGCTAAATCAAGCTACTTAACATAGGCATTACATCACATACTTTTCATTTATTTAAGGTGAGAACACTTAAAATCCACGATTGTAGCCATTTTCAAGTGTACAATATGTTGTTTTTAGCTACAACATGTTGTACAATAGATTTCCTGAATTTATTCCTTCTGTTTTAACTAAAAGTTTACGTTTTTGAACAACATCTCCCCAATCCCCCAACCACCTCCAACCCCTGGTAGGTAACCATCACTCTACTCTCTGCTTCTATACGTTTGACTTATTTTATTTCTAGGTATAAATGAGATTATGCGGTATTTGTCTTTGTGTGCCTGGCTTATTTCACTTAACATAATGTGTTCTGGGTCCATCCATGTTGCTGCAAGTAACAGGATTTCATTCTTTTTAAGGCTAAGTAGTATTCCATCGTGTATGCATAACACAATGTCTTTATTAATTCATCCATTTATGGACACTTGGGTTGATTCCATATCTTGGCTATTAGCAATAGTGCTGCGATAAACATGGGGGTGCAGATAACTCTTCACCTAGGTATTTTTCATAGAGTAAAATTTCAATTAAGGCTATTTATCAAATATTGAAACTGAGATGATACAATTGCTTAAGTAAAAATTGGATAGGTTTCTGGGAAGATGGCGTGGTAGTAACTGCATAGTTTTCATCTATTGCCAAATTCCCACACAAAAACAGACAGAGTAACTAGAAATCATACCCCCAAATTCATAGACAATATGGCCAGCAAAATAGATGCCAGGGTATCTCAGAACCACAAACACATTAGACTCAGTCCATGCCACCAGCAGCCCCCTTGTATGATATCAGCTGTAGCTATCTCTGTGAAAAAAATTGAGGTGGTGCTTTAATTCTTCAAGAAATTGAAAATCACATACATCTCAAAATATGATTTTTATATTAAGGGATGAAGAAGAGGAGTTGGCATATGAAATGGGTGCTTATTTGATTTTTCCATTATTGTTGTGTTTTAAAGGTTGTGCTGCTTGCTGGGGCACTTCAAACCAAGGCTCATTCTTATAATTAGATATCTGGGGTTATGATTTTTCACATCTCTTTATTTGATGCTTTGCCTACTAGAGCCAGCTCTGGAAACATCCAGCTTTTAGTCTTTGGATGAACTTATCGATTTTTGAAAATACAATTTTACAATGTAAGTTTTGAAACTGTGACATATATATGTGCGTGTGTGTGTGTGTCTGCATGTGTGTATGTGTGTGTGTGAACACACACTATATATATCTCATATATTCAGATTTTAACTGTCAGTCTAGGCCTCTATACATAAAATAAAACATGTATGATGTGTCCCATGGGGCTAATTTATATAAAACAATTGTGAAATACATGAGCAGAACCAGTCGGTTTTCTTTGAGAGGGATCTCGTAGATCTATTCCATAGAATAAAGATCTAACACTCCTAAATGATAAATTGCTAGGTACTCCTGAGGAATTAATATGAAATGAATCAGAATTTATTTTTGCCAGGCATTTCTTTTGTAGAGTCATTAATCCAGCTAAAATGAAAATATTTGCTACATTGATAAAGTGTTTATGAAGAACCTCCAGGTATCCATATACCTATGTACATCCAATGAAAAACTCTACCAGTAATTAGCAGAAGGCCCCCCACACACATTTGCTCTGTAACAGTAATTTTTTTTTAATTTGCTTAACTAATTGGAAAGACCAGTTTCTGAAACTTATCAAGAATAGTAAGAAAAGTGTCCTACTCAGTAAAATTCATTGACCTAACTCACCCATTAGAGGACTAATGTAATTATTTTAGTGGAAAAACAGTCACCTGATTGGTAAGTACGATAAATTGTGAAGACGATGTTTTTATTAGGTATAGACTCTGGTATTTTCTTAGACCATTTGGGTTGCTATAGCAAAACACCAAAGATACTGGGCAGGTTATAAACAACAGACATTTATTGCCCACAATTCTGGAGTCTGGAAGTCCAATATCAAGGTGTGACAGATTCAATGTCTGGTGGCGACCCACTTCCTGGTTCATAGACAGTGCCTTCTCGCTGTGTCCTCACACAGTGGAAGGGGCAAGGGAGCTCTCTGGCAAAACCCCACCTCTACAAAAAACACAAAAATTAGTCGGTCATGGTGGCATACGCCTGTAGTCCCAGTGACTTGAAAGGCTGGGATGGGAGGATTTCTTGAACCCAGAAGATGGAGGCTGCAGTGAGCCATGATCCTGCCACTGTACTCCAGACTGGGTGACAGTAAGATCCTGTCTCAAAAAAAAAAAAAAAAAAAGAAAGAGAGAGAGAGAAAGAAAGAAAAGAAAGAACTTCCATTGCTAAAGATGTATATGCTTATAAGGTTGAGACAAAGCGAATCTGTCCTTCCCAATGACATTTCAGGGTATTTGTTCACAGGACAGAACATATTAGGGATTGATACTGGCTAGAAATTTCTGTTGAGTATTTATTACCCCATGGTAATAATTGTAAACCACAATTTATAAGGTTTTTTTTGAAAGCCACATCATTTTCCAAAGAGATAATTGGAAGATGGAAATCGAGGGTCAAAGAATGAAATGCAGCTAAGATTTCTGAGAATTTCTGAAAGTTGTACAACATGCCCTATGGCTACTCTTCTGGAGCCTTCAGAGGATATGTGGCCCTGAGACACCTTGATCTCAGACTTCTGGTCTCCAGGACTGGGAGAGAATTTATTTCTGTTGTTTCAAGCTCCCAGTTTGTTGTACTTTCTTATGACAGCCACATACACATAGCTTATGTTCTTTAACCTCTACATAGAATTAATAAAGGAGAAACAGTAAGTTCGAAGTTATGACTACATGATAATTTCTCACTGGTTTTCCAGGTGGTACACTCAAGACACCCAGGCTGTTCCCTGGAGAACCCTCTGCCATTTTCTTCATCCTAATTCGATTCTCCTCTCTCTCTGCTATGTTAAATGCATTTTCTCTGTGAAGATGGGTTCTTTTCTGAGGCCTCTCCAGATGTTCTACCAGAAAAAAAAAAATTGTAATTGGACCAGAGTTTCTTGGTTGCCATGTTTCCCAGGCTGGTCTTGAACTCCTGGGCTCAAGTGATCTGCCAGCCTCAGCCTCCCAAAGTGCTGGGATTACAGGGTGTGAGCTACCGCACCTGGCCAGAGTTATTCTTAAATTTTGACCCATAGTAAGAAATAGGAAATACTCTTAAAGGCCATTGATTTTCAGTGATATTGCCGGAATTCATGGACCTTTTGGTTAGAACTACATGCTTTTTTCTGTCTGAAGCAATAAAATTCTATAAATCTAAATATGTTTTCAAACATTGGTGGGAAATTAGAGATGCAATAACTCCTACAAACCGTGCATGGCAAAGATGTACACCACAACAATTTGGAACAGACAGAGCAGAATTGATCCAATCCTATTGGTAGTCGATACAGCAAGCTTGCATTTTTTAGAACTAACTTTTTCATAGTTGCAGGCAGAGTGATGAAAGATTTTGGCAGCCAGTCTCTTCATATAGACACCAGGAGCTGAACCGACTAGTGTGAATTGACACATAAACTAAGAGAAGATGAAGGACATGGTCAATATGCAACAAAATGCTCTAACCAAAAAATATCCTGCACAAGCTTGGAGCAAGAAGGATCACTTTTAACAGCTTCTCAATCTCAGCACTAATAGGTGGATAATCCCAAGGCCTCCTGGTGTTAGTGTTACCTTTTTTTTTTTTTTTTTCTTTTTTCTTGAGACGGAGTCTCGCTCTGTCACCCAGGCTGGAGTGCAATGGCGCCATCTCGGCTCACTGCAACCTCCACCTCCCGGGTTCAAGCAATTCTCCTACCTCAGCCTCCCGAGTAGCTGGAATTACAGGCACCCTCCATCATGCCTGGCTAAGTTTTGTATTTTTGTAGAGATGGGGTTTCACCATGTTGGCCAGTCTGGTCTTGAACTCCTGACCTCAGGTGATCCACCCGCCTCGGCCTCCCAAAGTGCTGGGATTAAAGGTGTGAGCTACCGTGCCCAGCCTCCTGGTGTTACATTTGCATAACACAGAGTTACATGCTTTCTTGCAAGGCTACCCAAAGAGTTATTTTATATCACTCAAACAAAAGTCCATGGTAACACACCATTTCTAAATTGTTAAAGAGAGGGCTTTAACCAGATCTTCTAGGTTGATGAATTAAATGGGGTAGGGAGAAGAGAAGAGCTTTTTAACTGTGTTTTAAAAAATTGTTGTAGATACTCTTTAACATTTTATGAAATCTGATTTTTGTCAAGATCTGACAATAATAAACTTGATAATGAAAAATCTTCATGCACCCTGAAAGTAAGCAAAATGAAAAATCCTGTAAGCCCAACTCCCTCACTACACCGGGAAACTTGTCTCTTCGTTAGAAATCTCCACTTTGGAAAGCTGAGCTCTGCAACGCTCTGACATGGGGGATTCTTACTGTGGTTATCCAAGTCTCAGAACCTGAGACTTCTTACCATTTACTGTCTGTTTGCAGCCTGAGATGAACTCTTCTTCTTCCCTAGAGACAATGTTATGGGCTGGGAAACTACAAGTCAGACAGAGTTCCTAGCAAATCATCTGCTTTGTTTTTCTTTCTATTTTATTTTCATTTCTTTCTATTTTACAAAGTGCACCACTCTGACAGTATACCTTATGCATGTGTCATCCCCTAAGCTGTGCTGGTTGAATCTAAAGGGTAAAATTGGCTTATTATTTAAAGGAAAAAAATGCATGAATTGTTGAAATGCATGGAAGGGCAGTTTGCCATCGTTTGGCATTCTACACTTTGCAGACCTTGGCATATTTCTTGGTAGCTAGTTGGACGCTGAACACTCAACCAGACTTTTTGGAAAACAAAGTTCACAGAATATACACCTGTTCAGCCCCAGTCTATTCTCTTTGGAGGATGGCATCCCTGTAGTTTTTAAATATCACACAACCATTTGCAATTCTTCTAGCTTCCAAAGGAGGAAACAAAGCAACCTCTGGCTGCAGAGGACTCAAGTATAGGCAGCCGATGTGGAAAGAATTTTGGCAACCGATGGTAGTTCTCCACATGTTAATGATTTCCATTGCTGTTGTGGATCTCAGTGTTGTTTAATTTTAAAATGCACAAAATTGTGATTACACTATGTGAAACCAAGCACCGTCCTGTGTTAGAATTCAACTTTGTGGCAGATGAGTCATTCAATTTACGCCAGAACAAAATTCACATCATCAAGGGAGGGAGAGAAGGAGGAAAGAAGGAGGGAAGGTGGGAGTGAGGAAGGAAAGAGGGAGAGTGGGAGGGAGGAAGAAAAGAAACAAAGACAAAATTTTTCTTAAATAGACGAAGTAATATCCAGGAATAGTGAAGTAATCTTAGGTTCTATACTGAAAATCAAAATTCAAATGGTATGGCAGTATCCTAGCTAGTAGAAATGTTCTGAAATCAGAAAGAGTCTGATATTAATAGATTTCTGTGTGCATTCAACACCACTTATTTAAAGTTTAGGTTTGTGATCATGACTGGCTTCTATTGAGGGTAGCTGTATATTTTGGGGGATATACTGAAAAATAAGAATATACAAAAATAAGAAAATCCACAGTGAAAATAGTACATCCTTGATTTTTGTTTTGTTTTGTTTTATTTCTTACCTTGCTACAGGTCTTCAACATCCTTTATTTTAGAGCCCAGTCTCTACTTTTTGAAGTCTTCTTCTCTCACTTCTAAATTTGTATCTCTCATCTCAGCCCTGCAAGTGGTCTCCCGTGATCTCCAAAACCCTTTGGTATTAAACTTTAATTCTAAACTTGCTTACATTGGTAAAACAAGCTAATGAATTCTTGTTGAAATGAGTTGGATACTTACAAAGGAATTTTTATTAGGAGGTTTTATAACAAGATCTACAAATCACTTAATATGGGTCATTTACTGAGATCAGAAATGGCCCTATAATATGGAAATGGATCTTCTAATGATATCCATTCCAATGATGCTGAGTGTCATATTTTACTTCTAGATAATACCTCTCATTGGGATATATTTTACTTGCTTTATGAATATAAAATGAGGAGGCTCTGGTGCAAGAGCATGAACTTTTAAACTTCGCAGACTAAGTGTAATTCTGATTCTGTAGATGGTAACACTGTTAACAGTAATTCTCTGAGCTTCAATTGCCCCATCTGTAAGGAAGGTGATGACGCTAGTTACCTCATACAAATCATGTGAAAGTTACAAATTTTTATTTTCCTGTAGGGTTTCGTTTTCCTGCCACTTCTTGAGAGATAGCGATCATCATGTGGTATATGTATAAATACCTGTAGACAACATGTGGACAATCTGATGTGTTTCTTCAATAACACTATATGGTACTTATATGCTATATAATGTAGCTTGAGGGTGGATCACAGTACATGCAGATCAGTATTATAATTCTGTGTGTCATGCTTTATAAATGATCATAACTATACAATGGTTTGTTTAGCCATCTCCCTACTAACAGACTTGAGGTTGTCTATAATATTTTGTTATTATACACATACACAAAGCCCTAACATAAAGGTAGATTTTGCACTGGTTATTTGCAATAATCAATTGTTTTTTATGGTGATAATTAAGTAATACTTTAATTATTTTTTAATTTCAATTACTAATTGCTGGTGAATAGAAAAGCAATTGAATATTTACACTGACTTTGTATTCTGTCATTTTGCTGTGATCACTTATTACTTCCAGGAGTTTTTGTTGTAGTTGTTTATTCTTTGGGATTTCCCACAGAGACAATCATATTATCTATGAGGAAAAAGACAATTTTATATCTTCTTTACCAATCTATATAATTTGTATCTCTTTTTCTTGTCTTATTGCATAACCTAGAACCTCCATCACAATTTGAACTAGGAATAGTGAGAGGAGACATCCGTGTCTTGTTCTTGATCTTAGGGCCAAAATATTCAGTTTCTCCTAATTAAGTAGGATATTAGCTTTAGGATGTGTGGAGATATTCTTCATAAAATCAAGGAATTAAGGACTCTACTCCTAACTTGCTCAGAGTTTTTTGTTTGTTTGTTTTTCATGAAGTGGTACTGAATTATAGCAAATGCTTTTTCTGCTTTAATTTATATAATCTGATGACTTTTCTTCTTTAGCTTGCTGATTACATTAATTGGTTTGCAAATGTGAACCAGCCTTGCATAGATAGGATATACCTCACTTTGTCATTGTGTATATATATTTTCACATATGGTAGAAATCTATTTGATAATACTTATGTTTATAATTTTTGCATCTATGTTTATAAGAGACATTGGGCTGTAGTTTTAGTTTTGTGCATTATCTTTATCTGGTTAATCTTGTAGAATTCTATTTGCTATTACCTATGTTAAGAATTTTTGCATTTATGCTTATGAGAGACGTTGGCCTGTAGTTTTTCTTTTGTGCAATGTCTTTATCTGGTTTTGTTATTAGGATCACACTTGCCACATAGCATGACATAAAAAAGGTTCCCTTTGCTCTTATTTCATAGAAAAGATTTAGGAAATTGGGGTTGTTTCTTATGAGCTGGATTGCCACCCTGCAGTCTTCATATGTTGAAATCCTGACACACAGTACCTCAGAATGTGACCTTACTTGAAGATAAAGCCCTTAAAGAGGCCATAAGCTAAAATGAGGTCAGTGGGATGGGGCCCTTATCCATTATGTCTAGTGTCCTAATGAAAGAGACATCAGGGTGTTTGCACACAGAGAAAAGATGATGTGAGGACACAGGGAGAAGACAGACATCTACAAGAAAGCAGAGAGTTCTCAGAAGAAACCAAACCTGTAGACACTTTAATCTTAGACTTCTAGTGTTCAGAATTGTGAAAAAATAAAATTGTGTTATTTAAGGCACGCATTTTGTGGCATTTCATATGGCAACCCAAGCAGACTACTACATGTTTATTCTTTAGAGGTTTGGTAGAATTCTGTAGTTAAACTAGGTGGTCCTGGTACATTTTTGGAAAAGACATTACCAATTCAATTTCTTTACAGATATAAGCCTGTTCAAACGATATATTTGTCTTTGTATGAGTTCTAGCGATTGGTGTCTTTCAGGAATTTTGTTCTTTTCATTGAAATTATCAAATTTGTGGGCATAAAGTTATTTATAATATTCTTTTATTACATTTTCCTGTCCGTGGAATCATTGATGATAACCTGTCTTTCATATGTGATATTACTAGAGTGTGTCTTTTCTCTTTTTGCTTGGATAGTATACCTAGAAGTTTTAAAATTTTACTGATCTTTTTAAATAACCTTTTTTTGGTTGCTGATTTTTTTCTGTGGGCTGTTCTAAAATTTATTGTTATATGCTTTGATTTATTTCCTTCTTCTTGCTCTAAATTTTTAAAATGTATCTCTTTTTCTATACTTTGCCAAGGTGGAAGCTTAGATTATTGATTTTAGATCTTTCTTCTTTAATATATGCATTTATTGTTTTAAAATTTCATTTGCACTCCACATGTTTCAATAAGTTGTATTTTTTATTTTCATTGAATTCAAAATATTTAAAACATTTTCTTCAGACTTTTTCTTTGGCCCATGTGTTATTCAAGAGAGTATTATTTCATTTCCAGATATTTTGGGAATAGTCATCTATCTTTCTGTTATTGATTTCTAGTTTAGTTATATTGTAGGCTGAGAATATACTTTGTTTTGTTACAATCTCACTAATGTACCACAAGGTAGCAGTCTCTCATTGTTTGAAGTATCACCTGGGGTTCTTTGTCTAATGACCAAGAAAATTAAGGAGTGTGGACACAAAGAGTGAGGTGGGAGCAAAAGTTTAATAACCAAAAGAGGAAAGCCCTCTGTAGTGGAGAGGGGCCTGAAAGAAGGTTGCCAACTATGAGGCTGAGTCTGGGGTTTTTATGGACTTGGATGGGGAAGAATGTGCTGACTGGGCTGCAGGCTGTTTTGGAGAAAGCACCATGTAGAAAGAGGTATGAGAGTGTAAATAACCAACTGGAGACAGAAGTGAAGACTTGGCCCAGGATCTTGGACCAGGACCAATCAGCAGCTGAAGTGATGATTCACCCTATGTAAATGAAGACTTAGCTTGCAGCCAATTATAGAAAGATAGGCATATGTAAAATGGGTGAAAGGTAAGAGCCTAAGGCATGCCAAGGAGAAAGAAATGTGCCAGAAAGGGGTGGAATTTGTTCATCTGGGTTCACAGAGTAAGCATTTCCATTCAAGGACGCAAGCTCTTTCTTATCTGGGGCCTGCAGTTTGATTTTCAGGATCTTCTTTGTTTGAAGGAGCTTTATCAAGAACCTACCCTAACTGCCTGTGTGACCAGTTTTTTACTTTCTCCTCTGTTAGTTTGATTTCTATTCTTATGAATGTTTAAGTTGTGTTTTATTGCCCAGAATGTTTTCTGTATTGGTGAGTATTCCATGTGAACCTGAGAAGAATGTATATTCTGCTATTGTTGTATGACTTATTCTATAAATGTGAGTCAAATCAAGTTAATTGATAGAGCTGATCAGTTCAACTATATCTTTTCTGATATTTTTGCTGTTTCATCTGCTAGTTACTGACAGGGGGATTTGAAATGTATAACTAGATTAGTGGATTATTCCGTTTCTCCATTCAGTCCTATCAGTTCTTACCTCATGCAATTTTATGCTCCTGTTTTTGGCAAATACATATTTGGAATTGATATGTTTTCTTGAAGAATTGTCCTCTTTGATATTATAGAATGTGCACTTTAATCCATTATAATTTTCCTTGTTTTGAAGTCTGATTTGTATGAAACTCATTAGATACTCCAGATTTGTTTTGATTAGTGTTTGCATGGCATATCTCTCCATCTCTTTGTTTTTAACATATCTGTGTTTTTAAATTCAAAATGAGTTTTCTTTAGAAATGTATATTGGGAGTTTTTTTTTTTCCTTTAAATCTACCATTATAATCACATCCTTTTAATTGAAGTACATACACATGAGTCTTTAAAGTGATTAGTAATATACTTGGATGAATTTCTAACATGCTTGTAATCCTTCTATTTATTATATTTGTTGTTTGTTTTTTCCCCCATTTTTGGCTGTCTATGCTTTTTTGTTGGGTATTTTTAAAAATTATTTTTATTTTTTGTGTGTACATAGAAGATGTATATATTTTGGGGATACATGGGATATTTTGAGCAGTTTAAGCAATATTATTTGTCCCTTCTCTTGGCATATAAATTACACTTTAAAACAACTTAGTATTTTCCTGAGGATTACTTATTTATCTTTGCAGCTAATATAAGTCACGTTTTGAATACCATGATACTGCTTCCTGGACAATGGAGCTGCCTCTTAAGAGAGTATTCTTAATTCCACCCTCCCATTCCTTATGTAATTACTGCCATGCATTTATTTTATTGACATATATGCTATTATCTCTTAATACATTGCTATTATGGTTACTTGAAATTTCCATCTGTCCAGCCATATGCAGAAGATTGAAACTGAACCCCTTCCTTACACCATATAAAAAAATCAACTCAAGATGGATTAAAGACTTAAATGTAAGACCCAAAACTGTACAAACTCTGGAAGACAACCTAGGCAATATGGACATAGGAATAGGTAAAGATTTCATAACAAAGATGCCAAAATCAATCTCAACAGAAGCAAAAATTGACAACTGGAATCTAGTTAAACTAAAGAGCAAAAGAAACTAATAGAGTAAACAGGCAACCTAGAGAATGGGAGAAAATTTTTGCAAAATATGCATCCTACAAAGGTCTAATATCCAGCATCTATTAGGAACTTAGACAAATTTACAAGAAAATCAAACTACCCATTAAAAAGTAGGCAAGGACAGGAACACACACTTTTCAAATGAAGACATACATGCAGCCAACAAGCAAATGCAAAAAAGCTCAATATCACTGATCATTAGAGAAAGGCAAGTCAAAACCATCTCATACCGGTCAGAATGGCTATTATTAAAAAGTCAAAAAATAACAGATGTTGGCAACGTTGCAGAGAAAAGAGAACACTTCTACACGGTTGGTGACAGTATAAATTAGTTCCACCATTGTGGAAAACAGTATGGTGATTCCTCAAAGAGCTAAAAAAGAATCAGAAGAATGTAATATTTGTTCCATTCCCTGATAAGTCTGGCCAAGTAGAGGAGTGTGTTGGCGCACACTAAGTGCTTATCGAATCAACCTTACAAAAAGACAAATTTGACAGTGGTAATAAACATAAGGCATGGTGGGGCAGAGAATTTTGCTCCTGAAGTTTCAGTCATGTGGAATAAGAAAGTATTCCAAGATTTTTGTTTGCAATTGTGGAAAGAAAGTAGTCTGAGATTTATGTCTGCAGTTGTAAAATAATATTCAACATGTATGCCTGAAGGTCAAAAGGCATCTGTAAGTCTAGTGAATGCATTTACATTTTATTTTATTTTAGTCTTTTGTCTTGGATGAATGCAAAAAGAGAGCTTTTGAATGCTGTAGATTAAAAGGCAATAGGCTTAGCTTTTCTTCTTGCTAGAGCCAAAGGAGCAGCTTGCAGCTCCCTGTGGTGGACAAATAGTGCTCTTGAGAAATGCTGCCTGCAGATTTAAGAACACTAAGACAAAGGTAACCTAGCAATAACACCATTTCCAACAAGGTATCCAGTTAATTGTGCATTCACATTGTCAAAGATTGCCAGTCTCATGTTAAAATATACATGGGCATTCACTACAGAGGAGAGAGGTCATAAATTACTCCTATTATTGCACAGGAGTAAATGTGCAATGGAGGTTTCCTTGTTGCTCCTTCACCTGCAGCTTGTTACAACTTTATGTTCATAGCTAAACTCGGTTGCAGAGGACATGAATGAATGACAACATCAGTCAAATAGCATTCCAACAAGAAAAAATTATCTCCTTGAATGCCAAGAAGGAAAGGAGGGTGGAAGGGAGGGAGGGATGAAAGAAGAGAGAGAGGGAGGAAGAAAAGAAGGACGAAGGGAGGGAGAGAGGAAAATTAAAGAAAGATAAGGGGGAGAAGGAGGGGAAAGAATAAAAAAGGGAGAGAGAGAGAAAGAAAAAAAGAAAGAAAGAAACAAAGAAAGCCCAGCCCTTCAAACCCCACAATGATTTCTGAGTGATTTTTAAAGTTTGCAAAATATTGATATAGTAGAAAAAAATGGATCAATTCCAAATTTGTTACAAATGTAAATGTTAGCAACATTTAGAAACAACACCACTTTTGGCATTAAATTAAATGGATTTATCAAAGATCTACATCAAACTGGTTCAAAGAGAAGTATAAAATTTTATCAACCATTGACCTCAACAAATTAAGCCTACAACGAAAGGCTTGCCATTACTAAAAGCACCAGGTCAGATATTAGTGGGACAACTTTTAAAATATTAATAAAGAAGCACCTCTGATGAAATAATTTTTAAAGAACAAAGTAAAAATGAAATTTTACTCAGAAAATATACTTAGCTTTAGCTTAGTACCAGAGTCTGATATACCACAGAAATAAAATTCATGTGACAATATTATTTGTAAATAATGATGTGAAAAACCTAGAAAAAATATGACTTAACTAGGATTTTAATAGAATGAGTCATGTGGCCAAAAACATTATCATCCCAGAAGCATAAAACTTTAATATGAGGAAATAGAATATTAAAAAATATTACATATTTAGGTCAATATTTTAAAACACTTCAAGTGTGTGCAGGAAGTAACTACAATTAAAATGTTAATTGCAATATGTCTGCCTATTGAATTATGGCTTACTTTAGATTCTCTCTCCCACATCACCACCTTTCCAAAATGTTCTCAAACATATTTTTTATTGTTATGCTTTAAATATAAACAAAATATTATTTTAAATTGATGTTTAGAATTTACTACCATTAAGCATGCATTAAAGATAAAACAACCTTTTAGAAAATGAGGCCTAATCAAATATTTTATTAAATAAACCAACTATTTCTCCTTAAACCAACATCTAGAGAATCACTTAATGATGTCATCCTTGAAACTGGCAGCCAATGAATTGACTCTTCCTGCCATTTTCCTGCAAACTCGAATTCACTCAAATCTGCTATGTACTGAATTCTTGTGTCCCCTGAAATTCCCGTGTTGAAGCCCTAACCCCCAAAGTTATGGCATTTGGAGGTGGAGCGCTCATAATGGGATGAGTGTCCTTACAAATAAACAACAGGAGACCAGAGACCAGAGAGCAGAGCTCTCTCTCTCTTCCATGTGAGGGCACAGTAAGTCAGGAAGTGATCCCTCACCAGAGAAGTCCATCTGCCATGCCTTGAACTTCCAGCCTCCAGAGCTGTGAGCAATAAATGTCTGTTGTTTAAGCCACCCAATCTATTTAGTTAGCAGCCTGAACTAAGACAAGACTTCAAAAGGAAAGAGAGATATAATTTTGGGAAAGCACGAATTATAATTATAATTTTTAAAGATAATATATTTAAATACATAGACAATTCAAGACAACCAAATTAACATGAGAATTAATAAATCTAAAAGCATTTCTATGCATTAGCAATGATTAGTTAAAAGATAAGATGGAGAAAAATGAATCTACTCAAAGTGAAATTCTTAAAGAAGCCCACATTGAAACTTTAATAACTTTATAAGGGAAAGTATCAAATCTAACTAGTATAAACGGAGAGGCATACTATATATGTGATGTTTATGACTGGATGCTATAGAAAAAGAGGGAACAAGGAAAAGGGGAGAAAAGGAAAATTTTCTACCATGTTGATATAGAGTTTTAATGAAAAACAAACACATTTCCAATTACATTTACTTTGTGACTTGGCACAGTCTATTGTGAAAAATGAAAATATGTACTATATATTATGTAATATGTATTACAAATGTAATATGCATGTAATATAATAAATGTAATGTGTTTATAATACATTACCAAATGTACCATGTATTACCTTTCAAAACAGGTAATATGTATTTTTAAAAGGAAAAAATCTATCAGATAATTAATATATTATAGTGGACCTAGGATTCACATTCACACTCACATGTACTATGCATGTAATGTAATAAATGTAATGTAATACATTACCAAATGTAGTATGTATTACATTTCAAAATAGGTAATATATATTTTTAGAAGGAAAAAATGTTTACCAAATAATTAATATATTATAGTGGACCTAGCATTCACATTCAGAGCACAGAAAGGAAGAAATAATCTTGAAGCTGCCCATTGTATATATAAGAGTAAAATATACCAGATTAGGACATTACAGATGAATTTACTTTAAATGGATTGCTAAAGTAATGCTGTTTTGGGGAATTAACCCCTTGTAATAACCAGAGCTATAGCCATCATTTCCAAATGAGTTATGGGGTGAAGTTGAAAGAATGCACTTAGAAGAAAAAAACAAGAGGAGGTTCACAGTCATGGATGGTGTCCTTAGTGGCCAGACAGATATAAATTCACACAGTCTTCATTATGGCCAGACAGTGCCAGTAGCAGACAAAGAGAGGCAGGGTGGTATGGTGGAGAGACACTCTGGAATCAGCAGGCTGGGTATAAATTCCAGGCTTCAAGCCTCTGACATTAAATCTGTAAAATCAGGATAATAATTGTCACCTCATTGTGCCATTTGTGATGAACTTTAAAGAACCAATATTTGCAAGGAAAAGGGGGTCCATGATGTCAAAAGGCTTTGCTCTAGTTGGAATAACCTTCCTTTGACACAAATATTTCTGATAAATCAGACAGAATTCACTAAAAGCAGAGCCAATATTTGCAGAGTGTTCAAAAACAGTTCTTTGAACGTGCAGAATATGATAAAGTTTTCTTAGATGAACCCCCAGTAGAGTTTTTCAGTAGGCTTGATGGTGTTTTCCTAGTGGACCCAGCAGGAGTATCCTTGGCAGCTGGGAGTTTTCATGCAGATGGAACGTCAGGGGCTTCACGATGAAAAATGCTGCAATCTCTTATTTTGTAGCATTGTCTGTGGATGCTAAGTTGCATCCTTTATCTCCGTTAATGGAGTGTGTATTATTTTTCTACATTTACAGACATCTTTCCATCAGATGCTCTTGTCCTTGTGCAAACTATATGAAAGTCAGAACATCAAAATGAAATATAGAATAAGGGAAAATGGATAAATGCAATGTTAACTGACCGCTCTGGGCATGATGGTGCAAGGTGCCATGTTATTGTATTTTCTTTCCTGTCATTTCGATGCATTCTCTTGACTTATTCTTTCCTTCTTTTTTGGGGAGGAAGGGATATCAATAAGGCCCTATTTAGGAGATTAAAAAAATCCAGTCCAGTCTAGTCATGGAAATCAAAACTCTTACCCAAGTAAAGTTTTTCACTTGCCCTATGCCATGGTTTGAATATTTGTCCCCTCCAAAACTCATGTTGAAATGTAATCTCCAGTGTAGCAGTATTGAGAGGTGGGGCCTGTGAGAGGTGACTGGGTAATGAAGGCTCTGCTATCATGAATAATGCATTAATGAGTTAATGCATTTATGGTTTATCAAGAGAGTGGGAGTAGTGGCTTTATGGGAAGAGGAAGAGAGACCTGAGCCAGCACTATTAGCACCCTTGCCATGTGATGCCCTGTGCCACCTCGGGATTCTGCAAAGTCCCCACCAGCAATAAAGCACTCACCAGGCTAGGTGCAGGGTCTCACAGCTGTAATCCCAGCATTGTGGGAGGCTGAGATGGGAAGATTGCTTGAGGCCAGGAGTTCAAGACCAGCCTGAACAACATAGTGAGATGCTGCCTCTCCAAAAAAAAAAAAAAAAAAAAAAAAAAAAAAATTAGCCAGGCATGGTGGCATGTGCCAGTAATGCCAGTTCCTTGGGAGGCTGAGGTGGGAGGATCCCTTGAAGCCAGGAGTTTGAAGCTGCAGTGAGCTATGATCATGCCACTGCACTCCAACCTGGGTGACGGAGTGAGATCCTGCCTCTAAAAGTAAAAATTACAAAAAGAAGCCTTTCACCAGATGTAGCGCCTTGACCTGAGACTTCTGAGCCTCCAAGTCTGTAAGAAGTAAATTTCTTTTGTTTATAACTTACCAAGTTTCATGCATTCTGTTAGAAGCAACAGAAAACAAACTAAGAAACCCTAGTTCTAGCCAGTCTCGGTTCAGAAATACAACTGGAGTCAAAAGCCATGGTTAAATTTTTCTAATTTTCCACTTACTCTTAAGCAACATTTTGTCTATTTGCTCAGGTACCTTTCAGTGCCTGTTTCTTTCAAGGTAGGAGTGTGGAAAACAACACACCCAGGTAAGGCATAAGAAGGAGGTGTTGTAGAAAAGTCGCACAGTTGAAATGTGATGTGGCTATGACAGGGTATGGCTGATTCAAAGCCCTGATTTGTTCTTTCCTGGGGTATTGTTGGGGTCTGGAGATATCATTTTCACTAGAAAAGATTTATGAAGTTTTCTTTTTCCAGGCACTGTCTCCTTCAGCTAGATGTCCTTGGGTTCTCTTATGGCTTTGATGTAGTTTCTTTTTTATTTTATTTTATGTTCTGGGGTACATGTGCAGGACGTGCAGGTTTGTTACATAGATAAAAGTGTCCCATGGTGGTTTGCTGCACCTATTAACCCGTCACCTAGGTATGAAGCCTGGCATGCATTAGCTATTTTTCCTGATGCTCTCCCTCCCTTGCCATCCCCCTACAGGCCCTGGTGTGTGATGCTTCCCTCCCTGTGTCCATGTGCTCTCATCGTTCAGCTTCCACTTAGAAGTGAGAACATGCAGTGTTTGGTTTTCTGTTCTTGTGTTAGTTTGCTGATGATAACGTCTTCTAGCTCATGCATGTCCCTCCAAAGGACATGATCTCGTTCCTTTTGGTAGCTGCATAGCATTCCATGGTTTATATGTACCATATTTTCTTTATCCAATCTATCATTGATGGGCATTTGGGTGGATTCCATGTCTTTGCTATTGTGAATAGTAATGGAATGATTTATATTCTTTTGGGTATCAATAGCTGAATTGACCAAATGATGCAGTTTCAATCATTTGTCTTCTTGGATGCCAGTTTGCACAGAAACCCTTCCTGTTCTGTGCTGGGAGCATATAACCATGGACAAGAGGTCACTTTCAGAGTTTTCAGCTGTGAGTCTCATATATTTCATCCTCAAGGAGGCATATGTTAAGCTCCCTGATTTGATCTCATAACAAGGGAAATGTTACCAAAACACTAGGGGTTTAGTTTAGGTCCTGTTGCTCACCAGAGAGAAAGCCAATTACTGAGACAGGTGTTGCCAAGGAAGAAGACTTTTATGGGTGCAGCAGCCAAGGGGACAGGGGATCAATGTCAAATCCATCTCTGCAACCAAGTCAAACTGAAGGTTTATATGTTGCGGAAGGAATCTACAGGAATTGGGGGAGGTGGGTAAGGAAAAGGAGCTTCAGTTCCTTGATACTAGCTGCGAGGCCTGAGAGTCAGTTTCCTGAGAAAGGAAATCAGATTAGACCAATGTGAGTTTCAAGCTTTAAGACTGGGAGGAACCATCTCTATGTTGATTAAAAATAATAACAATAGGCTGGCCATGGTGGATCATGCCTGTAATCCCAACACTTTGGGAGGCTGAGGTGGGTGGACCACCTGAGGTCAGGAGTTTGAGACCAGCCTTGCCAACATGGTGAAACCTCGTCTCTACTGAAAATGCAAAAATTAGCTGGACGTGGTGGTATGCACCTGTAATCCCAGCTACTGGCAGGAGAATCACTTGAACCCAAGGCGGCAGAGGTCGCAGTGAGCTAAGATTGTGCCACTGTACTCAAGCCTGGGTGACAGAGTGACACTCTGTCTCAAAATAAATAAATACATAAAAATAAAAAAATTTTATAATTAAAACCAAACTAAAAATTTAAAAAATTAAAAAATTTTAAAAATGAAAAAGTAAAAAAACTAGTTTTCAATCATTAATTTAGAAGCCAATCCTAAAATCTGAAGGTTGAAAAGCTGAAACAAAAAGGAATCAGATGAGGCGTAATCCATGCTGATTCATTCTTCTTTCAAAGCAAGCTCTCAAAATCTTGTTTTATCTTGTATACACACACACACACACTCTTTCTCTTTCTCTTAAGAAATATAGAGGAGAAATAAAAGAGAATTTTACTGAACAAAATCAGGTGATAAACAGGAGTAAGTGGACAAATAATCATAAATATATCAAGCTAACTGTAATCATCAGTTGTATTAAAGAAACTCTTTAATGCAGGAGTGTAGGACTGTCAAGAATGGTGAATGATCTGAGATATCACCCTCCTTGCAAACAGACCATTTAGCTTAGCATGTTTTCATAAATGCTGATGGAAGACATGAGATTCCTGATTCAGAGACAAAAGATACTATTACGCACAGCAGGAAACATGAGCTTCAACTTCAAGTGTGTGGGAGTTCTCCCTGCATTCTCCCTGTCATTCTCTCTGTGACTTCTCCCTGTCATTCTGTAGGGATGACTTAGAGTGTCTGAGTAAATACTGCTCATGCTGTAAGTTCGTGTTACATCTGAGGGACTTCAAGCTTAAGAAATTCCCATCTTTCGTGAGAGTGAGAAACTGCCTACCGTTTGCCTCTGGTGGAGATGTTATCTTTATGATACTGGACAGTTCTCCCCACCAGAGATTCTTCCAACTATGTTGTTATGTTTCAAACATCTTTGAAAAACATTCAGAATAGAAGTTGTTGATCCTCCTCAGGAAATAATTGCATCTCAAGAGAGACAGTAATCACCACTAAAGCCACTTTGACTTGATATTGTTTTAGACAACATACCTGAGACAAAAGCAATTTTTAAAAATCATACAAAATCAGAAAGAGATAACACATTAGCAACATTCACAGTTAATAGGAATGCAAAAGTGATAAAAAATTAAATTTCTTCCTTAAGCAATGACGTCATGCGGTAAATCTGCAGGATAAAGAAATGAATACATAAAAATTAATAGCAAATTATATACACACATATAATTTAGAAAATAAAAAGAAATAAAATACGCAAATATAAACTAAGGACGAAATTATAGTAGTCCTAGGACTTCAGGAGTAAACGTATCAGAGAAACACATAAGCTTTATAAAAAATACAGTTGAGAGTTCACTTAGGCACAGATTTTTTTTTTTCAACCAAATGAGGATCGAAAACACAGTATTCATGAGATGGGCAATCTGAGTATACTGAGTTTACTCGTTTTACTAAGGTCCAATTTATGCAAGTTCTGCAAGGCATGCTTTGGGACATGAGTATGCTCAGATTTTGGTATAAGCAGGAGTCCTGGAGTCTATCTGTCTCATATACTGAGGATGATTGTAATTCCAGTGTTATAAAGGAGGATACAATCTACGTGGATTAAGGAAAACAAGCACTATCTTTGTGCCCAAGTTATCAATACTAGATATCAATTATCTCCAAATTAAACTATAAGTGAGTGCAATTCTACTTTAAAATACCACTTTTTTTGAAGGAAAAGAAATCAGATATGGTGACTCTTTTATAGAAAATCAAACTGGGGAGAATAGAATATTCTGAAACAGACTGATAATGCATGGAATTTTCCCTACCATCTAATTTATATTAGTGCTTTATTTATACCTTAGACAAGCATGAAGCTCATAGCGGAAACTGAGGTCTCCAAATGCTTGTGTATAACTCTTCCACTACCTCTTACTAGATTCAAGACATACAGCAAGTTCCTTAGCATCATTGTGTTTATATTTTCTCATTTTTTCAATTGTGACAATAAATCACTAGTATTGTCAGTCTTTTGTATAAATGGAAAGGAATTTGTATACAAGATCTAGTTAAAATATTGTCCTGTATGTAGTATGCATATCGCCCGCAAAATGTAGGGGGTACCTAATTTTTAGCTATGGTGTCATTACTTTTGGCATAATTGGAAATGGAATAATGAGTTGGGATTAGGATATGAAGAGTTGAATAAATACTTGCAATAAAGTAGTGCATCCAGGAACAGATCCCAAAATATAAAACAAGTTAGTATATGATGTAGGCTTCCATCACATTTGAAAATTTTTAGTAGTAAGTGAGTATCCCTTGAGGGGGGAAAGGTGATTCCTGTCATCCATTTATATACACTAAAATTCATTTCCTCTGGATTAAATATTTCAAGGTAAAAAGGAGTACAATACAGTGCCAGAAAAAAGCTTGAAATGATTTTGCTTAAATGATCTCAGAGTGGTAAATATGGTTTTAGCACTGAACTCACGTATTGTTAAAATGTTGGTATATTGGATTACATTTTAATAGATTGCAAGTACTATCAGTAAAATCAGAGTACACATGAAAACATTAAGTATTAAATTCTTTAATATATAAGTATAATGTGTATTTTAATATACAAATACATAAATAATATTTTAAAAGGATAATATACATTATTCACAAAAATACTATTTAAGGCCGGGTGCGACAGCTCACGCCTGTAATCCCAGCACTTCAGAAGGCCGAGATGGGCGGATCACGAGGTCAGGAGATCCAGACCATCCTGGCAAACACAGTGAAACCCCGTCTCTACTAAAAATACAAAAAAATTAGCCGGGCGTGGTGGCGGGCACCTGTAGTCGCAGCTACTTGGGAGGCTGACGCAGGAGAATGGCGTGAACCCGGGAGGTGGAGCTTGCAGTGAGCCGAGATTGCGACACTGCACTCCAGCCTGGGTGACAGAGTGAGACTCCATCTCAAAAAAAAAAAAAAAAAAAAAAAAAAAAAAAAAAAACACGATTTAATTTACAAATAAGCTATTACTCATCACATTGGTAGAAATGTCAATTAAAATTTAAACATTCACTTCATAGATTGGTAAAGAGGACGTTTCATAACACACAGCAAATTGATGAGTGGATGGAGAAACTCTCTCATAAATAACTGATAAGAAAATAGACTATTGTAACATCATTGGAGGAATTTTGCAATACCCATCATGATGAAAAATACACATACATTTTGATGCAGGAGTTCCAGTTTTAGGAACAGTTTTAATCAGGAGTGTGTAACGAATCAGAAGCATCTTGCTTTTCTCAGGGCAGTTCCTGGAAGCTCCACCCACCACCTTCCACTCACGTCTCATTGGTTAGGAAGAGCTCCAGATGGGCATGCTACCTTCTGGGGAATCTGAGCAGGTAAAGATTTTTATCTGGACACATTGCCTTTCTAAGCAAAACTGCCATTACATAGTGGTTTATTGTTCTTTTCAATTTTATTAGGCAGCCTCCAAAACCAGAACAAGTTCAGAGGGAATCCTCATAGTGGTTTCTTATACAGATACGTAGAAAGATTAAAGACCAAGATAGTAGACATCGTACAAATAAGTGTGTGTGTATATGCATTTGTGTAAGTATGTGGGGTGTGTGTGTGTGTATTGTTTAAAAGGGCAAAAAGATTAAAAAGAAAGATAGTGGACATTGTACAAATAAATGTTTGTACATGCATTTGTGTATGTGTTTGTGTGTGTGTGTATGTATATGTATATTTTTTGAAGGACAAAAAAAATCTTGGTAATAATTTGCCTCTCATCAATAGGAGTGGAAGAAGCATATTTCATTTTATATATTGAATTGTAATGAAATTTTTACCATATAATTATTACTTTGTAATAATACACTCAAGACTATTACATATGATATATATATTAGTAATACTAATCATACATATTAATACATATATAATATCTACATATTACTTATATGAATATATAGTACCTATTACATACGTGTTAAAATATTCTGTATGTATATAATATACACATGTGTTATATATAATATATTTTAGGTAATGCATACATATATATATATGTATGTATGTATTGTAAACCAAAAATAAACTTCTAAGGCCTGCCCCAACCATCTGAGTGGACCTCTCCTCTCAGACAAGGGCATTCCGGGGTTAACCTGAAAATCTAGTTCAGGCCATGACTGAGGAGAAGGGAGTCAGACATGCCTCATTCTACCCCTCGGTATTAACATCAACACAGACCTTAAGTCTGATAAGAAACGTTTACAATCTATTGTATGTGAAGCTGTCTACCTGGAGGCTTCATCTGCATGGCAAAACCTTGGTCTCCACAACCCTTTATCTTAATGCAGATATTCCTTTCTACTGATAGTAGGTTGGTGCAAAAGTAATTGCAGCTTTTGCCATGGAAAGTAAACCGCAATTACTTTTGCACAAACCTAATAATAACGCTTTCAACCAATTGGCAATCAGAAAAATTTTAAACCTACCTATGACCTACAAGTCCCGCACCTTTCTACTTCCAGTTGTCCAACCCTTCCCGATCAAACCAATGTAAATCTTATATGTGTATTGACTGATGTATTATGTCTCCCTAAAATGTATAAAAGCAAACTGTGCCCTGACTACCTTGGGCACATATCATCAGGACCTCCCGAGGTTGTGTCACAGGTGCATCCTTAACCGTGGCAAAATTAACTTTCTAAATTGATTGAGACCTGTCTTAGATATTTTGAGTTCACAGTGTACATTTTAAATATATACATAAATGTACATGCATAGCTTAGTACACTTAATTGTACATTATTAAGGTATTATGAAAGACTCAAGGAGTTAATATATGAGAAGACACTTGGTAAAATGAACACAAAGTATACCAACCTAAGTAATTAATTTACTCACTGAAACAATTTATATTTGTTTCACTTCAAAACCTGTTTCAAACACCAATTAAATAAAGTTCAGTATGTCTCCAAGTTTAAACTAAAAACAAGGTCAACAAAATTTCCTCACCCATCAACTTTATCCAGACAAAGCCATTAGAATGTGTCTGAGAGGAAAAGCATTTTAATTGGTGTATAATAAACATTAAAAGCTCTCCCAAGTGGAAATGGCTTGATGAAGTCAAGCCGTGCTTATTAATCAGAGTCTGGATTTCAATGTTGATGCCGCCTCACTTCCCTGCTTTTTCATCTTCAGTTTTCACAATATTTTCTGATTTATTTTGTGGGGGGAGTATCTGACTCTCTCTTCAAATCAAAACAGAAACTAGAAATAAAAACTGATAGGTTTTTACTTTGGTAGATGCAGTAGAAATGTTCACAGAGTGGTTCAGATATGTATACATGGAAATTAGTCTTCAGTGGTGAAATTTAAGGGGTCAAAGATCATTTTGGAAGCAATATTTGCAACAAAATGCTTTCACTCTATATGAATTCTCTAAACCATTATTTGAATGTGAACATCAATAAGGTCCTGCTCCCATAGAGAATGCAACAGGCAGAGAGATTACGCATCTCTTGTATCCTCATTTTCCATCTGGGAAAGTTCAAGGCACTAATGAGCTCTAGGAATACAAAGATAAATAGGATGTTGTTTTGGTGCTAAGGAGCCCATCATAACCACAAATGTAGGAGTGAATTAGGTTGGTAGAACGAGTAATAGTCTCAGATTTAGGTTGCAACAATGGCTTCACGAAATTTTAGCCATGCAAACTTGAATACATTTATCTCCCTGACACTTACTTTTCTTGCCTTTGAAGTGAGATGAATACTTCTATACTGAGCTAACATATCTTCGCAAAGATTAAGCAAGAAATTGATTGAAGAGCATCTATACTCATGTCTGACACATGGTGCAGAGACTACAAGCAAATTTTAGTTTTCCCTAAAACACAAGTGCTGAAATAAAAGGTGTAGAAAGTACTGCAGGAGGAAGAAAGATAATGTACATAATCTTTTGTGGGGAGGAGGCAGAAGAAGTGATGAGAGATTATTTGAATTATGTGAATCCTAGGAAAAGAATCATAGACAAAAAGTGGCACCGGTGGTGGGGCAGAGGACTTGGTGTAGATGGAGAACTGATGAGTAATACGTAGACTAGGCCAGGCATGGTGGCTTATGCCTGTAATCCCAGCACTTTGGGAGGCCGAGGCATGTGGATCATCTGAGGTGAGGAGTTCGAGACAAGGCTGGCCAACATGGAGAAACCCCGTCTCTACTAAAAATACAAAAATTAGCTGGGTGTGGTGGTGCGCAGTGTAATCCCAGCTACTCAGGAGGCTGAGGCAGGAGAATTGCTTGAACAATTCTCAAGGGAGGTGGAGGTTGCAGTGAGCTGAGATCGCACCACTGCAGTCCAGCCTGGGAGACAGAGCAAGACTCCGTCTCAGAAAAAAAAAAAAAAGATGTAGACTAACAAGGTATTCTTCTGCAATTCAATTTTTACTTTCTAAGTGAGGAGTAGACAGTGGTATGCCATGGGAGCTGGTTAAGGAAAACTTAAAGCATGGGTTTCTGCTTTTGAGTCTTTAAAGAAAGAGAACTCTTGGAGACATGTTGAATGTTGAGTGATGAAATTGAATTTGGAGAAAAGTAAGTCAGTGATACCAATTTATTCATTTGTTAGAAATTGATTTGTCTCCCTCAAAAAGATATGTTGAATTCCTCATCTCTAGTACTTGTGAATGTGACCTCATTTGAAAATAGGGTCTTTGCAGATGTAATTAAGATGTAAGTTAAGACAAGGTCATAGTGCAGTAGGGTGGGAACTTAATCCTGTATGACTAGTGTCTTTATAAGAAGAGGAGGCTGGGCATGGTGGCTTATCCCCACAATCCCAGTACTTTGGAAGGCCAGGGCGGGATTGCTTGAGCTCACAAGTTTCAGACCAGCCTGGGAAACATGGTGAGACCCTGTCTCTACAAAAAATACAAAAATTAGCCAGGTGTGGTGGTGCACGCCTGTAGTCCCAGCTACTGAGGAGGCTGAGATGGGAGGATCACTTGAGCCCAGGAGGCAGAGGTTGCAGTGAGTTGACATGGCACCACTGCACTCCAGCCTGGGCAACAGAGAGAGACACTGTCTCAAAAAAAAAAAAAAAAAAAAAAAAAAGGAAAGAAAGAAAAGAAAAAAAACAGAAGAGAAGAAAAGTAGGCACAGAGAACAACACACATAGGGAGGAAAAGACACAGACACACAGTCATGATCTAGGCAGAGGTTGCAGTGATGTGGCCACAGCCCAAGGATTGACAGAAACCAGCAGAGCTGGGAGAGTCAAGAAAGTATTCTCTGATAGAGCTCTCAGAGACAGTACAGACCTGCCAACACCTTGAATTCTGACTTGTGGTGGCTTGAACTGTGAGAAGATAAATTAATCTTGACTGAAGCCGCCAAGTTTGTGGAACATTGTTTCTGTAGCTCTAGAAACTAATACAGATGGAATGGACAGAAGGAACGTCATCATGTGGGAACAGAGAACAAGGGATGGCTTTAATAAGTAATCAGATGTTACGATCTGGCTGGGCACGGTGGGTCACACCTGTAATCCCAGCTCTCTGGGAGGCTGAGACAGGCAGATGGTTTGAGGCCAGGAGTTTGAGGCCAGCCTGGGCAACAGAGTGAAACCCCATCTCTACAAAAAATAAAAAAATAAGCCAGGTGTGGTGGCTTACACCTGTAGTCCCAGCTACTCAGGAGGCTGAGTTGGGAGGATTGCTTAAGCCTGGAAGGTTGAGGCTACGGTGAGCTGGGTGACAGAGAAAGACTGTCGCAAAAAAAAAAAAAAAAGTGAGAATTAGATTCAGAGAAAACCAAAAAGGGCAAGGCTGCTGAAGTCTCTTCCTACAAGGACTGGGTGGGTAATGCTAACTTTAATCAATTGATGAATACTCCAGGAAAAGAACTTTTGGGGAACTAATGTGTTCGTTGTTGGTCATACATTTGAGCTGTGTGCTGGGAAATTAGGAGGAGAAATCTAGACACGGAGAGAGAGAAATCAAAGAACCCTGAGATGAAGCAGGCAAAATGTTGCCTAGCAGAATGCAAGCTACAAAACCGAGATAGAAGGCACTTTCATGAGAACAGGTGGCCAACACTTCCAACTGCATGCTCCTTTGCTGGAGAGAGCTACGTCTGATAAGCAGAACAGGAGAGGTCCATTCAAAGTCATCATTCTGATAAGAACCAGAGTCAAGAAGGAAGTTTAGATTTTTCTCACTCATCATCCACGTTTTGATGTCAGTTGAAACCTAAATTGATTGCCAGTGCAGAATGCTTCAAGATTATACCATTTCTAACAAAGAAGAGCTTTAGAAATTGCTGTGTCTTTTAGAGTCCATCATTTCACCATACAAGGTCAAACACATCTGAGGATAGGTACTTCCTCTTATAATAAAAGTTTTAGACCCTCCTCCTGCATTCTAAGAAGGTTTCCCTGAAGTCTGCACATGCCTTGACGGACAGAGAGAAGATAGATGGCCATTTATTACCTGCAATTTCCCCAGTACTAACTTAGGTGCCCCATTAAACCATCTATCAGCCCTGCTAGGTACGACCATTTCCCCAGTTTTCCACATGAGGAAGCAGGTGATGGGATTTTTCAAGGTCATGCAAGTAGTGGCTCACCCATGTGGTCTTTGAAACCAAGCCTGAGCCCTTTCTGTTTTCACCGTGCTGCACTCCTGGCTGACATCTAGTGCTTTGGTGCATTTTCTAGATGACCGTCAAAGTAACATTGTTATAGGGGTATATCAGGGCTTTTTTTTGACATCATTATGGTAAACCTCCCTGTCCCTTTGGATATTTTTAAGAGGAGCAAGGAACATTATGCCCCTTCCTGCTTCATCTAGCAACTTAGCATAATGAGTACATTTCCTGCTTTTTTTTTTTTTTTCTTTTGACAACTGCACAACTCCATCAGACCTCTGCTTGTGTTTCGGTGTTTGACATTGTTCTCTCAGGTATCCTTTGAGTTTGAAGAGTCCCGAATTATTCTACAGAGGAGCCATGATCCTTGCTTTCTCATGAGTGCCAGAAATAATATAAACCAGACACCATGAATAATACATGAGCATCAATTTCACATCAGGGTTATTTCTGGCACCGACTGTCTGTCTGTCAATAGCATATTAACAGCAGGCACTGTTTTTTTTTTTTTTTATGATGGTAGAATGGTAAAAATAATGAACTGGCATTCAGCCTTGGAGATTCTCTCTGGAATGTAATGTTCCTCTGTCTAATACTTTTTAAAACATAGACGTGAAGAAGTTTTGTGGTTTGGCAAAAGAATCCTGGCTCTACTTTTGGTGTTTTGTTGTCTTTATTGAAATAGAAAGGGTGGATGTTTTGTACACAGTTCTGGAGGTGGCAGTCTGGCTGTGTCGCAGACTGAGAATAATAAGTTCCCTTAAAGACCATCACGGCTTCCTCAGCATCTTCTATTCTTGGATAATAACCACGGCTCCTAGAAACTGCCACCACTAATGACCTATTCTTTATGATAGCTTACTTCGCACCACAGTGAGAAGTATTTTTCTCCATTAGAAGTTTAAGTGTTCAGCAGTAAAATTGGCAAGAAAACCACTGGCTTGCATACAAAGCCTACAGGTTGCTATTCTAATGACTTTCTGTTCAAATACACATTCCAATTAAAAGGAGAATGTGGAGACCCAGCACAGGCAAAGATGAACAGCCAAGGAGCTGAAAGTCCGCCAATGTTCCATACGTTACATAACACAGCCTTCCTCACATGTTAGAATCTACTCCCTCTGTTTCTGATGATTCTTCTGACTCTTCATAAAACTCTCATCACCCTGAGTTTGTTATATTGCTGAGGCATTTTATGCGTTTGAAGAGCTTTAATTTTGAGGTCTTCTGTGTTTGAGGTTTAAAGGAAATATTCCTTCCTGCCAGGTCAAAGCAATTAAATCATAGTTTGTTGCACTGAAAACTGGATTTCAGAGATGTGGTCTGACTCTCGCATGAGTCTCTTTGATTCAGAAACATTTAGTATCTGTTCACTCTCTGGCACTAAGCCGAGCACCAAGGGAACACGTATGAATGAGTCTGAGTTGTTTTCCTGCAAGAGATTTTAGATTACGACTGAGTGAAGAGCGTGTAAGGGCTCTCAATAGAAAAATCAAGGATAAGGCTAAATGAAAAATGAATATTGGGTCCAAAGGAGTAGAAAGAGATCAGATATTTTGTCACAGAGGTTGAGTTGGGAAGACTTTGAAGAAAGAGATGCCATTTGAGGTGGGACTTTAAGAATTTTGAAGTTTGGACCAGAAAAAAAGGGAACTTTCTGATAATAATATAATTTTTAAAAGCTAAAGCAAAGGATTGGGTTCTTTAGGAGCCTGGAAGCAAATTAGAGTGATGGAATATTCCAGCATGAACCTCAAGCAAAGCAAGAAAACTCAAGACCCCAAAATTCGTCAGGCAGCAGAACCTGTTGGCTTTTGTGTATATAACATGGCACAATGTTTCTACTTTCTCCTCTGGGCAGTAAGGGGCTGGCCTGTGGAGGGGTGTGCTGGCAGCAGGCAGGATGATTAAAATGCAGAGATGATATTTTTTAGGGGGTGGTACTCTTTTTTCTTTTTTCAGACGGAGTCTCACCCTGTCATCCAGGCTGTAACACTGCAACCTCCGCCTCCCTGGTTCAAACGATTCTCCTGCTTCAGCCTCCCAAGTAGCTGGGATTACAGGTGCCTGCCACCACACCCAGCTAATTTTTGTACTTTTAGTAGAGACGGGGTTTCACCATGGTGGCCAAGCTAATCTCGAACTCCTGACCCCTCAGCCTCCCAAAGTGCTGGGATTACAGGCATTAGCCACTGTGCCCGGCCGGGGTTGGCACTCTTTAAGTATTGATGTGATCTTGATCAATTGCAATGGTCAAGAAAAAGAGGGGATCTAAATGAGGAAAGCTATGAAGCAAGAATCCCTGGAATTTGGGGTCCAAATAAATATGAGTATAGAATGAGGACAGAGTCTCTGCTGAGGTTTTAGCTTGGATTCCAAACTGCGTTAAGAAAAGTATTACAAATAGAAAGCCCTGAAGGAACACACAGTTTTTGGGATAAGGAGGAAGATGCCTCTTGCTTTAGGAATGTTAATCACACCCAATCCCATTATCGGGTATATAGCCAAAGGAATATAAATCCTTCTGCCATAAAGACAATGCATGCATATGTTCACTGCAGCAAGATTCACAATAGCAAAGATGTGGAATCAACCTAGATGCCCATCAACAGTGGACTGGATAAAGAAAATCTGGTACATATACACATATATACTACACAGCTATAAACAAGAATGAGATCATGTCCTTTGCAGCAACATGAATGGAGCTGAGGGCCATTACCCTAAGCAAAGTAACACAGGAACAGAAAACCAAACACTATATGCTCTCACTTATAAGTGGGAGCTAAACATTGAGTACACACGAATTCAATGAAGGGAACAACAGACACCGGGGCCTACTGGAGGGTGGAAGAAGGGAGGAAGGAGAGAATGGAAAAACTACCTATCAGATGCTATGCTTATTACCTGGGTGACAAAATTATCTGTACCCTGTACCCCGGTGATGTTCAATTTATCTACGTAACAAACCTGCACATGGACCACTGAACCAAAAATACAAGTAAAAAAAAAAATGTTAATTTGAGATGCTTTTAATCCTTTGAGTAGAGTTCAAATTTTGGTCTGGAGCTCAAGAGAGTAATGGCAGATGGAAATAGAGAAAGTGAATGCTGAGCTAGCTAGAGGGTTAGTTTCCCAGGGCTGCTTGAATAAATTGCAATAAACTGAGGAGCTCAAAATCAAGGTGTCTTTAGGGTCATGCTCCCATGGAAGGCCCTAGGGGAGGCTGCTTCTTGCATCTTCCATTTTCTGGTGGCTGCAGGTGTTCCTTGGCATGTGGCTGCATCAGTCCAATCTCTGCCTCCATGTTCCCATGTTCTTCTTTCTCTTGTCTCTGTGTCATGAAACTAGTCATTGGATTTAGGGCCCACGAGTTTACCTCAAGATCTTAATTGCATCAGCAAAGACCCTATTTCCAAATAAAGTCACATTCTGAGGTTCCCAGAGCACATGAAGTTTAGGAGTGCACTCTTCAACCCAGGATAGCTACAGAGGGGCAAAGCTGAAGTAATGAAGGCTGATAATGTTGACCAGAGACAAAAATAGTGTGAATGCAGGATTGAGTCACGAAAGATGCCCTGGAGAATATAATTGATGGGAAGACCAATGGGAGTAAAGTTCAAAGAAGACCCAAGTCCCTTTCAAGTGCTAAGAGGAAACCAGGAGAGACTTCAAATGCATGGCAAGAGGATGGCTTTCCATCGATGAGGGGGAATTTTCAGAGGTTATTGCCTCAGACAGGGGAACTAATGGGTAAACTCTTCAGAGTCCTACAGGGCTGGAAAGTAACAGGACAGAAGCTCTGTGGGTCAGTGCATTTTCAGTGCTTTTAGAGTTGTCAGGGCAACCTCATCAATATCAGTCGAATCAGCATTTATAAATTCGTCAATGTGTCTCTTTAAAAACAAGACAGACAGACGGACAAATACAGTCAAGGGGTGAATGCTTGTATTTATTTATTTTTATTATTATTTTTTAGACAGGGTCTTGCTCTGTTGCCTAGGCTGGAGTACAATGTGTGAAATGGTATAATCATAGCTGACTGCAGCCATGACCTCCTGGGCTCAAGCAATCCTCCCATCTCAGCCTCCAAAGTAGCTGGGACTATAAGGACACACCATCACGCCTAATTTTTAAAAATTTTTTGCATAGACAGGGTCTTGCTATGTAATTCAGGCTGGTCTTGAACTCCTGGATTCAAGCAATCCTCCTGCCTCAGCCTTCCAAACTGCTGGGATTACAGGTGTGAGCAGCCACACCCAGCCTTGAATGCATTCTTTAAATAAAGATGAGTTGGTTGGTGTTAAGTGTGCAATTGAAGATGTTTTATAACCAGCAGAAACTATTGCAGAAGAGTTAACTTCTGTTCACTTATAAAAAGTCATTTGGCAGCACATTAAACATAAGTTATGAGAATCTTTATAAAATAGCTGAAGTCAGCCTCCCTCACCACTTGCTTTAGAATTTATTGGAAAACATATTTGCAGAAAAGAAAAGCAAAACAACAGGGATAATATCATGCTTGACTTCACTTGTCAACATGGGAAGACTGAAAAGAAGAACCAGTCGACTTTCTTCTTTAATTGAGAAATAGGTTTATAGACCTATAAGGACATGCATACAACTTAGATCACTCAAGTTCTTGACAAGGCCAATTTTAGCAATTGAAATTATGTTAAATGTAGCTTTTAGTGTCTTGTTTCTACATTGGATCCATGTGTTTTTGTAATAGGCAGCAATAGCAACCGCTACTACGTTTCTTAAGCGGTGACTACAGTTTCACAAAATAACGTTCAGAATCCAGATTCCAAAGGTATTTTATAAAGGCATTGGCCCTGTTGCCTATCTTTGTTTTCAAACATAATTAATTTTACTTCATTATATGAAGCTATTGTTGGACTTTGTCATATTGTTTCATTTGGGACTAAGGAGATTGAGTATTGATGAAACAGGAAACACTTACACATGCTTAAACACTTTAAATTGATATATTTAATACAATTTTAATTTACCTCTTTGTTGGCCAGGCACAGTGGCTCACTCCTTTAATCCCAGCACTTTGAGAGGCTGAGGCGGGCGGATCACTTGAGGTCAGGAGTTTGAGACCAGCCTGGCCAACATGGAGAAACTCTATTTCTATCATAAATACAAAAATTATCTGGGCCTGATGGCACACGCCTGTAATCCCAGCTACTTGGGGGGTTGAGGTACAAGAATCAGTTGAACCCAGGAGGCAGAGGTTGCAGTGAGCCAAGGTCCCACCACTGCACTCCAGCCTGGACGACAGAGACTCGTCTCAAAAAAATAAAAATAAAAATAAATAAATAAAATTACCTATTTGTTACAAGAAATCTGTGCAGAAAGTAAGGGTAGTATAAGAAGTCTAAGACAAATAGCTGTATCAAAACAGCTGAATATGAACCAAATTGCAAGAAGTACCGTCTTTCACCATGGGAAGGGCTGTGAACTGTGTTCAGTAAGCATTAACACACTCAGTTTATATTATAATCCACTGAGAAGGTATTATTAGGCCAGTGTTAAAGACAGTGCCACTTTAACTTAGAGTGTTTAAATAACTTTTCCAGGACAATATAGCTAGCAAAGGGACACACTAGGTTTTGAAACTTTCCCTTTCTATCTCTGAACTCCATGTGTTTAACCACTCAACTATGTCACATCCCTGGACATCCAGAATGTCTAATTAATTATTAAACAAACTGCATTAGGAGACTGAAGGCTAAAGAGAGATTCTGTAGAAGCAGAAGCCTGGGCCATGCTCAGAAGACAGCCACAATGAAACTACATTAGAATATAAATATCTCTTTTGCCGGATTTCATTTGTATTGGGAAGGTCTCATAACCCAGCATAATTTTCCATGTGCTTACCCATGTCTTAAGTGATTTAGAGATTCAGAATGATTTTCCTGACACTGGCAATTTTTGCTGAAATTATATACATCTTCAAAAATTATTTCAGAAAATAGGGAAGGAACACTCAGAGGCTTATTTTATGTCAACGTAATTTTAATAGCAACTCCTGACAAAGATATCACAAAGAAGAGTAAATTACAGAATGATAATTTCGTACCAAAGTGGATACAAAAATATTAAAGATAAAATCTCCACATACAGTAAGAATAATGCAAATTTCTTTCTTTTTCTTCTTCTTCTTCTTCTTTTTTTTTTTTTTTTTTAGAAAGAATCTCGTTCCGTCGCCCAGGCGGTAGTGCAGTGGTATGATCATAACTCACCTCAGCCTCCAACTCCTGGGCTCAAGAAGTCCTCCAGCCTCAGCCTCCTGAGTGGCTGGGACTACAGGTGTGTGCCACCATCCCCAACTAATTTTTAAATTTTTTGTAGAGTCAGGGTCTTACTAGGTTGCCCAAGCTGGTCTTGAACTCCTGGGCTCAAGTGATCCTCCTGCCTCAGCCTCCCAAAGTGTTAGAATTATAGGTGTGAGCCCATAATCCAGCCTGGAATTTCTTTAATTTGATCAGTGCCACCTAATTTAAAAACTTACACTAACATTGTACTTTATATTGAAATATGGAACACTGCCTTTTTGAGATTGGGAGCTCAGCATGGACATGCACTCTCACCTCATTTCTTCAAGATTGTGCTGGAAGTCTCAGCCACTGCAATGACCCAAGAAAGACAAGCACATTTCATAAAGATTAAAAAACAATGAGTGAAATTGTCTATATCCAAAGACAATATGCTTTTCAAATGCAGAAAATCCTAATGAACGTGCAAAATCAATAACAGAACCATTAAATGAACTTAGCAAGGTTGCAATTTACAGAGTCAATATAAATAAATCGTTTTTTCTACCTACTAGCAGCTAGCAATTGTAAGTAAAACTTTAAAAAAATACTTTCACCTTAGCATAAAAACAAAAAATGTTCAGCATATTAAAAAAAGTTATCCAAGATCTCTTCACTGAAATCCACGTAGCATGGCTCTAAGAAAATAAGAAGGCTGAGATAAATCGGAATATATGCCATGTGTATGGATGGATTAGAAGACCTAACTTTGTTAAATACAAAACCTTCTCAAATTGATTGATATATTTAATGCAATTTTCCTCATTATACTGCCAGGCTTTTGAAGCAGAAATGGTCAAGTATAATCTAAGTATTATCTGGAAATGTAAGGACCAAGAAGAGGCACGTGATGTTGAAAAAGAATTGCATATGTAAGAGGCTGTGTAATTCCAGAATTTACTGTCAACATCAGGAATTAAGAGGGCCTGTTATTATCCTATACGAAGGCAAATTACCACTGGATAAAAATAAAGAGGACATAAATTGATCCTCATTTATATAGTATACTGATTTTTGGCAAGAATGCCCAAGAAATTTAATGGGAAAAGAATGTCTGATAAATAGTGATAAAATAACTGAATAACCATATAGAACATAGAGTTTCAAAACTTACAACTACTTTTTAAGAAACCTATAAAAATTAGTAATCCCTGAGTATTGTATTTTAGAGAAATTAATGTCAAATTACATATGTGTTCATTATTCATATACATACATATATATGGCATATGCATATAATTATATATGCAAATGTATAACCATATATCTCAACATTTTTCTTGGAAAATTCCTTTGAGTTAGACTTATAAGGTCTACAGAAATGACATGCAAGCCTTCATAGCCAGTTATTTATAAGAAATTATAAGTAAAATATGAGTTATGGTTTCACATTTGTATACAATATACACAATGGCTAAAGGAACATAGATGCTGTTAGATTTAGTAGATCATTTCAGTGACAAGAGGCCAAACCCAATTTGTTTTTGCACTTTTCAGGTATATTTCTTCCTATAACTAATAAATTGTTTTAGATCATCCTTGAAATGTATTGCTTTTGTGCATAAGACATCCTACTATTCCATTACTCTGATTTTGTCCCCATTTTGTTCATTTCAAAATAAGAATGATGCTTTTTAAAAATAGCAAGTTTTGTGAGATTTATCTTTTTATCTGCCTGATGCTTCTCTGTTCCTCTCATTTTTCATTCTTGACCCTACCCAGGCATTCATAGACTAAGGCTCATTTTCAAAGTAAACAAACTCAATGTTTTTCATTGTAGTCCAAAAGGGAATGACGTTTAACATGAAATGCAAAGATGACTTTGAAGAGCTATCTTGTAATCCCTTCCTCTCAACATTATGATTATTGATTTATAACTCAGCGATGAAATCCCATGAGACCCAATGAATGAAAATAATATTTGAAGCATAGAACAGTACCAGCTTTGAAAGCCTATATCATACATATTAGAATGATCTACTCTTGTAAGTCAGCATACTAACGTCATCATACAAAAATCAAAAGTTTTGTTGCTTTTAATTTTTTTTTTTTTAAAGACAGGTTCTTACTATGCTGTGTAGGCTGGTCTTGAACTCCTGGGCTCAAGTAGTCCTCCAGCCTCAGCCTCCCTCCTGTATAGCTAGGACTACACATGCATACCACCAAGCCTGGCAAAAAAAAAGAAAAAATTTCTAAGTTTCAAAAGTACTTTGAGTTTTTAATGGTTTCATGTCATACAAGTTTTCATAGCTCAAGGGACTGCTTTGAATTACAGCATCTGTCTCAGTGTGGAGTTACTCCTTCAATCTAATAAAAACTAAGAGAATTTTCATCTCTATCTAAGGCTGCTGTGTATCTTATAAATAGCACTGAGTTGTGATAACTTTTAAGTAGCCTATAAAATGATTTTTAAAGAATAATTTTTGAAAAGCAGAGCAAAGAATAAATCAATGGTTTTACAGAGAGAAATGGTAATAGGAACGAATACAAAATTATCCATGCCATTTTTAAATTAAGCTTTTTCTTCAAGATCTGGCAGGGGAAAAATAAAGGCTAGAAAGTAATGAGCTATATATGAACTTGACAAGAACAATTTTAAGTTGTACTCATTTGTCACCTGCCATTAAAGTTTAGCTGATATTTTGCTCTTAATCATTCATCTAAAACCTACCCCAATCTGGAGGTTTTTGTCCCAGACTCCATTTTTGGGATGTCTGTTTTAAACTTCTTTTCAGGATAAAAGTTCATAAAAGCAAGCATGGCAATCCACTCATAGTTAAATGGACAATTCTATTTAAAACATAATCAAAATGGAAGTTAAAAATTGTTAAAACCATTTAAAATTTAATTATTGCAACATGTTTGCTTTTGATTTCTAATCACTGTCTTGTAAATTACGATCAGCGATTGGGCCAGATAATCTGCATTATATTGTAATTGAACTCCCAGGACCTTATGTATTTATTTAGCCTAAATGTAGCTCATTCAGTGAGACTTGATTTACAGTCAGGGTATACATTATTACTTAGAGAGTACAGACCATTTTTAACAACCTAAAAGGCATACCTCATCAGACAGATATAAAGAAAGAATGATAATGGCTCATTTAAAATATTAAGATATCAATAGGGCCAGGCACAGTGGCTCACACCTGTAATCCCAGCACTTTGGGAGGCCAAGGCAGGTGGAATTACCTGAGGTGAGGAGTTCGAGACCAGCCTGGCAAACATGGTGAAACCCTGTCTCTACTAAAAATACAAAAATTAACTGGACGTGGTGGTGGGGGCCTATAATCTCAGCTACTCGGGAGGCTGAGGCAGGAGAATCGCTTGAACCCGGGAGGCAGAGGTTGCAGTGAGCTGAGATCGTGCCATTGCACTCCAGCCTGGGCAACAAGAGTGAAACTCTGTCTCAAAAAAAAAAAAAATCAATTAACTATAATAGTCATATTTTAAATAAAATATGGTCACATTTTTAAAACGTCTACTCAGATACAGAATGAGAAATTTCTAATAAAAAATTTTAATTTCTAATAAAATTAATTTCTAGAATTAATTTGGAATCAAATTTTAATGATTTATTAAACAATCTTGATGTCCTGATGCTTGAATGATAGGATAAGAAGTGACTCGATTCCAGAGGGAGAAGTTATATGACACAAAGAAAAGATAAAACAGAAACTTGTTATTGTGTTTTTGTTTTTAACATGTGGAGATTTGGAAATGAATTAATAACTAGAAATGAGTACATAATGTGCATGAATTTAAGGTGGAGCCAAGTTCTCTCTGAACCCATCATGGGTGTTCTTAGTTGTAATACCTAATTAATTATATCTATGTCTGTAACTATTGGTGTTTAAAAGGGTCACTTGTGTATGTCATAGAATTATGAGTTTAATCACTGATCTATCATCACTTTGTACAAAACAAATTAAGCATTACCTAATTAAAATATTTAGGCAAAAAAAAGAGAATTCATACAACTACTTTAACATATGTATAATGGATTGAGTGTTTATGTGTACGTGTGTGTGTGTGTGTGTGTGTGTGTTTGAGGTTCTATCTATATTTCTGGGAATGTATTTGCTATGTCTTTGGTACCAATGAGACTAATGATTTAGTGAATTAATTCAAGCAATCTGGCTTAATATGGATGCAAATAAAAACTATGTCACATTCATCACTGATTAATATCTGTCTCTAAGCTATAGATGCCAAATATTTGAACATGATAAAGGAGTATTCCTAGAAAAGGTAAAAAGATCATCTAAGAAACAATTCATTTTTAAATTATAGTCAGTGATTTGGATAAAAGAAATACATAGAAATATCAAGTCATGATTATAATTGATATAATCAATTATATAATTATGATTGTATATTTAATATCTATATATCAATATCAATATACAGTCATGATTATAATTGTTTAAACCTATAATGAAAAACAAAAAACATTGCTCTCATTCTTGAGAGTAATGTTATTATGTATATAGGAACATGTTCGTTAGGATATATATATATATATATATATATATATATATATATATATATATAAAACTTAGAAGAAAAAGAAAAATGCAGAACTCCTTGTTAGTAGAAACAGATTGAAAAAGTCAACTTGGATAGGTAGCATGACCCATTTCTGTTCTTCCAGTCAAATACTTGAGTTTATGTTGAATAGTGGTGGTTTCTGGCCTCATAGTCCTTCCCAATACTTTCACCTCCTCCATTGCTCACCATCAGGCTGCAAAAATTCAGAACTAGTGTTACATATAAAGTTACCCCATGAACAAGCAGTTTTACTCAAAGAAGAATGAAAGTATCCACTCAAAAGATTTGCACACATGTTCAAAGCAGCATTGTTCATGAGACCCAAAAAGTAGAAACAACTCAAGTGTCTATTGATGGATGAATGCCCACACAAAAGGGGGTCTATCCACGCAAGGGAATATTATTCAGCTATACATGGGCACAAAGCACCAATACATGCTACAACATGGATGAAACTTGAAAACACTATATGAGGCAAAAGAAGAAAATCACAAAAGGCCATATATTACATGATTCTGTTTATACGAAATGTCCAGGAAAGGCCAATCCACAGAGAGTAAGTAGATTACTGATTACCAGAGACTGGGGAAAAGTAAATGGGAATTGGCTGCTAACGGTTATTGGGTTTCTCTTTGGGATAACGAAAAGTGTTCTGGAACTAGAGAGCGGTGCTGATTGCACAACATTGTGAATATAGTAAAAGCTACTAAATTGTGCAATTTGAAATAGTGACATTTATGGTTTGTGAGTTAAATTTCTCTTTAAAAATGCATGATGACAGAAGAATAGATTAACGTTTATTAAGTCGAAGTGTTCTAAATCCATGCAAGTTCAGGGAAGTGGGAAAAATTATAAATTTATAATTTTTATGTTGACATAAAATTCTTATGTTGACTTCAGCAACATAAGAAGGTACATTTTAATTTCAATAATATCTAGTTAAATAATGGTAAAACCCCTGCAAAACAAACTAGTAAATGGCTGAAAAAATATGAATAAGAACTTTGAGAAAAAAATGAAAATTATTGAAAGACGGTATGGCAGCAGAAGAAGAAACAAAGCACAGGCAGGGAAAAAACAATAATGCTACAATAAAACAAATAATAGAAAAAAGAAATAGTAATACAATACGTATGTCATATGTTTAGTTCAAATATGTCAGTAATTATGCTAGATGTTAGTCATCTAATATTTCAATATTTGAAATATTTTCAGACTAGATTACAAAGTAAAATATTATTATATGTTACTTACTAGAGAGGCATATTAAGCACAGAGGTAACAGAATATTTTAAGTAGAAGAATAGAAAAATATGTTTAATATCATGTAAACATTAACCAAGCCACATTGGAATAATTATCCTAATGTTATTCTATGTAGACTAGAAAGCAGAATTGCCAAAAAATAAGGTTTCATAAAGAAATCCATTACAGACATAATGATTTTAATGCATATGTATGCAAATGACAAAGCTCCAAAAATATGATTGACAGAAACAAAGGAAAAGATAGAGATATCCAAAATCAGAGTGAGTGATACTGAATGCAGAAACTGATATAAATTTAGCAAAAATCCCCAGTAAGATAAAGACAACTTTAACAATACAATTAATAAAATTGGTTAGTATGCACTCATTTTAACAATACTTGAAACGTCTGCCCGATTTGATAATATGCTGGAACATAATTTAAGGTTAGGCAATTTTCAAAGTGCTGAATTCACAGTGAATGGTCCCTGGTCTCAGTAAAATTAATTTAGAAATCAACTGGACAAAACAAAATACCCAATTATTTGAAAATTAAGCAATACATTTCCAGATAACTTACTGGTCAAAGAAGAAATTACATTGCAATTTAGAAAAAAAACTTAGAACTATATAATAATAAAAAATAAAGTGTGTCCAAGCAGGTGTTATGAAATTCCAATTGAATTTAGTGAAAATGTATGGATGTTAATACATACATGAGAAAAAAGAAAAGTTGAAAAACAAGTATGAATTATCTAAATCATGCATGTGGAAGAAATTCCAGCAAATAGAATGCAAACAAAGCAAAAGGGAGAATATATATTGTACTTCACAGGAGACATTAAACAAATAATAAGCAGTACAAATAATAGTGTGAATCAACAGTGCAATAAGTTATTTCTTTGCAAAGAGTAATATAACATAAACTTCCCATAAGACTATCCCAGAAATAGAGACGGCCCCATTAATAAACTGAGAAACCAAAGGTAACATCATTTTACACTAAACTATATCAAAAGAACCCATGTACAAATACATGCTTATTTAATAAAAATCTAGATGACATGGACAAATTCTTTTATAATGTAACAAAAAATAACAAAGAGTAGAACCTCAAGGCTGGGTGCAGTGGCTCACGCCTGTAATCCCAGAACTTTGGGACGCCGAGGCAGGTGGATCACCCGGGGTCAGGAGTTCGAGACCAGCCTGGCCAACATGGTGAAACCCTGTCTCTACTAAAAATACAAAAAATTAGCCGGGCGTGGTGGTGCATGCCTGTAATCCCAGCTACTCGGGAGACTGAGGGAGGAGAATTGCTTGAATCTGGGAGGCAAAGGTTGCAGTGAGCTGAGATCGTGCCATTGCACTCCAGCCTGGGCAACAAGAGAGAAACTGTCTCAAACAAACAAACACAGCAACAACAACAAAAAACAAAGAGTAGAAACTCAATAACCCCTATTAACTTTTTTAAATTATTCACTATTTTAGATCTTTCACAAAAAAATCTCCAAACACAATGGACACAATACTGAATTCATCCAAAAATTTTCTGAAGAAACAGCATAAACAAACTCTTGCAGAGAATGAAAAAAGAAAGAAAACCTTCCCAATCATTTTATGAGAACAGCATTAACCTAATAACAAATCTGGAAATTGAATTAAATACGATATCTACCATATCCAGAAAGGCAAATGTAGATAAAATATTAGCAAACTAAATCTATGGTACATAAGATAAATAATGCATCTTGTTTAACTGAAGTTTATTGCAGAAATACAGGGTTGATTTAACATTTGAAAATCCTCAATATAATTCCCTGCACAATGGAATAAACAACTATATGATCATCTTAGTAGTTTAGATAAAGCACTTGATAAGACCCATTACTGATTTCTAATAAAACTCTTCACAATGCTATGAATGAGAACACCCCTTTCAGCAGACAAACTATATTTCCAATACCAGTAAGACTAAAATTATTCTTAATAATTTATTAGTGAAAGCTGTTTCATGAATATCTGAAATGAGACAAGGATACTGGCTATTAAATTTTATTCTTTCCATTTATCCTGCCCTGAAGATTCTTTTGGGGAGGCTTTAAAAAGTTTTATTTTGTTTTTAATTAACAAATAATAGTTGGACATATTAATGGGGTACAGTGTCATGTTTTCACACATATAGACATTGTGTAATGATCAAATCAGGGTAATTAGCACATCCATCACCTCCAATACTTGTCATTCCAAATTTCCTTTTCTAGATTTTTTTTTTTTTGAGACACAGTCTCACTTTGTCACCCAGACTGGAGTACAGTGGTGCGATGTCAGCTCACTACAACCTCCACTTCCCAGGTTCAAGCGATTCTCCTGCCTCAGCCTCCTGAGTAGCTGGGACTATAGGCCCGTGCCACCACACCCAGCTAATTTTTGTATTTTTTAGTAGAGACAGGGTTTTTCACCATGTTGGCCAGGCTGGTCTCGAACTCCTGACCCCAGGTGATCCACCTGCCTCGGCCTCCCAAAGTTCTGGGATTACAGGCGTGAGCCACTGCGCCCAGCCTTGAGGTTCTACTCTTTAATTGTTATTTTTTGTTACATTATAAAAGAATTTGCCCATGTCATCTAGATTTTTATTAAATAAGCATGTATTTGTACATGGGTTCTTTTAATATAGCTTAGTGTAAAACAATGTTACCTTTGGTTTCTCAGTTTATTAATGGGGCCATCTCTATTTCTGGGATAGTCTTATGGGAAGTTTATGTTATATTACTCTTTGCAAAGAAATAACTATTGCACTGTTGGCCAGGCTGGTCTCGAACTCCTAACCTCAAGTGATCCACCCATTTCAGCCTCCCCAAATGCTAGGATTACAAGCATGAGCCACCCACCCGGCCCTATTCTAGATATACTGAAGTACAGTATGCATTACTGTCGACTATAGTCACCCTACTGTGCAGGAGAACAGCAGGACTTATTTTTCCTGTCTAATTGTAACTTCGTACCCAGTGACCAATCTCTCTCCTTCCCATCTCTCTTGCCTAGTCTCTGGTAACTACTGTTCTATTCTCTGCTTCTATGAATTCAACTTTTTTAGTTTCCCCATATAAGTGAGGCCATGCAGCATTCGCCCTTCTGTGCTTGGTTTATTTCACTTAACAAAGTATCTTGTAGGTTCATCCATGTTGCTGCCAAGGACCAGAATCCATTTTTTTGCGGCTGAATAGTATTCCATGTGTACATACGCAACATTTTCTTTATCCATTCACTCACTGATGGACACATAGGTTGATTCCATATCTTTGCTGTTGTGAATAGTGCTGTAATAAACATGAGAGTGCAGGTAGTCCTTTGACATAATTGTTTCTTATTATTTTGATAAATGGCCAGTAGTAGGATTGCTGAATCAAATGGTAGTTCTATTCTTAGTTTCTTGAGGAACTGCCGTATTGTTGTCCATAGTGGCTGTACTAACTGACATTCCTATGAATAGTGTGTGAGAGTTTTTCTTTCTTATAGAATCTTTCTTTGATAATTTGATGGTTTTAAAGCAGAGGTGAGCTTTTCGGGCTGAATATGGTCTGGGTCATATATGCATATTTCTTTTTTCCTTTCTCTCTCTCTTTTTGTATATAATTTATCCAAAAGGCAAAAACCATCATTAGCTCAAGGAGCAAACAAAAATGGACCATGGGCTTGATTTGATGCATGTGCTGTAATTATTTTGACAACTGTTTAAAAGGTGTGTGTTTCATGTAGGTCATCACATTTGATTATTTAGTGTATTTAATGCATGTAGGATCTGCAAAGATAGCCTGTGTTTCCCTTCTGATATTGCTAATTGTTGGCGTGTATATATTTATCATGATCAATGAAACCATAGTTATATAAAATTTTTTCAGAATAAATTTGGATTTCAAATATTTTCTCTGTTTCTGTCCATTTAATAGATTTCATCTTATTTTCATAGTTTGCTTTATTATGCAAGCACATTGGACTGATTTTTGGAGACTAATTTTTTTGTACTATATCAGTGGGTTTAAGCCAAAATTGGGCAAACTATAGGCCTCAGGCCAGCTCCCTGCCTGCTTCTGCGAAAAAAAAAAATGTTTTATTAGAAAAAATCCACACCCTGAGACAGTATTGACATGCAATTTCAATGACTGCTTATGTGCCTTCACGACACATGATCCAGCTGAATAGTTGTAATACAGAACTTCTGATCTGCAGATACACACACAAGTCATATATATGTGTATATGTATATATACGTGTGTATATATATATGGCATCAGAATGAATATATAATAGAAATATTTCTGAATTAATAAAAAGAATACTTACCTTATTCAGAACTAGTATATTTATATATGTTTCAAAATGAAATCTATTATTCATAGAAGTCATCATTGCCCACATAGAAAATTCAAAAGAATCTATAGATATACCATTTTAAAAAATTTAGAAAAGTTTCCAGGCACAAAGCAATATAAAAATTTTTATATGGCAGAAAAGCAAGTCAATATAAATTCAATAGTGAAAAAATTTGTTAAAATATCAAACATATCATATATTTGAAAATAATTTTAATGAGATGTGCTAGTCATTTGCACTCTACACTGCAGAATATTATTTTGAGGAATTAAAAATCAAAATCAGAAAAATGTACCATGTTCGCGAATAAGGATGTCATTTCTTATCAAATTTATAGATTTAGCATGATCACTATAAAAATCTCAATAGTTTGTTACTAATATATACAATCTAATATGTACCCACAAAGTGATAGCAAAACTTTTATGGAAATATAAAGGAAAATGCATAGCTATGATATCTTGAAACTGAAGAACAATACTCAAAGATATGCAGTACCAGACATAACTCTGTAATATGGAATACGGTCTTTACAATAAATGGTGCTAGTTCAATTGGACGTCTGTATGAGGAAATACGCATCTTTACTGACAGTTAATATCACTTACACAAATTCTTTCTAGATGTATTGTACACCTAAATGCAAAATATGAAATAATAATGATTTTAGGAAAAAAACAGAAAATATCTTCATGACACTAATTAAGCAAAAATATTTATCTAGGATAAAATCTTTCTATCTATAGAAGGAAACATTGATCAATTGGAATAAAACAAAATTAAACTCTTCCATCTAACACAAGATACCATGAAGGAATTAAAAATAGAATCCACTGAATGAAAAATATAAGTACAATAAATATATCCAACAAAGGATTCATATCTGTCTATCATATTTATCTATCATCTATTTATCATGTTTATCATCTCTATCATCTATCTATATAATCTATCAGTTATATCTACCTATCATCTATCTATCTAATTGATCTATTCATCTATTCAACTATCATTTATCTATATCCATCTCTTCTATTTGTCTGTCTGCCTTTCTGTCTATTCATCCATCCATCTATTGATCCATCACCCTCTATTAAACACTTCATGAAAAAACAGACATTTTAATTTTACTGAGAACATTTAAATGAACAACAAAACTGTAATCAGGTTCTCAACGTTACTCATTATTAAGAAAATGGAATTAAAAACAAAATATAATACCACTGTACTCTTACCAAAGACTAAAAATAGAATGTCAGGAAATATCTAGTGTTAATGAGAATGTAGATCCACTTTTTTACATAGCTGGAGGAAGTGTTATATGGCGCAGGCACTGTGTAAAACTTTTGTTATGCCTTATGATCCAGAAATTCCACCCTTAAGTATGTACTCACTAGAAATGCATACATACATTTACCAGAACACATGCATAAGAATCTGCTTAGCAGCAGTTCTTCAAAATAGCCATATATCAGAAAGAAACCAGACACGGGAAACAACAGAAACTCCCATCAATATCAGAATGGAAAAAAGTTGTAAATTCATATATATTAGAAGATTTTACATTACACCCAACTGCATACAAAATGAAGGAGTCTCGTGCACATAATGAAAGAATCCACTTACAAAAAATTATATTCTGTATGGTTTCAATTCTACAAGATTTAGAAACAGGCAAAATGATACTCTAGTGTTAAAACTATACCTAGTCTTAAAACTATACTCCATTGTTGAAACTATAGTGTCTACGCTAGGGGGTGAGGCTGGCCAAAAAATAAATAAATAAATAAAATAAATAAATGGCCAGACACAGTGAATGACACCTGTAAACCCAGCAATTTGGGAGGCTGAGGCAGGAGGATCTCTTGAGCTCAGGAATTTGAGACCAGCTTGGGCAATGTGGCAAAACCACGTTTCTAGAAAAAATACAAAAATTAGCCGGGCATAATGACTCTCGCCTTGTGGTCCCAGCTACTTGGGGGACTGAGGTGGGAAGAACACTTGAGCCCAGGAGGTGGAGGCTGCAGTGAGCCATGATTTCGCCACTGCACTCCCTCCTCGGTGACAAAATGAGACACTGTCTCACAAACAAACCAAAAAAAAAAAAAAAAAAAAAAAAAAAAAGACACCCAGAAGAATTCTGCATGCAGAATTATTTACAAGATTTCCTGAAACCCACTTTAAAGAACATTTAAAAAGAAATGCAGTGATGTATTTATAAGGGTAATTCATATGAGAGAACCATGCCCCTTGCTTCAGGGTAGTTAAGAGTAATGATACCAACCCTAACTTTTAACTCTTGACCTACCATAAGAAGGCAAATTTGCTGATGATATGATGAAATGACTGCTTAAACTAAAGGGCATGATTTCAAAGCTGAAAAATACATGGAGGAAGAGTGCCTTGTTTCTGTGAGTACAATTCTGCAATGAAGTCTGCACAAAAGATATGAATGTTACTTGATGTTTTCTTCATTCTGAAACACATCCTTTAGGAATTCTGTATCACTATGTCTTCAAATTCCCATGGAACAGCATCTCATCATTCATGAATACTTAATGATGATGCACCACAATTTGCAGCTACTTTTATTCTGACACATCCTTCCTTCCCAAGAGCATAGGAGATGCAGATATCAGAGTTGTTGTATAGGGCAGGGCAGTGACATTGTGGTTCAAGGGAGAGAACTGGGATCATCATGGGTCCTGAGGAGCAGAGTCCCCTATGCATGATGGACCAACTGCACCTCTGTGTCCATTGGGGACCTGAGAGAGCCTGGAAAAAGACGCAGATGCACAGTGTACCCTGGCTTCACTCTGACGTTATCAGCTGCTCACCTTGAGTGCTCCCGATGGACTCCTGCGGAGGAGGTAATTTTGGAAGTTGCATTAACTGGATGAGGCCACCAGATGACCATTTGGGGCACCGTCGGTCGAAGTCATTTCCCATAAAATACCTTAATGGCCTGAAAAAGTTAATGCGTCTCTCAAATTGCCTCTGTTACCACGACAGAACCATGCATTGAAAGAATTGGTTCCCTTGTATCTTCCACACAAGCAACAGAAATATCATCATCACCTGCTATTTATTAAAGGCCTTGGGCCAGCAGATGTGCAGTGCCCAAAGCTAATTAAATGGGCTGAGGTCTGGTTCAGGGACTATGACATGGGAATTTTAAAGCCATGCATAGAAAGAAGCTGCTCAACCTCCTCTATTGGAAAATGAAAATATAGATCTGGCCTCTGCAACCAGCTTCTTTCTCAAGCTTGTTTTCTCATTCCCCTAGTGGAAACGAGGCTTTCATCTATTGCTATCCTGAAGACATGGTAGAAGTTTAATAAATAGTAGCAACTATTCAGCAAGTATTTTTGAATACTTACTGATATGGTTTGGCTCTGTGTCCCCACGCAAATCTCAAGTTGACTTGTAATTCCCAAAGTTGAGGGAGGGACATGGTGGGAGGTGATTGGATCATGGGGGAGGATTTTCCCCCACGCCATTCTCATGATAATCATTGAGCTCTCACGAGACCTGATGGTTTATTTTAAAGTGTATGGCACATCCCTCTTCGTTATCTCCTTCTCTCCTGCTCCGCCATGGTAAGACATGTCTACTTCCCCTTTGCCTTCCACCGTCATTGTAAGTTTCCTGAGGCTTCCCAGTCGTGCCTCCTGTACGCCTGTGGAACTGTGAGTCAATTAAATCTCTTTTCTTCATAAACTACCCAGTCTCAGGTAGTTCTTTATAGCACTGAGAAAATGGACTGATACGCTGACTGTCACAGACTGTTGTCTAATCATTTTAGAAGAAATAACTGATGTAGCATCCATCATAGTACCTCAGATTTGGGGGTGATTTTCTCCCCTCCATGGGACATTTGGCAATTCCAGAGACATCTTTGGTTGTCAGAATGGAGGGATCTACTGGGTAAAAGCAAGGGATGCTGCCAAACCTCCTAGAGTACAAAAGAATGTTCAGTGCAGAATCTTAATGCAGCCACTGTTGAAAATCTCTAGAGTTTACAACTCTTAGTTTTTTTTCAGGCTGTTGAAAGAAAACAGGGAGGGATAGAAGTAGAGTCTCGAAGATGCTGGAAAGTGCTCTGAAACTCAGTCTTTGAATCAGAGCTAACCAAATACAGCATTCCACCTACAGCATTATTTGTATAAGAAACCTGGCAATCAAGTGGACCAAGGGAAATAGTTGTGATTTTTCATAATCCCAAGAGTTTGTGCAAAGGACAGGCAAACTGAGAATTTCAACTATTTCCATGAAACCATCCTTACACTTGTGCATGGAAGGTGGAACAGTAGAAAATGTTTGTCATGATTGTGTGTGTGTGAAAAATGCAACTGATTAATTTTAACATAACTGGGAAAATCGATGCAGTCATATGCAAACTTTTAGTGAATGCTTGCTTTGAACTTTTCTAAATCTCTAATAAAATTTGAAGCAGCTACGCAATGCATCAAAACATTCCTTGCTCTGTATATGCTTTGGACTTCATCTTAACAAGTCTGATTTTATATATCTCTATATACAAATATGTAATATATATATGAGCAGTAGATAGCAAGTATATAGATATATTTGCAATATGTTATACCAGTAGATAGCAAATATACAAATATATTTGCTATTAGATAGCAAATATATACATATATTTGCTATTAGATAGCAAATATACAAATATATTTGCTATTAGATAGCAAATATACAAATATATTTGCTATTAGATAGCAAATATACAAATATATTTGCTATTAGATAGCAAATATACAAATATGTTTGCTATTAGATAGCAAATATACAAATATGTTTGCTATTAGATAGCAAATATACAAATATGTTTGCTATTAGATAGCAAATATACAAATATATTTGCTATTAGATAGCAAATATATACATATATATAGCAAGATAGACATACAACCATACAAATATATATATTTGCTATATATAGCACACTTATAAATACATATATTTGCTACCTACTGGTTTTATATATATATATATATATATACACCAATATATACTGTTATTATATATAGATAGATAGATTTGCTATCTACTGGTATTGTATATATATTATATATAATATTTGGCAAAAATAATGTTTATGTAGTGTTCTAAACAAGCCCTCATTAAACAGTCACCCAAACGTGTATTTCTAGGCTACACACTTCCATATTCTAAGGCTTCTAACTTTTGATTATTTCCTACTCAATGATTAAAAGACTTTATGACCAAAATGTAGAAATTATCAAAAGGTCAGCAGAACAATGCTAAATAGTGATAAAGAAGGTCTCTCTGTTAGCATAATGACCTCCAATTCCTTCCATGCTTTCCATTTATCTGTTGATGGACACTTAGGTTGCTTCCAAATTTTGGCTACTGTGAACAGTGCTGACAAGTTAGAAATGCAACCACATTTGTCTAAATTGTCTTCATAAAAATATAAATTCATACTTTATAATTATTGTAGACTATTAATAATATTATTATTTAAAAATCTACTGCATACATTGTAAGTTAATTTCAGCAAATTTATGATAAGTGTTTGTGAGGACTTATTTTATGTGGCAACTTGACTATTTGGTAAAACACCAGTCTACATGCTCTTGTGAAGGTACTTTGTAGATGAGGTTAAGATTTAAATGAGTAGACATTGAGTAAAGCAGGTTGCTCTGCAGAATGCGTGTAGGCCTCATCTAATCAGTTGATGGTCTTGATAGAAAAGACTGATCCCCTCTGCACCTCCAAGAACAGGGAATTCTGCCTCCAGGACGGTCTTCAAAGTGAAGCTGCAACATCAACTCTTCCCTGGATCTCAATCCTGCAAGTCTACCCTGCACAATTTGAACTTGCCAGCCCTCCACAATCAAGAGAGCCAATTACTTAAATAAATCTTCCTTTTCTTTTTTTTTCTCTTTCTCTTTCTTTCTTTCTTTCTTTCTTTTTCTTTCTTTCTTTCTCTCTTTCTTTGTCTCTCTCTCTCTCTCTCTCTCTCTCTCTCTTTCTCCACTCCCTATTGACTCTATTTATCTGGACAACTGTGACTAATACAGTGCTTAAAAGTTAAACCATTAGTATGCACCTTATTATATCTATGAAAGGGATTGCAGCAAAAATTTTCTAGATTGACAATGCTATTTTCCATAACTGACACTGAAAATAACAAATGCTTCCAATATGTCAAGACCTGTATCCCTAATGACAATGTGATATAATGATGTCACAGATTTTGCACTTTTTAATTGCATTTTATTCTCCGCATATGTCCTTGAGTACAGATTATTAAATATAACTAAGCAATTTTCTTCTTTAAATAACAAAAGTACTACTTAAAAGTAAAGAGAATTTCAACTTACTGTGTTTATTCTTCCCATAGGGTGAAGCTGGCCCCAGGCATCCTATAACGTGCATTAAACAAAAAACTTCTTTATCAGTGGGAGGTTACTAAATTTCACATTCTCTCAAAGCTTCAAAAGAAAGGAAAAAGAAGGAGGAAGGATGCCCAGATTAGACATGCAAACTCTTGAAAAAAAGTCTATTTAATAAGAGTTGAAAAAGTCAGTCTTGCATTCAAAGAGGTCACACACTTATCAAACCTACCGTAAGTTTAAATGACAGCTGGTGTCAATCATGAATTCTATTAGAAACATTTATTTTGAAGCATTACATCAAAAAGCCCAATACTATCTTAAGATAATTAGTTGTTAATTGCTCAACAATACGCATTTCAATAACAACAATAATAACTGTTAATATTTTCTTTAACATATAACTTACCAAGGCTTGGATGTAACCAATATTCACCCCTCCCTTTCAAATGTTTGATGTGGTAGATTTAGGTAAATGCATTCAGTTACACAATGGCAACCACGATGTGCGTAAAGAACATCTCTTTTACCCTAAAAAGCTCACTTATGTCCTTTTGCAGAAAGCACGCCTTCCAAGCACAGCCTCTGATAACTCTTGATCTGTTTTCTGTCTCTGTATCTATATCTAAGAAGATATCTATATCTTCTCCTGTGTGGATTTATAGATAGATGGATAGATGATAGAGAGAGAGAGAGACAGACAGACAGAGATAGATAGATATGGATATGGCTGTAGTAAAGGTAAAACATATTTATATCTATAGCTATAATATTTATCTATCCCTATGGATCTGTAGTATCTTAAAGTCATGTCTATATCAAATATCTATATTAAAGCCATATCTTTATCTCTCTATGTTATAGATAATCTAGATATATCTATATAGATTCACACAGGATATCTTCTCAAGAATGTTGCAGAAATAGAATTATTGATAAAGAGACTTGATCAAACTTTCAAATATAACGTTTTCTTTGTATCTAGCTTCTCTCACTGAGCATAATTCTTTTGAAATTCAGCCATATTGTTGTGAAATTCAGCCATCAATAGTTTGCTTTTTGTTATTACAGAGGATTGCTTTGTGTAGACAGACCTTAATGGGTTTATCCCCTAATTGGCGAGGTTTCTTTTTTGCCATTTGGCTGTTTTATATGAAGCTTTTATAAATAGCCATACACAGGCTTTAGTGTGGACTTACTTTCATTTATCTTGAGTAACTGTCTAATGCTGAAATTGCAAGGTATAAATAAGGTGTATTTGACTTTTAAAGAAATTGTTTTCTACAATGGTCCTTCCAAAAACATCAGTCTCTCATCAATCAGGTCTGAGGGTGTTTTGTACCCCAGATCCTTCAAAACCTTTGTATGTGTCTTTTGAACTTTAAATTTGAGCTATGCCATGGAGCTGGTAGTATTCCATGCTACAAAGGGTGCAGAGCATATTTTTATATGCTTTTTGATTACTCTTATTTAATTTGTATGAGTGTGTTTTGATGGGGTTCTGCAACAATTAAACACAATCAGAAAAAAGTCACATAGGATATCAATATATATTATATTTATCTATCTGTCTATCTATATTAAAGTCACCTCTATGTCTATGTATCTATGTTAAAGCTACACATATATAAATATATAAATATATTTGTGTATATATATGGATACATTTGTATATATGTGTGTGTATATATATATACAATCTGTATATATATATGTTGATCATATATATAACTATACAGATTGTGTATATATGTGCAGACATAATTTATGTATACATATATGTACACACACACAGAGACAATCCTAGCCACACTAGCAGCTGATTAGATGGTGCCCATCCAGGTTGAGGGTGGTCTTCCTCTCTCGCTCCACTGACTCAAATGTCAGTCTCCTTTGGCAACACCCTCACAGACACACCCAAGAACAATACTTAGCATTCTTCAATCCAATCAAGTTGACACTCAATATTAACCATCACAGTTAACAAACTATGGTATATATGACCATGTCTGGTTGATTACCATTTTTTTTGTAAATAATATTTTATGAAAACATAACCATGTGCATTCATTTACATCTTTCCTGTGGTTGCTTTGCATGACTGCAATCAGTTGTGTAGCTGCAACAGAGATGCATGGCTTGCAACATTGAAAATACTTACTACGTGCCCCTTTCCAGGGGAAAAAAGTTGACCCCTGCTATATATTAAAATAGCTTATTGATTTTCATAATACACTGAGAAATTAGACCCAATTTATAAATGTTTGACTTAGAATTCCATATTCTATCATCTAATTTGAATGCTAAGTATAGATCCATTTATTCTATGCACTACTTTTATGTCTTAGCATGTAATCAGAGGCCAAAATTTAAAGATGACACTGTGGTGAGTAATATGGTTGAAGATCCAGTTGGTCTAAAGAAAAGGAACAAATATGTTCACAGAAGTAAATGTGAAGGTTCTATTTTTAAATTTTTGAAATTTGGGGCTGTTTTCTACTTCCTGGTCTATTTTTGAAACCAGTGAAATATCTCTCTGGTTCCCTGTTAGTTATCACACAGAACTTAAGGTAGTTTCTTCTGTAAGAAAAAAAAATGCTTGTCCTATTATTCAAGGTAAGTCCCACTATTAAGAAAAAGAACGTTTGTGTTTATCTACTTTCTCGGGATTAATAATTAACCATGCTCATAATGATTCCTATACTGTTTATTGGGTTTGATTATTTAAAAAATCCTATTGTACTTTTGAGAAGCATGTTGTATTAATTTTTCTATCACTGCAGAACAAATTTCCCCCAAAATTAGCAACTGAATCGTCAAACAGCTATCGTCTCACAGTGTGTGTGGGTCATAAATCTTGGAGTCATTTCATGGGGTGGTTTGTGGCCTTGGGTCCTATCGGGGGAACCCACCCCCAATATTTCAATGTAGGTTCTTTCTATTTTCCATAAGTGTCAGCTGAGAAATAAAGAGAAAGAGTACAAAGAGAGGAATTTTACAGCCGGGCTGCCAGGGGTGACATCACATATCGGTAGGACCATGATGCCCACCTGAGCCTCAAACCAGCAAGTTTTTTATTAAGGGTTTCAAAAGGGGAGGGGGCATAAGAACAGAGAGTAGGTACAAAGATCACATGCTTCAAAGGGCAAAAAGCAGAACAAAGATCACATGCTTCTGAGGGAACAAGACAAAAGGCAAAAGCAGAACTACTGATAAGGGTCTGTGTTCAGTGGTGCACGTATTGTCTTGATAAACATCTTAAACAACAGACAACAGGGATCAAGAGCAGAGAACTGGTCTGACCACAAATTTACCAGGGCAGAGGTTTTTCCCCAACCTAGTAAGCCTGAGAGTACTGCAGGAGACCAGGGCTTATCTCAGTCCTTATCTCAACTGCATAAGACAGACACTCCCAGAGCGGCCATTTATAGACCTCCCCCCAGGAATGCATTCCTTTCCCAGGATATTAATATTAATATTCCTTGCTAGGAAAAGAATTTAGTAGTATCTCTCCTACTTGCACGTCTGTTTATAGGCTCTCTGCAAGAAGAAAAATATGGCTATTTTTGCCTGACCCTGCAGGCAGTCAGACCTTGTGGTTATCTTCACTTGTTCCCTAAAAATTGCTGTTATTCTGTTCTTTTTCAAGGTGCTCTGATTTCATATTGTTCAAATACATGTTTTACAATCAATTTGTACAGTTAACACAATTATCACAGTGGTCCTGAGGTGACATACATCCTCAGCTTACGAAGATAACAGGATTAAGAGATTAAAGTAAAGACAGGCATAAGAAATTATAAAAGTATTATTTGGGAACTGATAAATGTCCATATTAAAATGAAATCTTCACAATTCATGTTCCTCTGCCACAGCTCCACCTGGTCCCTCCATTCAGGGTCCCTGACTTCCCACAACAGGGTCCCCCATTAAGTAAACATCAAGCTTTCAGTTATGGATGCAGCCATGGGAAACCTGGACTGGGGTTGAGATTCTGCTGCCACGCCCAGTCACATGGCTGTTCCAACAGAAGAGGCCTCAGTTTCCAATCAAATGGGCTGCTACACAAGGCTGCTCAGGATATGGTAGCTGGCTTCCCCAGAGGGAGTGCTGATGGGAGGAGATGGGAGGAGAGAAAGGATGGGGAGAGAGAGAGGGACAGAGAGACAGAGAGAGACAAAAAGGCAGAAATAGAAGAGGGGAGAGAGGGAGGAAGAAACAGAGTGACAGAGGTAGACAGAAAAAGGGAGAGAGAAACAGAGGAAGACAGAGAGGTTGGGGAGAGAGACAGACAGAGATAGAGGGAGAGAGAGAAAAGGAGAAAGAGACACAGACAGAGACAGAGAGAGGAGGGGGGAGAGGGAAGAGATGGAGAGAGAGAGAGAGGCAGAGAGAGATGGAGAAACAGAGCCTAACAAAGAGAGAGAAAGAGAGATGGTGGGGAAGATACACAAGGAGAGAGAGGGCAAGAGAGAGACAGAGAAAGAGAGGGAGAGTGACAGAAAGGGAGAGAGAAAGAGACAGAGAGAGGAGGGGACAGAGAGAGGGAGAGAGAGATGAGAGAGAGAGAAAAAGAGAAAGGAGAGACAGAGAAAGAGAGAAAGATAGAGAGGGAAAGAGACAGACAGACACAGAGAAAAACACAGAAAGAGAGGCACACGTACACATACAGAGAAGAGGACAATTGCAAGGTTTTTTATAATCCAATTTCAGAAATGCCATCTATCACATCACCTCTACCTTATTTTAGTACAGTCAGGGAGGGCTGGCTGTACAGAAGGCATGGCAAATGGTACCAGGAGGCAGGGGTCCTTGGGAACTCACCTGGAGACATGGGCTCATACAAGGGCAAGTTCATTTCCTAAAAGTGTTAGAGGCTAAGAGCATTAGGAAGTAACTTGGTGTTCTTCTCCTTCAATGATGCCAACAGGAAACTGCTGTCATAGGATAGCTATTGTACGCTGGTGTGTCCCAATCTCCACATAAGAGATGAGAATGTCTTGCAAACTCAGCTCCCAAAGGGGCGGACACATAATTGATGGTTTTTACTACCATTCAGTAGAATTTCTATGAAGAGAACTAAATATGTAAATTGAAGAAATTAAAAATAAGGCTGATAGTATAAAAGACTAATTTGACAAGTGAATGCTGTGGTTGGGAAACCTCATTTTATTACCATTTGTCAATGTTTTGGATCAATTCAGAGATTAGTGATTTTAATCTCTTGCCAGATTCGGGTCTTGCCATAGAGGATTACAACAGAATTGGCCATGAATCATTTTCTTACTATGAATTAGTATCCTATTTATTTAATAATAGGAATAAAGCAACAAGAAAAACAAAAATAGTGGCAATTGACAATATACCAAGATTTTAAAGTCCATAAGTAATGTTCAATACTGCTCTGTTTTGTATACTCACAAACATGCACCTCACAATGGGGGTTGAAGTCATAAAATAACATAATGAATATAAATTTTATATTATTTCTACCATCCATGTTCACTATTTGGGGAGAAAATGACTTTATTGAAGTTAATATTTACTTTCAAAGTTCTGTTTTCTTTTTTTTTTGTTTGCATGTTTTCATACATAACACTCTAATTTGCTTTTTTCTGCCAAGAGGTTGAGAGAAACTACAGCATTACAGCTACGATATTTTGTCTGACACCAAGGAAATTTCAATAAACTATAATGGACATAATCAAATGATTTGATAAAACATAGCATGATAGCTATGAATGTTTTCAAATTATTATATTTTAAAATTATATTACCCAATAAAAGATATCAAGGACCACTGCTATATGCATATGTACTTGAAAACATTTCATTAATTTACTAATTACAGGTTACATTTTTCTCTTCTGTTATCTGAAAATGTTTTATGTAAAATTTATTGAAAATAATCCAGTGATTCCAACATTTAGCACAAAAATAAGATAATTTTTAAAGTAATGCTTCCTTCATAGTAACTTACATTTGCCAGCCTTGAAAATACACCTAACATATCTAGAAGTTGTTTCTTGATGAAATCTGTGAATATGACACACATTCATACCTTTTATTTTATGTCTCATCAAAAATTAATAGTATTCATCTATCTCTGATCCTGCCACTTCTTTCTAGTATGACTTCAGTTTTGCTGGGAACTTTTATAACAGGTAAGCAAGTGGTAACATTTTCATTCACTTTTTAACACCAATTTCAACTAAGCCACTCAAATAAACAAAGGCTTTTATTTGGAAGAATTGCTGTGGAAACATTAAACAATAGTATCCTTTTACCATCTCTTAAAAATTGTGACGTTTTCAATATCAAATAAACTGTTTTAGATATATTGTACCCATATGAACGAAATGGCCAATGGAGGTTTTTGTTTTGTTTTGTTTTGGTTGGTTTTGGTAGAGAATTGACACTGGTGGGTGGAATTGTCCAAAGACACAAAGTCAAAGTATACTTGGCACAAGAGGTGTTTAATAAAAGTGGTTGCATGATTTAGTTTATCAAGTGCTTAGCTTATTATGAATATTATTCCAGGTATTGTTGGAAAAATGAAAACCATAAGCTACTTTCCTTTCTTATAAATATTTGCTATATATTTAGGAATAAGGTAGCAATTTTTTTCTTTAAAGAGCCAGAGAGTAAATAGTTTAGAAATTTCAATAGATGTAATGCCCTCAACTTGGCAAGCTATTGTTCTCTCTGAAGGACTAGCTGGTAGTTTTGTTTGTTTTGTTTGTTTTACATTTTACATGTTAAAATGTCCAAACCACTCTTAGCTCACAGCCAAATTTGTCTCTCCGGCTGTTAATAACTGCTATACAAAGAGGAAGAATGCATACACACAAGAAAATTAGAATAAAGCTGAAAGTGCTTACCAGAAATAGAAATCCTTCATCCACAGTTTGAGTTGGAATTATCTGTATTCCAGTCCCACAATAGGGAAAGGAAAAACAAAGAAGAGGGCAGAAGAAGGGCTTCCTTTCTCTTTTAATTTATAGAAGGTTTCCTGCAAGCTTTTATATTGGCATTTTTCCTTTCACCCCTTTGCAACAACTTAGCCCCCTGACCTCAGCTAGCAGCAACGCAGACCGGAGCCTGTCTCATTTTGAACTGCTGTGTTTGAACTGCCCAGCTAAGAAATCTGTTTTTGTTTGTTGGTTTGTTTGTTTCAGTTTGCAGAATGAGCGTCCATGTGACACACAAAACCCTGACTCAAAAATCATGATTTGGATGTTTATACTCGATTCTCACATCCAGATTTCTATTTGTTTGATAGTAAGTTTCTTATAATGGAGTATCACTTTTCTAATAAGTTCTTGCCACTTTTTCGTTAGAGGGAGACTGTGTTCAGCAGGTGATATTTGATAGTGGACGCTCATTTGATATCGTTCTTTGGTTTGTAGGGTTTATTTTTTATTTTTTGGTCTTAGATTTCCTTTTTCTCTCAGTGGAACAGCATTTTCAAGGAGTCTTTTATTCCTATGACCAGCTTTTCTTGGTGTTATCTCTTTCTGCTTCTTCACTGGCCTTATCTTTTCTTTGCAAACTTGAACAAGCAAAATGCAATGTATTTTTTCTTTCCAATCCTTGCGTTCACTGCTATCTACTGTAAGCTATCATTTAAGCTATCTTTCTTTGAATGAGAGTTGAGCTTTGGCAGGGGTGCAAGAGAGAAAGCCTATCTTATTTCTTTACCGTGATTTCATTGCAGCAAGCTGAGGTCTCTTAATTTTCATAACCTCTTAAACTGTCTCGTCTGCACTTATTTTACAGGAAGCAATCTGTTCCAGATAGGAACAAGATCCTAGAGGATCATTTTTTAATGAGTGTTATGTATTCTATACTGCACCCTTTAACCAAATTTCACATAATGACTGAGGTACATTCCATGAATTCAGTTAATGTTAATTTTATTTCTTTAAGTACGAAATGGATGAGGGAAGATAGATGTTACATCTTATATTTAATTCCAAAAAGGCTCTAAAACCCATTATTATACATATTATTATTATTATTTACAAAATTTGGTATCCGGACTTGTGTTGTTCAATAATAGCAATGAAAATGAAGGCCAGAATTGGAATACAGATGCAGAAAATTCCCTTCTGAATTTAACACCATGTTTCAATTACTAGATTTCTTTAACCCATTTATGTGTTTGCAAAGAATTCCAAAAATCATAACCACTTATAATTTTATGTTTCTGTTTCTCATCTTGTTGATCAAATCCAGACTGAAACAATTTTTTTGAAACTGCCAATCCTGTTGACATTTTGTTGGAATACTTTCTAATTCCCTTTTTATGTCGCTTGCCAATCAGGTTTAATTTCTAAAAGCCATTTAGTTCAACATAAAAAGAACTCTTTCATCTGAACAGCACGCCAACCTAACATCTTCTTCTCTCTCTTTTTTTCTTTGTTTCATCTAGAGTTTAAAGAGAAAAATTGAGCACGATTTCTTAATATAAAAAAAAAAAAACACCCAACAGACAGACATTGGCCATGCAGCTGAGGAGAAAAGAAGGAGGTGAAAACTGTGGGGTCAAAGATGTAATAAGACAGGAGATAATTTTTTTTCTCATTTATAAAATGGGGTTTTAGTGACATTTATCTGTCTGATAGAGACCTGAATTTCTACCCAATTTTGTTCTTCATCCACTCAAGATGAATTCATCCTTGTTACATCACACTACAGCTAGAATCCAGGGTCTCAGGGAAATTGTGGTATCTCTTTTTCCATAACAGAGGAAATAAGATTTGCCTTCTATGCAGTTCATTAAACTGAGGATGTTCATAAAATATCTTGGTTTCCAAGTCTGCATGTTTTTTCAAATAGCCACTGGACTTTCTAAGGAAAGGGAAACCAGGATGTCCCTCTGGGTTCAGTGTGGACCTGCTTGGAGAAGGGTAGGTGAGTTGGTATCTCCAAGAATTCTGAGCAGGTTGACTTCTTCATCATCATCATCATCCTTGGGCATGCATGAATGCTGAACTGTGGTCTTTAAGAATTAATAATAGTTATTTTCATTCATGAGTAATTCGTATACAATAATATCCAAGTTTAAAATTCACATTTAAAAATGTAGAATTTGATAGATTCTGAGAAATACGTGTATACATGTAAAAATCATCACAGCCAAGGTATAGGCCATTTCCATCAGTCAAAAATATGGTGTGGGCCCAGTGTGGTGGCTCACACCTATAATCTCAGCACCTTGGGAAGCTGATGCAGGAGGGTCACTTGGGCCCACAACAAATTGAGCCTGGACAACAAATTGAGACTCCAACTCTACAAAAAATAAAAAAGTTAGCCATGCATGGTGGCACACACTTATAGTCCCAGCTATTTGGGAGGCTGAGGTGGGAGAACTGTTTGAGCCCAGGAGATCAAGCCTGTAGTGAGCCATGATCACACCACTGCACTACAGTGTGGGTGACAGAGAAAGACCCTATCTCAAAAATAAATGAATAAATAAATATATTGTATATGTCCCATGGCTGTTGATTACCACAACTCCCTCCTAGTCTGCAACAATTCCTGAGTCCCAAGTCACTAGCTTTTGTTTGTCAAGGATCTCATATTCATGAAATGAATCATTCTCTTCTGCCTGCCTGGTATCTTTCACATAGCATAATGTTTTTGCGTGTGATCCATATTGGCATGGATATGAGTAGTTTGTTCTTTTTATCATTGAAGAGGATTTCTTCTTATGGATGTAGTCACTAGTTGATGGACATTTGGATTTTTTCCAGTTTCTCCTTAATATGGCTTCAACTGACCTGAACATTCATGTGCTGGTCTTTGAGTAGAAGTATATTTTTATTTATCTTGGATAAATAAATAGAAGAGGCACTGCAGTGTGATATGTCAAGTGTATATTGAACTTTACTGAAAAATGTCAAATATCTTTCCCAAAGTGGCTTCCTAATATTACATTTACAAATTGCATGTGTGAGTTCTAACTGTTCCACACTTTCACCAACACTTAATATGGTCAGTCTTTTTAATTTTAGCCACTCCAATACGTGTGTAGTGGTCACTCATTGTTTTAATTTGCTCTTCTTAATAACTAATGATATTGATTACACTTCATGTGCGTATTGGTCATTGGAATATTTTCTTGGATAAAATGTCTGGTTATATCATTTAGCCATTTCATTTATTTTAATTGTTTTGCTTTTCTTCTTATTGTTTATTTGTAAGAGTTTTTTAAATATATATATTCTGGTAAAAAAAAAAAAACAGAACTCTTTGTCACTTTATCTGTTATTTATATTGTAAGCTTTTTCCTCCAATTTGTGGGTTAACTTACCATATCCTTAACAGTATCTTTAAAAAAAATGTTTTCTAAATCTTAATGAAATACAATCTATTATTATTTTCCTTTATGGTCCATCTTTTTTGTGTCCCACTTAGGAGATATTTTCCTAATCAAAGGTCACAAATAATTTTTCTTACAAGAAATGATAATTTCCTATAGAAAAGTTATAGTTTTTGCTCTTATATTGAAATGTTGGCATGTGTCTTTTCTGCTTCAATTATTTTTAGCCAGTGATTCTTACTATTATCATGTAAATATTTCCTCTTATTCTGTTCATATGTGGACTTAAACTGGCATATTACTGAGTGCAACCTTATATTTCAACAATAAAGCCCACTTAACCAAAATAGATGGTCATTATTATACATTGCTGAATTCTAGTTACTAGTATTTTGTTAAGGATTTTTGCACCTATGTTCACTAGGGATATGAAGCTATAGTTTACTCATTATAATCTTTATTATTATTATACTAGCCTCTTAAAATGAGTTGGAAACCCTTTTTTTAATCTTTTCTTTCCATTTGATTTTGCATGTACTCAGTATTATTTTCCCCAATTTTTTAAAGTTCCACCTAATAAGCCATTTCTTCCTAAAAATTTCTTTGGGGTACACTTTTTACTGCAAATTCCATTTGTTGAATATACATAGGGCTATATAAACTATCTTTTTTTTCTTCCTGTGTGAGTTTTGTCAATGTTCCCTATTTTTTCATGTCTTTTTTCCTCAAATAGAATAGTTAGAAATGTATCAATTTTATTGAACTTTCAAAAAACCAGCTTTTGGTTTAATTGGTTTTCTCTATTGTTTAATTGCTCTTTCTCTCATTGATTTCTGTTCTTACCTTTATTATTTCTTTCCTTCCCTTTATTTTGGATTTAACTTGCTCTCATTTCACTGATTTTTGAAGTAGAAGCTCAGATCCTTTATTTGAGACCTTCCTTCTTTTTTAATATAGGTATATGGTGATGTATTTTTTCTTTCTCTTTCTGCACACCACAAATTGTAATGTTGTGTACTGTGTTCATTTTCATTTAATTCAAAATAGATCTTAAATTACAAATCCCATCCAAGTTCAATAATCTTTATGAGAACAATGAATAGAAAGAGAAAAACCCAAATAAAATAACTAAAGAATAAAACATTAAAAGGAAAAAAAAGTTAAAACTTTGGTGATTTTCTGCAAACCATTAGTTCCAATTCTTTTTATTTTTTATTTTTATGGCCACATATGACCTAGGAATCCCACTGCTCAGTATACACCCAAAAATAAGCAAATCAGTTACTGAAGAGATAGCTGCACTCCCATGTTTGCTACAGCATGTTCACAACAGTGAAGATTTGGAAGCAACCTCAGTGTCCATCAATAGATGAATGAATAAAGAAAATGTGCTACATATACACAGGGGAGTACTATTCTGACATAAAAGAGAATGAGATCCTGTCATTTGCAACAACATGGATGGAACTGAAGTAGATTATGTTAAGTGAAATAAGCCAGGCACAGAAAGACAAACTTCACATGTTTCGCGTATTTGTGAAAGCTAAAAATTAAAACAATTGAAGTCATGGAGACAGAGAGTAGAAGGATGGTTAGCAGAGGCTGGGAAGGGTAATGAGGCAGTGGGGAAGTGGGGATGGTTAATAGATACAAAAATAGAATTAGAAGGAATGAATAAGATCTATTATTTGATAGCACAACAGGGCGACTACAGGAGCTCCAATTCTTGTGTAAGAAAATGGCAACTGATGAGGACTCTGCAGTCATTAGAGGTAGCAGACCCGGATCAGATTGATGTCACATTTCCACCAACTGTTCATTAACCAACTTCCACCAAGTGTCTGGAAATGCCTGCCAATCCCAGATTTTCACCTAGTATTTTCATTGTTGATCGTCAGGGAACAGAAAGATAAATTATAAATTGGAGTTTCAAGATAAAAACTCGATTTGAGGTTTGACACAAACAAAGATTTCTCCACTGGGTTTCTTTCTGTTTCATTTACTCCCTACAGTTCAGCTCAGATTAATGGGCTCAGAGACGGATTGCAGTAATTACTCTACCCTGTCACTCTGGTCTGTTATGCAAACAAATGTGTTGGCTGGAACAACAGAGAGCTCAGACCAGTTTGACACTACTTACATTGCCTTGTTTCCTAATTTATATTGTCCTGTATGCAAGACCCATCTCTAAGGCTGACACCAAAGTGCTTTCTGCAGGTGTTTTTAGGCTAAGTTCTTTATCTTCACTTATTCCTGAGGTTGGTTTTTTTTGTTTTTTTAACTTGAACTTGAGATTTTCATTGAAAGGCATAACTTGATTGTTAACTTTAGTTCAGTGAACACTGTTTCTAAGCATTTACACTGAGTCAGTACCCTTTTTGGGAGGGGGGAAGGTGTCCTAAGTTAGAATTGTAGATATTTTAATGAATTTATCAACCTACACACAGTTTCTTCAATCTTGCAATACTCTCAGTGTTGCAGTAATTATATTTCAGATACAGATTTCTGAAGACATGTACATCATAATTGCTGCAGAGATAAGAAAGTGGTCATTGTCATTAATACCACGTTTGCCATGGAATTCACTTTCAAATTGTTTTAAAGTACCTGTGAATTCTTGGATCATTTTTAATGGACTCTCCTTCATATATTGAAGTGAACTTTAACTTGACTTGGCTCCAATGTTGCAATGTATAATTGGAAGAAATTGATTATATCAAATAGATCTCTACATCAAACTGTCACTCACATTTTCAAACTTCCTTCTTCTGTATAGATGGCTTGATATAAAATATTTATTTTAGCAGATACTAGTCATTTGATAGCTAGAAAGAATATTACTAAAATTGTGTGGTTATATGTCTTTGTTAAAATCATATTTATGTGTGTTGAAATCCTATTATGCATACTGAAATATTTTTCCCATAGGTTTTGGGGGACAGGTGGTATTTGGTTACATGAGTAAGTTCTTCAGTGGTGATTTGTGAGATTTTGGTGCATCCATCACTGGAGCAGTATACAGTGAAACCAATTTGTAGCCTTTTATTCCTCACCCCGTTCCCACCCTTTCCCTCCACGTCCCCAAAGTCCATTGTATCACTCTTATGCCTTTGCATCCTCATAGCTTAGCTCCCACTTATGAGTGAGAACATACAATGTTTGGTTTTCCATTCCTGAGTTACTTCACTTAGACTAATAGTCTCCAATCCCAACCAGGTTGCTGTGAATGCCATTAATTTATTCTTTTTATGGCTCAGTAGCATCCCATTGTATATATACACCACAGTTTCTTTATCCACTCATTGATTGATGGGCATTTGGGCTGGTTCCACATTTATGCAATTGCAAATTGTGCTGCTGTAAATATGCGTGTGCAAGTATGTTTTTCTTTTCCTCTGGATGGTTACCCAGTAGTGGGATAGGTGGGTCAAATGGTAGTCCTACTTTTAGTTCTATAAGGAATCTCCACACTGTTTTCCATAGTGGTTGTACTAGTTTACATTCCCACTAGCAGTGTAGAAGTGTTCCCTTTTCACTGTATCAACACCAACATCATATTTTTTGATTTTTTGATTATGGCCATTCTTGCAGGGCATGTTGAAATTTTAAAATGTAGTATCTGAAAATTTTGTAGAAGAAAGATCCAGTAATGTCAATCATAAGTATATACCCACAAGAAGTACAAACACATTTTTAAACCAATGCATATACATGATTTTTATAGAATTACTATTCACCATAGTGAAAAGGAGGAACAACTCAAATGCCTATCAACTGATGAATCAATAAACAAAATGTGATCTATCCATATAATAGGATTTTGTTCAACCATGAAAAAGAATGAAGCTCTGACACAGGCTACCACATGGATAAACCTTGAGCATATCATGCTCTGTGGAAAAAAGCAGACACATAATGCTACATATTATAGGATTCCATTTATATGAGGTGTCCAGAATAAGAAAATCTTTAGAGACCAAATGCAGATTAGTGGTTGCCAGTATTTTAGGCAATAGGAGAATGGGGAGTCACTGCTTCATAGGTATAAGATTTCCATTTAGGCTGGGAGTGGTGGCTCGCACCTGTAATCCCAGCACTGTGGGAGGCTGAGGTGGTAGGATTACTTGAGCCCAGGAGGTCAAGACCAGCCTGGGCAATGTGGTAAAACCCCATCTCTACAAAAAAATTTACAAATTATCCGGGGCGGTGGCTCATTCCTGTAGTCCCAGATACTTGGGAGGCCAAGGGGGGATAATCGCTTGAGCCCAGGAGGTCAAGGCTGCAGTGAGCCATGATCATGCCAGTGCATTCTAGCCTGGGTGACAGAGTGAGACCCTGCCTCCAAAACAAAACAAAACAAAACATAACCAAAAAAAAAAGGAGAGGATGGTTACACATTATGATGATGAGTGTACCAAATGCCACTAAAATATATGCTTTAAAATGGTAAAAATTCGAAATTATATATGTTTTGTTAAATGCTATATGTTTTGAGCTGGGCGCGGTGGCTCATGCCTGTAATCCCAGCACTTTGGGAGGCCGAGGCAGGTGGATCACGAGGTCAGGAGATCGAGACCATCCTGGCTAACACAGTGAAACCCGTCTCTACTAAAAACACAAAAAAATTAGCCGGGTGTGGTGGCGGGCGCCTGTAGTCCCAGCTACCCGGGAGGCTGAGGCAGGAGAATGGCATGAACCCGGGAGGCGGAGCTTGCAGTGAGCCAAGATCGCGCCACTGCACTCCAGCCTGGGCGACAGAGCAAGACTCCGTCTCAAAAAAAAAAAAAAAAATGCTCTATGTTTTGTTAATTGCATACCACAATTTTAAAATTGGACAGTTAAAAAAAAAAAGGTAGAAAGCAGGGTTTTGAGGTATAGACAAATTTGTTTTTTAATAATCTTGGTTCCCACAGTGGAGCAGCAGTTCAGTTGAATCTAAAAATGTAAAGTATATTTTGTTCTGATTATACTGAATAATGCAGGCGAACAACTAATAACAACAAACGTGTTTCTTAAAGTGGTAATAAATATCTCTATGAGAAGAACAATAATCAGGGGAAAAAATTGGAGGAGTGGGAGAAAAACATCCCTGCCAATTTGGGAGCCAAAAATTAGCATCATGGATTCCAAGGTTATAGAATTTTAAAGCAGGAAATGTGAGTTCTTATGACTCCTCTGGTAGTTCCTTTAACCTCTTGATTCTTTACCAAATATGGATTATTTCATGCCTGGTAGCAAAAGTTCAACATATCGGCATCTACTTAGTGTTAGATACTTTCACAGTAATATATCAGTTAAATTTCACACACACACAAAGCTGTTGGGGCCTGTGTTTACTTTGTAACCATAAATTGATCACATATATATATATATATATATATATATATATATGAAAACTGTAAAATATATTTTTTATTATTTCAATAGTTTTTGGGGGTACAGGTGGTTTTTGGTTACATAGATAAATTCTTTAGTGGTGATTTCTGAGATTTTGGTGTTCCCCTCACCCAAGCAGTGTGCACTGTACCCAAGGAGTAGTCTTTTATCCCTCACTTCCTACCACACTTCCCCCTGAGTTCCTAAAGTCCATTGCATCATTATTATGCCTTTGTGTCCTCATAGCTTAGCTCCCACTTATAAGTGAGAACATATGATATTTGGTTTTTCATTCGTGAGTTACTTCATTTAGAACAATGGCCTCCAGCTCCATCCAAATTGCTGGAAAGGCCATTATTTCATTCCTCTTTATGGCTGAGTAGTATTCCATGGTGTATACATACATTTTCTTTATCCACTCCTTGATTGATGGGCATTTAGGTTGGTTCCACATTTTTGGAATTGTGAACTGTGCTGCTATAAACATGCATGTGCATGTGTCTTTTTGATATGATGACTTTTTGCCTTTGGGTAGTTACCCAGGAGTGGGATTGCTGGATTGATTCGTAGGTCTACTTCTAGTTCTTTAAGGAATCTCCTTGCTAAAAACTGTAAAATGATTTAAAATGGCAATCAAATATGACTTCTATCATTTAAGTCAGGCTAAGATAAGCTATGATGAGTTTTTCTTCATCTTGAATGAATGTGGATATACTTTTTCTAATAGTTTGACATTTTTAGTCATGTTTCAGTAAAAGCTTATGAATCCTGGTTTGTTTTCATCAAGGCATTGAATTCCCTGTCTTTGCAGCTGTGAAGACAAAGGCAAGAGGATAATTCGGTAGAATGTTGGATAAATGGTTGAACTAGGAGACAGAAACATAGATGAAATCATCATTAACCTTCCAATTCCAGAAAGAATCTGTTTTTCTAAGTATTATATCTATATTTTTATTGAAACAGATTACAAATATGGTTCAACAGTTCAAGGACATGATTTTTCCAAACTAGATCAGTAAATTTTTTGAAAATTTATAATAAAAAATGGTATGAATAAAGTTGGGGAAAGGATTTGGAGGTTTATAAATGGCTGGATATTAATCTTTCACTTAAAATATTCAAGTCTGGAGAACATTCCTTGTGGTTATAATTGGTAGAGTCAAATTTTTCTTTTAAAAAGTAGAAGAGGCTTAATTTTCTCAACTTTTTGTTTTTAGCATTTTATGCAATGAGCTACTTTCCACACCAGATGTTTTCCTGGCTCTGTTTTTATTTGATTTCCATCACCTGTGCTTCCTTGAAAGCACCAGAGGCTCACAAGCTGGCAATACTCCATCATGAACTAAAATTTGGTCTTGTGCCTATGCTACCTCAATCCTGACGTCTCACTCAAAGGACAGTGCCTAGTCCAAGGTTTCTGAACTCAGCCAAAATATGTACTTATAAAGAATTGAAAATGTTCCAGCAACTCAGCTCAGAGCAGTTGATGTGGAAAATATATTTATGGAGGAAAACTACAAAAAACTCCCTGAAATGGTATTGGTCTTACTAGACTAAATTCTAATACAGCCACAGTCTTTCACATCATTTGGGGCAGGGGAGGTCAATGTTGTATAAAAATATTGTCACTCTAGTCCATTAAAATCGTTCATAAAGATACTCCAATAAGTTTTAAAACTGTACATTTCATGACCTCTACTAAGGCCATGGAAACCTTGAACTGTGTAGCAGATGTAAATTTTGCTCTTCAACGTCAGGCATAAGCAATGAAGCATTGTTTTAATGTTCTTGGTCATACCTTGCTATGAATTTAAAGAAATTTGCCTAAAAGGGGGAATGTCTACATTCAGCCACAGATGTTGGCGAAGTGAGCCTGAGAAGGAGAAGTTTTCAATAGCTTTGTCCCCATTCCTGCAAAGTGAAGAAGAGAGAGGATGTAGGTTAAACATAATGGTATGGTCTAAATCAAGCTTGTTCAGCCCCGCAGCCCACGGGATGTGTGTGGCCCAGGATGGCTTTGAATGAGGCCCAACACAAATTCATAAACTTTCTTAAAGCATTATGAGATTTTTTTGTATTTGTTTTTAGATCATCAGCCATATTTAGTGTTAGTGTATTTTATATGTGGCCCAAGACAATGCTTCTTCTCCCAATGTTGTTCGGGAAGCCAAAAGATTGGACACCCTGGGTATAAATGTCTATTTTCCTCTAAAATTCCTATGTTGAAATCTAATCCCAAGGTGATGGAATTAGGATGTGAGGTATTTGGGAGGGTGGTTAGGTCATGAGGGTGGGGCCTCATGAATGGGATCAGTGCCCTTATAAAGGGACCCCAGAGAGTTCCCTCGCCCCTTCCACCATGCGAGGACACAGCAAGAAGGCGCTGTCTATGAACCAGAAAGCAGGTCCTCACCAGACATCGAATCTGCCAAGCCTTGATTTGGACTCAGCCTCATAAACCATGATCAATCAGTGTCTGCTGGTTATAAGTCACACAGTCTGTGGTTTTGTGCTGTAGCAGCCCGAATGGCCTAACACCTATAATCATGCTCCCTGCAAGTAGAACCAGAAATACATCTCTATTCTGACTTATTAGACCTGTGTCTATGTACTATGTCTTGATAACCAGACCCACAGATATGTAGGTCAACATCCAAGCACAGAAGTGGTATCTGTTTCAGTGCCAATCATATGATGACAGGAGGTAGATGTGTAAGAATCAAGCCAGCTGCAGTTCCATCAGAGTTAAAGGACATTATAATATAACATACTTTTGTAATTTTCTTCTCTGAATTCAATTTTATCAAAAATATGTTGCATTACCTCAGACATTTCAGGATCAAACCTTCTACAAAAGGATATTTATTTAAAGCAAATAAAAATCCTTGTGAAATATAAAACCCAAGAGAACCGTGCGTAAATCATAAATCAGTTCATCAGAGAGAAATACTCAAGTGTTGTGTGTTTTGTGTTTTAATGAGAATCCCTCTCTCATCTACTGGCTTGTGCTCTTAAATAGGAAAATAAAATCTTACACTTTTAAAATAGTATGGACTAAACACTCCATGCATAGAAATTGTTCTCAAATTCCACTTTAATTAAAAGGGAAATACTGATGTTAAACTTTAATTTAAAATAATTTGAACACTTCTTTTGATGATCTGCTGAATATATCACTCATCATAAGCACATTTGTACTGATTTTCAAAATTTCTTGTACTGTGTTAATTTCATGGAGGCTGTAAGTATTTGGTACGGTGCAAAGATATTTAATGGTTCTTATGGATACTCCTAATGTCAGGTAAAAATCAGGAAGCACCTACACACACACATGCGCACACACACACACATTGACATTTTTTCATTCCCTGGGAGATCATAGAGTCTAGATTTAATGTTGGAAAATGAAATTCTCCTTCAACATTCGGTCTAATTCATATTCTCTCATTTGTGAGGGATCATTTCTGCCAGGGAATTGTCACCACGGTGTCTAACTACATCATTCCGCGAGTGCTATGTTCTCAGATGGTTCAAGAAAGCCCATAAAATCACCACTGACTTCAAGTTTGAGATGCCTTCAGATATCCAGTGAGACCTGATAGTGTTTAACCTTTCAGAAAAGCCATGTATAGAGACTAGGGAAGCTTTGGCTTGACGACAGTGGCACAAGGGCAGCTATTATGAGTGACAGTTGAACGCAGAGGAAAAAATGAGCCATCAGAGGGATAGCAAGAAGAGTTAGAACGGAAGATGAAGATCTGTGGGATATAAAATACGTGACACCATTTAAAAAGTCAGAAAATCCCTGTGTAGTGGCTTATGCCTGGGAGGGCAAGGTTGGAGGATCTCTTGAGGCAAGGAATTTAAGACCAGCCTCGGCAACATAGTGAGACCCTGTTGATACAAGACATTTTAAAAATTATCTGGGTGTGGTGGTGCACACCTGCAGTCCCAGCTACTCAGGAGGTTGAAGTGGGAGGATTGCTTTAGCCAAGCCCAGGAGGTTGAGGCTGCACTTTGCTGTGATGGTGCCAATGCACTCTGGCCTGGGCAACAGAGAAAGATTCCATTTCTAAAAAAAAAAATTAAAAAAAAGTCAGAAGATGAGTCAGAGCTATCCCAGCAACATGAGAAGGTCCCATCTCTTAAAAATAGGAAGTGAGCAAAGAAGAGGGTTAAACTACAAAAAATTTGTGTAAACACATGCTGAATAGAGGGTATGGCATGTTAATTACAGTGAATTGAACCCATAGATAAAGTGAGCACAGACATTCATCCCTGATGCCACCACAGTGTCTATCACAGCATGAAGTTCTAATTCCTAACAAGAAGGCATGTATGATTCACAAGAGAAATCAAGGATAAAGACAGGTTGTAGAAAAAAAGGTGAAGGATGAGTGAATGTAGCACGTGATTCAGGTGGATTTAAGAAATCTGTTGGCCGGGCACAGTGGCTCACGCCTGTAATCCCAGCACTTTGGGAGGCCGAGGCAGGAGGATCACGAGGTCAGGAGTTGGAGACCAGCCTGGCCAACATGGCAAAACCCCGTCTCTACTAAAAGTACAAAAATTAGCCAGGCATGGTGGCAGGCACCTGTAATCCCAGCTACTCAGGAGGCTGAGGCAGGAGAATCGCTTGAGCCCAGGAGGCGGAGGTTGCAGTGAGTCGAGATCACGCCACTACACTCCAGCTGGGGTGACAAGAGCGAGACTCCATCTCAAAAAAAAAAAAAAAAAGTTGTTGTTGCTGTTATTGTATTTTTGTATTTTGAGTTGTTAGGACTGTTGATTCTCTTTGTAAATTGAAGATATTACTTGGGGATATTTATACATAAAGGAGAAGAACAGAAACAGAGGTCCAGCACAGTGTCTATCACAGCATTAATTCCTATTTCCTAACAAGAAGACCTGTACTATTCACGAGAGAAGTGAAGGATAAAGACAGGTTGTGGAAAAAAAGGTGAAGGATGACTGAATGTAGCACGTGATTCAGGTGGATTTGAGAAATTTATTGTTGCTGTCACTGTATTTTGAGTTGTTAGGACTATTGATTCTGTTTGTAAAGGGAAGATATGACTTGGGGATATTTATACATAAAAGAGTAGAACAGAAACAAATGATGGAATAAGGATGAAAATAGAAAGAATGCAGGGAGTAAAAAACCGTGCCAAGGGAACAGCAAGCCTAATTTCATCCAACAGCTTTCTTTTTGAGACAGAGTGTCACTGTTGCCCAGGCTGGAGTGCAGTGGGGTGATCTCGGCTCACTGCAACCTCTGCCTCCCAAACTCAATCGATTCTCTGCCTCAGCCTCCTGAGTAGCTGGGATTACAAGCGCACGCCACCATGCCCAGATAATTTTTGTATTTTTAGTAGAGGGAGGATTTTGTTGTGTTGGCCAGGCTGGTCTTGAACTTCTGGCCTCAAGTGATTCACCCACCTCGGCCTCCCAAAGTGCTGGAATTACAGGCATGAGCCACCGTGCCTGGCCTCATCCAACAGCTTTTATCAAATAATGTGTAGTAGAGTTTATTCTTTCCTTTTACTCTGGTGTCAAATGAAAATTTTTTAGTTTTTGATTTTTTTCAAGATAGAGTCTCTCTCTGTCACCCAGGCTAGAGTTCAGTGGAATGATCATAGCTCACTGCTGCCTCAACTTCCTGGGGCTCAAGTGATCCTCCCACCTCAGCCTCCTGAGTAACTGGGACTACAGGTGCATGCCACCATACTGGGCTAATTTTTCCATTTTTAGTAGGAATAGGGTCTCACTATATTGCCCAGGCTGGTCTCAAATTCCTGGGCTCAAGAGATCCTTATGCCTGGGCCTCCCAAGGTGCTGGAATCACAGGCATAAGCCACCACATCCGGGTGAAAATTTTTGAATGTCGTGACAGCAACATTGGATTCTCACTCTCAGCCTTTGCCAAATGACCCCGTTTGTAGGATAGGGAGGCTGTGTCCAAATACTTGATTGAAATACAGTTAACTTAAGAGGACTTTGTTAATTTAATTTATAAGACTCTTTGGAATTTCAGTTCTTGAAATCAATGCAGAAATGCAAATTACATTGTAGAAAATTATCTGCCATTATGCTAAATCGTACAGCATTATATTTATGACCAGAGTTTTCTGTAAGGAGCAACAGTAATTAATCCTTCATTCTGAGCAAGAAGTTTCCTGCAATTTAAGTTTCTGTGGGCAAAGAAAACATTTGCTGGTGGATTAAAAGAATCTGTCAGTTTAACGTATAGGGGATGTTATAATTGAGACCAAAATATTAAGAAGCTTATATATGTAAGCTGAATCTCTTATATTATACTATATGTTAGTAACAAAGTTTATTTTATGGAGAAATAATTTATCAGAAAATGTCTTGTTTTATAAACTAAGGTTCATTTATTGTTTTAAAAGGTAAATTAAAATGATTAAATTTTGGTGAGAATGACCAAAGATATAAAATAAGTGAAATGATATAACACAAATAAAAAATTGATAATTTCTTTGATATCTACCGATAAAAATGGGTATACTATGTATCCCTATTCATATAAATTAAGTTGTTTTTTGTTGGGGTTTTCTTTTCGTGGTTTTTATTTTTTTGAGACAGAGTCTCACTCTGTCGCCCAGGCTGGAGTTCAATGGCATAATCTCTGCTCACTGCAACCTCTGCCTCCCAGTTCAAGCAATTATCCTGCCTCAGCTTCCTGAGTAGCTGGGATACAGGTGTGTGCCACCACGCCTGGCTAATTTTTGTATTTTTAGTAGAGACGGGGTTTACCATGTTAGCCAGGCTGGTCTCAAACTCCAGACCTCAAGTGATCCACCCAGCTCAGCCTCTCAAAGTGCTGGGATTACAGGTGTGAGCCATAAATTAAGTATAATTTGAACTGGCAACATCTACCCTCTTTTTTTATTAGATGTATTCATCATTAAATGGATTAATACCAGTTTATTTTATAGATGAAAGCAAACAAAAATAGGAAGTGTTTCGTGAACCTGGTAAATAAACCTTGAATATTTTTCTTTTTAATTGAGGTATTTTCTCTTTCTTCATGTCATGAGGGAAATTCTCGATTCAAACAGAAGAAATCTATTTGTCAAAGGTATTGCAATCATACCTTAAATTCTTTAGGCAACAGAGAGTTGAAGGAGACTGTATTAGTCCGTTTTCGCGCTGCTGATAAACACATACCAGAGACTGGGAAGAAAAAGAGGTTTCATTGGACTTACAGTTCCACATGGATGGGGAGGCCTCAGAATCATGGTGGAAGGTGAAAGGCACTTCTTATATGGTGGCAGCAAGGGAAAATGAGGAAGAAGCAAAACTGGAAACCCCTGAAAAACCCTTCAGATCTCGTGAGACTTATTCACTATTATGAGAATAGCACCGGAAAGACCAGCCCCCGTAATTCAATTACCTCCCCCTGGCTCCTTCCCACAACACGTGGGAATTCTGGGAGACACAATTTGAGTTGAGATTTCACTGGGGACACAGCCAAATCATATCAGAGACCAAAAATTCTCCTTAAATTCACCTCCAATTTTAGTTTGGAATTTCAGGAAGATGGTTGGTTTGTGTTTCATTCTCTGACGTTGTAGGCTTAGTAGCTTCCTCATTATTATAGCCTGGGATACAGATGCCTTAACCTGCTGTGGCTAGTTGAAGATGTGTTCACCTTTAGAGCAAAATAATTCTTCCTGAAATCAACCTAATCTCTTCAAAATCAAATCTTCAGGAAAATTATGCTTTACAGGTTTTATTGCTAGATCATTCTTCACCTAGTTCTCTCATTTATACATTCAATTAGCAGATTTGTTTTTCTTTAGAGACAGGGTCTTGCTCTGTTGCCCAGGCTGGCATTCAGTGGTGTGATAATGGCTCACTGCAGACTTCACTTCCCAGGCTCAAGCGATTCTCCTGCCTCAGCCTCCTGAGTAGTTGAGACTACAGGTGCATGCCACCACTCTTAGCCAATATTTTAATTTTAATTTTTAGTAAAGTAGTTTTATTTTTAGGCAACATAGCAACACCTAGTTTTTATTTTTAGGTTTTGCTGTATTTCCCAGGTTGGAGATTATTTCTCTTAAGCTTTAAGTCTGTAATACAGACATGTGGGTCTGTTCCTTAACTTTCTTTAATACAGAGTCTATCTATATCTTGTCTATATATCTCTATATTGCTATAGAGATAGATTGCTAATTGGTAGATGATAAGTATATAAATCTGGATAGATACATAATTGATACATAGATGATAGACAGATACATCCTTTAGTCTAATCAAAATAAGTGGTACACATCTGATTTCTAGGTGGAATAGCATTATTTTCTGGTGTCAGAGAAACCAGTGATTTAAAAGTAAGTATGAACTTTCAATATCTTAGTTTCATGCAGATTATGTTCCTTTTACACTTCTTGGTTCATCAGAAACATATGCTGTGCGAGGTGGAAGGATGTCTGATTACAGGGTATAAAACCTTCAGGGTGAAACATATTTCAATACCTTATTAATGTTTCAAGCTCCATGTCTTTTTCATGGCTGATGCATTTTTGAATGTTATGAAAAGCTTTAATGGAATAGAAGCACAAAAGATGGTAAACAAAATTATCTTGTATTTGAGAGATACATAAATCAAATTTTGTAGATAGAGGTTGAAAACTGTTACTATTTTTAGGGAGATAATGTTATTGGCTTGCAGTCATCTTTACTCCTGTTCCTAATTATATCGTTCTTTGAGTTGGTACTAATCCTATTGCCCAGCTTTATTCAGGAAATTTTGCACCCAGAAAGCAGTTGGGCATTTATCTTATAATTAATGAAGCTGTCTTTCATTTGTGCTACACTTTGAATTAGACAGAAGAAAGCCTGTAGATGATTTCTGCTAGAGGATAAGTAGATAGCTTTGACATGGTTCTTACCCTGTTTGTTGCATTTAAAAAGGGCAGGAGTGGTTCAGTGACAAATGGAAATAATTGTCATGCTGCACTATGCACATGTATCCAATATAAGAATCATTTCCTTTGTAAATGTACTGAAAAACAAAACACACACACACACACACACATACACACACACACACACACACACACACACTGTATTGATCTGTTCTCATGCTGCTAATAAAGACATACCCGAGCCGGGGTAATTTATGAAGGCAAGAGGTTTAATAGACTCACAGTTCCACATGTCTGGCGAGGCCTCACAATCATGGCAGAAGGTGAATGAGGAACAAAGGCAAGTCTTACATGGTGGCAGGTAAAGAGACCGTGTGCAGGGGGACTGCCCTTTATGAAACCATCAGATCTCATGAGACTCATTCACTATCATGAGAACAGCATGGGAAAAACCTGCGCCCGTGATTCAATTACTTCCCACCACGTCTCTCCTGTGACAGTGGGAATGATGGGAGCTACAATTCAAGATGAGATTTGGGTGGGGACACAGCCAAACCATAACACACACACACACACACACACGTGCACACACACCCACCCCTCCTTTTGCATTACTCCTTCAAATACCGTCATTCTGTAGGATCAATCATTTCCATTCGTCCCTCACAATCTTTCCACAGTCCTGTGGATTATAACTTTCATAAGGGCAAGTTTTGCCATTCCACAAAACATTTGCCAAAAATGTAGAAAAATGTATAAATATATACGCCATAACATTTTTTAGGCACAATACGTAATTATTATTATTTTTTGAGATGGAGCTTCACTCTTTTTGCCCAGGCTGGAGTACAGTGGTGTGATCTCAGCTCACTGCAACATCCGCCCTCTGGGTTCAAGCAATTCTCCTGCCTCAGGCTCCTGAGTAGCTGGGATTACAGGTGCCCACCACCACGCCTGGCTATTTGTGTGTGTGTGTGTGTGTATTTTTAGTAGAGACGGGGTTTTAACATGTTGGCCAAATTCCTGACCTCAGGTGATCCACCTGCCTTGGCCTCCCAAAGTGCTAGGATTACAATACGTAATTTTATAAGATAGCTGTATGAGATGTTTAATAATTGCCTATATTTAGAAAAAAACATTTTTATAGAGTGAGATTCAGTATCTAATTCATTAAAAGTCAACAAGTGAAATAAGTAGGAAATGAAGAAAAATGCAAAGCGGTTGTAAATAGAGGAGGCAATATAATATTATGAATGCAAGAACACTGGTATTTCAATTAAGTATAGAACAAGGAGGCTGGGCATGATGGGTCACACCTGTAATCCCACTGCTTTAGGAGGCTAATGTGGGAGGATCCCTTGAGCCCAGGAGTTTGAGACCAGTCTGAGCAACACAGCAAGACTCACTCTCTACAAAAATTTAAAGAAAAATAGCTTGATGCACTGGTATGTACCTGTTGTCCCAGCTACTCAGGAAGCTGCAGCAGGACTGCTTGAGCCCAGGAGGTTGAGGCTGCAGTGAGCCATGATTGTGCCACTGCAGTCTAGCCTGGGTCACAGAGCAACATCCTGTCTCAAAAAAATAAACAAAGAGCAAGTAGGCAAGTAGTTGGTTAAATACATTCAGAGGAAATAGAAAGAATGTCTTAAAATATTTAGAAGGGAAAAACTTGTATTTGTCAATATTTTATAACAATTAGCATCCAGCAGTGAATTCATATTTAGGACATGATGAATACTACATTGTGTTTCGTTATAGAATATTACTATTTTTTATTTCTCATGTGCGATTAATTAAAATTATCAAATAGTTTATGTCATATATATACACCATTGATCAACAAATATTTATGCAGCTTTAATTGGTGCCATATATCATATTATTCATTAAAGAGACAGTGTTCCAATTTTAATTGTTCTCTAATTTAAGATAAGAAACCATTATTCAAAAAGCAAAATAAAAGTCTGTATTTTCAAATTTGTTCACATAGGGAATGAAAACTTCCCCTCTCAATGGAAACTCACATGATAAAAATTAAAAGAAAACTACTAGGCAGGAATTCACATGTATCTTTTTATTTATAATTAAAAATTTGACAAAAATATCTGTTTGTCATACTGAAAATAAGTTACTTACCAGTTTGTGGAAAAGACTTGGAGGCTTGATAATTTAGTTTCAGACGCATAACTTTCCAATACATCTTTCTGTTTCTCCTCCATGTTTCTTAAACAAATATTTAACTGCTGAGTTGGGAACAGAACATCATTTAGTTGACTTTACTTTTTGTGAAGATAGTACAGCAAAACATTCTTAATG